>NC_000015.10:61401874-62026874 GCF_000001405.40 Homo sapiens | reverse complement strand
TGCCATGCACTCACAGTAAGCAAAATGAAACAAAAAAATTGCCAGTTTTTACTTAAGAATTCCCTTGATGAAGTAGGAAGTTTTAAATTTTAATAAACTTCAACCCTTGAGCATGTCTCTTTAATATTTTGTGCAACAGCAGAGAAAGTATGCCTGAAGCATTTCTGCATACTGAAGTAGGATGGTTGTTTCAAGGAAAATTACTTGTGCAGATGTTTGAGTTGTGAGCTGAGCTAGTTGCTTTTTTTCTGGAAAGCCATTTTTAGTGGGAAGAATCACAGACTATCATTATTCAGATTTGGTTGTTTGGTAGACACTTCAACAAAACCACTTCAAGGAAAAGGAACTGGCAGTATTTGTTGTCAGTGATAAAATTTGAGCTCTTGAGTAGAATTTTGGAAAACTTGTATTTGCCAACTTGAGATCGACAGCTTCCCAGTAGTACTTTAAGACTTTTCTGATGAGATTGGTGGTAATATTAACAGATGTGACTTTTGATATTAAATAATGAAATGACTTGACATTTGGAAGATTTGCATAATTCAGTAAAGCAATATTTCCAATGGAAGATAAAAATCATACATGTGTAAAGGGGTTCATTTAAAGTGCAAGAAGGACTAATTGATTTTGATTTGTATGAAAAATTCATTGATAGGGTTTCAGATTCCATGATGCAGCTACCTTTAAGAAACTTCCACTTGTTGAGTTTGATATGAAAAGGCAATGAATATGCTCCCCCCTTTTCTAATTATATATCTATAGTGAGATCAGATTTTCATCATGTACTTCAATTAAAACAACATATCTCAACAGGTTGAAGGCAGAAGCAGATATGCTAATCCAACTGTCTTCTACTAAGTGAGACATTAAAGAGATTTGTAAGAATGTAAAACCATGCAACTTTTCTCACAACATTGTGTTTAAAAAATATAGCTATTTTTATAACTGTATGTTATTATGTAATGGCCTATTTTTAAATGAATGTCTTTTTTCAGTTTTTATTTATAATATGGTAAATATCAGTAGTTATAACCCACATAAATAAAAAGTTCTTTAGAGTCCTCAAGTTATAAATGCTAAATGGGTTGTGAAACCAAAGTCTTTGAGAACTGCTTTAGTTTGTGATTGAGAATCATAAATTTATTATTTATTGGATTAATTAGAAACTTTCTCTAAAGAGCTATATTAGCTCTAAGATTAGATTTAAACTGTTTAGAGAGGTTTAAACATGGTGTATCTGCCATTGAGATGAAAGACAGAACATGGTGCTAGAACAAATATGAAACCAGAAAGATAATTGGTCAGGTAAGAAGAGAATTTAACACGAGGCAGCTGAGTCTATGTCTTTGAAAGCTGTTCTAGCCAAGTGGAATGGTTTTCAGGGCTAGACTGGCTTTCTTACTTGTTTCTTTTCAAATGGTATTTCTTTGAGAACTCATTCTTTTTATGTATGTTTGATTTATGAATAGAACAGAGTCAGTGACTTTCACAGTGGCAAGAACTACTGGAATAGCACTATCCTGATTGTGTTACATTACTTATTAAATGTTTACTTCTTGAAACTGAGGGTTTTATTTTTGTAGTTGAGGATTTGTTTCTTAATTTTTGTAGTGGCAGAACAATTTGCTTTTAAAAATCAAGGAAGAACCAATTAAAAATTTCAAGCTCCATTTCACATATATTCTCTAAAATATATATAACATGAATTTAGTTGGATCTGAATTTTTTTTATTCATTTGAACAGATAAGTACTGTGTGCTTTGTGCCCAGGTGTAGGATTATCTCTGACCTAATGAAGTCTCCTGCCTGATGGCAAGACAATTGAGCAAACACTTCAAATATGGTATAATCACTGTTTAATGCAATTCTGTGTAAGGTACAGGCCCTGGGGCTACTTGGAGTAGTTTAAGAAGGCTTCACACAGGCAGTAGTGCTGGACCTGAGATTTAAAAGCTGCCTAGGAGTTCGCCTGGTGAAGAACTTCCGGGAGGGTGACGGAAGTTCACGGAATGACATGTGTAGAGGCATTAGGCATTAGAAAGTATGGCTTGTTTGGGAAAGTAGAAATATTATTTCTGTAGTATCCAGTGCAAGGATGCATGTTAGGAGATAGAACAGGACAGGGATGTAGGGTCACATCATAAAAGGACTTTATTGTGTAAACACATTTTAATTATGTCTGGAAGGTTGCAGAGAGCCTTTAAATAATTTTGAGCAAGAGATTAACAGGATGTGATTAGTATTTTAAAAGACATCAATCTGGTAACAGGGTAGAAGGACCTTTAGTAGGAGCTGAGGCTGGAGACTAGAGATCAGTAGATAATACAGAGACTGCCTCAAGAGTTCAGGGTGGAGGTGATGCCTGATAGGAATTTGAGTATGAAGATTTGTAAGTTGAGTAAGACAGGTATTGGTAAATGCCAGAATGCAGTGAGGCAGTGTTGAAAGAGAATGAGGTTTTAAAGGAATTCCTAATCGAATTCAGTGTACAGTCCAATGTACATGTTATGCCCACTTAATGTTCTTTATATCCTTGAGTCATTAAATAATTTGCTTGTGAAGTGTATCATCCAGAGGAAGTCATCTGTGGGCAACTTACCCTTTCATTTCATTTGTATGCCTATGTTCCTACCATATGTTTATCAAAACCTTCTTCTGAAAGTTTTATATTCTGTCATTGTTACATTTCCAATATTTTGGTAATATTGAAATTAAAGTGTAACTTTGTAAAGTCATTAATATTATAAATGGCATTGGGAATGGAGATTTTATCCAATTTTAGTATAATTACACCTGCCAATTTATTTTCTAGATTAAAGAAGGTTATTCTTTACAATAGAAGGTTATTCTAGACTAAAGAAGGTTTGTAAATTTGTCTTTATATTGAAGTAACAGGTCAGTTTAGAATAAGGTAAGGTGAGTTGTGCCAAAATTTGCTGTTAGGAAAAATTCTCTTGTTTTCTTTTCTGTCCTGTAGTCTGCTAACTTGAATCTTATCCTTTTCTCACTAAAATGCTTCCACTGTGAAGGACGTAAACGTAAAAAGCACAAAAAACATTTTAAGAAACCTTTTAAAGGTCTTGATCGTTCAAAAGGTAGGTAAAAGTAGTTTTATGCCATGGTGTTGTTTATACACATTGCCACTTTATTTCTGATTTGGAATGTGAAATGAATGTCAGATAACAGTATAAATTCAAAAACAAGTTTTAAGTTGGAAATGCATATTAAAATATAAATAAAGACACTATTGGCTGTAATTTCCATTGAGTAGTACCTTAGCTATCCTTTGGTTATTAATTTTGAGGTATATGAGAATTTCAACTCTTGAGCTTGTATTTTTCTATTTTTTAATAGATAAGCCAAAAGAAGCCAAAAAGGATACATTTGTGGAAAAATTGGCAACTCAAGTAATAAAAAATGTACAAGTAAAAATCACAGATATTCACATTAAATATGAAGATGATGTAAGTAATTTTTATTTACTCAGTTAATAATTAAATATGTATTTTATAATATTCTTGACTTTTCTATATGTGGATTATCTGTGCCCATTTTTAAATCCGAGATTAATTTTTTTCTTATGAGTACACTACCATATCCTCTTGTGTTAGCCTCGTTTTATTGGGCATTTATGTACATAAATATACTATAAAATTACCATGTGTTCCTTTCTGAAGCTGATATAAGAGGTTTTTGGATTGTCTTCTGTTATTTTTTTTGAATTTTATTTTACGTGTTAAGACATAATATTATAACTTTAAGGAACTAATTTTTGCTTTATGCTGACAAAAGAGTTAATTCTAAAAGGTGATGAATAACTAATGATAATGTTAATTGGCCAAAAAGTGACTAAAATCTGGTCACTTGACTGTAGTCTCATTCTCTTTACATACCACTGAGTTGGATTGAACACCCAAAATTATTCACACACATGTGCAACAGTAGTTGCACAGAAGAAACCAAACTTCACTCATAACCAAAAGAGTAACATCAGCTGATTAAGAACTGTTTAACTGGCTAATTTTAATTAACATACAACACATATTTTGAACAATATGCATTGCTTTGTTTAAAAGTTTGAAACATGTAAGAACTTGAATTTTTTCGTTTATCTAGGAACCTGGAAATGTTCATTGCTTCTAAAAATGAGTTTGCATTCTTTTTGTTTTTAATTTGAATTGAATTAAAGCAATACTGACATTTGTAGAATTTGTTTTTCTTTTCTTGGTAAGTTCCCTATGTAACTTGATAAGTCAGCAGGACACATTTGTAGATTGTCAAAAAATACCACCTCTGTCTTATACTGACTTGATTTATGGAGTCATTAAAATGAATTGTGTTAACAAATAAATGTCTTAAAAAAACCTCACTCATAAATGCCTTTGTTAATAACAAGCTTAAGAAAATAAAGTATACTCAACGCATCATGAAAGTGGAAGAATTATCATTAAAATCCTATGTCGAGAAAAGTGAACCTGGGTACAATGTTGGTGGGAATGTAAATTACTACAGCCATTTTGGAAAACAGTGTGGAGTTTCCTCAGAATCTAAAAATCAAATTACTGTATGATCTAGCAATCCCATTTCTAATTTGTAAAATTAAACTTTATCATACGTATGTATATATAGGAAAAAACCTAGTATATTTAGGGTTTGGTACTGTTTGTGTTTGCAGACATCCACTAGGGGGCTTGGAACATATCTCCAGAGGATAAGGGGGAACTGCTGTATATATCCAAAGGAATTGAAGTCAGTATGTCAAAGAGATGTCAGCATTCCCTTGTTCATTTCAGCACTATTCACTATAGAGAAGATTGCCCATCAGTGGATGAATGGGTAAATAAAATGTGTATATACATATTGGAATACTATTCAGCCTTTAAAATGAAGGAAATTCTTTCACTTGCAAAATTATGTATTAAGAAATGGGTGTAGAGAAAATATAATAATTTATCATAAAGATGCTCACTGGATAATAGCTGTGGTTTGTAGATAGTACATTAGCAACTGAGGGTTGTCTTTAATAAAACAAATGAGTTTCTTCGGAAAGAGCTGCAGGTTTATTTTGAGCTGGTTATCTCTAAGTATAAAAAGAGAGTGTGGGAATAAAGGAAAATATTTTGCCACAAATCATTGTATATCTGATGTTAATTAAAATGACTTATAAAGCTATTCGTACTTCTCAACTGTACCACATGGATTTTTTTCCATTTAGAAAATTGTATGTGACTAAACTCTGGAGTCCCAGTTGGATGATTTAGAACATTATCCATTTCCCTTCTCCTTATTTCCCTTAGTTTCTGCCATGACCAAACAATTCTATAAGACTTTTCTTTAAGATGTCTAAAATGGTGATACTGTGCACACTGTGGTATAGTTTAAGCACTGTGGATTGCAACTTAGATATTGAAGATCAGAAATACAACAAAAACTTAATGTTGACAGATTTTGGATATAGAGACTAAAGAAATTAAATATTAAGGATCTAGAGATTTTCCTAGAAGCATTTTGAAGTGTTAAGAACATTAAAGGCTTAAAGAGATAGTTCATATTTCCAAGTATGAAAGCCTTTTTTTTAAAATGTGTAAATTTAAGGAGTACAAGTGCAGTGTTGTTACATGATATACTGCATAGTGGTGAAGTCTGAACTTTTAGTGTCTCCATCACCCATAATATACATTGTACCCATTAATAAATTTCCTATCATTTACACCTACTTCTCACCCACCCTACCCTTTCAAGTCTCCAATGTGTATTATTCCACACACTGACCACGTGTATTCATTATTTAGCTGCCACTTATAAGTGAGAACGTGCAGTTTGTTTTTCTGCTTCTGGGTTGTTTCACTTAAGATAATGGCCTCCAGTTCCATCCATGTTGCTGCAAAAAAACCCAAACAAACATGTTTTCCTTTTTTATGGCTGAATAGTATTCCACTATGTACCCTAAGTGTTATTAAAATGATTTAGTGGCAGTGTTATCTGTAACACCTTTTAAAATTTATCTGTGAAAAAATCTTTGATTATACACATAAAAAGATTATTCCTTTTTAACTGTCTAGAGAGAAGTCTTGTTAGTCATAGTTAGTGAGTCATCTTCTAGTATGAAAAGAGTTCCACTGGGAAAGGATCTTATTGGTAGCATAGAAATGTTATGTCTACAAAATATGGATAATCCCAGCCATGTTATTACCTCCTTCCCCTGTGTTTTCCACAAATCCATTTGGGTTGTATGGCTTAACCTGTAAACACATTTCCCTCTGCTGCCTATTGTAAAGGACATGGATTCGCCTTCACCATCAGCATATTTTACTGTTATCTTTTCTTCTTTGGTAGGTCACTGATCCAAAGCGGCCTCTTTCATTTGGTGTCACACTGGGAGAGCTTAGTCTACTGGTAATGTTTGCTTTATTTTAAACTTCTATGGAACCTGTAAAGTATTATTCTGAAGTCACAGGGTAAATTGTCTAGAATCAACTATGCGACAAAGAACTATGATTTTTTAAATATATTATCATGCTAAACAACTTTTCTAGAAGTTTAACATTTTTAGTGATGCTATTATTACATTTTAAAATTATTTTTGTCTTTCTGTGTAACAGGTATCAAAATATCATTATCAAATGATTTGAAAGAAATAAAAGCTGTATCTTAAACATGTGGGGGAAGTAGGGGAAGATGAATTTCTGTAGAGTCATGTACTCATCTTCGGTATAGGTAGATGGAATTTCTAAATAGCTTATAGATATGCATATGTTTATGTATGTGTGTGTGTGTGCGCACACTCATCTCATTGGGCAATATGTAAATTAATTTATTTTGATTATTTTATAATGAGTTTTTCTTTTAATGGTCTTTAACAGTAGACAGTGTGTGTCTGTATATATATACACACATACATATATATATATGTATATATATATATAGGCTGGACATTTTTATTTCTATTACAGGCAACTAAGTGGTAGGAAACATGTTTTGGGGCATGTATGGAGAGGAAGATGTGGTTCACTTAGATACTTTTAAAGTTAAGGACAGTACAGGAATTGAATTCAGCTCTGCACCAAGCAGACCCAATAGACATCTACAGAACTGTCCACCCCAAATCAACAGAATATACATTCTTCTCAGCACCACACCTCACCTATTCCAAAATTGACCACATAGTTGGAAGTAAAGCACTCCTCAGCAAATGTAAAGAACAGAAATTATAACAAACAGTCTCTCAGACCACAGTGCAATCAAACTAGAACTCAGGATTAAGAAACTCACTCAAAACCACTCAACTACATGGAAACTGAACAACCTTCTCCTGAATGACTACTGGGTGCATAACGAAATGAAGGCAGAAATAAAGATGTTCTTTGAAACCAACGAGAACAAAGACACAACATACCAGAATCTCTGGGACACATTAAAAGCAGTGTGTAGAGGGAAATTTGCAGCACTAAATGCCCACAAGAGAAAGCAGGAAGGATCTAAAATTGACACCCTAACATCACAATTAAAAGAACTAGAGCAGCAAGAGCAAACACATTCAAAAGCTAGCAGAAGGCAAGAAATAACTAAGATCAGAGCAGAACTGAAGGAAATAGAGACACAAAAAACCCTTCAAAAAATCAATGAATCCAGGAGCTGGTTTTTTGAAAAGATCAACAAAATCGATAGACTGCTAGTAAGACTAGTAAAGGAGAAAAGAGAGAAGAATCAGATAGACGCAATAAAAAATAGTAAAGGGGATATCACCACCGATCCCACAGAAATACAAAACTACCATCAGAGAATACTATAAACACCTCTACGCAAATAAACTAGAAAATCTAGAAGAAATGGACAAATTCCTCGACACATACACCCTCCCAAGACTAAACCAGGAAGAAGTTGAATCTCTGAATAGATCAATAACAGGCTCTGAAATTGAGGCAATAATTAATAGCTTACCAACCAAAAAAAGTCCAGGACCAGACGGATTCACAGCCGAATTCTACCAGAGGTACAAGGAGGAGCTGGTACCATTCCTTCTGAAACTATTCCAATCAATAGAAAAAGAGGGAATCCTCCCTAACTCATTTTATGAGTCCAGCAGCATCCTGATACCAAAGCCTGGCAGAGACACAACCAAAAAAGAGAATTTTAGACCAATATCCTTGATGAACATCGATGCAAAAATCCTCAATAAAATACTGGCAAACCGAATCCAGCAGCACATCAAAAAGCTTATCCACCATGGACAAGAAGGCTTCATCCCTGGGATGCAAGGCTGGTTCAACATACGCAAATCAATAAATGTAATCCAGCATATAAACAGAACCAAAGACAAAAACCACATGATTATCTCAATAGATGCAGAAAAGGCCTTTGACAAAATTCAACAGCCCTTCATGCTAAAAACTCTCAATAGATTAGGTATTGATGGGATGTATCTCAAAATAATAAGAGCTATTTATGAAAAACCCACAGCCAATATCATAGTGAATGGGCAAAAACTGGAAGCATTCCCTTTGAAAACTGGCACAAGACAGGGATGCCCTCTCTCACCACTCCTATTCCACATAGTGTTGGAAGTTCTGGCCAGGGCAGTCAAGCAGGAGAAAGAAATAAAGGGTATTCAATTAGGAAAAGAGGAAGTCAAATTGTCCGTGTTTGCAGATGACATGATTGTATATCTAGAAAACCCCATCGTCTCAGCCCCAAATCTCCTTAAGCTGATAAGCAACTTCAGCAAAGTCTCAGGATACAAAATCAATGTGCAAAAATCACAAGCATTCTTATACACCAATAACAGACAAACGGAGAGCCAAATCATGAGTGAACTCCCATTCACAATTGATTCAAAGAGAATAAAATACCTAGGAATCCAACTTACAAGGGACGTGAAGGACCTCTTCAAGGAGAACTACAAACCACTGCTCAATGAAATAAAAGAGGACACAAACAAATGGAAGAACATTCCATGCTCATGGATAGGAAGAATCAATATCGTGAAAATGGCCATACTGCCCAAGATAATTTATAGATTCAGTGCCATCCCCATCAAGCTACCAATGACTTTCTTCACAGAATTGGAAAAAACTACTTTAAAGTTCGTATGGAACCAAAAAAGAGCCCACATTGCCAAGTCAATCCTAAGCCAAAAGAACAAAGCTGGAGGCATCACGCTACCTGACTTCAAACTATACTCCAAGGCTACAGTAACCAAAACAGCATGGTACTGGTACCAAAACAGAGATACAGACCAATGAAACAGAACAGAGCCCTCAGAAATAATACCACACATCTACAACTATCTGATCTTTGACAAACCTGACGAAAACAAGCAATGGGGAAAGGATTCCCTATTTAACAAATGGTGCTGGGAAAACTGGCTAGCCATATGTAGAAAGCTGAAACTGGATCCCTTCCTTACACCTTATACAAAAATCAATTCAAGATGGACTAAAGACTTACATGTTAGACCTAAAACCATAAAAACCCTAGAAGAAAACCTAGGCAATACCATTCAGGACATAGGCATGGGCAAGGACTTCATGTCTAAAACACCAAAAGCAATGGCAACAAAAGCCAAAATTGACAAATGGGATCTAATTTAACTAAAGAGCTTCTGCACAGCAAAAGAAACTATCATCAGAGTGAATAGGCAACCTACAGAATGGGAGAAAATTTTTGCAACCTACTCATCTGACAAAGGGCTAATATCCAGAATCTACAAAGAACTCAAACAAATTTAGAAGAAAAAAACAACCCCATCAACAAGTGTGCGAAGGATATGAACAGACACTTCTCAAAAGAAGACGCTTCTCAAAAGAAGACATTTATGCAGCCAACAGACACATGAAAAAATGCTCATCATCACTGGCCATCAGAGAAATGCAAATCAAAACCGCAATGAGATATCATCTCACACCAGTTAGAATGGCGATCATTGAAAAGTCAGGAAACAACAGGTGCTGGAGAGGATGTGGAGAAATAGAAACACTTTTACACTGTTGGTGGGACTGTAAACTAGTTCAACCATTGTGGAAGACAGTGTGGCGATTCCTCAGGGATCTAGAACTAGAAATACCATTTGACCTAGCCATCCTATTACTGGGTATATACCCAAAGGAATATAAATCATGCTGCTCTAAAGACACATGTACACATGTGTTTACTGCAGCACTACTCACAATAGCAAAGACTTGGAACCAACCCAAGTGTCCAACAGTGATAGACTGGATTAAGAAAATGTGGCACATATACACCATGGAATACTATGCAGCCATAAAAAATGATGAGTTCATGTCCTTTGTAGGGACATGGATGAAGCTGGAAACCATCATTCTCAGCAAACTATTGCAAGGACAAAAAACCAAACACTGCATGTTCTCACTCATAGGTGGGAATTGAACAATGAGAACACTTGGACACAGGAAGGGGAATATCACACACTGGGGCCTGTTGTGGGGTCGGGGGAGGGGGGAGGGATAGCATTAAGAGATATACCTAATGTAAATGACGAGTTAATGGGTGCAGCACACCAGCATGGCACATGTATACATACGTAACTAATCTGCACGTTGTGCACATGTACCCTAGAACTTAAAGTATAATAAAAATATATATATATATAAAATAAAGTTAAGGACAGTGAACCATATATCATACCAGACAAGTTTGCCTTATGACTACTTATATGGAGAGGGCCTCAATAAGGAAAGAAGAGGAAGAAGAATGGTAGGGTGGTAGACTGGCAGAGAAACAGAAAAAGAAGGACATGGTTATGTGGAAGGCTTCACAATGTTGTGGGCATATAGAGAAGTAGAGATACACATCGCATTGAAGAACAGAGCAGAAACAATAAAGAAAAAGAGAGAGCTGAAGAAACAAAGGAAAGGCAGTGAAGGAAACTAGTTTTTTTTTTTTTTTTTTTTTTTTGGACTTCTTTTTTTATTTTTTATTTTTATTATACTCTAAGTTTTAGGGTACATGTGCACATTGTGCAGGTTAGTTACATATGTATACATGTGCCATGCTGGTGCGCTGCACCCACTAACGTGTCATCTAGCATTAGGTATATCTCCCAATGCTATCCCTCCCCCCTCCCCCCTCCCCCGACCCCACCACAGTCCCCAGAGTGTGATATTCCCCTTCCTGTGTCCATGTGATCTCATTGTTCAATTCCCACCTATGAGTGAGAATATGCGGTGTTTGGTTTTTTGTTCTTGCGATAGTTTACTGAGAATGATGGTTTCCAATTTCATCCATGTCCCTACAAAGGACATGAACTCATCATTTTTTATGGCTGCATAGTATTCCATGGTGTATATGTGCCACATTTTCTTAATCCAGTCTATCATTGTTGGACATTTGGGTTGGTTCCAAGTCTTTGCTATTGTGAATAGTGCCGCAATAAACCATAAAAACCCTAGAAGAAAACCTAGGCATTACCATTCAGGACATAGGCGTGGGCAAGGACTTCATGTCCAAAACACCAAAAGCAATGGCAACAAAAGCCAAAATTGACAAATGGGATCTAATTAAACTCAAGAGCTTCTGCACAGCAAAAGAAACTACCATCAGAGTGAACAGGCAACCTACAACATGGGAGGAAACTAGTTTATCCTTTGCCTGTTTCCAAAATGAATTTGAGGTAGCTTTCGACAAAAACAAGTATACAGTAACACCTTTAAAGAGGATAGAATCTGTGTTCTAAAGGATAGAGAGAGAATTGTTCCAGAAAACTGTGACTAATGATAGTGGTCATAAGGGAGCAGAGTAACTTTGAGCTTCTAGCAGACAATGCAAAAAATACAAAATAGTCATATACCTCCTATTGTCTGATAACAGGTATACTATTGCATAAGAATGGGTAGTTTCCTTAGTGTTTGCTGCTGTTTGTCCCTTTGTATCTTTGCTCAGACTCTTCATTCTGCTTTAGTTGTCTGTATTACTTTCTGCCTGGTGATTCTACTCAAGTTTTAATACTTAAGTAATATATGACCTTTCTTTCTCATTCTTTTTCACTTCCTTCTTAGAATTTACCATTCCCTCTTTTATGCTTCCTATTGTATTTTGTCAAAGACCTGTAAAATATTATTGTACTGGTTATCATGTTAATCTCCTTCTGTCAAAACCACATTCATTCACTGAAGTAGTACCTACCTTTTAGTGTTTTTGTGATGATTAAATGAGATAGTTTATGTAAAGCTTTTGGCACATTGTCTGGCTCAATTATTTCCTGCTATTATAGTGGCTATTATAACAACTACAGCAATAGTAAACCTACCTCTTTTGTATCCATACCATTTATTTTTCTTTGCAATTACAATCTAACTTATAAATCTAAAGTTATCCTCCCACCTCTGATCTGGATCTCATTTTACCTATGTGCTCACTGTACTCTCACTCTACTACTCCACTGAAACAGTTCTTAACAAGTTTCTCAATAACGCCCTTGCTGCTAAATAAGTTTAGTGTTTGGTGTTGCTGAACATGCTGTCCTTGTAGAAACTTGGTCATGCTGTAATTTCCATACTCTCCTGGTTTTCTTCCTATTACAAAACAATTACTTGTTTTTTTAAAAAGAATGTATACCATATTCAATAGTGTATAGGCTGGCTCTCTGTTTTCATTCATACCTGATTCTTTCCACAGTTCAAATACATATTAACCCAGTAATTATTTTCTGAATGAATGAACTCAAATTAGAATCATGTCAATTCTCTTTTCATTGTTTCTTTGATTTTGTCTTATAAATATATGTAAAGAAATAGATAGCTAATACTAGTTAACATTAAGTAGATGTCATTTCTTCCTAAATTATTTTGTTACATTATGTAAGTATTAGAGCGCTATTAATGACATCCATACCACGTTTCACAGGTATTCCCTTTTTTCTTTTAGACTGCAAATGAACACTGGACTCCATGCATATTAAATGAAGCAGACAAAATTATATACAAGGTATTATGTTGGAATAAAAATTTTTGTTAGTTTCCTAGGTGCACTTAATTTATTTTCTTGAAGAAACATTGATGGAGCAGAATATGCCATTGGAGTGTGAGTTAAAAGTCTAGGGTCTAGTTTTGGCCCTGCTACTTACTATGTGACCCTCTGTAATCACTTACCAGTTCTGAGATATAGGTTCTTTACCTATCAAGTGAAGATACAGGATACAGTTAATACTTCCCAAATGGTACTTTATTAGATATTGAGATATTTTGAGATGTTGTAGAGAAAATATTCTCTGATCAAGTAAGATTATTGATTAAAGTACTAAGCTATACATAATTAAACAGATACGTTTCATTTTATTTTAAACTATAGAGCTTTAGATATGTTAACAAACACTGTGAATCTCCAAGAGGGCTATTTAGTATGTAGCTTTCCCACCTTGTTGACCATAGACTCCTCTGCTACCACCTGTTTTCAGGAAACAGCTATTCATATCTGCTGGAGGGATCATGTCTTTTTTTTTTCAGCAAAATATTTACAGGGTCTGTTAAATACTAATTTCTGAATAAATATTTGATAATTGAATGAATGAGTTCCTTGGAAATAGTGTTCTTGAAAGTGCAATTTAGCAAATGCTAGACTTAATAAAGTCTGAATAACATGAATATATTTTCCCCTCATTTTTATGTTATTTTCTTTCCTTTAAAAATTCAAAATGGCATTTGGGTAATTTTGGAGTGGTGAACATGAGAATAATCTTTTAATATTGATTCATAATTTCAGTGTGTTGATTGCCTGATCTCTTTCATTTTTCTCTTATAGCTTATACGACTTGATAGTCTTAGCGCCTACTGGAATGTAAATTGCAGCATGTCTTACCAGAGATCAAGGGAACAGATTTTGGTAATATTAATGTATACTTGGAAGAGCTAACTTCACTCCCATCCCTAAATTTGTTTAATATAAGAGGGCCTTCATGAGGACAGGATATCAGCCATTTGTTTAACTTGTATTTCACTAAATCAGAAATATGAAAAACATCCTTTCAAATCCACTATGTGTCTTCACAAAAGCAGTTTTGTTTTTGAAGATGTTTGTGAAATCATTCACTGGGCAGTGATATCAGAGCCCATGGTATTAAATTAAAACTGTATTTATGCTTTTTTACATTCTCATTTTGATGACATTCTTGTCACATTCTGATATTTCATATCAGAATGATTAAGAGTATTATAAAGATAATATTTCTCAGATATAAAGCATGTATCTTTGACACATGTTTTAGACATTTGTGATGATTTTCTGAATAGTAGAAGATTAATTCAAAACTTCAATGTGCTAAACCAGTCTTAGCCATGTTTATTTACTTAGAGATTAAAGAAAGAACAATTCAATTTTTAGAACTGGATAAATTTCAATCTTCTATCTCTGATTTCTCAGAAAGATACTGTAACATATGATTTGCCTGTGACTAGAATGTGTCTGAAATCGCAGTGTATGGATATACATATATGTACATTTTTTCGGAGTCAGAGTGGACATACTACAAGGTTGTTTGTAGACATACAGAATTCTTAAAATTATCTGCTTCTGTATCTTTATACTTATAAATAATGCTCCGTGTATTTTTCTTATTGACTACTAGTAACAGAGAAGCAAAGATATTGATGAAGAACCAAGCTTTGTGTGTGTGTGTGTGTGTGTGTGTGTGTGTGTGTGTCTGAGTCTGAATATGTGTGCATTTTCTTTTTCATTCTCATTCAAATTTTTTGTTTAGGATCAGCTGAAAAATGAAATTCTTACAAGTGGAAATATACCCCCAAATTATCAATACAGTAAGTAATAGTAAAAGTTTATTTCATGTTATAGGAAGAAACATAGAATTAAATACATTATTTTAACATAGTTTTCTGATAAACTTACTTAGTCAAAGTATATTAATTTTATACCTTACTATTATGATACAACATGTTTGGGTTATAACTTATTATTTAGGAATAGATCGTAACACACACCACTGGAGAATAAGAGAGAGAGAAGGGCAGTATAGCTGTAGTTCATTCCCTACAGCCAACTTTCTTTGAATTCCATGTATTCTTCTTAGCTTGCTACTGTATTCTTTGTTTTAGGATTTAGATTTTCTTTCTTTTTTCAAAAAGTAACTAAATCTCTGAGATTCTGGTATTCAGGTCACCCTTATGTTACTATTGCAGTGTTAACATAATCCTGCCACTCTAGAGAATTTTTTTAGTGAGCTTTTCTATTTCTTGGCAGCCTCACCTTTATTTTACAACTGGATCTCTAACAAAGCTTCCTGTTATTTATTTATTTTTTCCATCTGTTTTCTTTATTTCAGTTTCATGGTAATGAAGCTATTGGTTTTTTATTAGTATACCCCTTTATGATTTTTCTCAGCTTTCATACTCACGTTGTTCCGTATTACTCTGGTTCACTGTTGTTTTCTTCGTGTTCTTTTATAACTAATTGACGCTGGATAATAGTTGGCACTTATGTTACATAGATCCCTACATTTTTTGATGATAAAACTTTCAAGTGCTGCTAGTTTGTGAAATCATTTAGGTTCATTAATGGTAATAAATAGTTAAGGAAAATCTACAATTTCATTCTTAGGCATTTTCCATTTATAACTAGCTTTTAAAGCAGTTGAAAATTTTGTACAGTCTTATGCAAATTGTAATTACCATGAGATATCACAGTTTTTATAGTTTGATACTATTCACAGTTAAAATTTATCACCTTGCATTCCCCTATCATCTTCCCTGATACACCTTTTTATATTACTTCTCAACTTGAAGATTATTTTCTTTAGTTGATTCTAAGGTTATATACGTAATGATTATTTTGACAATAATAAAGTGGTGAGCAGTTTCTTTTTTTGGAATGAATTTTATTCATGATTTTGTTACTAAATTCTGCTAGTGATTAAATAAGACAAATTTATCAGATCTTATTTCCTTTTTTGTATTAGTATTTTTAATGAATAATACAATCATTAAATGTCTTGCAACAAGGAAGAGAAGTCTAATTTTATGCAGACTGTGAATAACCAAGAGTAGATTGTCTGTCTCTTTTATACATTTCTTACCTAGAAGCATGGGATTCCAATTTCCTCCTTGGAGATTTCGCTTTAACCATCGAGCTTATTATTATGCATATAAGTAGAAGCTTAAATTGCTTAAATATTTTTTGGTAGTGATTTTGTTACACACATTTTTGATCATTTTTCTTTACTTCTAGAGTAACAGTGTTCTCATAATTATTTACACTTGTTTATATGTAAAAGCATATGAACATATCTTATGTCTTCCCATGTGATGTAAGTTTTCCAGCCAATATCAGCCTCTGCAAAACTCTACATGAATCCTTATGCAGAATCAGAGCTCAAAACGCCCAAACTGGATTGCAACATAGAAATACAAAATATTGCCATTGAACTGACCAAACCTCAGGTATGATTCATGTGGATATTTCCAGCTTTGATTAGCCTTGAATCTTGACTGCTTTTATTTGTGATTATTACTTCTCTAGTGGTTGGTGGTTTTTTGGGGTTTGTTATGTTGAGATTTGACTGTTTAAAAATTTTTGTTTTAAAGAAAATGAATTTCAAATTTAAGTAGTTTTTTAAAATTTTATTTCATCTTTTCCTAAAGTGTGGAGAATCATATCAAACTGCAGGGAATGACATTATTTCCATTTGACTCACAATTGTTGATGGAAGATTTTTTTTTTTTGAGATGGAGTCTCACTCTGTTGCCCAGGCTGGAGTGCAGTGGTGCGATCTCAGGTCACTGCAAGCTCTACCTCCTGGGTTCATGCCATTCTCCTACCTCAGCCTTTAGAGTAGCTGGGACTACAGGCACCTGCCACCACTCCTGGCTATTTTTTTTGTATTTTTTTAGTAGAGATGGCGTTTCACTGTGTTAGCCAGGGTGGTCTCGATCTCCTGACCTCATGATCTGCCCGCCTCGGCCTCCCAGAGTGCTGGGATTACAGGCGTGAGCTACCGCGCCTGGCCTGTTGATGGAAGATTTTAATGTGTTTTTCCCTCCTCAGTTTTTAATGGAAGAGACTCTTATTAAATATTGTTTCTTTAATTTTTAGAACAGCTATGTTGGCAGCTTTTTCCTCTATTTGTTTCCCAAGCATGGTTATATGCCCAGAGAGTTGGGGTGACAGGCTTGGTGAACTGGAAGTGAAAGGAGGACAGGAGATTTAGCTAATTTAGCTTTTTTGTACAATTCTGTTAAATAAAAATGTAATGCAAGTTGTAATTTTAGATTTTCTAGTAGCTGTGTTAACAATGTAAAAAGAAAAAGGTGAAATTAACTTTCATAATACATTTTATTTAACTTAATATTTCCAAAATATTAATCATATCAACATATAATAAATGTAAAAAGTTATAATGAGACATTTCACATCACTTAAAATACATTTAAGTTCAGACTAGACACATTTCAAGTGATAAACAGCCGCATGGTAGGTAACCTTTAGTTAGAACTGCATTCCGTGAAAAATTAGAGAGGAGGAAGCTAGACTTGCCCCCTTTTTTTTTTTTAATCTTCTCTGCTTTCATGTTACCTCTGGGTTTATGTTTCCCTCCATTTGAACTGTTTTGTCAGATCTACACAGAGTTGCTGTGTTGATGGTAAGATGGCTGCTTAAATAGCTTTATGTTGCTTTGGTTATGCAATAATTTTTTGCAGTAATTTCAAAATCAGCTCATAGACAGCTACTGCTGAAATGATGATCCAGAGGAAAAATATATAGTCTTAGAAACAGGCATATTTTATATCATAGTTTACAGATACCATATTTCATTGTTTCTAAGATGTTCATTTAGTTTGCATTTTAACATTTGAAAATAGGATGTGTATATATATTGGTGATAAGACAATTTAATTAACAGCAGTTTTCTTTTGTAGTAGAACCTAAAATTATATTACAACTTAAAATTGATAGTGTCTTAAATTTGATGAACTGTAGTATACTTGTAATTGATAGCATCTTAAATTTGATGAAATACAGTATATTATTGGACTACCAGGCAACATTGTTCAGGGTATTTGGAGTCTCACTAGCCTAAAAAATAGAATTAAATTTAGTCTTTTTTTTATATATACAGTGTAATAAATATAATTTTATTTTTGTTTTAACAGTACTTAAGTATGATTGACCTTTTGGAGTCAGTGGATTATATGGTTAGGAATGCGCCTTATAGGAAATACAAGCCTTATTTACCACTTCATACCAATGGTCGACGATGGTAAGTTAGAATTTGTTTTTTGTTTTGTGAGGAACATATAATCATATATTTAGTTACTCTCAGAGTTAAGCAACCTTTAAAAGCCAAGTAATTCAGCCACTTTAAAAAAAGAGACAAGAGTATTAAAAGACAAATGGTAAATATATTGATTACTTATAAAAACAGCTTTCACTTCTTTTGTATGTCCATATTACTTTTTTCATATGAACATCCACTTGTATTTCTGCTCCTAGGTTCCCAAATTCTTTTTTTTTTTGAGATAGAATCTTGCTGTGTCCCCATGCTGGAGTGCAGTGATGTGATCTTGGCTCACTGCAACTTGTGCCTCCCTGGTTCAAGCGATTCTCCTGCTTCAGCCTCCCAAGTAGCTGGGGGTACGGGGTGTGCAACCACGCCCAGCTAATTTTTGTATTTTTATTTTTTTGAGACAGAGTCTTGCTCTGTCACCCAGGCTGGGGTGCGGTGACGCGATCTTGGCTCATTGCAACCTCCACCTCCTGGGTTCAAGCAACTCCCTGCCTCAGCCTCCCAAGTAGCTGAGATTACAGGCACCCACCACCACGCCTGGCTAATTTTTGTATTTTTAGTAGAGACAGGCTTTCAGCATCTCGACATCTTGAACTCCTGACCTTGTGATCTACTCTCCTCGGCCTCCCAAAGTGCTGGGATTACAGGCGTGAGCCACCGTGCCTGGCCTAATTTTTGTATTTTTAGTACAGATGGGGTTTCACCATGTTGGCCAGGATGGTCTCAAAATCTTGACCTCGTGATCTGCCCGCCTTGGCCTCTCAAAGTGCTGGGATTACAGACGTGAGCACCCTGCCGGTTCCCAAATTCTTAACTTAACATTCAAGACATTCAACATTTTTATAAAAGTTTTATCGCTTATCAGTCATCCACATAGACTCAGTGTTATAACCATACTGGAATGCTATTTCCCACATGTCGTTTTGTGCCTTTTGGATTTTGCTTTGGCAAAGTCTGTTCCTTAAGGGTTTTCTTATATCTAAGTCTATTTAAGTCAGACAATTTTACTGGGAATTGCTGAGCTCTTATAGGAAGACAGTTAAGAAGAACAAAAAATTTGACAGCATAAGATCTAAAATGTCAAGACTTTTCCTGTTTTCTCTTAAACCTTTATATTAACATTTACGTTAACAAAATTTGATTTTCAGGTGGAAATATGCAATTGATTCTGTTCTTGAAGTTCATATAAGAAGGTATACACAGATGTGGTCATGGAGTAACATAAAAAAGCACAGGCAGTTACTCAAGAGTTATAAAATTGCCTACAAAAACAAGTTAACACAGTCTAAAGTCTCAGAAGAAATACAGAAAGAAATTCAGGTATATCTTGCATATATTAGTGAGAGCTATTATTTGTCTAATCATCCTTTAATATTCTTCTGCATGTAATTTGAATCAAAAAATAATTTTAGGAAGAACAGAATTCACCTCTTTTTGAGAGAGAATTATGTGGGAAAATGCAGAATTTTTTTTTTCCAGTTTTTCTTCTTTAAAAAAACTTTTTTTCCCCCTGCAAATATCAGATAAAATAAGGTTACTGTAAACAATTTGGGGAAAGGTGACTGGTTTTTATAATAATGTTTAGGAAGTCAGTATCAGAGCTGTTTAAATATGTGTTTATTAGATAGATATATCTTGTTTTGTTAGTAAACATCCTGTATTTATACGGTAGTGGCTTTTCAAAATACTTCAAAATATTATTTATAAAAAACAGCTTTTACTAAGAAGACATTTATGCAGCCAAAAAACACATGAAAAAATGCTCATCATCACTGGCCATCAGAGAAATGCAAATCAAAACCACAATGAGATACCATCTCACACCAGTTAGAATGGCGACCATTAAAAAGTCAGGAAACAACAGGTGCTGGAGAGGATGTGGAGAAATAGGAACACTTTTACACTGTTGGTGGGATTGTAAACTAGTTCAACCATTGTGGAAGTCAGTGTGGCGATTCCTCAGGGATCCAGAACTAGAAATACCATTTGACCCAGCCATCCCGTTACTGGGTATGTACCCAAAGGATTATAAATCACGCTGCTATAAAGACACATGCACACATATGTTTATTGCGGCACTATTCACAATAGCAAAGACTTGGAACCAATCCAAATGTCCAACAACGATAGACTGGATTAAGAAAATGTGGCACATATACACCATGGAATACTATGCAGCCATAAAAAATGATGAGTTCATGTCCCTTGTAGGGACATGGATGAAACTGGAAACCATCATTCTCAGCAAACTATCGCAAGGACAAAAAACCAAACACCGCATATTCTCACTCATAGGTGGGAATTGAACAATGAGAACACATGGACACAGGAAGGGGAACATCACACACCGGGGACTGTTGTGGGGTGCGGGGAGAGGGGAGGGATAGCATTAGCAGATATACCTAATGCTAAATGATGAGTTAATGGGTGCAGCACACCAACATGGCACATGTATACATATGTAACAAACCTGCACAATGTGCGCATGTACCCTAGAACTTAAAGTATAATAATAATAAAAAAAAAATAAGAATTTCTTTAAAAAAAAACAAAAACAAAAAAACAGCTTTTACTTCTCGGGAAAGAAGAGGTCTTATGTACTCCCTTTTAAAAGGTAGAAACACGGCCGGGCGTGGTGGCTCACACCTATAATCCCAGCACTTTGGGAGGCTGAGGCGGGCGGATCACCTGAGGTCTGGAATTGGAGACCAGCCTGGCCAACGTGATGAAACCCCGTCTCTACTAAAAATACAAAAAATTAGCTGGGCGTGGTGGTGGGCACCCGTAATCCCAGTTACTCGGGAGGCTGAGGCAGGAGAATTGTTTGAACCTGGGAGCTGGAGGTTGCAGTGAGCCCAGATCCTGCCATTGCATTCCAGCCTGGCAACAAGAGCGAAACTCCCTCTCAAGAAAAAAATAAAATAAAATAAAAAATAAAAAAAATAAGCACTAAACATGGAAAGGAACAACCGGTACCAGCCGCTGCAAAATCATGCCAAAATGTAAAGACCATCGAGACTAGGAAGAAACTGCATCAACTAACGAGCAAAATCACCAGCTAACATCGTAATGACAGGATCAAATTCACACATAACAATATTAACTTTAAATGTAAATGGACTAAATGCTCCAATTAAAAGACACAGACTGGCAAATTGGATAAAGAGTCAAGACCCATCAGTGTGCTGTATTCAGGAAACCCATCTCACGTGCAGAGACAAAAATAGGCTCAAAATAAAAGGATGGAGGAAGATCTACCAAGCAAATGGAAAACAAAAAAAGGCAGGGGTTGCAATCCTAGTCTCTGATAAAACAGACTTTAAACCAACAAAGATCAAAAGAGACAAGGCCATTACTTAATGGTAAAGGGATCAATTCAACAAGAAGAGCTAACTCTCCTAAATATATATGCACCCAATACAGGAGCACCCAGATTCATAAAGCAAGTCCTGAGTGACCTACATAGAGACTTAGAGTCCCACACATTAATGATGGGAGACTTTAACACCCCACTGTCAACATTAGACAGATCAACGAGACAGAAAGTCAACAAGGATACCCAGGAATTGAACTCAGCTCTGCACCAAGCGGACCTAATAGACATCTACAGAACTCTCCACCCCAAATCAACAGAATATACATTTTTTTCAGCACCACACCACACCTATTCCAAAATTGACCATATACTTGGAAGTAAAGCTCTCCTCAGCAAATGTAAAAGAACAGAAATTATAGCAAACTATCTCTCAGATCACAGGGCAATCAAACTAGAACTCAGTATTAAGAATCTCACTCAAAACCGCTCAACTACATGGAAACTGAACAACCTGCTCCTGAATGACTACTGGGTACATAACGAAATGAAGGCAGAAATAAAGATGTTCTTTGAAACCAACGAGAACAAAGACACAACATACCAGAATCTCTGGGACACATTCAAAGCAGTGTGTAGAGGGAAATTTATAGCACCAAATGCCCACAAGAGAAAGCAGGAAAGATCCAAAACTGACACCCTAACATCACAATTAAAAGAACTAGAAAAGCAAGAGCAAACACATTCAAAAGCTAGCAGAAGGCAAGAAATAACTAAAATCAGAGCAGAACTGAAGGAAATAGAGACACAAAAAATCCTTCAAAAAATTAATGAATCCAGGAGCTGGTTTTTTGAAAGGATCAACAAAATTGATAGACTGCTAGCAAGACTAATAAAGAAGAAAAAAGAGAAGAATCAAATAGATGCAATAAATATTGATAAAGGGGATATCACCACCGATCCCACAGAAATACAAACTACCATCAGAGAATACTACAAACACCTCTATGCAAATAAACTAGAAAATCTAGAAGAAATGGATAAATTCCTCGACACATACACTCTCCCAAGACTAAACCAGGAAGAAGTTGAATCTCTGAATAGACCAATAACAGGATCTGAAATTGTGGCAATAATCAATAGTTTACCAACCAAAAAGAGTCCAGGACCAGATGGATTCACAGCCGAATTCTACCAGAGGTACAAGGAGGAGCTGGTACCATTCCTTCTGAAACTATTCCAATCAATAGAAAAAGAGGGAATCCTCCCTAACTCATTTTATGAGTCCAGCATCATCCTGATACCAAAGCCTGGCAGAGACACAACCAAAAAAGAGAATTTTAGACCAATATCCTTGATGAACATCGATGCAAAAATCCTCAATAAAATACTGGCAAACCGAATCCAGCAGCACATCAAAAAGCTTATCCACCATGATCAAGTGGGCTTCATCCCTGGGATGCAAGGCTGGTTCAACATACGCAAATCAATAAATGTAATCCAGCATATAAACAGAACCAAAGACAAAAACCACATGATTATCTCAATAGATGCAGAAAAGGCCTTTGACAAAATTCAACAGCCCTTCATGCTAAAAACTCTCAATAGATTAGGTATTGATGGGATGTATCTCAAAATAATAAGAGCTATTTATGAAAAACCCACAGCCAATATCATAGTGAATGGGCAAAAACTGGAAGCATTCCCTTTGAAAACTGGCACAAGACAGGGATGCCCTCTCTCACCACTCCTATTCCACATAGTGTTGGAAGTTCTGGCCAGGGCAATTAGGCAGGAGAAGGAACTAAAGGGTATTCAATTAGGAAAAGAGGAAGTCAAATTGTCCCTGTTTGCAGACGACATGATTGTATATCTAGAAAACCCCATCGTCTCAGCCCAAAATCTCCTTAAGCTGATAAGCAACTTCAGCAAAGTCTCAGGATACAAAATCAATGTGCAAAAATCACAAGCATTCTTATACACCAATAATAGACAAACGGAGAGCCAAATCATGAGTGAATTCCCATTCACAATTGATTCAAAGAGAATAAAATACCTAGGAATCCAACTTACAAAGGACGTGAAGGACCTCTTCAAGGAGAACTACAAACCACTGCTCAATGAAATAAAAGAGGACACAAACAAATGGAAGAACATTCCATGCTCATGGATAGGAAGAATCAATATCATGAAAATGGCCATACTGCCCAAGGTAATTTACAGATTCAATGCCATCCCATCAAGCTACCAATGCCTTTCTTCACAGAATTGGAAAAAACTACTTTAAAGTTCATATGGAACCAAAAAAGAGCCCGCATTGCCAAGTCAATCCTGAGCCAAAAGAACAAAGCTGGAGGCATCACACTACCTGACTTCAAACTATACTCCAAGGCTACAGTAACCAAAACAGCATGGTACTGGTACCAAAATAGAGATATAGATCAATGGAACAGAACAGAGCCCTCAGAAATAACGCCTCGTATCTACAACTATCTGATCTTTGACAAACCTGACAAAAACAAGCAATGGGGAAAGGATTCCCTATTTAATAAATGGTGCTGGGAAAACTGTCTAGCCATATGTAGAAAGCTGAAACTGGATCCCTTCCTTACACCTTATACAAAAATCAATTCAAGATGGATTAAAGACTTAAACGTTAGACCTAAAACCATAAAAACCCTAGAAGAAAACCTAGACATTACCATTCAGGACATAGGCATGGACAAGGACTTCATGTCTAAAACACCAAAAGCAATGGCAACAAAAGCCAAAATAGACAAGTGGGATCTAATTAAACTAAAGCGCTTCTGCACAGCAAAAGAAACTACCATCAGAGTGAACAGGCAACCTACAAAATGGGAGAAAATTTTCGCAACCTACTCATCTAACAAAGGACTAATATCCAGAATCTATAATGAACTCAAACAAATTTACAAGAAAAAAACAAACAACCCCATCAAAAAGTGGGCAAAGGACATGAACAGACAGTTTTCAAAAGAAGACATTTATGCTGCCAAAAAACACATGAAAAAATGCTCACCATCACTGGCCATCAGAGAAATGCAAATCAAAACCACAATGAGATACCATCTCACACCAGTTAGAATGGCGATCATTAAAACGTCAGGAAACAACAGGTGCTGGAGAGGATGTGGAGAAATAGGAACACCTTTACACTGTTGGTGGGACTGTAAACTAGTTCAACCATTGTGGAAGTCAGCGTGGGGATTCCTCAGGGAACTAGAACTAGAAATACCATTTGACCCAGCCATCTCATTACTGGGTATATACCCAAAGGACTATAAATCATGCTGCTATAAAGACACATGCACACATATGTTTATTGCGGCATTATTCACAATAGCAAAGACTCGGAACCAACCCAAATGTCCAACAATGATAGACTAGATTAAGAAAATGTGGCACATATACACCATGGAATACTATGCAGTCATAAAAAATGATGAGTTCATGTCCTTTGTAGGGACATGGATGAAATTGGAAATCATCATTCTCAGTAAACTATCGCAAGAACAAAAAACCAAACACCGCATATTCTCACTCATGGGTGGGAACTGAACAATGAGAACACATGGACACAGGAAGGGGAACATCACACTCTGGGGACTGTTGTGGGTTGTGGGGAGGGGGAGGGATAGCATTGGGAGATATACCTAATGCTAGATGACAAGTTAGTGGGTGCAGCGCACCAGCATGGCACATGTATACATATGTAACTAACCTGCACGTTGTGCACATGTACCCTAAAACTTAAAGTATACTAATAATAAAAAAAAAGTAAATACGAACAAACAAATAATCAAAAAAAATAAAAGGTAGAAACACACTGGATACATAATTTGCTTAATGTCTTATGATTTCAGTTATAGAACTATTTCTAGCAATGATTCATAATGTGAAAAATGAGTTGAATTCCTATTTTTCTGAAGTATATCACAATCACCAGTGTGAAATATTAGAAAAAGCGTAGTTATTGGCGTCAGATGGATTTGGGTTCAAGTACTGACTTGGATATTTACCAAGTGTCCTTCTGATTATGGACACAAGTTTCTCAAACTCTCAGGTCTAGTGTTCTCGTATATAAAATGGTAACAATATCTGTCTTACAGAGTGGTGAGAATTGTATGAGACAGCACATAAAGCACTTGGAACACAGGTCACCTGGTTAATGTTGGATTCCCCCACGTACTTTTATATAAATGCCTCAAATCAGTTTCTACTTTAGCCTAATTATTGATTTGCAGAATTTTACATTCTTAAATATTATGTGTTTTGTAATGTCACCGTTAGTACAATGGCTATGTAATGATAAGAATGGGGGGAGTTAGAAGTAAGAATCATAAGGATGATAAATGTAAAACAAGTCCTCTTCCTAAATATTCTTGTTTTCATGTGCATTTATGTCTATGTGTTAATTATAATGGTCTCACAGAAAAATTATTTTCATACTATATTTAATGAGGATTTATTTTCTTAGAAAACTTATTTTCTCTTACTGTAAAAAATTAAAAAATTTAAAAGTCTAGAATACATTCAAATTTATACTAATACTTTCATTAGGTCACAGGTACTGATAATGGACTAGATATGCCTAGAAATCATGAAAGAAAAATTTCTTTTATCTAATGATTAAATTTCTTGTTTATAAGTGCCTCTGTTTTTTACAGGACTTGGAGAAGACTCTAGATGTTTTTAACATAATTTTAGCAAGGCAACAAGCACAAGTTGAGGTAATCATTTTTATTAGCTGATTTTATGTTTTAAACATGTTAATGCCCGCTTTTAAACCTAGGATCAAGAAATTGAAGTTTCACGAGGTGAGGTTTTTATTGCTTAATTTAGTCTCAGGAGAAAAGAAACTGGAGTACTGAAAAAAAGCCACTAATATGAAGGGGAAAAAAAACCTTATTTTTATTATTATTTTTTTTTGAGATGGAGTCTTGCTCTGTCTCCCGGGCTGGGATGCAGTGGCGTGATCTTGGCTCGCTGCAGCCTCTGCCTCCCGGGTGCAAGTGATTCTCCTACCTCAGCCTCCTGAGAGCTGGGATCATAGGCGTGTGCCACCACGCCCGGCTAATTTTTTTTTGTAGTTTTAGTAGAGATGGGTTGTTGCCATGTTGGCCAGCCTGGTCTTGAATTCCTGACCTCAGGTGATCCACTCACCTCGGCCTCTCAAAGTGCTGGGATTACAGGCGTGAGCCACTGCGCCTGGCCACTTAGAAAATTTTATAATGAAAAATCTGAAAAACTCCAAGAAGAAAGTAAATAAAAGACATCTATAATTCTGACAACTTAGAATACTACTGTGATAATTTTGGCTATCAGTTTTTCTCCCATGCTTATATACCTGCGTATTTATGCTTTTTATCTCCTTTTTTTTTTTTTTTTTACTTTTTCTTTGTTTCCTCTTCCTTCCCTTCCTTCTTCCTTCTCTCCCTCTCTTCTTTCTTTTCTCCTTTCCTTCCTTCCTCTTTCCTTCACTTTCTTCCTTTTTTTCCTTTCTTTCTGAAATTGGAAATGATCTACTGATAATGTTTTATAACTGCTTATTTATTGATGCCTTGTGCGCAGTGTTCCATGTCATTTCTAAGATTCTGTAACATGACTTTTTGGTGATGAAAAAAAATTACAAATGCAATGTAACTCATTGTAGAAAAATTAGAAAATATAGATAAATAAAACAAAAACACTCATCTCAGAAACTAAAAGTAACTACTGTTAATACCTTTCTGTATATCCTTTTAGTCCTTTTTATAGTTACAGATGTCCATGTACTTACTCATACTTTTAAATGAGATTAAGGCATATACAGTTGACCCTTGAACAAACTGAACGTTAGGGACGCCAAGCCCCCACACAATTAAAAATTTGTGTATAACTACTTTCTCTCTCTCTCTCTCTTTTTTTTTTTTTTGAGATGGAGTCTTGCTCTGTTGTCCAGGCTGGAGTGCAGTGGCGCAATCTTGGGTCACTGCAACCTCTACCTCCCAGGTTTCAAGCGATTCTCCTGTCTCAGCCTCCTGAGTATCTGGGACTATAGGCATGTGCCACCATGCCCGGCTAATTTTTGTATTTTTAGTAGAGATGGGGTTTCACCACATTGGCCAGGCTGGTCTCGAACTCCTGACCTCAGGTGATCCACCCGCCTTGGCCTCCCAAAGTGCTGGGATTACAGGCATGAGCCACCGTGCCTGGCCTGTGTATAACTTTAGATTCTTCAAAAACTTAACTACTGATAGCCTACTGTTAACCAAAAGCCTTATTGATAAATAGTTGATTAACACATATTTTTAGATGTTATATGTATTGTACACTGTATTCTTACAATAAAGTAAGCCAGAGAAAAGAAAATGTTATTAAGAAAATTATAAGAAAGTGAAAATATATTTACTATTCAGTAAGTAGAAGTCGATCACCATAAAGGTCTTCACATTGAGTAAGCTGAGGAGTGGGAGGAGAAAGAGGAGGATTGTCTCAGGGGTAGCAGAGGCAGAAGAAAATCCTTGTATAAGTGTACTCATGCCGTTCAAACCCATGTTGTTCAAGGGTCATCTCTACACTTGTTCATTTGTTTAGCAAGTACTCACTGAGTGTCTGTTATGCTTGCATTATGGCTAAAAGTATAGACTTGGGAGTCAGATGGTCTGGATTCTGATCCCAGCTTTGCCATCTACTAATTATATGATTTTGGGCCGTTTGACCCCTCTGTGCCTTAGTTTCCTGATTTGTGAGATGAGATTAATTAGTAGTACCTATGTCTTAGGGTTATTGTTAGGAGTACCTCATAATTCATGTAAAACACTTAAATGATTATGTGCCTGGCACATAGCAGTTACTAAACACGTGATTTTTTTTCATTGTCATTATCATTTGCATTAGCCTACATAAATGAACAAAACAGACAAAAATCTTTTATTTATATTGTAGTAGGGGACAAGGTTAATAAGTACTTCAATAAGAATAAAGTAGGAAAGAATATAAGGAGCACTGAAGCTAGTCAGTGATGATGATTTGCAGTTTTAAACAGGGTTGTCAGGAAAAGCCTCACTAACAAGGAAACATTTGAGCAAAGATCTGAAGACCATGGGGCAATCAGCCAGAAAGATATCTAAGGGAAAGGTATAACCAGGCAGAAATAATAAAGTGTAACTGCTTAAAGGTTTTGGGGTTGGAACATACCTGGCTCATTCAGGAAACTAACTGGAGTCCTGAGAGAGGGAAGAGTGGTGGTTGATGAGGTCAGAGAAGTAAGGTAGCAGAGGAATGGGAGGGCTGCTCGTGGGAGTTGAGATTGCCAGATTGTGTAGCATCTTACAAGCCATTGTGTGGATTTTGGCTCTTACTCTGAATTGGGAAACTAATAGTAGGTTTTGAAACAGGGTGATATGATCTGGCATAAGTTTTAAAATTCACCCTGGCTACTTTGAAAGCAGACTGTAGGAAGGAAGGCAAGAGTGAAGACAGGGGGAGCAGTTAGGAGGCTATTGAAATAGTTGAGATGAGTGGTGATAGTAGCTTTACTGAGAATGGTTGCAAATAAAGGTGATCAGAAAGGGTCAGATTCTAGATATACTTTGAGGGTACAGCCAGTATTTCCTGACTGACTAGATGTGAGTTGTAGGAGAGAGAGTAAAAAATGCCTTTAAATATTTTGACTTGGAGCAGTTGGAAGGATGGATTTGCTATCAAATAAGAGGGGGAAGATGGGAGAGAACAAGCTTGAGTGAGATGAGAGAAGACCAGGAGTTCAGTTTGGGACCTATTAAGTTTTAGCTATCTCTTAGACCTCAGAGGGGCAGTGGAGTAGGCAATTATGTGGAGTTCAGAAGAGGAGTCTGTGCTGGATATAGAAATGTAGGAAGGGTCAGCACATGGATTTCTTTAAAGCCATGAGATTGCATGAGATCACCTCAGGAATTAGAATAGCTAGAGAAGAGGAGAGTTGCAAAGATCCAAAGCTTCTATTGTTACAATCAGAGGGATGGGAAAGAACCAGCAAAGGTGACCATAAAGGGATTGCCAGAGTTGTAATAGGGAAGCTGTATGAATGTAACACCTTCAAATTCAAGTGAAGAAAGAATTTCAAGGAAGAGAAAGTGATCAACTGTGACAGATGCACCTGATTTTTTAACTAAGATAGGACAGAATTGAACATTAAACCTACTAAATATGGGATATTTTTAGCCATGACGTTTTTCAAGTAATTTTTTGGCACCAATTTCTTTTTATTCTCTTCTTTTGCACTCTTGATTATTTGGACTCTTAATTTTATATTCTATACATATATATATATATGTATGTATGTAAAATATATAGGCAAGGATGAAAACAGCCATATGTATAAGATATATGTATTCATATATAAGATATATGTGTGTATATGTAATATATATATATGTGTGTGTGTGTGTGTGTGTGTGTGTGTATTTAGACCTTTTGGTGCTCTGTTCATCATTTTTTTTTCCTGCAGTCTTTTTTCTCTCTCTAAGGCTAGATAATTTCTGTTGATCTATCTTCAAGTTCTGTCTTTCTTCTGTCATCTTCATTTTGCTATTGAACCCATCCTGGGAGTTTTTAATTTCAGATATTATATTTTTCAGGTCTAAAATTACTATTGAGTTTTTTTTTATAGTTTGCATTTCTCTATTGAAGATTCCAATCTTTTTAGTAATTTCCAGTGTGTTTGCCTTTATGTCATGTACTATAGTTTCAGTGCCTCTCTGATAGTTCCAGCTATCAGACATCGAAGTTATCTGATTACTGGCATCTGCTGATTATCTTTTCCTTGAGAATTGTTTACATTTTCAGTTTTATTTGTTTTCGTATGTCAAGTAATTTTGGATTGTATTTTTGACATTGTGATTATTATATAATCTCTGGATCTTGTTATAATCCTCTGGAAAATGTTGACATTTTGTGTTAGTGTACAACCTAGTTAAGTTATGAATCTAAGTTGTGTTTGCCTTCTGTGGATGGTGGTTCAGATTTCAGTTCAGCTCTTTAAACCTTTGGTATGTAAGTTTGAGTTTGTTTTACACGTGAATATTACTGGGGTTAGTTTGAGACTTGCGTGGGTGGTTCATATTAGTTCATGTGGCTAAGACCTTTGCTACTTTGGTTTGGGTTAGTTTCACATATGTGAAGCTTGTATTAGACTGAGATTTTGACAGGTTCATATACAGAATTAAGAGATATCCCCTTCTCCAGCTCTTTCCCTGCCAGGGTTTTCTCACATACATTCTGGCCTTCATGAACTCCATTTACTGGTTCCTTGGCCGGAAATACGGAGTTTTTCTCAGGGTTTTAGCTGCCTGTGCAACTGTGCTCCATGTTCCTCTGCTGTGCTCCATGGTGAGGCCCTTGCTCAGGGCAGAGCCATGTATAGTAGTTTTCTATGTCTGTATAACAAACGTAGTGGCTTGAAACAACACATAGCTATTATCTCTGAGTTTCTCTGGGTCTGGAGTCTAGGTATGGGTTAATTGAGTCCTCTGCTTAAGGTTTTAAAATATTGCAAGATGTTGGTTTGGGACTATGGTATCTGAAACGTGACTGATGGAGGATCCACTTTCCTTGGCAGAATTTAGCTCTTCGTGGCTGTGGGATGGAAGGCTCCAGCTTTTTGTTGATTTCTGGCTAGAGCTGCCCTCAGCTTCTAAATATCATCTTCAGTTCCTTGCCTAATGGGCTTCCCAACATAGACAACCATAACATGGCAGCTTTCTTCTTCAAAAGAAGAGAGAAACTGCAGCAGGATGGTCACTAAAGTCTTGTGTATATAACATACACATTGTACACAGAATCAAGTATATTTTATTACCTTTGCCATACTTTATTGTTTAGAAACTAGTTGCAAGTCATGCCCATGCTCAAGGGCAAGAACATTAGAAATGGGAGATTATGGTGGTGGGGTGGAATGGGGTGGGCACAACATGTGAGAAAAACAAACGTCATGGAAAACTCAGTCTTGTGCAGGTCACTCTCCAAATTGTGACCCCTTCTACTATTTGCCTGCTTTGCTTACTTTTCAAAGTCTCGGGTAGATCTTTTTTATATTTTGTTCAGAAGTTTTATTTGGGTTGAAGATGGCTTATGCCACCATGGAACTAAAACTTTCACTGAAATTAGTAATAAAGAAGTAACTTAAGAGCAATTTTTATAGAATAATGTGGGCAGAAGCTTGATAGGAATGAGAGAGCATGAACGACTGGGAATGGGAGACAGTGAGTAGGAACAGTATGATTCTTTGCTGTAAGCAGAGCAGATAAATGGAGCAGTAAGTGGTGGACAATGTGGAGTCAAGAGAAGGTTTTGTAACTTGCTTTTCTTTCTTTAAAAAAATTGTAGTATCCATTTTCAATGTCAGCAGAATCATTTATCTGACATCATTTAAGATAGCTGAATAGAGGCCGATGTGATGGCCCACTCCTGTAATCCCAGCCCTTTGGGAAGCTGAGATGGGCAGATCACGAGGTCAGGAGTTTGAGACCAGCCTGGCCAACATAGTGAAACCCTGTCTCTACTAAAAATACAAAAATTAGCCGGGTGTGGTGGCACACACATGTAATCTCAGCTACTTGGGAGACTGAGGCAGGAGAATCGCTTGAACCCGGGAGGTGGAGGTTGCAGTGAGCCGAGACCATGCCATTGCACTCCAGCCTGGGTGACAGAGTGAGAATCCATCTCAAAAAAAAAAAAAGATAGCTGAATAGTATTCCATTCTGTGCATATACCAGAATTTGCTTCACTGTTTCTCACTGGCTATATTTAATTGTAAGTGACTCTACAATGAATAGCCTTATCTCTGCATTTTCTCAAACATCCCTTATTTTCTCACAGGCAAATTCCCCAAGGTACAAGTTATTAGGTCAGAAAGTATGAATATTTTAAAAGGTATTTGCTACTGCTGGGGATTGTTCCTATGAAAGAGAGGAATGAATCACCGGAGGATAACAATTTCAATCCTCCATGACTTAAGTTGCTTTAGCTTAAATGTGTATTCTTAGTACCAGCTACAGTTGCTTAAAAAGTGAAGAAAGAGAACTAATATTGGGATGCAGTAGACAAAGAAGGATGGATGTAGAAGAGAAGGCAATTTGATCTATCTAACATTGATTTTTTTCATTGTAATGGAAAGTACATAGGGCCTGAGTTTAAAATGTAGGCGGAGGATTGGCTGAAGTTATTTACCATGGGCAACTTAGTTGGACAGAGAAGGAAGTGAAGGCACCAAGGGGGTAATTGAGGGAAAGGGAAAGCGCTCTGCATCCGTCTTCATCTTAGGTCTCATTTGTATATTTTTATTTATTTTTGGTCTCATATATATATATATATGCTTTGAAATAACTATAGGTTTACAATAAGTAGCAAAGATAGTTCACAGAGGTACTGTGTACCCTTCACCTGTTTCTCCCAGTGCTTACATCTACATAATATAGTACAATACCAAAACCAAGAATTTGACATTGGTATGATGTGTGTGTATAGTTCTGTGACAGCTCTCATATTTTTAAATATTAATTCTTATTTATTTTTAAATGGTAATTGACAAACGTAGGAAAACTTTTCTTCACTGTTCTTTGTTACTTCATTTTCTTCATAGCCTTTCTATGTTTGAAATTAGTATTTTTGATTGTGTGCTTTCCTAATTCATCTCTTTTTCTCTTTATTATGTGTAAAATTTTCAGTTTATTTTTAAATTCCTTGAAATTTGTAGCATGCTGATCACACCTTTAAGATTTCAACGCTAATGCTAATAATGGCTTTATCTTTCTTTTAAAGGTTTTCAGATATTTAGGTAGAGACTTGGGAGGAAGTTGAATGTTGGGGTTTGTCGCCATACTATCTTGATTTCTCTTAGGATATTTTAAAAAGGTTAATTTCAGTTAATTTTTTTTTCCAAAATAAAATGGCTTCTTTACCCCAAAGTGTAAAAAAATATATTATCTATTTTTATAAAGAATAATTTTTATGGTAGCTAAGAATATGGTAACAATGAAAAAATACAATTTAGTGCCTGCCCTTTTAAAACTTAAAGCTATCAGTTTGGTTAAAAGAGATGTTAATAAAATATCCAAATGCTTTTTAGCTTTTTCTGCTTTTAGATTTGTAAAAACTGTTCATGAATTCATCTGTTTATTAAGTCTCAGTATCTAAGAGAGGTTCAAACTTGAAGTTTCTGGTTGCATTTTCCCTAAAAGAATTCATAGAAGATTCTTAAAAGTGGAAAAACTCAGATGATATACATTTAATTGGGTGTCATTTCCAAAAAAGCTCGGTTTTATCTACTTGTGAAACTGTTGAAGCAGTTAATTCCCTTTATCATGATCTCTGCTGTTGAAGGAAACTAGTTTGTTGTCATCTCAGTGGTTCTGAACCTTGGCTGCATGTTAGAATCACCAGGGGAATTAAAAAAAAAATACCTCTTTCTTGAGAGAGAACCCACTCTCTCAAGATTTGATTTAATTGTTGTGTGGTGGGGCTTTGGCTTTGGCATTTTTTCTCATAAAGCTTCTAGATGATTCTTTTGTGCAGCAAGGATTGAATACCACTGAGCTGTGGTATCCACAGTAGCTGATTTGTCATTTACTTTCATCTTGCAGTTTCAAACAGGGCTTGAAAATGTATATACTCATCCCTAGCTTGTGACAAAAGTTTAACATTTTGCCCATCCTTAGTCTTTACATTCACCAATCAAACCTGTTCTCTTTACTATAGAATTCAACTCTTTACTTTTATCTTCTCTTTTGTATTATTCCACTTTTTATTACACACAGAGGCTTACAATATGTTACCGATTCACTACCAATTTCAAATACTTTAAGTGGAAAAATTATTGAAATTTACTTATTCAGGGAATGAGAACATATAATCTAAATTACTTATCCCCTTTATTTTGTTTATCCCTGTATTCTGCCTTTTGGTTATTCATCCATATTTCTCTGAAAAGTGGGCAAAGAGAAGGAGTGATAGAAAATCAAGTCAGGATTTGTTGAGAAAAGAGGGTGAAATTAGATTTAAGGACTATTTTAATTTATATCCCTCCTTCTGCCACTGTCCTAGTTAGCAAGCCAGCATTGTATATGAATTCTGAAATATAATTGTTTTAAATTAATACTTTTTTGGGTGTGTTTCCTTTCAAGGAACTTTTCATTTTATAAACATGCAGTTCTGGTGGCTTCTTAACTTAAAAATTTGGAAGAATTTGGAAGTCACATTGCTTAGAAGTATTTTACCTGAAACCTTAACTATATTGCTCATAACATGCAGCCTTATCAAAATGCTATCAGTTGGTGTGAGAAGTATTAATAAACTAATAGGGAGACTGCATTTAACTAAATTATGTTGTGAGCATCATTTAAGATCTTGACTGGTGCAATGTTACGTAGCGTTAAAAAAAAAAAAAGAACCATTGTTTTTTTTTCCCAGGCTACACCTGAAAATGAAGAGGGCAACATTCTTAAAGTAAATTTTTTAATTTTTATTTTTCAGGTGATTCGGTCTGGGCAAAAATTAAGGAAAAAGTCTGCTGACACAGGCGAGAAACGTGGAGGCTGGTTTAGTGGGTTGTGGGGTAAGAAAGAGTCTAAGAAAAAGGACGAAGAATCATTGATTCCTGAAAGTAAGTTCCAAGTCAAATAACTTATTGTACAGTGTTAAGTTAAAAAAAAACTGTGTAAATTATATCTTCCCTGTTGAATTTTATTTTGAAATACATTTGAAATAAATTACCTCAGTATAGTAAATATATAAGCAAATACATCAGGCTGGAATATTCCTGTTTATCTAAAATAAAACTTAGACTAAAATAAAACATTGATTTTTTTGTTTGTGAAATAATATTTATGTCAAATTTAAAATGTTTAAATTTAAAGATCTCAACATTTAGCATTTTTTGTTACCTTTTGCATAGATATTCAATTAAAAGTTTCACTTAAGTTTTAAAATACTTAGGGAATTCTAAAACCCATATATTAGAACTGAATTTCCTTAATGGTGTCTCTTTGCCTTTTCTTGACCTTAGCAAGCAAATAGAATATGTTTGGTCAAAGTTGTAGTATATTAGAGGATATTACCTGGCTAATTTTGCTTTAGCATTTGTGTCTGTTGATTTTAGGATACTTGTTAGTTTGGTTAGTCTTTTTAGTTATATTTGTAAAATGGAAGCAATTAATTTCTTAAAATGTTGTTTTTTCATAGCTATTGATGACCTTATGACTCCAGAGGAAAAAGATAAACTCTTCACTGCCATTGGTTATAGTGAGAGTACCCACAACCTAACTTTACCTAAGCAGGTAATTATTTAAGTGGTTTAAAGGAATTTTGTCTCATTGTACTATATTAGATTGAATTGGATTAGACTTACTGATTTTTTTAAGTAATATAAATGTTATTAATTCCACTCTGCTACTTAATGGTTGAATGTTTCAGTCAGGTTTTACCAATTAAAATTCTCTCTCTAACTTTATTTTATTTGATTTTTTGAGATGGAGTCTCGCTCTGTCACCCAGGCTGGAGTGCAGTGGCGTGATCTTGGCTCACTGCAACCTCTGCCTCCTGGGTTCAAGTGATTCTCCTGCCTCAGCCTCCTGAGTAGCTGGGATTACAGGCACCTGCCACCCTGCCTGGCTAATTTTTGTGTTTTTAGTGGAGACGAGGTTTTGCCATGTTGACCAGGCTGGTTTCAAATTCCTGACCTCAGGTGACCTGCCTTCCTCGGCCTCCCAAAGTGCTGGGATTACAGGGGTGAGCCACCGTGCCCAGCCTCCAACTTTAGATTTAAGTAGTTTTAGTGAACATAAGAATAACCTGACAAAAGTACTTATTATAGTGCTAAACTGAATCTTAAAAAAATTTTATCTTAAAAATTTTTTTCAACTTGTGAAGCATAACATATATAAAAAAGTAAGCAAAACCAAAATGTACTGCCTATTTGATTGACTAAAAAGGGAACAGGTGTGCAATTATTATCAAGGTCAAGATTTAGAATATTGCTGTCACCTTAGAAGTCCCTAGATCCCCCATCATTGCTTCTCCAAAGGTAACTGTTACCTTGATTTTTGTGGTAATCATATCTTTTATTTCTTTTTGTTTTTTACTACCAATACTGTTATTTTGTTTTGCATATTTTTAATCTTTCTATAAATGGCCTTATAAAATATATATTTTCTGTTTCTAGTTTTGTTCTTGTGAGATTCATCCCTGTTGTTGCAGTAGATGTATTTTACTAACTTTCATTGCTGTATGGGATTCAGTTATTTGAAAATACCACATCTTATTTATTTGTACTGTTGTTGATGAACATTTGGGTTGTTTCTTGTTTATCATGAATAATGCTGCTCTGAACTTGTGTCTTTTAGTGTGGATGTGTAAGATAACGTTTACTGAGGAGTGGAATTGCTGAGTCATAGGATATGAGCATATTAAATAGTTTTCCAATGTGGAAAACACTTCCGCTATCAGTATGCGAGGATAATTATTGCTTCACGTCTTCACCAGCACTTGGCATTATCAATCTTTTAAATTTTAGCCATTCTAAATGGGGATGAATAGTAGTAGTATTAGGTTGGTGCAAAAGTAATTGTAATATTACGGTTTTAATTTGCATTTCCTGGATGACTAAAGAGGTTTTGCACTTTTTATGTATGTATTGGTCTTTGGTCTTTAGATATGCTATTTTGTGAAAGTGGGTTTTGAGTCTCTTCTTCATTATTAGGTTGTCTTTTTTTCTTATTGGTTTGTAGGAATTCTTTATATATTCTGGATATGAGGCCTTTGCTAGTTAGATGTTAATATCTTCCCCAAAAACGTGGGTTGGCTTTTCACTTTTAGTTGTGTTGCAAGTCTGTCTGCCCACAATGTAAAGTACATTTTCATTCTCTGTTTTTTTTTTCTTTTGAGACAGGGTCTTACTCTCCCAGGCAGGAGTGCAGTGGCACGATCTTGGCTTACTGCATCCTCTGCCTCCTGGGTTGAAGTGAGTCTCCTGCCTCAAGCCACCCGAGTAGCTGGAATTACAGGCATGTGCCACCATGCCCAGCTAATTTTTTGTATTTTTTTTTTTTTTGTAGAGACAGGGTTTTGCCACATTGCCCAGGCTGGTCTCAAACTCCTGAGCTCAAGCGACCTGCTTGCCTTGGCCTCCCAAAGTGCTGGGATTACAGGTGTGAGCCACCACTCCCATCCCCATTTTCATTCATTAATAATATCTTTTGATGGCTAGACTTCTTATTTTTAATATTTATTTTCTTTATTAATCTTTTCCTTTTTGGCTAATGCTTTTTTGGTGTCCTGTTTAAAAGTCTTTCCTCATTGCAAGGTCATGAAACTATGCTTCTAGAAGTTTTATATTGTCTTACTTTATGTATTTAGATTTATGGTCTGTCTAAAATTGATTTTTGTGTATGGTGTGAAGTTGGGGTTAAGATTCAGTTTTTGTCCATATAGCTGTCTCCTTACATAGCACCGGTTGCCTTTGCCACTGCTCTCCATTTACCTCTTTATCATCAGTTAAGTGTCCATATTTGTGGAATTCCTGCTTTATTCCATTGGCCATTTGTCTGTCTTTGTAGTATTGTGTCTTAGTTACTGTAACTTTGTAATCAGTCCTTTGACCTTGTTGTAGAAATCTTTAAACTCTCGTGTTCTTTATGATTACCTTTTCTATTCTTGGTCCTTAAAATTTCCACATAAATTTTAGAATCAGCTGTTCAGTTTCTATAAAAACTTGAGATTTTCATTGGGATTTTATTGACTCTATAAATTAATTTGGGGAGAATTTATGTCTTTATAGTATTGAGTCTTTTCACCTATAAATATAGCACATGGCTCCATTTATTTACCTCTTTTTCATTCCTCTAATAATGTTTTATAATTTTATCTGTAGAAGTTGAACATCTTTTGTTGGATTGGTATAAGTGTCTTTAAAATTTGGTTGAGGCAGAATTTACATACAATAAAGTGCACAGATCTTAAATTTTATTTGATGAATTTGGACAATTGAATACACCTATGTGGTGATCAACAAAAACAAGATAGAGAACATTTCCATCCTTCCAAAAAGTTCCCTTGTAACCCTTTCCAGTCATTTTTCTTCTTTTGCCTTGCAAAACAAACACTTTATAACTTATGTCACCGTGATTACTTTTTCCAGTTCATGCGTTGTTTTGTTTCTATCTTCTTTTGCTCAAAATAATATTTTTGATATTCATCCATGTTGAGTATGTGTCTGTAGATTGTTCCTTTTCATTGCTGAATAGTATTTCATTGTATGAATATACCATAATTTTTTATCTATTTCCTGTTGATATATATTTTTTTGTTTCTGGTTTTGGCTATTACAGATAACACTGCTATGAACATACTTGTACAAGTCTTTGGTGGAGATATGTTTTTACTTCTCTTGAGTTAAATACCTGGGAGTAGAGTTGCTGGGTCATAGGGTAAATATGTATAACTTTTCTAAAAACTGGCAAACACTTCTCCAAAAGTTGTAATATTTTATATTCCTACTACTGGTTCCAGTTGCTACATATTCTTGACCACATTTGATATTGCCAGGCTTTTTAATTTTAGCCATTTTAGCGGATTTGATATGTTCCTCGACTGTGGTTTTAATTTGCATTTTCCTAATGACTAATGATGTTTATACGGTTAGGTTTTTGTGTCCTCTCCCAGATCTCATCTTGAATTGTAATCCCCATAATCCGCCCCTCACCACCATCAAGGGAGAGAGCAAGTGGTAATAATTGAATCATGGGGTTGGTTTCTCCGATACTGTTGTCGTGATAGTGAGTTAATTCTCATGAGATCTGATGGTTTTACACATGGGAGTTCCCCTGCACAAGCTCTCTTGCCTGCTATGTAAGAAGTGTCTTTGCTCTTCCCTTGCCTTCTGCCATGATTGTGAGGCCTCCCCAGCCGTGTGGAACTGTGGGTCCATTAAACCTCTTACTTTGATAAATTATCCAGTCTCAGGTATGTCTTTATTAGCAGCATGAGAATGGACTAATGCACTTGATTATTATAGTTTTATAAGTCTTAAAGTAAGACCTCTGACTTGGTTTTCTTTTTTTTTTTTTTAAGAGTGTTTTGGCTATTTTAGGCCTTTTCCACTTATATATACCTTTTAGAATAATCTTATCAGTGTTTTCAAAAGTACATGCTGCTTTTGTTAGAGATTACATTGAATCTGTAAATTATTATGGGGAAAATTGTAATTTTAGCAATATCGAATATTCCAGTCACATAATTCCTTTCTTTGTCTTTGACCATCTGTCAGTAATTTTCGTTCTACCTGAACAATACCAATTATATTATTTTGTTGAATGCAGTTCTGCTGGTGATGAGTTTTTAAATTTTTTTTGTCTTTCTGAAAATATCTCTATTTTTCCTTATTTCTTGAAGGATACTTTTGTGTATAGAATTCTAGGTTGTTAATGATTTTCTGAGTTTTGAAGGTATAATTTCATTGTTGTTTGGCCTGCATTTTCTTTTGTGTATTCAGCTGTTAGTCTTACGGTATCACTTTAAAGGTAATTTCCACCCATCTCTCTCATTTTTCTATTTTTAAGAAAATCTCTTTACCTTAGATTTTCAGTAATTTTACTGTGATGTGACTAGATATGTATTCATTTTTGTTTATACTGTTTGGACTTCTTACTGTTTGGACATCTTGAGGTTTCATCAATTTGGGAAAAAAATCCTCACTTCCTAGTTTTATTTCCCATCATTTTTTTATCCTTCATCCTTTGGTTCTTCTAATGTACATAGTGGGATCTTTTCATAATATCTCATGTGTGTCTTATTTTCTCTGAGGTATTTCCAAGTTCTTTATCTGTTTATTCTTTGGTTAGTTTCCTCTAATTCTCTCTTCAGCTCTTTATATATTACTGTTAAACTCATTTATTGAATTCTTAATTGGCTTTTGTATATTTCAGTTCTTGAATTTCTATGTGGTTCTTTTTTTATAGCTTCCAAATTCTTTGCTAACATGCTCTGTTTTATCTTTTATGTCTTTGACCCTAATAAATCTAGTAGTCTGAGTAAGTCTAAAATTAGACACTTGATGTCTAGAGCGCCTGTGAATCTATTTTCTGTTGTTTCTGCTGGTTTTTGTTCCAATTTGTCATGAATCTAGTGAGCCTGTCTGTGTGTGTGTGTGTGTACCGGTGTGTGTGTGTGTATGTGTATGTGTGAGAGTGTGTGTGTATGTGTATATGTGCACCAATCAGTGTTACTGTAGGTATTGAGATGATTTGATGCTGTGCTGCAGATCATGGGAGTCTGCCTGCTTCCAGTTCACCTTTACTCTTATGATATATAGCCCTTTAGGGTCCCAGGCAAAAGAATGTGTTTTAGCAGTGCTTTTACCCTTTGGTGGGAACTGATTTCCAATTTTGACCCTGCTAGCCTAGCTTCACAGCCTCTAGGCTGTCCCCTTTGAAATTTCCAAATACCTCTAGGAGAAACAGGTCCCCAAATTCCAGGATCATCTCCCTGGTTCTCTGTTTTACCTCCAGTCTTGACTCAGTAATTTTGGGGTCAGGATTTATTTTCTCAGTGTCTTACTAACTCTGCACAGAAATCAAGCAGATGTTCTATACAGGTTTCTTTCCTTCAGCCACAGGTTTATTCTGAAATACTTAGTTTGTTTCAGAAAAAGCTGCTGAATTGAATCTTTATGCCACAAAATGCTTTGTAATTGTTTCATTGTTATAACCTTTAAAACTAAGAGAGGGCTGGGTACGGTGGCTCACGCCTTTAATCCTAGCACTCTGGGAGGCTGAGGTGGGCAGATCACCTGAGGTCAGGAGTTCGAGACCAGTCTGACCAACATGGTGAAACCCCATCTCTACTAAAAACACAAAACTTAGCTTGGCATGGTGGCGGGCACCTGTGATCCCAGCTACTCGGGAGGCTGAGGCAGGAGAGTCGCTTGAACCCAGGAGGTGGAGGTTGCAGTGAGCTGTGATTGTGCCACTGCACTCCAGCCTGGCAATAGAGCAAGTCTCTGTCTCAAAAATAAAATAAAATAAAACTTAAGAGAAATGAATTTCTAGATCTTTTGTAAGCATCCTATTTGAGTGGACAATTTTGTATTGAATTTTGTAATTTATAGTGAATAAATTTGTAAATGAAGAATTTTTCCTTTATGGTGAGCATGTGGATGCCAGAACCTGCCATGCTGTATTTGTTAGGTTGCTTTATAATTCAGCAAATTTAAATAAGAAATTATTAAAGAAAGTAATAATTATTTAAACTTTAACAATTTTAATTTCATTCTTTCTGTATAGTATGTTGCCCATATTATGACCCTGAAGTTAGTAAGCACCTCTGTTACGATAAGAGAAAACAAGAATATTCCAGAAATACTAAAAATTCAGATAATTGGCCTGGGCACTCAAGTATCTCAGCGACCAGGAGCACAAGCACTTAAGTAAGTTTTTAAAAACTTATTTCAATTTTTACTTTTAGTTATAGTTTTAGGCAAAAAATGTGTGTTATTCAGGTTTAAAAATGATTAGTGCCAGCTCTTTAATTTCTTTTCCTTGTATATGTCAAGATAGCCTTTTTATATTTGCTCTTGTTTTGTTGTGGAGCTGTGTGGGTACTTCATCATTTGTTCTGCCCTCCCTCCTTTCCTTTGTGAATATTTATTGGATAGTATTTAATTTATAGGCTCAATAATGTAAAAGCTGTGGACAAGTACAGTAAGTTTTTGTTTTCAAGAAATGTATGCTATAGCTGATAAAAGATATACAAAAAATTAATAATTCAAGAACTATATAACATTAGACAGCTCTAAGGTAAGAAGGTATTGTAAAATTAAATGCCTCATAGTTAATGCTACACGAGCTTAGTTGTGGAAGAGAATAACTGAGCTAGGAGAAGGCCTAGGATAGCTGAATGGAAATGACTAGGAGAAGCTGGAATGGAGTAAGAGGGTGTTAAGAGTGGCATAGAAATAGGGAGAGGAGTTCATCCATGTCGTGTGATCTTTTATTCATACAACAGTGATCAGAACTTTTACAGTATTCTAAAGTTGGTTGAAGTGAGTTTTTCACGTAGATGAAAGGAGTTAATTAAAACAACAAGAGCAGCAAACCAGATTGTGTGTGAGCAATTGAATGCCTGGCTAAGGAGGTTGAGCTTCAGCTCTGGATAATGTGCATGGATGGTCCTGGTTCTCAAAGACGTTTTTAAAAGGAAATTTGTATTTTAGTCCATTAGATTACAAAAGACCTTGTCTGCATCTTTCCTTGTTCTTCATTGGATTATAGGGTAGAAGCGAAATTAGAACACTGGTATATAACAGGTTTGAGACAGCAGGATATTGTGCCATCACTTGTGGCTTCAATTGGTGACACTACATCATCCTTGCTTAAAATTAAATTTGAAACCAATCCGGAGGATAGTCCTGCTGACCAGACTCTGATTGTTCAGTCCCAGCCTGTGGAGGTCATCTATGATGCTGTAAGTGCAAGGAGAAAGTAACTCTTTATTTAAATCATCTTATGCTTCTGACATACTGTTTTCTTATTTCTCCTCTTTCATATTTAACATTTATTTACTTAATAAGTAAGTTTCCTAATAGGTTTTTCTTGTTTCAAAAGCAGTATATGTTCAGCAGCTAATTTTGATTTTTTTCATATGCAATACATTTTTCCCTACTCCAAGGTTTATTTATCTACGCCTTTGTTAAATTTTAAAAAATCTAATATACTTTTAAAAATTCTTGTTTATTTGCCAACGACTTCCAAATTGTTACACGTTTACTTCCTACTCCAGTTCTTTTTTGTATATTTTCTCTTTTCTTTCAATGTTTGGAACAAATTCAAAGAGCTTTAGGACTGATTAAAATAATTTTAAATATTGTTCACAAGGGAAAAAAGCATTGATGTTTAGATGTTATTGGAAGTTCTGGCTCAGGTTCTGTATCTATGACTTTACCTTTTATTCATGCTATCTTATCCATCATCTCAAGTTAGTCATCAGTATGGATATGGTTCACTACTCATTGCATCACTTGTAGGTTCGCCCCACCTTGTTGAGATCCCTGATGTAATTTTACTTTACGACTGAAAGCTAAATAAAGTGTGTGTGTGTGGGTGGGGGGACAGCATATAAAGACTGCAGAACTCCTTATATTTTATAATTAAAAAATTTTAATTGTGGTAAAATACACGTAACTCAATTTAACATCTTAACTGTTTTTAAGTTTATAGTTCAGTAGTGTTAAGTACATTCACATGGTTGAACAGCCAGTCTCCAGAACTGTTTTCATCTTGGAAAATCTCTGATTTTTTAAAAGTTTAAATTTGGCATGTAGGTAAGAGCTGAATGGCTTTCTTCCTCTTAATTTTCTAAACTTCAAAGTGCAAGGGAATCTAATTACAGGGTAGAGAAGTACTGTTTCATCTTCTGACTAATTGGAGGCTAAATCTAGAAGTAATGTCTGCTGCTACATCCATATGACGCTGTAGAACATACTTTACACCTTAATGATATGTGCACATTTGTTGCCTCTCCAGTAAGCTTGCTTAGGCTCTTCCTTTCTCCAGGTTCTCTTTTACTCCAAAGGGAGATGTAGTAGGACAGAATATCTTAGGAGTTCCACAGTTCAAAGCTACAGCTGTTTAGAATTGAGGTGAAACTTTGAAGTTTACAATATGGAAAGAACCATGTGTAACTTGGTTATGTTAAAAAAATTTTCTTATAGAAAACTGTCAATGCAGTGGTTGAATTCTTTCAATCAAATAAGGGATTGGATCTTGAGCAAATAACATCAGCAACATTGATGAAGCTGGAAGAAATTAAGGAGAGAACAGCTACAGGTGAAGAATTTGAGTGTCTACATAAGCATCAGCTAAGCTTAAAAATTTTGCCTACTCTAATGTAAACATTGTATTCAAAATATTATGTTGCTTTTTTTCTTTATTTTAAACTCAGGCTGTATTACAGTATAGAGTGGACATGGCTTTCTCAAAATCAAATATACCTGATAGACTGGGTGAGAAAGAGCATAATATGGGGCACAGATGATTCTTCCTGCCATTACAGTTAAGAACTCCTGCTTCAGAATGAGCTTGAGATGGAAAACAACCCTCCATCTCAGTTCTTAAGAAACTGTTAATCACACTGTGTGTGAATATAGTTTGAAAGATACTTACTTTTGTATAACATGACCTCTAAACTCAAGCCAACTATTTTATCCAGTTCCTTAACCAAGGAAATAATAAATTATTCTATCCCTACATAAAGTACTAGCTATGTTGGGTTTACTATACTGTGCTATAATAAGATTGTTTACCATTGACTATATGCAGTTTTCACCTTACATGCTGAATTGAGAATCTAATTTGTGAGAAAAAGTAATACTCCTTTGTAATACTTTTCTTTTTTTTTTATTTTTTATTTTCTTTTATTTTTTGAGATGGAGTCTTGCTCTTTTGCCCAGGCTGGAGTGCAGTGGCACAATCTCAGCTCACTGCAAGCTCCGCCTCCTGGGTTCACGCCATTCTCCTGCCTCAGCCTCCCAAGTAGCTGGGGCTGCAGGCGCCCGCCACCACGCCTGGCTAATTTTTTTTTGTATTTTTAGTACAGACGGGGTTTCACCGTGTTAGCCAGGATGGTCTCGATCTCCTGACCTCGTGATCTGCCTGTCTCGGCCTCCCAAAGTGCTGGGATGACAGGCGTGAGCCACCGCACCCGACCTGTAATACTTTTCAAGTAAAACTCTTATTCTAGTTGTTAATAATATGATTACATATTTCAACTTGACCATCTAATCTGTCATTATTTCTTACGTCTTTAGGACTTACACATATTATTGAAACTCGAAAAGTCCTTGATTTAAGGATAAATCTGAAGCCTTCTTATCTAGTAGTTCCACAGACGGGTTTCCACCATGAAAAGTCAGATCTTCTGATTTTAGATTTTGGTACATTTCAGGTAGGTATATATGCGTTTTTTTGTCTGCCCATCTTTGACCTGCTTGCTAGCTAACTCTCCAACAGTTTGCTGTTTTTTTCTTCAGAGTTCACTAAACTAAATGTAGACTTATTTTTTAGCCTGTGTTTCAAGCCTTGCTTGGAGTATTTTATATATGTTTTATGACTATTAAAACAAAAAACCTCCAAATTTTCTGTAGTGGTAGGGTGATTTGACAGTAAGGACTGGATTACATCTGCCTTTTCCTAATTAGAAAGAAGCATTCGTAGTTTTCATAGTTTCCAGGGCTTAATTATACAGTGTTATTTGTTGCTTATAAATTTGACAATAGGAAATTGTACATATATGAATGTATATTTGTTAAACCACTGTCAGTAACTAAGTAGAGCAAGACAACTTTTGGATTTTGGATTTTGAATCTCATAGAAAGCCAAGCCTCCAGTAAAAGGTGACAATTTCAAATATATGAGGGGACTTTGAAGTTTGTGGAAAAATGGAATTAAAAGATAAAAATAAAAAAACATAAACTTTGTTTCTCAATTTAAGATCCATCAAGTCCAAGACACTTTTGTAAGTGATGATACCAGCCATTTAGTCCATCTCTCAAGGATTGAGGGTCCTGGGAATTTAATCATGTCATTGTAGTCTTTTCTACATTACTAACTGAAGAAAAATAGGTACTGTTTATAGATTTTTTTTTTTTTAAGATTAGGAAACCAAAAAAAGTTAGAAGAAGCCAAATTAGGACTGTAAGTTGGGCGCCTAATGATTTCTCATAGGAAATCTTATACAACTGCCCTCATTTGATAAGAGGAAGGAGCAGAAGAAGCATTGTCGTGGTGAAGAAGGACTCTCTGGTGAAGTTTTCCTGGGTGTCTTTCTGCTAAAACTTTGGCTGACTTTGTCAGAACACTCTCACAATAAGCGGATGCTATCGTTCTTTGGGCCTCCAGAAAGTCAACAGGCAGAATGCCTGGAGCATCCCCAAAAACTGTTGCCATGACCTTTGCTCTTGACTAGTCTGCTTTTGCTTTGACTGGATCATTTTGACATCATGGTAACCATTGTTTTAATTGTGATTTGTCCTTAAGATGGTACTGGGAAAGCCATGTTTCATCTCTCTCTCTCTTTTTTTTTTTTTTTTTTTTTTTTTTTTTTGAGATGGGGTCTTGCTCTGTCACCCAGGCTGGAGTGCAGTGGTGCAGTCTCTGCTCACTGCAACCTTTGCCTCCTGGGTTCAAGTGATTTTCCTGCCTCAGCCTCACAAGTATCTGGGATTACAGGCACGCACCCCCACACCTGGATAATTTTTGTATTTTTAGTAGAGACGGGGTTTCACCATGTTGGCCTGGCTGGTCTCGAACTCCTGACCTCAAGTGATCCGCTCACCTTGGCCTCCCAAAGTGCTGGGATTACAGACGTGAGCCATCTCACCCAGCCCATATTTCATCTCTTATTATAATTCTTTGAAGAAATGCTTCTGATCTTGATCCCACACTTGTTTTTAAAATTTCCATTGAAAGCTCTACCCTTGTCTGTAGCTGATTTGAGCGCACTTGTTTTGGCTTCTGTTGATTAAAAAGTTTGCTCAGCTTTAATTTTTCAGTCAGAATTGTGTAAGCTGAATCAGTTGAAATGTCTCTGGTGTTGACTATTGTTTCTGCTGTTAATCATCGGTCCTCTTCAATTAGGGAATGAACAAGATTAAGTTTTTCTTCGCAAATTGATGTGGTCTGCCACTGTGGGCTTCATCTTCAAAATTGTCTTGACCTTTCTTAAAATTAGTTATCTATTTGTAAACTGCTAATTTCTTTGGGGCACTGTTCCCATACATTTTTCATAAAGCATTACTGATTTCACCATTCTTTCACCCAAGCTTCAGCATAAATTTGGTATTTGTTTTTGCCTCAATTTTAGCAGAATTCATGTTGCTATTATGGGGGGGCCATTTTCAAACTGAAGCCTTAATCTTCTTAGTGACTCAAACTAGATCCTGTTCAGTCATGTTATAAAAAGTTAGTACAAGTTTCTTTTGGTACAAAACAGTTTTGAAATTCATGCATAGCTTTTTCATAATGGGCATTTTCCATCAACTTTTTGAAGATCCCTTGTATACTCCTGAATTGATCCTTGCTTCCACCAGGAAGGGGGAAAAGGCAGTACAAATTGGAGCTGAATTATAGTGGCCTAATTTTATTCCTGTGGTATAGTGCGGAGAAGGAACAAAACGCTGCTATCTAATGGTGAAGGGTGTAGGGTGGGGGTCAGGGGAGCTGGACTCTAAGTGGCAATAATTCCTGAGAGCCAGGAAGAGGAGGAGTTGTACATCTAGACAAGTTATTCGAGGCAGACAGCTCAAACATGAAAATGTGCTGAACACCTATTTCTCAACTTTAGTAGAGATGTATGCTGAAATATTATATTGTTTACAAATAATTATCTGAAAATTAAAATGTTTATTCATTAAGAGCAGTATTTTCAATTTGTTAGGTTTTAACTAACTAAATGCAAGACTGAAACCTAACTAAAGTATGTTGATGTATGTGCTTTTCTGTTTTGGAAAAAAAAATTGAAATTTGTCCTTCATTTTAGCTCAACAGTAAAGATCAAGGTTTACAGAAGACTACTAATTCATCTCTGGAAGAAATAATGGATAAGGCATATGACAAGTTTGATGTTGAAATAAAAAATGTACAACTACTTTTTGCAAGAGCAGGTAAACCGTTATTCAGCTTTTAGGATCTTGGGATTATGATGGGTAGTTTGTGTAATATACGTGTATATATGTGTGCCTATATATCAACCCTGACAACCATTTTGCACACATATTCTTTTGGCTGCTTAAATAAACCATGTAGGACACTATCAGTGTAAATTACTACAACATTTATAAATAGAAATGGAAATTTGGCTAGTCATCTTAAGATACCTAGCTCCATTTCAATCTAAGCCTATTCATAGCCTATGTTTTTGTAATGTGACTATAAAACTGCTTAGAACACAAAATGGAAGTTGCAGTGGATTCATGTTTTTCTGTCTTACCGCTTTTGGGATGACTCAATATTATTTTCCTTGCTGCCTTCATTATCAAATATTATACTATATTAGCCTAGTCTTTATTTCAATAGTATTACTAGTATTATGCTGTCTACTTTTGTAGATATCTGAGAAGTATGTATCTACAGAATAGTAGATATAGTCTTAATATATTAAAGATAATTAACTTAATTATTTTCCAAAAGCTTTGGTGTTTTTCTATGCTTACGTAAATATTTTTGTTTTTTTAAAGACTTACTTAGTTTCTAGAAGCAATACATATTTATTAATTATCCTTGATCATAGTATCACGTTGTGGTAGGTCATTAGAGGAAAGGACAGTTATAGTCTCTATGTGCAGAGTTTATACTCTAGTAGGAGTGTTGAGATTTATTAAAACGTAAATACATAATGCTCTACTTACTTTTCATATATTAAGAGCCTGTTAATTCCTTGGAGTATTTACACAGACCATTAAAACTGCCTTTTCTTTTGTATTTACTTAAGAATAATTGGATTATAAGTGATAAAAGATTTTCAGTCATTGTCATCAATAAACATAGAACTCTATTAGTTGTTGGAAAATCTGTTTTTGGGACCTTATTTGAAGAAAAGTGATTATTATACATTTTTGGTCATGAAATTTTGTTTGATAAAACTCTGCTTTGCTTTGGAATTGTATGCCAAGCTGGGTGTAAATATTGTACTTAGGAACCCCATACTTCTTTTTCTTTTTTCTTGTTTTTCCTCCTCTTTTCACTGTAATTATCAACCTTAGTCACTAATTCTGGAATTGAGGTAATAGATCCTGGGCTTTGTTTTTCCTGTTTACTTTGAAATGCAAGATGTTATGTGAACATTCTCCAAATAGAATTATTTTATATCACAGTCTTTGATCCTGTCAGTCTGTATTTAAAAAGCATAGGTTATTTAACTGATACGCTGAAAGAAGTGAAAATTGGTAATCATTGATTCTGGATTAATTTATAGTGATTTTCCATAGAATGTCTGACAATTTAAAATAATATTCATTAAAAATAATATTTATCCATGTTCCATGGCTGTTTGTAAAAATAATAAATAATATCTTAAATTATTTTTTAAAGAGGAAACCTGGAAAAAGTGTCGATTTCAGCATCCATCAACTATGCATATATTGCAACCCATGGATATTCATGTTGAGTTGGCTAAGGCCATGGTAGAAAAAGACATTAGAATGGCCAGGTAATGTATAAACTTCTTTTATATTAGAAAATCAACAGGTGAAATATGTCTGCATCAGTTGCTAGAATTTAAGGAAGCAAAGATAGATTTCTGTGGGAGACAGCAAAAATGATTATTCCAATTTGCAGCAGAAATACATTTTTAAGAAAATGTATATTTGAATTATACATCAACACTTATTTCAGAAATATTTGGACTTTTACATTCTGTAAAAGTTGATGGTTCATGTTTTTGAATGAATCGAATCCAATGCTTAATATCAACAAAATAAAATCTTCGAACACATTAGAGGCTCTTTTGATAATGAAATCCCATATAATCCTGAGAAAAATCAAAGGACATAAAAATAGAAAATTAATTTTGAATTTAAGTAGACAGTTATGAAATGTTTATACTGTTTTTAAAAAACAGCTATATTGAAATATAATTGATGTTCAATAAGCTGCATCCATTTAAAGTTTACAGTTTGATAAATATTGCCTTAGCTATATAGCCGTGAAACCATCATCATGGTTAAGACAATGAACACACCATCTCCAAAAGTGTCCTTGTTCCCCCTTTGTATTCCTTTCTTTCCTTCCCTACTTAAATTTCTCTTCCCCCAGTCCCTGGACAACATTGGTCTGCTTTCTGACACTATAGATTTGTTAGAATTTTCTAGAATTTTATATAAATAGAATGTTAGACTTTTAACTTTTTTGTTTAACATCTTTAATTCAACATAATTAATTTAAGATTCATTCATGTTGTATGTATCAGTTTATTGATACCCTTTATTCAGCATAATTAATTTGAGATTCATTCATGTTGTATGTATCAGTCGTTCACTGATACCCTTTATCAGGTGGATGTTAAACCAACTTTTCATTACCGATTAACCTCACTTGGTAATGATGAACATCCCTAATCCAAAGACCAAAAATTTGAAATGCTCCAAAATTTGAAACTTTTTGAGAGTCAACATGATGACACATGTGGAAAATTCTGCACATAAGTTCTTAACACAAGCTTCGTTTCTTGCACAAAATTATTAAAAATTTTGTATAAAATTACCTTCAAACTGTGTGTACAAGGTATGAATGAAACATAAATCAGTTTCATGTTTAGACTTGGGTCCTATCTGCAGGATATCTCATTATGTAATACAAATATTCCCAAATCTTAAATACTTCTTGCCCCATTTCTGATACTCAACCCATATGTATTATTTTTAAAAATATTTTTGGACTTGTTTTGCCAAAATTTTGTTACAAAGTTTTATATTTGTGTTAGTGAGGGATATTGGTCTTTGCTTTTCTTGTTTTGGTATCAGGATAATGATGTTGGCCTCATGCATTGAGTTTTCTGGAAGATACTGTGTAGAACTAGTATTATTTCTTCCTAAAATGCTAGGTAGAATTCACCAGTAAAGTCGTCTGGTCCTGGAGTTTTCATTTTGAGAGGTATTTAACTACAAATTCATGTTTTTTCATAGATATAGGGCTAGATTATCTATTCTTCTGTATGATCTGTATGTTCCAAGTGTTTTGAGTTTGTGTGTTTTAAGGAATTTGTCCATCTTAGTTGTTGAATGTATTGGCATAAAACTGTTCATAATGCTTTCCTCTTACCTATTTAATACACGAAGAATCTGTAGTGATGTTATTTCTTTTAGTCCTGATGTTAGTAATTTGTGCCTTTTCTATTTTTCTCCTGATCACTGTGATCAGAGGTTTATCAATTTTGTTGATCTTCTGGGAGAACCAGCTATTGGTTTCCATTATCTTCTCTCTTTTGATTCTTTTTTTTCCTGATTTCCTCTCTGATATTTATTATTTCTTTCTTTTACTTACTTTGGATTTCGTTTGCTTTTCAGTCCTAGTTTCTTAAGGTAGAAGCTGAGGTCACTGATTTGAGACCTTAGTTTTTTTCCAATATAGGCATTTAGTGCTTTATATTTCCCTCTCTACAGTGCTTTACTGTACCCCAGTGTGGCATCCAGCAATTAGGCATCTGTCAGCTTGAGCTGTTCACAGCTTAGTCAGGAAGCCAAAGATAAACAACAACAGCTAGAAAGAGCTTTATGACTAGCTGCCACAAGGCTATTGAGACAAATAAACCTGAGGCAATTACATTGAGTAGGGAAACAGAATAGAAGCACCTGCCAAAAAGTAAGCAACTGATAAAAGCACAGTGGTGATTCGTAGTGAGTAAAACAGATGTCCTCATGGAGCTGACATTTTAATCAGAGGAGACATAAACAAATATAAATGTGATATGTCAGGTGCTGCCAAGTGCTATATATAGAAAGAAATAAAGCAAGGCAATGGGATAGAAAGTGATGAGGTTAAATACTCTTTGATGTTTATAATAAGAATCTTTGATACCAGGAAGTAGTGTTTTGGTTTTGAAAGGTAGAGAATTGTGTTTGGAAAGATTTTCCTAAAAATTAGTTAAGTTAAAGAGATTTGGCTACTTAAGAGGGATATGTTGAAATTATCTGAAAACTTAGCTAACATAGAACTTCCCATTTCCTGACAATGTTGTCTAAATGAGGCATTAGTGTAATTAGATTAAAACATGTCAAAAGTTTAGGCATGTTTTAATCTAATTACATTAATGCAATTCTTTCCCTCGTTTGTAATGTAGAGATGCTGACTTAAAACCACTGAATTGTATTTTTAGATTTAAAGTGTCAGGAGGACTTCCTTTGATGCATGTGAGAATTTCTGACCAGAAGATGAAAGATGTGCTATATTTGATGAACAGTATACCTTTGCCACAGAAATCATCAGCCCAGTCTCCAGAGAGACAGGTAAATAGATACAATAAAATGTATAACCCTATTTTTATTGTTTTAGAGCAGTGATGAAAAGTCAGTTTCAGGGCAAGGTTTATAAGTGAAAGGACCAAAAGTACAGAAATGAAAGTAAAATGTCTTTCAAATTTATAATGTGTTTTAAATAAAGCTAGAGGGGAAAAAAACTAACAAAAACCTTCTTTAGAATCTTGCAAATAAAACAATTGATATAAAATTTTCTTATATGTTAGGCTTATAAGTTCTAGATCACTTTAATTGAAATTGATCTTTACACAGTAGAAATTTTGGATATCTACTTTGAAATGAAATTTGATAAAGCCAGCTCATGGTGATACCATGTGCCAAGGCTTTACACAGTAGAAATGTTGGATTTCTACTTTGAAATGAAATTTGATAAAGCCAGCTCATGATGATACCCTGTGCCAAGGACCTATAAAAAAGATGTACTTTAATATTGTAATAGACAGAATGTAAATGATATACAGTAATAATAGACTAACTTACTAGAGCTGGGCTTAGTTTTGCCCTTGTAGATGTGGGTGGTAGACTTAATAATTTGTAAATTCTAGCCAATTATTAGTTGATTACACAATATATCTTGTTGGAAGATTTGTATATTGTGTTATATTGTGTGTATGTGTCTTTCCATATCTCTTTATCCTCTATTACTTTTTAGTCTTCCTCTCATTTATGACATTTAATCCTGCTAAGTCATCCTTTTTAAGAAAACTTTTTGTATTCTTTGCTAGGTATCCTCAATTCCTATTATTTCAGGTGGTACAAAAGGTCTACTTGGTACTTCACTATTGCTAGACACTGTGGAATCAGGTAAGGAAAGTAAAATACTCTTTCTCTATTAAATTAAGCCTATACATTGTTATACAGAGATAACATTTTCAGAAAATAAGGGCAGTCTGAAAGTGCTGTAGTAATTTACTGGTTTTAGTTCTAGTTGTGCTACATTAGTGTGACTCTGAGTCTCTTATCCCCTTTAAGCCCAAGTTTCTGTCTTCGTTGGACAAATGAAGGGTTTTTTTTTGTAGTTGACAATGCTTACTTAAGATTCTAAATAAACTACTTTTTTTGGCCCCAATCTCTACATGAGCTTTTCTCTAACTTTGACCTAATTGATCTGTTTTAATTTTGAACTAGAATGTAAGCTTCATCAGGACAGGACCATGTCTATCGTGGTCATTCTGGTATCCTTACTGGCTGGCACAGCCTGATACGTGGTAGATAATGCCCAATAAATATTTTGTTGAATATTGAGTGAATGAACTATAGGGAAAAACAGAACCATTGAAGAAAAGAACATAGTGCTATTTGATTTCAAATGTGATTATTACATGGCAGGTTGAGTCACTTGGTAGAAGTTTAAAAAAGGCAGCTATTCTGATGCTGAATATGAAGATTATATCTAATAAATGAATTTCACTTTTTAGAGATTTAGATTTGAGTGTTTCATGCAGTTTTCAATGTACATTGTCTCAGATCAAATAAATGTCTTTTTCCTTTAGAGTCTGATGATGAGTATTTTGATGCTGAAGATGGAGAACCACAGACTTGTAAAAGTATGAAAGGATCAGAACTTAAAAAAGCTGCAGAGGTCCCAAATGAGGAGCTCATCAATCTTCTACTCAAGTTTGAAATTAAAGAAGTATGTGCTTTTTTGTCTATAAATAGATATATTCTGGCTGTCACTATCTTGTAAGCTATCCTCAAGCTAGACCCAAATGTCAAGTATATTAAAAATGTGGTACTCTGTCTTTCCTGCTGCCCAACACACATGCACATACACACTCTCACACACACTCTTTCTCTCTCACACACACAGAGATTTTTAACAATGAAATGCTTTTAAAAAAACTGATGTAAGAATGATCTGTGGCATATCTAATTTATTCTGGAAGAGCTTAGACTTTTAATTAGAACTTACTTTTCTGCAGAAAATTTTTATGACATGCCTACTTTAATTTTTTAAACTTTTCACTTTTAAGCTAAATAATATTGCTCATTATCATGTTTATGATTTGGAAAAATGTAAACAACCTAAATTTCCAACATACGTTTACAGCCTTTAAAAGTCATGTGGTAAAAGGAAACATGGAGAGATGTTCACGGTATGTCATTATTTGGGAAAACAAAAAGATTATAATACCAAAGATATTATGATTCCATATGAAGTTATATTTATATGTTTTCTTTGATAAATGACAGACAGTGTTCATCTCTGGGTGGTGAGATTACAGGTTTTTATACATGCCTGCTTACTTTTACATGTATTCCAGATTTCTATAAAAAATTTGTCTTGCTTTGATAATAAAACAAAAAGGATAGAAAATGGAGGTGTTCCTTATTGACTGTTTCATGTGCCATAGTGAGAGCATGTCCTAAAATATAATGTCAGAAATACTACATTTTAACTGTGTGTACACACCTAAGTACTATTGGTATTTGTTTAGAGAAAGGTATGTTCTTTACTGTTAGCCTTCTTCAACTTCTCTCTTTCTCCATACTACATCCAAAATATCATTAAATCCCATGACCCTAAATTCAAAATGCATTCAGATGATTGCTCTTCCTTTCTGCTGCTACTGTACTGTCTAAGTCACTGTAATCTTCTTCCCTGGATTATTTTGCAATAGCCTCTTAACTGTCTTTGCTTCCATCAGGTACTCTGTTCTGTCATTTGCCAGATTGATCCTTTAAGAGTGAATGTCAGGCCGGGCATGGTGGCTCACGCCTGTAATCCCAGCACTTTGGGAGCCCGAGGTGGGTGGATCATCTGAGGTCAGGAGTTCAAGACCAGCCTGGGCAACACGGTGAAACCCCATCTCTACTAAAAATACAAAATTAGCTAGGCGTGGTGGTGGGCACCTGTAATCCCAGCTGCTCGGGAGGCTGAGGCAGGAGAATTGCTTGAACCTGGGAGGTAAAGGTTGCAGTGAGCTGAGAGTGCACCACTGCACTCCAGCCTAGGTGACAGAGCAAGACTTTGTCTCTAAAATAAAATAAAGTAAAATAAAAATAAAAGGGAATGTCAGATCATGTTACTACTCTGCTCAGTATCCTCCACTGACTTCAAATGTCACTAAAAGTAAAGGACTAAGTCCTTTCCATGGCCTACAAGGCCTTACATTTGTAACACCTCATATGACTGGCCAGTTCTTTCCTGCCTTGCTCACTCTGCTTCAGCCATATTCCATCTATCCCTTCAATAGGTATTGATCATGTGCCATTATTACCAGACATTATTTTAGGTACTGGAAAATAGCAGTGAGTTAAGTTCTTGCCGCATGGAGCTTACACTTGTCTTATGTTTTTCCTTCTGTATACCAAAGCACATTCTTTGTGCTTGCTATTTCCTTTGCCTGGAACACTCTTTTCCTGCATGGCTTGATTTTTTTTTTTTTTTTTTTTTTAAACTAACTTCAGGTATTTGTTCAATTGTCATCTTATTGGAAAGATCTGACCACCCAAGACAAGACAGCAACCTTCATTTTCTCCAACTTTCCCTAGAATGTAAACTTCATGGTGATAAAGAATGTCTTAATTTGTTTTCTGTTACTATAACAGAATACCCCAGCCTCCCAAGAGGCTGAGATTACAGGCACATACCACCACACCCAGCTAATGTTTTACATTTTTTGTGGAGATTCGGTTTTACTATGTTGCCCAGGCTGGTCTTGAACTCTCGGGCTCAAGTGATCCGCCTGCCTTGGCCTCCCAAAGTGCTGGGATTACAGGCATGAGCCACCGCACTTGGCCTCTTCTTTAAGTATTTTTAAAGTGTTACCTAAGTATGTAATTATAACATCTGCTAATAATAATATTTTTTGCCTTTTTTCAGTATTTATATTATTCTGGTTATTATTGCTGCCTATCAAGTTAAATAGCTTAAAACAACTATTTTATTTTGCTTACAGGTTTGTGGGTTAGGAAGTTTGGAAGGGCTCACCTGGGTAATTTTGTGCATAGTCTTTCATTCGGTTGCATTCTGATGTTGACTGGGGTTGCAGTCATCTGAAGCCTCAAGCTGGATGTCCATGTGGCTCACTTATGAGGCTTGCAATTGATACTGGCTATTGGCTGGGAGCTAGCTGGGACTATTGACTGAAACACCTACTTATGGCCTCTCAGCATGGTAAAAGCCGTGGTAGTCTGAGTAGTTGAACTTTTTACATGGTGGCTGGCTTCCCCCAGTATGAGTGTTCCCAGGTAGGAGTTTCGTGGTCTTTTATGACACCGGAAGTCCTTATAGTATCAGTTCCTTTCTACTATATTGATTTAAGCATTCACAAGCCTGCCCATATTCAAAGGGTGGAGACAAAGATCTACACCTTTTGATTAGAATATCAAAAGCACTTACATCTTTTAAAAATTACCACGTTTTATTTTTTATTGGCTAAATATACAGGCTATAATTTCCAGAGTTAACTTAAATAGTAGTATGATAGAGAACATCTTGTCTTACTTTCTACTTTAATGGGGATACTTTAAAAAAAATTACTAAACATGATTTTTGCTTTGAAATACAGGTTTAAGAAAATCATATTTAGGAAGAATCTATACATTCCTATTTTACTAAATTAGAAAAAGTAAACAATGAAGTTAAATTCTGTCATGATTTTTTTATAAATGTATTTATATTCTCAACAATAGAATTTAAGTTTTGTAATTTCCAATTATATTAAATTGCTATGGTGGCAGAAGGATATGAGCAAAGTTACTATTCTCATGGTGATGTGTATGGAGAAAGATTTTGTTTTCATTATTTTAAGTATGATTCAGACTTCTTATCAACTTTTCATTGACTCTAATTCTTTTAGGTGATTTTGGAATTTACTAAACAGCAGAAAGAAGAAGATACAATTCTAGTATTTAATGTTACTCAGTTAGGAACAGAGGCCACAATGAGAACATTTGACTTAACTGTGGTATCTTATTTAAAGAAAATCAGCTTGGATTATCATGAAATTGAAGGTAATACCCATAAAAATAGAAATAATAGCCTATAATAAAGATAGGACTTTTGAGTATCTGAAACACTTTCATTTATATTGTATTTATAATAAATAATAGCTACACTGTTGTAAGCACTTTACAAGTAATAACTCATTTAATCCTTATAGCAGTGCTATGGGGTAGGCAGTGTTATAATCTATGGTTTAAATGTAAGTAAACTAAGTCACAGACTGATTGTATTAATATAATTTACTAATTGTCACAGGGCTAGTAATTGACTGAACCATGATTAAAACCCTGGAAATGTGGCCCTAGGGTCTGTGCTCTTAATTAATATTACCTTTTGCCTCAGAGAGTCTCTAAAAATCCCCTTGATATGGGGAATATTATTCCTGTTTTATAAACAAAGGCTAAATAAAGATTAAGTGGCTTACTGAATATCCTGTATTTAATGAATGACAAAACTTAAGAGTTTATCTCTGATCATATGTTATTGAAGGCCTTGTTCTTTCTATTAAATAGTATTCATATACCACAAGAAACACCAGATTATAAAAATAAAAATGATAGGATGTAAAGTTAGTTCTTTCAGAAACTCTGATTGTCATATACCACAAGAAACACCAGGTTATAAAAATAAAAATGATAGGATGTAAAGTTAGTTCTTTCAGAAACTCTGATTGTTTATTCATTTCAGTGTATATATTGTTTGCTCAGGTATTTGAGGCATGTAGGAATGGACAAATCTACAGTAATTAAAATTCCCTAATATTTCCCTAATGCTTTAGTCAAATGCAGTCGTCCCTTGGTACCTGTGGGGCATTGATTCTGGGACTTCTGTGGGTACCAAAATCCATGGTGCTCAAGTTCCTTATATAAAATGGCATTGTATTTTCATATAACCTATGCATAGCCTTCCATATACTTTAAATCTCTAGATTACTTCTAATACCTAATACATTGTAAATGTAAAAGAGTTGTTACACCATGTTGATTTTAAAAATTTTTGTATTTTTAATTTTTTATTGTTTTTAATTTTTTTTAATATTTCAATCTGAAGTTGGTTTATACTATGGGTTGGAATCCTTGGTTACAGAACACTGACTGTATAAAGACCTATGTTTTATAACTTTTTAATAGTTGAAACTAAAACAAATCTCAATTTAGAAGAAAAATATTTTATGTGTTAGTAATTTCTATAGGACCTGTGTTAAGATAAGGTTTACATTATTGTCTTGAGGGAAAAATATAAATAATAATTTTTCTAGGCTATTTTTTCCTTTAGTGAAGGTTATGCCCTTGGAAGTCAAGGGAAAATTTTAAGCTCTCTCAGAAGCAAGAGTTAAAAGAATTGCAAATAACAAAAGATGGATAAAATGGTGGACAAATTACTTCTCCTTCCACAGCTTTTGGAGGCAGTTCCTTGGTACATCTACCTCAGGATATAAAGGACATCTGGTAGTACCTGTTGTTTTTAAGTTAAAAAGGAGTTTAACAGTTCTCTCTTAAGGAAAAAAAACAAAAACAAAGCTTTCCTCTTTTAAGTCACCTCTCACAGTTTAAACAAAAGGAAATTATTTAAATTTCTTTAATAGAAGTAAAATAAATTATTTGTCAGAATTTTAGAAGTCACCTGTGAAATCAGGTGAAAATAAATATGCATGTTTTTAAGTAAGTTGGATGTCAGAGGTAACAATTTGGATTGGTTAATTTCTTCAACAGTGATGGCCTTTGTATTTAATAGCTATGACAATATGCAAAGATTTTCTTTTAAAGCTTAATTAACAAATTTTTAAAAATCTAAAATGTTTCAAATTACAAAAGAGCAATTTATTTGAAACACTTTTTTTTCCTTTTTCTTTAATCTAGGATCCAAAAGGAAGCCCCTTCACTTGATTAGCTCTTCTGACAAACCTGGATTAGATCTTTTGAAAGTGGAGTATATTAAGGTAAGGGCTATAGAATGATTATATATTTATTGTTTACTCCAAACTATTTCTCTGGAAGGAAGAATATGACAGTAAGTTACTAATGGCTCTGGATGTGTATCACAGTTTCTAATTAGAGGGAAATCTGTTTCTTTTTTCATTTGTACACCTTCTTTTCTTTCACTTAAGTACGGGGCTATTATTATACAAAGTCACTAAACTTCTTGTTCCCAGAGATGGAAGCCTGGGATGAAGTAGGTACCATTTGTCTTCTAGGGCATACCCACATACCTGTACTGATTATAGGTCATATATAGGTGACATTTGGCTGAGTATCCTGCATCAAAAAGGATAAAGTCATATTAAATTGGGTTCAGAAGACAAATGCCATGAATAGGAAGGGCCACGAAAATATTTCGTATGAGAAACACTGAAGGAACTGATGGTATTTAGCTGCCTTCAAGATGAATCGATTTGTTTAATCAGTCAGCAGCTATTTATTGAATACTTCTGGATGTGTTTTTGGATGTCTGTACTGTTAGGCGCTTGGGATACAGAAATGAAAAACATTCCCTGTTCTCAAGAAAATTGTAGACGAGTAGGGAGATAACACAAGTAAATAATGATTAGAATATAATGTGATTGATTCCCTAATAAAGAAAAGCACAAAGCATTATTGGAACAGAGGGGCAGGGAAATTGGCAAGGCCAGAAGACTTCTCACAGGAGGTAAATCTTTGAGTTTGAATTTGTTTATGTTCCCAAGGGATAGAAAGAACTAGGACCAATGGTTAGTTATGATGGGAGACAGATTTTTGACTCAATGTGAAGACCTCATTAAATAAAAGCTTTCTAAAGATTAGTTTTGTAAAGAAACAAGGTTTCTTTTACTGGAGATATAAAAAAATGTAGACTTGCTGACGACTTTATGGAGGGATTTAAGCATTAGGGGATAGATGGGCTACGTGACTGTGACACCTTACAACCTTCAGAGTTTGTCATTCTGATTCTTAGCTACAGTTTCCCAGAAATGAATATTCTCCCATGTTTGAAGAGGAGAACACATTTGCACTATTATAATAAATACATTATTTGGATGTAAATTTAAAATAATGGCAATAAAATTAAATATACAGTGTATATAAAATACATTTATAACTATAAATAAATTAACCAGAGATAATAAATAAGTGATTTATTTACTTCGATCCTAGTACCTTCTTTAGAACTTTTACTTCTTTTTTCAGGCTGATAAGAATGGACCTAGTTTTCAAACTGCTTTTGGAAAAACTGAACAAACAGTTAAGGTAAGAAATTCTGTTAAAGGAATTTATCCTGTTTGAAAATAACCTAGTCTCAAAGCCTCTAGTATCCTTTGAGGAGTATTGACTAGGTAATTTGATGACATAATCAAGGACCAATAAGAGTTATAAATAACCTCATCGATACTTACCATGCTCTGTGTTTATGATTCAGCTTAGTAAAGCTGTTTTGTTATATCACATCCTAGCGTCCTTAAAAGTTTCAGTATTATTTCTAAATTAGGGAATGCTGTAGACAAAAGAACTTTGATGTACAAAGAACTAAAAGGTTTCTAAACTAGCCAAACTAGATACCATTGTTTGATGTACAGGTGAAAAAGTGTATAAAATATAAGGAGACATGTTGAGCACTTTTGAAGTCAAAGCACTACTTACGTAGTAGCTTAGAGTAAGAGGGGCAAAATGTACTTATGGGTAACTAAAAAGAAAAGGAGAGAGGCGAGTTTTAGCTCACACTTTTTTGAGAGATGGGGAAATCTGTTTTAATATTGTGAACCTTTTATTGTTTTTATATCCATTTAGTGTTATGAGAAAATGAAAAGAAATTCATTTTTATAAACAGAGCTTTTTATTTTATATTAATTTGCTATTAGAAAACTACCCATTCTTGAAATCAATTTGTATTGCTATTTTAGCTTCCTAGAGTGATTGCTTTAAAAAAAGTAGTACTTTTCCCCTACAAGTTCTATATTGTGTTTCTTTTTAAATGATAACACCATTATTGTGATTTGAAAAGGTCACTTAGTAACCCATTCATAATTGTCCTTTTTATATTTAAATTTCACGGATGCCACCTTTGAAGTCATTTCTAGACATAGTAGTAGCACATGGTGGTTCTGGGATTTCGCCTTTTGACTTATAATTTTATATAATCATAATTGTCCATTGAAGATCCAAGAAGCCGTCTGTATGTTGAATATCAGCATAGCCATGAGAAGCAGAGTATAGACTTCATAACCATTATGCTTTGGAAATGGAGTAATTAGGTTACTGTAATATTCTGATGTACCCCTGAAGTGTATAAGTGTAATTTTTCTCTGTATATTCCCTTTTTAAGGGGATTGTGAATCTTCCACTTTTTACTCTTCCTTCAGAGTGGTGGAAAGCAATGATGTAAGCCCACCTGAGAATCTTTTGGGTCTGTCGTGGAGACTACAGGTTATAATTGGCTGTGGAAAACTAATTTTCTCTTTAAAACATTTTTAGGTGGCCTTTTCATCTTTAAATCTGTTGCTGCAAACACAAGCTCTTGTCGCTTCTATTAATTACCTCACAACCATTATTCCATCTGATGATCAAAGCATAAGTGTTGCTAAGGAGGTACAAATTTCAACTGAAAAACAACAAAAAAATTCAACTCTGCCAAAAGGTATGAAACATACATTTTTGTTTTTTGTTAGCAAGGGTTTTAGAATTCTAAAGCTAAATGAGGAATACTAGAGACTATCTGACTCAGTCATTTAAATACCATTTTCCCCTTTTCTTCAAATTAAATTATATGCGAGCACCTGATGTATAAGGCAAATGTAATCAATACTGTTGTTTTTAAAAATGTTTCTTTTAGTTCTTATTTTGGTGGTGGTGTAGGAAGCCCTTAGGTAGGTAATAGGGGGAGAAGATCTGTATTTATACTGAGCTCTTCCTCCCCGCTCAGTGGCTCCTGAAGGGGCTTTATAAAGAGTTAGTCTTTCTTTCCATTTTACACATAAGGAAATTAAGGCTCAGAGACACAAAGGTAGGGAAGGGTTCAGGAGTAGCATCTAATTGGCCAAGAGCCCAGATTTTGGATCAGGAAGAACTCAGTTCACATCCTGATTTTGCTACTTCAACCATGTAACCTTAGACACATTATTTAACTTTTCTGAGGTTCAGTGTCCTTATTTATTTATTGTAGTTTTTTCTCTTGCTTTTAAATTATAAAAGTAATATCTCACTATTAAAAATGCAAACTTTACAGAATATATAAAGCAAAAAAAGTGTTTGAATCTTTAAGAGTTGGAGAATGTTATAATTTTTTTTAACATAACAGTGGTTCACTTAATATAGCGAATAAACCTTAAAAGAATGTAGATGACTAGAATCTCACCATGTGACAGATGCTTTGTTTTATTTTTAGCGATTGTATCCTCCAGAGATAGTGACATTATTGATTTCAGGCTATTTGCCAAGTTGAATGCTTTCTGTGTCATTGTTTGCAACGAAAAGAACAATATCGCCGAAATCAAGATTCAAGGTAAAAGTTCACACGGCATTGAAAATTGGCGAAAAGATAAACTTTTCCTTCTTTTTGTCTCTTTGCAATGCTAAAGAATGTACAAATAAAGGGCTCTAAGCTGTGAAACCTGAAAAGACGTAATTGGATTGTATGCTTCCTCTATTTGGGATATAGATATTGGTCAGAATCTGACCATCCCAATTGACCTCTACACATATCCTGGTGTTTGGGACCTTCCTGAGAGTTATCTAGGAAGTGGAAAAGGGATACTGATGTCAATGTAGGAATGCTATTGATGGGCTAGGAGAAGTGTCAGTCTAGATTTTAGGTGAAGGTCTGTGGACGTGCTTTCTAGTAACTTTTTAATCTTTTTTTTTTACCTTCATATGATTTTTATATATAATTATGTATTTGTCTTTATTTGTCTTTCCTTATGAAAAGCAATCTTATAATGGTGACAATATCTATGAGCCCATTATGTTCTTTTAGGTAAAAGCTGCCAAAACTCATCTAGCTTTTCCTCTGGCTTACTTTTACTAGCTTGTTGTGACCTGGTAGAGGTCAAGAATATGTTGAATATGTTTAATGAAATTTTTTAAGAACTTAAAAACTAGAAAACTAGGGGCTTTTTTCCTTTGTCCTTTCCAAACTGGCAGCGCATCTACTAGTCTGAATTTGATTTGTGAAACTTTTATAGTTTCCATGTAAATGACTGGATATAAGGTATAAAGGATAATTTACTTAAATCCTGAGATAATCTATTTGTACTAGATGTATTTCTTCCCCTGATTGAAAAGTCACATAATCATTGTTTAATGAATTTATAGGTTTTGGTGTTTATAAAACCAAAAAACTCTAATATTGCAACTTATTTATCCATTGGGAGTTGAAACATTGCTAAATTTAAAAAAGTCACCCCAAAATAAAATAATGTAATGGAAAGAAAGATCTTATTTATGGTAGGTCTGTAGAAATTATAATAATACACTCTTTTTTTCAGGACTGGATTCCTCCCTTTCTCTCCAGTCAAGAAAGCAGTCACTTTTTGCCCGACTAGAAAATATTATTGTCACAGATGTTGATCCAAAGACAGTTCATAAGAAAGTAGGTGATTGTAAACAGATAGTTAATATTCTTTAATGACTGAATATGAGCTTCTATTGTAAAATGTATTTTATTTTAAAAACATTAATGAAATATATTTCAATAGAAAAATTTTTTTATAAAGATTATAAATGTAAAGCCTTTTGTAAATGAGATTTTATTTTGTCATTACCTTCCCGGATAGAGTACATTCAAGTCTCTGTTTTTCAGGCTGTGTCAATAATGGGAAATGAAGTTTTCCGTTTTAATTTGGATTTGTATCCAGATGCTACTGAGGGGGATTTGTATACTGACATGTCCAAAGTGGATGGTGTGCTGTCTCTGAATGTTGGCTGTATTCAGATTGTCTATCTTCATAAATTCCTTATGTCACTTCTGGTAAAATAATTATTTGTATATTGATTTTTCAACTTTGAAATATTTTAAAAGTGTGATAATTATGATGGCAAATGTTATAAACCTTGGATTTTAGAGTGGGCATTATTTTAATTATATTTATGCGTGAATGTAGAGATCAAAACCCCTATTTAACAGTTGAAAAGTGAATCATTTAATGATTTTTGTCTAGAACAAATTATTTTTGCTACAATATAATGAAGCCAGATTCTTTAGTATAAAAATTATTGGAAAAAAATTTTTCTCTGTTCCTTAACCATATAACATTAGCTCAGTTCAGGCAGCTCATAGTTATAGATGGATTATCCGTAATTTCTTAATACTGCTAGAAAAATAGGGCTCAATGGAAAGTTAAATATTGGAAAAAAAAAGTTACCACATGTATGAAAAGAAGATAGTGTTATTATTGATGTGCCTGTATTCTCTTTGAATTTCTCTTTTTATGCTTTGTGTCCACAGAACTTCCTGAATAATTTCCAGACAGCCAAAGAGTCTCTGAGTGCTGCCACTGCCCAGGCTGCAGAAAGGGCTGCCACAAGTGTGAAAGATCTTGCCCAGAGGAGTTTTCGTGTTTCCATCAATATTGATTTGAAAGCACCGGTTATAGTCATCCCACAGTCTTCTATTTCCACCAATGCAGTAGTGGTAGATCTTGGGTTAATCAGAGTTCATAATCAGTTCAGTCTGGTGTCTGATGAAGACTACTTAAATCCTCCAGTAATTGATAGAATGGATGTGCAGCTAACAAAGCTTACACTTTATAGGTATGCTCTTTCAATAATTATGGATTTAAATATTATATTCATGATTTCCATGAAATTTTATGACTTGAAATTCCTACCCAACACAGTTTATTCAAATAAACTGTTCCATTACACGGAACAGTTTTTTTTATTGTTGTCATTGTTTTGTGTGTGTGTGTGTGTGTGTGTGTGTGTGTGTGTGTGTGTGTGTGTGTTTTGAGTTGGAGTCTTGGTCTGTCACCCAGGATGGAGTGCAGTGGCGTGATCTCGGCTCACTGCAACCTCTGCCTCCTGGGTTCAAGCAATCCTCCTGCCTCAGCCTCCCGAGTAGCTGGGACTATAGACATGTGCTACCATGCCTGGCTAATTTTTTTTGTATTTTTAATAGAAATGGGGTTTCACCATGTTGGCCAGGCTGGTCTCAAACTCCTCACCTCAGGTGATCCACCTGCTTTGGACCCCCAAAGTGCTGGGATTACAGGTGTGAGCCACCGCGCCTGGCCCAGAAGAGTTTTTTATTTTGTGTTTTGAGATGAAGTCTTGCTCTGTCGCCCAGGCTGGAGTGCAATGGTGCAGTCTTGGCTCACTGCAACTTCTGCATCCTGGATTCAAGTGATTCTCCTGCCTCAGCCTCCTGAGTAACTGGGACTATAGGCACGTGCCATCATGCCTGGCTAATTTTTTTGTATTTTTCGTTATAGAGATGGGGTTTCACCATGTTGGCCAGGCTAGTCTCAAACTCCTGATATCAGGTGTTCTGCCCATCTTGGCCTCCCAAAGTGCTGAGATTACAGGCATGAGCCATCGCACCAGGCCACCAGAACAGTTTTTTAATCAACTTTTGTTTTAAAAAATTTCAGACCTACAGAAAAATGGAAAAAAATAGTACTGTGAATGCACCTACATATCCTTCATCTAGATTCACCAGTTGTTTATATTTGCTTTAACCTATCTATAAACATATACATATTATTTAAAACATTTTTTGCTAAATCATTTGAGAATAGACATCTTTAACTTTTTGTCCCTAAATACTTTATCATATGTCTCCTATAAACAAGGACATTCATTCTCTTATATTAACTATGATATAATTCTAGAAATTTAATATCGATGTAATACTATAATCTGAAATTCAGTCAATATTCAGATTTTACCAGTTGTCCCATTATAATAATTCGCATTATAGGAATGTCCATTATAAAAATTTCTCCCTGATTCAGGATCACCCATAGCGTATAATTGTATTCTGTACTATTGAGGAAGATTTCTGTACTGACAGAAATTTATTTTGGAGTAGTTCTTCAGCTTTTCTTTGTCTTTTTATGACTACATGACTACTACTGTAGTTTTGAAGACTACAGTCCGGTTCCACTCACCTCTCAATTTGGTTGTGTCTGAGTGATTCCTCATGGTTTGATTGAACTTACACATTTTTGGCAGGCATGTTGTGTAAATTATTTTGTATCTTCAGTGCTCATACCAGGTGGCACATGAAATCTGTACATAATTCATTTTAAAATTATTTTCTACCCCATCCATGAAGATTTAATTATGTAGAATAAAAAATTAATGACTACAAGGCAAGTCTAGAAAATAATCCTAGAGAAAACCTTTATGAAATGCCTTGGAAAATGCTAACTCCTCTTGTTCACTTTGCCATCATTTTCTTCAGTCTCTGCACCAACATACCTATTAATCCTTGAACAACTGTATATGATGATTTTCTGTATTTCTTCAATGGTGTGGATTGCTTTTAAAAACTTATTCAATTTTTCACCTATCTACTGTTTAAAGAAAAAAGTTTTCTTAATGGTTCATTGTATATCACCTTTTAATTTGTCCCTTCTAGTGGATTATAGATTAATTATAGGTTCAGTTTTGAAAATACTCAAGCCACACTGTTTCAGATCAGTATTTAGAGCAGCAAATAACTGCTTGACTTTGCTTTTTTTTAATATGTTGCATTTCTACCCTATATCTATGCATTATGTAACATTTCTGTTTTTCGTAGGACAGTGATCCAGCCAGGCATCTACCATCCTGATATTCAGCTGTTGCACCCAATTAACTTGGAATTTCTTGTAAATCGGAATCTAGCTGCATCTTGGTACCACAAGGTGCCTGTTGTGGAAATTAAAGGACATCTTGATTCAATGAATGTAAGTATATGAGTGAAGAAAAAACTTCATTGTTGAAATTTTAAACTCCAAAGACTTTTAGCAGAAATCCAAATGAAATGTAGACTCTTTTGCTGAATAGTATAAGAGAAATTTCAGTGAGACTTTGTCCAACAAGATCATTATTATTTTCAGTAGAATTTAATCTTTAGTTAAGATTTCTTAACTTTAAAATTTATTATACATACATATTGGTAGAGATCTGTATATAAATTATGTATTAGCATATTATACTATATCTCATGTATTATATATGTACATTTTGTTTTTAGGGATATCTAAGTAGCCCTAAGATGATGATAGCATTGAGGGAAATATTTACTTTTTTATATTGAAGACAACCATTTTATTTCATTGGAATTGTTATTGTTTAAAAAGTAGAATTATGCATTTTCCAAAGTTGTCACTTTAATAGAAAAGGTCAGATTTCTTTGATCATAATTAACTTTCAATAAACATAAGTCAAGTCATTGGAGCCAATACTGACTGATAAATTACACTGGTTTTCTATAAACATCTTATTATCTTTGAAAATAAAAATTTTAACATGAAATAAGTAGTGCAATACTTAAGTGAGTTGTGATTGTATGTAACTTTTCAGTGTTAGGATTATTCTGTCCCTCATGTGTTGCAAATGGGAATTTATTTTCTGTATTAAAATTGTTTCATTTTAAAACGTAATATAGTTTTTTTTTTAACATAATATTTTACAGGTTAGTCTAAATCAAGAAGATCTTAATCTTTTATTTAGGATACTAACAGAAAATCTCTGTGAGGGTACTGAAGACTTGGATAAAGTGAAACCAAGAGTACAAGAGACAGGTAAGAGGCTGACAGTAAGTGGCAATATACATATGTGTCTATTTATTTATGGTTTAGTAGGGAATCAGCAAATAAAAAGTAAACAAATATATGTTTACAAATTGCAGTTTGTATTACCGAGTAAACAAACAAGATGCTATTGAATGAAATCATATTTGGAGATGATTGACTCTCTTAAGCTAAGTTGTCAGTTATAGTTTTGGACTTTTTTCTAAGTTGCGTGAGTTGAGAGGAGGCCATAAAGAAGAACTTCAAATCAGTGGTAGATTCTTGAAATAATCATTGAAATTGCATGTATAGAAGAAACCATTTTGAGTTGGCAGTAGGTTATGGTAGCATAGTGTATCTGATTTTTCAATAAGGCTTGGTAGTAAAACATCTGTAAGAATTGAAATGGTTGATAAATTATCACTTTCCAAAGATAATGAAAAGATTATACAGCAGTAAAAATGGAAAGAGAATTTAAATTATTAGTTACCATGGCCCTTTTGACTTAAAGAAAAAGTTCTAGCCTTATTTTTTAAGGTAATATATGTGTATGTCTATATATATATATAAAATGTTGTATACAGACATAAATGTATAATCTTTAGTTTTTTTCAAACAAATGGTAGCATCCTGTATGTGTACATGCATGTGTGTGTTTATTCACTTTGCTGTTTTTAAAAAAATATTAACAGTGTATCTTGGTGTCTATTCCATATCTGTAGATATGTATAGATCTGCTTCATTCTTTGTAGTGGCTGCCTGGTATTAAATTCTATTGAAGCATCATAATTTATTTAGCAAGTTCCTAGCACTAGACATTTTTGGTTGTTTTTAAACTTTCATTATTACCATGTTGCATTGAATATCCTCATACATATACTTTTACAAGTATGTATATTTCTATAGGATAACACCAGTTAAAAAATATGTAAATCTAATTGACAATTAGGTCAGCAAATAATTTCGATAGACTAATTTAAGATTTTGACAGATCTTGCCGATTGCCCTCCATAGAACTTTACTAACCCTGCACTCCCACCAGGTTGTTTTTCTATACCTTTCTAACATAGTATATTATCACATTAAAAAATTTTGGACCATGTGCTAAGTGAAAACCGGTATGCCATTGTATTTTTCATTATTAAAAAACTATTTTACTGTATTTTAATACATACAGTGAAGTATACAAATATTCGGTGCACTATTCAGTGAATTTTTGCATATATGGATACACCATGATCAAGATATAATACATTTTCAGCACCCCAGAAGGCCTCCCTCTTGCCCTTTCTCAGTCAGTACCCAACACTCTGCCTGCAAATCCACGCAGAGGTAACTACCATTTTAACTTGTAATAGATAGATTAGTTTTGCCTCTTCTTGAATTTCGTGTACATGGAATCATACAGAATTTACTCTTCGATGTTTGGCTTCTTTTATTCTTCATTTTGTTTGCGAGATTCATTCGTGTTGTTGTGCATAGGAGTAGTTTGTTCTTTTTATTTCTGTGCACTATTCAGTTATATGAATGTATCAAAATTTATTTTATTCATTCTTTGATGGACATTCAGGTTGTTTCCAGTTTTTAGCTATCATAAATGAAATTGCTATGAATGTTATTGTGTGTCTTTGACGTAGTTATATACACTTTTTTTTTGGATACATAGGTAGGAGTAGAATTACTGGGTCATATGTGAGATTTGGGTTTAGCTTCAGTAACTTGTGCCAAATTATACCAAGCAGTTTTCCAACTGGTTGTACCAATTTACTTTCCTAGCAGCAATGTATGAGAGTTCCAGTTGTTTCACATTCTCCCCAGTACTTGGCATTGCCAATCTTTTTAAATTTAGCATTCTGATAGATAGGCAGTGGCATCTCACTACGGTTTTTATTTGCTTTTTGATTACTGGTGAAGGTGATCACCTTTTCATATGGTTATTGGCCATTTGGATATCCTTTTATGTGATGTAACCATTCTATCATACAACTATTTGATGTTTGCCTTTTTTCTTATTGATATGTAGTTTTAAAATTCTGAATATGAGCCCTTTGTTGGTTAGTGTGTGTTGTATGCATATATGTATAGAAATATCTTTTCCCTGTCTGTGGTTTACCTTTCACTCTCTTTTTTTCCCAATTTTTATTTTAGATTCAGGGGGTACATGTCCAGGTTTGTTACATGGGTAAATTGCATGTCACTGCGATTTTGTCTACAAATGATCCCATTACCCAGGTAGTGAGCATAGTACCTGATAGGTAGTTTTTCAGCCCTCCCCCAGTCCCCCCCTCTCCCCTCTAGTAGTCCCCAGTGTCTGTTGTTCCCATCTTTGTGTCCATGTGTACTTAATGTTTAGCTCCCACTTACGAGTGAGAACATGTGGTATTTGGTTTTCTCTTGCTGAGCTAATTAACTTAGGATGATGGCCTCCAGCTCCATCCATGTTGCTGAAAAGGACATGATTTCATTCTTTTCTGTGGTTGCATAGCATGTCATGGTGTATATGTACCACATTTTCATTATTCAGTCCACTGTCAGTGGGCATCTAGGTTGATTCCATGTCTTTGCTATTGTGAATAGTGCAGTGATGAATAGGTGAGGGCATGTGGTCGTTTTGGTAGAATGAGGTATTTTTCTTTGGGTATGTACCCTGTAATAGGAGTGCTGGGTCAAAGGTAGTTCTGTTTTAAATTCTCTGAGAAATCTCCAAACTGCTTTCTATAGTGGCTGAACTAATAATGTATATTTCTACCTACAGTGTATAAGTATTCCCTTTTTTCTACAACCTGGCCAACATCTGTTATTTTTTGACTTTTCAATAGATATTCTGACTGGTGGCCTTTCAGTCTTTTAATGGATCTTTTAATGAATAAAATTTGTTAATTTCAATCAACTTAAATTTACTGGTTTTTTAAATGATCAGTATTTTTTGTTTTCCATTTGAAAAATCTTTGCCTATTCTGGGAATTGTTTCATAAAAGCAAAAATATTTGCTAGAATCATTTCCCCTGGTTCACATTATGTTTGGAACAGTGATGGAGTAAGGTGATAGTTAGGAAACCTTGCGCTATGCAATGCTTTGTCAAAGGTAATGATTAACATTAGCGGCTTTCTGTATGGAATTCTGGTGTAGCTTACACTACATGGTTCCTGTGTGTTGTATTAGTGGTCAAGATAATGTCAACCGCAATAATGGTAATAACTAACTTAATGATATTGAGGGACAGTGGCGAGTGAAGACTGTAAAATCAGACTGCTGAATTTGGGCTCTGCCATTTGTGCGACACTGAGCAAGGGACTGAATCTGTCTGAACCTCAATTTGCCCATCTCTGAAATAAGGACAATAAAGTTCTTATCTCAAAGAGATGTCATAAGAATTAAATAGAACAGTCCATATACAGACCTTAGAACAGTGTCTGCCACACAGATGAGCACTTAGCAAGTGATAGCTGTTGTTATTTTTTGTATTACAGTTTAAAACAATTTTATTGCATTTCAGGGTGTACGAATTTCAGAAACACAGCATCATAATTATATAGCTTTACCTTTGTTTATTAATATGGCATAAGAGGCCCTGACCTCCCACTCCCTTTTTTCTTTTGTAGTATTACCTCTTGTTGTCCCCCTTATGATTCAACCATATCAAACTCCATTCTGTTTGCAAAACCTATCATGTGTTATCATTCCCTGGTTTTGCTCCTTTCTAGTAATGTCTCCACCGTGTGAGGAGGTCCTTTGCTCTACTTGAATAATACCTCCTCTAATACATCCTTTCTTGACTTCTGTATAACAGTGTCACGCTTTGTTCTGTGCTTGCAGTGCATTTTATATAGAGTCTATTAACATTTGTTCACTTAATGTGACTAGGTGTGGCCTGCTTGTTTGTTTGTATTTTAAATGTATATGTCTCTTCCACTAAACCATGAGTTTTCCAAGGGCTAGCGCTGTTACTAATTCGTGGATTTTCATTGCCTCTACCAGGTCCAGAATACTCATATAAGTCCACAATAAATATTTGTGGAAGAAATTTGTGAATAAAAGTAATGAATTTCTTTTAAACATTTCAGGTGAAATTAAAGAGCCCCTTGAAATCTCTATATCACAAGATGTACATGATTCAAAAAATACTTTAACAACTGGAGTGGAAGAAATTAGGTCTGTAGACATCATTAATATGCTGCTGAATTTTGAAATTAAAGAGGTGTGTAATTTTCATCTGTTTTTGTAAAGTGAGGTGAATAAGTAATGGATATTGGAATTACCTCTACTAAACTTACAGATAATTGATACTGATGAAAAAAATCTATGTGGGCTGTTCACATGTAGCAGTGATGTTTTAAAAATTGAAAGTTTGTTAAGGATTTGGGAGTTTATAATATTTCATAGAGAAAATGACAGCATGTTGTATAACATGCTTTTTAATGATTTTAGGACAGTTGGAATGTCACTTGCTTTGGATGTCATATAAGAAATGCAGGAAAGGACAATAGTGTCAGATAAATTCTTTTCAAATGTTAGAAACTCTTGATAGAATAAAACACAATATGCCTGCATTTTAAAAAAAAGTTACATTACTAATATGTTTGCCATCTGCATACTCTTGAGGAAAGATGAAATACATTTTCTTCTTTATTCACCCATCCAACAAATATTTATTGTATATGCCCAGTGACAAGGATAGAGGTAAAAGGCGTAGAGTCTGAACTCATGCAGGAAAACTGTTAACATTTTTGTAATTATTTCACGAAAACTCTGCTGAGGATACTAATTGGAGCTTGGGGTGCTGATGGTAGGGAGGGGGCATTTAAGCAAACTGAGAGGGTCATAAAAGATTTTCCAGAGGAGGAGACATTTCAATGAAGTTTTTAAAGAGAAATAAGAAAGGACTATAAATCATGCTGCTATAAAGACACATGCACATGTATGTTTATTGCGGCACTATTCACAATAGCAAAGACTTGGAACCAACCCAAATGTCCAACAGTGATAGACTGGATTAAGAAAATGTGGCACATATACACCATGGAATACTATGCAGCCATAAAAAATGATGAGTTCATGTCCTTTTTAGGGACATGGATGAAATTGGAAATCATCATTCTCAGTAACTGTCGCAAGAACAAAAAACCAAACACCACATATTCTCACTCATAGGTGGGAATTGAACAATGAGGACACATGGACACAGGAAGGGGAACATCACATTCTGGGGACTGTTATGGGGTCGGGGGAGGGGGGAGGGATAGCTTTAGGAGATATACCTAATGCTAAATGATGAGTTAATGGGTGCAGCACACCAGCATGGCACATGTATACATATATAACTAACCTGCGCATTGTGCACATGTACCCTAAAACTTAAAGTATAATAATAATAAAATAAAATAAAATAAATTAAAAAAAATTGTCTGAGAAAAGGGATCAGGAAAGGGTCTGGGGCAAGGCAGAAAGAGGAACAGGCATAAAAGTGTGAGTATGTGAGAAAGCATAGTGGATACAGGGACTTGCAAGGACTTCCTCTAAGATCCGTTTTATCATTAAATAATTTTATAGAGGTTATGTTTTTGCTCTGAGCTAAAAATAATAAAGTTTTAAGTAGGCTGGTTGCAATGGCTTATGCCTGTAATCTCAGTACTCTGGGAGGCCAAGACTGGAGGATCGCTTGAGTTCAGGTATTTGAGACCAGCCTGGGCAACATAACAAGACCCCATCTCTACAAAAAAAAAAAGATTTTTTTTTTAATTAGTCAGTTGTGGTGGCATGTGCCTTTAGTCCTGGCTACTTGGGAAGCAGGAGGATCGCTTGAGCCCAGGAGGTCAAGACTGCAGTGAGCTCTGATTGTGCCACTGCACTCCAGCCTGGGTGACAGAGCAAGACCCTGTCTCTAACAATCAATCAGTCAATAAACAAACAAACAAACTTTTAAAGGAATGGGCTCTACTTTTTAGAATCTGAAATACATCCTTTGATGTTATATGTTAAACTTGGATGTTTTTCTGGTTAATATCAGAGTTAATGAAGGTTTTTAAGCCTTGGTAGTTGAAACATTGATAGATGAATCATTCTATTTGCAGATATACTTAACACACACACACAAACACACATACACACACACATATATAAAGTCCATAAGACCTTTTAAATATTCTTTGTAATATATATTATGATTGTTCTCCTCCCTTAGGACAATGATTGGGTTAAAGGGGAGCAGTTTGCATTGCTCCCAATGGATATTTGGCATTGTTTGAAAACATTTTCTGTTGCCATTATCTGGGGGGAGAATACTAATGACAACTGGTAGGTAGAGGCCAGGGATGCTGCCTCATATCCTACAGTGCATAAGACATTTCCCACCACAAAGAATTACCAGCTCAAAATGTTAATGGTGCCGAAGATGAAAGAGCTTGCCTTAGGAGTGGTGTAAAAATTGGCTGTTGGTCTTACAGACTTTCAGAAGAAAGGCTGTCCATCAGACTAGGAGTTCTGGGAATCATGCCAAACTGCAGGCACAAATAGAAGTACACATCTTAACATTGTGTGAATTTCTTCCTTATATCACTCTGGATACTTATTAAATTCTTGACTTACCTTCATTGCATATTGGTGAAATAGTTGGTGGTAATACTGGTACCGTTTTTTAGGTTGTGGTTACTTTGATGAAAAAATCAGAAAAGAAAGGAAGGCCTTTACATGAGCTAAATGTCCTGCAACTTGGAATGGAAGCTAAAGTTAAAACCTATGACATGACTGCTAAAGCTTATCTAAAAAAAATTAGTATGCAGTGCTTTGATTTCACTGGTAAGTGTGAAATATTGTCTGTGTAAATTATTCATTAGGCAGATGATCCCTACCTTTTTATCAACATTAAACATATTGATTTCTGTGCAATTGTGTTAATTTCCTAGTACATTAACTCAACTTTTCAAAAACAGTCCCTGGGTACAGTTCTAGGGGACCCATTTTGAAAAGCTGGGTTAATTTATTAGGAAATGTGATGTTTTATTTGTTTTTTAAATTTTTAAATTATGTGAGTTTTAACATTTCTTTTTGATTATGTTAATATGTATTTGTGAAAAATGAAAATCAAATACAAAAGTATATAGAGGAAAAAATTAATATCATCTGTAGTCTCATGTCCTTCCCTCAGAATAAATACTAAGTTATCATTAGTGGGTATCCTTGACCTTTTAAGTTTCTGCAATAAGCTAACTTTTAAAGTTCTGTTAGTGTTTAAAGTTTATAAGAACTCTATGGGATATCTTTAAGTGAAATAAACTTGTATTGAGAATAATCCCTACTTTATGTATTTTATAGGTTCTTTATACCATGATTTGTTTAGATGAGAGTAATACAGTAGTACCATAGGTTATACCAGTTGTAATTGGTGGGTACTAGTATTTTTGTTTTATGGAATTTGTTTCCTTTTTTTTCAAAGCCAGGTTTATTGAGGTAAGATTTATACAGAACATACTTCACTCTTTTTAGTGTACAGTCCTGAGTTTTGACAAATGTATATTTGTGTACATTTGGCTGGTCCTGTTTTAAAATGTGTGAAATGTTTAATTGATGGATCAACTTTGTCTTTTTTCTCTTTTAGACTCTAAAGGGGAACCTCTTCACATTATTAACTCTTCTAATGTGACTGACGAACCCCTTCTGAAAATGTTACTGACAAAGGTAACTAGTTTCATTTCTAGGATTCTTTAATATTTGAATATATGAAGTTATATTACCCTTATATTTAATATTCTCATTTTCTCTCCCAACATTTTTCTACCTAAACTTATTGATTATGGTGAATTTTGCAAGCATCTGAAAATCCTGGATACTTTCATTAACCTTCTGAGTTACCCTATGATATTGAATAAATGGTAATAACCTAAAGTTCCATTGTAATCCAAAGCAAAGTGTGTTATAATCTAGCACTTTTTCCTACTTTTTAGATTAGTGTACCTAATCTAGATATACTAGCATTTCCTCCACAGTAGGATAAGGAATTAGAGTTTTTGCTTGTATGGAATGTAAGAAATGCTTATGTGGTCAGTTTGTTTTTGTTTTTTTTTTTTGAATGGCTTTCTTTGCCTTTAGGAAATATCTTTTTACTCTTTTAATAGCATACTTAGAAAAGTAAAGAATATGTATATTTTCAGTGTATGAATTTTTAGTGTTTGAAACTCAGTGGTGTAATTCTCCACTATTTGTAGGCAGACAGTGATGGACCAGAATTTAAAACTATTCATGACAGTACCAAACAGAGACTGAAGGTAAAACTTTTATAATTTGCTATAAGGTTGGGTTGTGTTGATTATATCTAGCTTCATAGCCATTTTCAACTGTGAGATTGTAAGTTCTAACGTGAGAATAACAGTGGCAATAATAATATTCCTAATTTATGGATAAAGTTAAGTAGATACTAGAATTGGAATAAAGTTCTTACAAAAAGTTGATTTATGTTCTGAAAAGATTGTTTCCCAGTTTTGACTTAGATTTCTTGACAAGTATGTGAATAATACACTTAAAGGGAATTTTGTTACTCATTTTTGTCAACTGTGGTTTTTTGGCCTAGCGTTGATGGAAGCATTAAACATTTGAATTATGTATTGGCGTTAGGATTAGAATAAGATTAACTGAAGCATAAAGCAAGGCCTGGTACAGACATTACATACAAGCATTACCTGTACTGGACCTGGTACAGTCCATTTGAACATGCATAATCAGCTTGGAACTGCCTGAAATGTGGTTTAAAGCCTGATAATATTTCCTGTATCTTTACTTAAAACTCATCCAGTTCTTTTGAGTTAAAATTGTGGTTGCACATGGGAGTGAGCAGAGAGTTGATTTATTATCTGGCAAGGATTGACATTTTAATAGTGAGTTAATAGTGAGTTCTTAAAAAAATAAAAATTTTAAAAAGGCCCTTAATTGAACTGTTCTTGTGCTACTTATATCTGTTGAACCCTGATGTAAAGATTTTACTGCATCTGAAATCTGCCTCTTTAATTGTTCATTATCTTAGGTTTCATTTGCATCCTTAGACTTAGTACTTCATTTGGAAGCTTTACTTTCCTTCATGGATTTTTTATCATCTGCTGCTCCATTCTCTGAGCCTTCCTCTTCTGAGAAGGAATCCGAGCTGAAACCACTTGTGGGGGAGTCCAGAAGTATCGCTGTCAAAGCTGGTAATAATTTTTGAATTATGATCTAATAATACTTTGAACTTTAATAATCATATAACAACTTGTTTTTTTCAGTTAAGATGAATATTTAGCATGTTGACATTGCTGCTCTGATAGGTTAGTTTCAAGAGAAAGAAAATGTTATCTCTATGGGATTATAGAGCAGTTTAGTGAGGAATTTTAAATAGATGTTGTTTAATATTATATATTTATATTTCAATTCACTGTCTAGCTTTTACATAAAATAGAAATTGTATGTACTTTATGTTGATGTGTCTTTGTAGTCTTCAGTTCAATGGAAGTGAGAAAGGAAAAAGTTCAGTTATGATTCAGTCATACAAGGTCACAAAGGCCCGTTTCAGTTAGTCAGGTAGACTTACCTGGTGCTCAGCAATTTTAAATGCTTAGTGGGACACTGCAGGGAAGGAGCTCATGGAATAGACACACTCATATTGGTTTCTAGCCAAAACTATATTTAGATCACACAGATATGGGCACAGGGTCCTCAGGCATATGACTTATGTTATGAAAAATTAGGTATGACATATCCTGAGTGAATAAATAACATTTGCTTACTTTTAAGCCAAATATCATTTTAATTATTTTTCTTTCATATTATATAATGTCAGTATTTAACATCTAGTAATTCAGTTTTCAGATCGTTACGAGTTTGAGTTTTACCTGTATTACTGGCATGTTTGGTGTAAAACTGTCAGTACTGTTAGATCAGGTACAAGGATCTGATTTTTCTTTTTTTTTTTTGAGACGGAATTTCACTTTTGTTGCTCAGGCTGGAGTGCAGTGATGTGATCTTGGCTCACTGCAACCTCCGCTTCCCAGGTTCAAGCAATTTTCTTGCCTCAGCCTCCCAAGTAGCTGGGATTACAGGTGCTCACCACCATGCCTGGCTGATTTTTTATATTTTTAGTAGAGATGGGGTTTCACCATGTTGCGCAGGCTGGTCGTGAACTCCTGACCTCAGGTGCTCCACCTGCCTCGGTCTCCCAAAGTGCTGGGGTTACAGGCATGAGCCACCACGCCCGGCCGGATGTGATTTTTTTAAACCATGGAACAGAGCAACAATTTCCTTATAAACTAGAGTAAAAGAGCTTTACCTGCTTTGTCTTTAATGTACTTGTCACATTAATAGCCTCAGAAATATCCTTGGAAATTCCTCTCCTTTATATTATATATGCATACAGTACATACACAACACAGTTGAATAAATGAAAAAGAAATGTTTAAACTCACAATACACTAGAAACACTATTAACCCAAAGAAACAGTCTTCCAGTTTTGCTATATTGTTGGTCTTTGTGGTTTGATTATGTTACATCAAATATTAAAGAAAAAAACAACCTGTCGTACTGGTGATTAAGGACAGATACTTTCCGTGCTTTTGCAATTTCAATCAGAAGGCTCTATTTCCTTCCAGCAAGACAGATTTTTAGGAAAATGGATCCTAAATTTATCAGTCAGGATCTGGACTAAAGTGGATTTAGGGCGCTAGTTTGATTGTGATTCTTATGCACACATACACCTGCGTGCATATACATTATAAATTTTTTTTTGGTATTTTTTAAGTTGGCCCTTTATGTTCATTTCTCAAAGAATTTATTTTAGGATTCTTGATGGAGCAACAGGGTGTAATCTGGAGAAATTTATCATGTAGTTAATAACATGTAAGTGCCATAGTAAATAATATGTATTTTATTAACTGGGCATCACCATTGCAGTTTATCATGAGTTATTCTTCCTTAATCTAATATATGATACGAAAAGGAGTTCAGAATCAAAACTTTAGACCAAGAGAATTCTAGAGTTCTAATATAGAATGTTTTCTTTTTTCCCAGAAAAAAAGTTGTAGTAAAGTTTCCATCTAGTAAATTGCACTTTCAAGGTGCTATTAATATTATAGTTGCTTTTATTCTTAATTTGAAGGGGAACGTGCTAATTTTTGTAGATTGGAATTTGATAATTATTCCAAAATTTATGTTAATTACATGTTATCTTAATGGAGGGCATTTTGGTTCCTCAGAGTACATTGGGTACTTTTATTTTGGTGGATTTGAGGTTATTGTATGTGTTGTATTATCTTTTCCCTTTGCTCATCAGAAGGTTTCTATTATTTTTTAGTATCCAGCAACATTTCCCAAAAGGATGTGTTTGATTTAAAGATCACAGCTGAATTAAATGCATTTAATGTCTTTGTCTGTGATCAGAAGTGTAACATTGCAGATATTAAAATACATGGTAAGTAGTTACTTCTTGTTGTAGGTATTTCTGTTTCTTTACATAACTAGGAAAAATGAGCTTGTACCTGTTAGATTTCTCATGAGTTTTCTTTTGGTTTACTTATATTGAAGACTTTGCAAACTTTTCAAAGATGTGCTTTAAAATGTTACAAGTAAATTTGTTGTGATTCATTGCTGACTTGAGACATTCCTTATGCATTATGCATTATCTACATTTTTATGCAGTTGCAGAAATCATTATGCCTTTAGAAACTGAGAATGACAAATTTTTTTTGGAGGGAAATCTTAGAAGACTGTTTCCTAATACAGTTTATTATAGAAGTAAGACTATTCATCAAGTAATGTTCATTTATTTTTAGTTATTGGAGCAACAGTTTTTAATAATATAGTAAATGTTTGTAAGATCACTGTTTAACAAATATTGTCTTCCTAAATGACCACTGCTGATCTTGCCAATGCAGAGGATATTTAAGTTTGGAGAAATGTGATTAATTTTCTAAATTAATTTGAATTTCTTTGAAACTTGGTGGGTTTTTTTTTTTGGTTTTAAAATTTCTACAACTTTTTTGGAGGAGATGCCTGTGTCCCTTAAAGTTATTATTTAAAGGTATTATTACCTTTCTTAGGTATCTCATACATGAAAGTTGATGCCATTAATGTGTCTTATAATGAGTAATTTTTATTCACTTTATATCTTGTCAGTATATTATTGAACTTAAATACCACTGGCTTAGTCATGTGGATTGGGTGAAAAGTTTATAAATGTTATGTTTCCTATAGGAATGGATGCCTCTATTTCTGTGAAGCCTAAGCAGACTGATGTGTTTGCCAGACTTAAAGATATTATAGTTATGAATGTAGATTTGCAGTCCATTCACAAAAAGGTGATTAAAAAATAGATTTTTATATTGGAATTTATTTTGCCTTTTGGATTTGAGATGCTATTATTTATTTGCACAGTATACATTTATTATCTGTCATGTACCAGGCACTTTATTAGGAATTGGAGATGAAAACGGTAATAGTCTGCTTTCACATTGTGTATAGACTAGGCCTCTTGATACACAGTGATTTGTAAAAGTTATTTCTGAACAGCTAAGTGGTTGATATTTTCACTGATAAAATGCTTTTTATAGAAATAGGAAGAAGTTATTGTCACGTAAAATGTTTTTAGCTAATAATTTTTAATGTTGAATTCATATATTTCTACTTATCAAGGATTCTGTAATACGAGAACTTATTTATAATACATTGATAAGGGCTATACAGCTCTTTTGATATAATAACCAGTTAATCTAATACTTTTAGGCTGTCTCTATTTTGGGAGATGAAGTCTTTAGGTTCCAACTGACTCTTTATCCAGATGCCACAGAAGGAGAGGCCTATGCTGATATGTCCAAAGTAGACGGCAAACTTAGTTTTAAAGTGGGTTGTATTCAGATTGTTTATGTTCATAAATTCTTCATGTCTCTTTTGGTAAGTTTTTAAAAATATATTTATTCCTCACTGAGGCCTAAATATCTTTGCTTATACAACTGAACCTAGATAGTAAAAATCTTCACTGATAAGGCTGTGTGATGAGCACCTGAGTGCTGAACAGAATGTTAATATTTAAAGAAATCCTTTTCATGATGTTAACCAAATGAATTTTTAAAATTATTGTTTTGAAGATATAGACTGTAATTCTATAACATTTCCACAGGTATACATTTTAAATGTATGTTTTATGTTTTAATTTAGGGCTTTCCACTGTAACTTGTTTAATGAGATATATTTAAGAGTATTTAGTTAAAACAATTTTTTGAGGAAACTTTTCAGGCATTTGGAGGACTCATATTGGAACTTACAGCTTTTGGTTATGATTGTGATCAACAGCATCATGAAATGCTTTTCTTTTTATTACTTATTTCCATGTAACTGTCATGGTGTATTAGTCCATTTTCACACTGCTATAAAGAACTGCCTGAGACTGGGTAATTTACAAAGAAAAGAGGTTTAATGCACTCACCATTCCGCATAGCTGCGGAGGCCTCAGGAAACTGAATCATGGTGGAAGGGGAAGCAGGCACGTCTTACATGACAGCAGACAAGAACAAGCTTAGGGTGAAGAGCCTCTTATAAAACCATCAGATCTCATGAGAACTCACTATCACAAGAACAGCATGGGGGAAACTGCCCCTGTGATCCAGTCACCTCCTACCAGTTCCCTCCCTTGACACCTGGGGATTACAATTCGAGATGAGATTTGGGTGGGGACGCAGAGCCAGACCATATCACATGGGCTGAAGGATTTAAATCTGCCTATTCTTCTTAGTGGGGCTGCCAATCAAAACTTTTAAAAATCATATTTTTTTTTCAAAGAAAGATAATTTCAACTCTTTTGGACTTCACTTGTTAATTTCAGTTGATAATCCAACTATTTTAGATTCAGGGCATACATGGGCAGGCTTGCTACATGAGTATATTGCATGATGCTGAGGTTTGGGGTTATGATTGATCCCATCACCCAAGTACTGAGAATAGTTTTTCAACTTTTTCCCCCTTTCCTCCCTCTCTGTAGTAGTCCGCAGTGTCTTTTTTTCCCAATGTTACATCCATGAAATACCCAGTGTTTAGCTCCCATTTATAAGTGAAAATATGTAGTATTTGGTTTCTGTTCGTGCGTTAATTTGCTTAGGATAATGGCCTCCAGCTGCATTCATGTTGCTGCAAAGGACATGATTTCATTCTTTTTTTATGACTGTGTAGCATTTCATGGTGTATATGTGCCACGTTTCCTTTATCTAGTCCACTGTTGATGGGCACCTAGTTTGATTCCAGGTCTTTGCTGTTGTGAATTGTGCTCTGAAGAACACGTGAGTGTGTGTCTTTTTGGTAGAACCATTTATTTTCTTTTGGTTATATACCCAGTAATGGGATTACTGGGTCAAATGGTAGTTTTGTTTTGAGTTCTTTGAGAAATCTCTAAATTGCTTTCTACAGTGGCTGAAATAGATTTGCATGAATAGTTATGTAATTGTTCTCTTCTCTCTGCAGTCTCCCTAGCATCTGTTATTTATTGACTTTTTAATAACAGCCATTCTGACCGCTGTGAAATGGTATCTCATTATGGTTTTGATTTGCATTTCTCTAATTGTTAGTGATGTGGAACATTTTTTCATATGTTTGTTGGCTCCTTGTATGTCTTCTTTTGAGAAGTGTCTGTTCATGTCTTTTGCCCAGTTTTAAATGGGATTTGTTTTTTGCTTGTTCACTTGTTCACACTTTTTTTTTTTTATAGATTCTGGATGTTAGACCTTTGTCAGATGCATAATTTGCGAACATTTTTTCTATTTTGTAGGTTGTCTGTTTACTCCACTGAAAGTTTCTTTTGTAGTGCAGAAGCTCTTTAATTAGGTCTCACTTGTCAATTTTTATTTTTGTTGCAGTTGCTTTTAAGCACTTAGTCATAAATTCTTTCCCAGAGCCGATATCTAGAATGGTGTTTCCTAGGTTTTCTTGTAAAATTCTTATAGTTTGAGGTCTTACACTTAAATATTTAATCCATCTTGAGTTAATTTTTGTATATGGTGAAAGGTAGGGGTCCTTTCACCATAGAATAAAACGTTGTTTCATTCTTTTGCATATGGCTAGCCAGCTATCTCAGCACCATTTACTGAATAGGGAATCCTTTCCCCATTGCCTATTTTTTGTTGACTTTGTCAAAGAACAGGTGGCTGTAGGTGTACAGCTTTATTTCTGGGTTCTCAATTCTGTTCCCTTGGTCTGTTTGTCTGCTTTTGTACCAGTACCATGCTGTTTGGGTTACTGTAGCTTTATAGTATAGTATAAAGTCAGGTAATGTGATGCCTCAGCTTTGTTCTTTTTGCTTGGGATTGCTTTGGTTATTTGGGTTCTTTTTTGGTTCCATATGAATTTCAGAATAGTTTTTTCTAGTTCTGTGAAAAATGACACTGGTCATTTGATAGGAATAACATTGAATCTATAGATTGCTTTGAGAAGTATAGCCATTTTAACAATATTGATTCTTGTAATCCATGAGCATGGAATGTTTTTCCATTTGTCTGTGTCATCTGTGATTTCTTTCAGCAGTGTTTCCTAGTTCTCTTTGTAAAGATCCTTCACCTCCTTGGTTAGATGTATTTCTAGGTACTTTGTTTTTTTGATGGCTATCGTAAACAGGATTGTGTTCTTCATTTGGCTCTCTAGCTTGGATGTTATTGGTGTATAGAAATGCTACTGATTTTTGTACATTGATTTTGTATCCTGAAACTTTACCAAAGTTGTATGTCAGTTCCAGGAGCCTTTTGGTGGAGTCCTTAGGGTTTCCCATGTGCAGAATCTCATGATTCCTTAAAAGCATGCATTTCTACTTAAACCATCATGTTTACTTTTCTAGAGAGCAATTAACTTGGAGGTGGGTGCCGGGGAGGTTAGGTTGCTTTTGTAATATTAATGGATGTACACCAAGAATATTGCTTCTGAGAATGATCTTATCCTCATTGGGAAAGATTTTTCTGTTTTTAGTTGAAATTGAGATGAAATACATCTTATTATAAATAAATTTTGACTCTTACTAATGATTACAGGATTGTAGACAATTAACTGTCTTTCCTCATGCTGAGTACATAAAAAAAAAAAAAAAAGCCTTATCAGAAATAAGCCGGCAGAAGCTTAGTTTCTAAGACTAAACTTTATTGCTGTGGCCTAGCAGTACAGAATTGAACCCAATTTTGGAGAAGTACGGTACTGCCCTTCTCCCTTTCATTTAAATTTGAATTTAAAATAACCAACATTCTTAATAAAAAGGAGATTTTTAAAAGAACTGTTGCAAAAATTTATCATGAGAATAAAATAATTCTCAATTATTTTATATTTTATAAAATATTTTATAAAATGAAAAATATTTTATGAAATGTAAGAAAGAGCTCTTTCTTCCTACAGTAACTATTGTTAATAGCTCAGAGTGTATGTTTCTAGACTTCACTCTCTACATACACAAAATCATAAATAACATCTTTTATATTACTTTTTTATTTAGTTTTTAAAGTAAATGCTTTTTAAAGTTTTTTCTTTTAAAAATAAATGCCTTTTTTCCCCTAAATATCTGTCTCTTCCAACAGAACTTCCTCAACAATTTCCAAACTGCTAAAGAAGCTTTGAGTACAGCCACAGTCCAGGCTGCAGAAAGAGCTGCTTCCAGCATGAAAGACTTGGCTCAAAAGAGTTTCCGCCTTTTGATGGATATTAATTTGAAAGCACCAGTTATTATTATTCCTCAGTCTTCAGTATCACCTAATGCTGTTATAGCAGATCTGGGTTTAATCAGAGTTGAAAACAAGTTTAGCTTGGTTCCTATGGAACATTATTCTCTTCCTCCAGTCATTGATAAAATGAACATCGAACTCACTCAGTTGAAGCTGTCAAGGTATAAATATGTAATCTAATTGTGTATTGCTTACTAGAAATAGGATTTTCATACAATTTTTACCTAAGGTAAAATGTTGTAGTAATTTGTGGTTTTCATTCCTTATTTCTTCTAATTATGAAACCTTGACCATTGGCTTCTTGGTCAGTGGTTAAACAGTCATGTATGTGCCTCATGGAGTCTGTATTTTCCCTTACTACATATGTAATATGATTTTTTTCATTCTATAAAAATTAGCTATTATAAAATTATAGTTTACTCAATACTTAGTTTAAATTTTTTATTTTTCTCACTTTGCACGTAGCTATTTCCTTTTTTATTTTTGGTGGGAAAAAACTTCGTAATATATAAAATTTAAGATTTATTTCTCATTTCCAAACCTTGTCACATTTGGGAATTTTCAGTGAGTTATCGAAAGGATTAGTGAATCGAAATGGGACAGTGTTGGCTCTATTGAGTGACAAGAGCGTTTATTTGGTTAGGCAAATGGTTGTTGGCAGGCAAGCTGGAATGACTATTACCGTATGTTCGTTTAACTTTTAGATTAGTTGAGTTTCCCCCTTGAGTCTGGAGAAGTACCAATAACATATTAAGGGCTAAGTATAAGATTACTTTCTTCATCTTCCAGTTTTAGGAGGATGTAACATTTGTTTGCATGACAGTAAACTATTCGCTGTATCAAACAGCCTTTGTGAAAAATAATAAATAATGCAGTTGTCATAGTGTATGAAAATTATGTTTTTGAAATCAGTGTTATGTAGGTTTGGTTTTGGATAGCTCTGCATATAAACTTATGTGTTGTGATTTAGATTGATCTTAAAAATGTGAAAAGAAGTGTATTCTAAAAGACTTCTGTTAGCAGCTTTTAGCCTTTATGAAATGCTGTGTGGAAACTGTTACACAATAGGATAGTCCTCATTTTAAAATGTAAATTTGAAGTAAAAAATAAATTCTTGTTTTTCTTTCAGAACTATTTTGCAGGCTAGCTTGCCACAAAATGACATTGAAATTTTAAAACCAGTCAACATGCTTTTGTCCATACAGCGAAACTTAGCAGCAGCATGGTATGTGCAAATTCCAGGGATGGAGATAAAAGGAAAACTAAAACCTATGCAGGTAAGTAGCTAGTATATAATATATGAAAATTTCTTGATAGGCTTTTCTCGTTGATCATAGTGCAGTTCTAGTGGATATCAGAATGTAGGAGTTGCTACGTTATTGATAAAGCTAAACCAGTTTTCTCTTAGTGAGCATTTGTCTGTTGTATGTGTACTTTTGCCCAAGTAATAAATTGAGTAAACTAGATTTTGTTTCCTATTTAAAAACAACAAAAATAAATAAATAAAAAATATGCAAATGAAATCATCCTTGTTTCCCTCACTTTTCTTTGTTTTCATTTTAGTTAGATATTTGGTAAAACCAGCAAGGAGTCTGAGATAAAATCTGTTGGAGTGTACTAAAAATATTATTCTTAATTTTGGAAAATTCTGTTAAAGTTTTAATGCAGTTAAATTGTAAGACAATGCAAAGTGATATTCAGACACTACATTCAAAGCACCTTAGTATTTTTAAATGTGTAGAGGGCCCGTTTTAATTAGAAAGGTGATATCATTTTGAATAGGCAAATGTGTATATTTGATAAGCATATAAATACACCATTATTTTTAATAGTGTAGTTTGTAGAGGCCTTGTTTTAATTAGAAAGGTGTTACCATTTTAATAGGCAAATGTGTATATTTGATAAGTATACAACTTTTTTTTTTTTTTTTGAGACGGAGTCTTGCTCTGTGGCCTAGGCTGGAGTGCAGTGGCATGATCTAGGCTCACTGTGACCTCCACTAGCTGGGTTCAAGCGATTCTCCTGCCTCAGCCTCCTGAGTAGCAGTGATTACAGGCACCCGCCATCCACTTGGCTAATTTTTGTATTTTTAGTAGAAACAGGGTTTCACCAGGTTGGCCAGGCTGGCCTCAAACTCCTGACCTTAGGTGATCCACCCTCCTCGGCCTCCCAAAATGCTGGGACTACAGGCGTGAGCCACCGTGCTCCGGCCACAGCGTTATTTTTAATAATGTAGCTAGAAGGTTGCATATCAGCTCAGAGGAGGAGGTGAGACTGGTTGAAGGTAGTCGTGGAAGTATAGGAATCCTGTGATTCTTGTGTGCCTATGTGTGAAACTGTTGAAACCAAACAGCCGAGGATGGGATAGGGGTGAGAGAGACTAAACAAAACCAAACAAAAATTTAGTGGTTTAATGGGTTTTCATACCTGTGATTATTTCAGAGTTGGTTCTAACATGAAATAGGAAGGATCAAAGGAGCAGAGTTTTACTAGGGAAGAAGTTAAAATTGAAGCTTGTTGTAGAAATGAAGGGTTTCTGTTCATATACTAGTGGATATATTACATGAAGAACAATTATTAAATTTTGTTTGTTTGGGCATTCATAGGGTAGCCTTTATTCCAGAGTATGGGTACCTTCTTTTAATTTCTGTCTTTCTGCCAAGAGGTTAGATCCCAGGACTAATATTTGGCTCTCCCTTTCAAAGATTAGATCCCAGGACTAATATCTGACAATCCCTTTCAAAGATTTTGTGGTTATAGGTTTGTTGAAAGCATAAGTAAAACCTGAATGTCTGTTGGTAGCAGAACATGGATAAAATTTTGGTATCTTCATATAATGGATGTTGTAAAGCAGATAAAGTGAATAAAATAGAACTATATCAAACAAAATTGATATATCTTGAACATAAAAATGAAAAAAGTGAGTTGCAAAATGATAGTACAGTTCTATCAGTTTTATATTATTTCAGATTTTCAACAGGCAATATAATACTATTATATATTGTTTATAAGAGATGCAGTGTGATAACTTTAAGAAAAGTATTCATGGAAATAATCTCTAAATTAGGCTGGTGTCTTTCTCTAAGGGCGAAAGGAGAAGGGAATAGGGTCTCAGAGAAGTACACACGGGGCTTCTGCTATATCTGTAATGGGAAACGAGATCTGAAGGAAATATTGCAGCTTGTTAAGATTTGACAAAGCCAGGTGGTAGATTCACAGGGGAAGATTATAGTATTCTCTGTCCTTTTCCTTTATGCTTTTTAAGGTATTTTAGAAGAAACAAGAAAAAAAAGTAACATCTGATACTTTAGCATCAAAGTATTATAATTACTTTAACCAAAAGCATCCTTATTAACTCAGGAATGCAGCAACAGTGGATGAGGCCACCACTGCCTAATTTGTCGCTGATCCAGGTCTCTCTAAACACCCCCCTTTGGTCATAGTCTGTATAGTTTTCCTGGGCCTGGGATGCAGCCAAGAAAGGGTATCAGGCAGGTGACACTGGCAAGTTGTTTCCCTGGTCTGGGCTGCAGCTAAAAAAGGGTATCAGGCAGGTGATACCTACAGGTTGTTTTGGGTGGATCATTTTGATGGTTTTTAAAGAACTGTGGGGCTGCCTTTCAAAATTGTCCTTCATACTTGTTCCCCCCCCACCCCACAGCAAAGTGAAAGAGGGGTGAACTTAGTTGCCCTTCAGAAAGCTGTGGTAATCTTGGTTGGTATGAGAAGTGGGTTGGGATATACAAGGAAATTCTAAGGTGTTAAAATTACACCTGTTATATGAGGCCTGGGGCTTAGGACAAGCCATAAATCCCTGGTCATTATCTTGTACTTAAATAGCTCTGTATTTTCATTTAAAGTGGGAACTAGGCAATTTCTCTGGTGGTAGGGACCTAATTTGGGGGACATAGGGTACTGTGGTATTCAGAGGAGATTTGCTATGCATGCGTGCTTGCATGCATGCTTGTGTGAATTTGTAAGTACTTGAAACAGGCCTTTGGAGCCACTGTGTCTTACATAAGGTAGAAGGATAAGGAGCTTCAAAGACAGTACTGGTTTAATGGATTTTAGCAGCCAGTAGCAGTTTCGTTTGTTTTAGTTTCTTGTTCTGCAGCCATCTGTGAGAAAGTTGGTATTATGCCTATTTTAGAGATTAAGAAACTTGATCACGCCTGTAATCCCAGCACTTTGGGAGGCCGAGGCGGTTGGATCACGAGGTCAGGAGATCGAGACCATCCTGGCTAACATGGTGAAACCACGTCTCTACTAAAAATACAAAAAATTAGCCGGGCGTGGTGGCGGGCGCCAGTAGTTCTAGCTACTCACGAGGTTGAGGCAGGAGAATGGCGTGAACCTGGGAGGCGGAGCTTGCAGTGAGCCAAGATTGTGCCACTGCACTCTAGCCTGGGCGACAGAGCGAGACTCCATCTCAAAAAAGAAAAGAAAAGAAAAGAAACTTGAGTTAAGGACGTTAAGAAACTTTGCAGCAAGACAGCTTGAAAGTGGTAGTTGATACAGATCTGCCTGACTCAAAGCCCTGGCTCTTTTTCTTTTTGCCACACATACCCTTTTATGAAGGTAAAAGATAAGATGCTACCTTCCTATTTTTTGTTCTTTAAACATTCTTTGTAGATACATTTGTTATTGTTCTAAATGGTATTATTCTTGATAAGTTAAACAAATGTTTTATGTATGTCCAGATGCATATATACTGAGATGAAGAGCTACGTAGCAGGAGAGCATCTTTTTACTATTTGGTAGAGACTAGAAACTGAACAACACTCGTCCTGTATTTAGTTTCAAGGAGAGTAAATAATATAGAAGAAGGAACTGGTACTGGTTGAGATGAGAGAGAGACAGAATGGAGATGGGAAGATAGGGAAATGGGACAGATAGGCACGGGTCCAGGAACAGGAAGACATAGTAACAGATAAGCCATAGAGAGTGTTGGAGTGCCAGAGGCAGGGGCCTGGATATGGGCGAAGGCAGAAGTGTGTGTGCACACAGTAAACAAGGTGAAATACTTCTGTTCTGGTATTTATAGTCCTAACTCTAACTCTCTTCTTTTTAAGTAGGTGAACAATTAATTTGAAAAACCACAAATCGAGATATAGATATGATAGTCTACATTTTTTTTATTACTTAGAGTTAACAAATTATTGGTGGTTTCTAGGTTGCTCTCAGTGAAGATGACTTGACAGTTTTAATGAAAATTTTGCTAGAAAATCTTGGAGAAGCTTCCTCACAACCAAGCCCTACACAGTCTGTGCAGGAGACTGTAAGAGTGAGAAAAGTTGATGTTTCAAGTGTACCTGACCATCTCAAAGGTATAAATTGATGATATTTACTTTATGGAGAAAAAATTGGTGTTAATGTCATATTTATATTTAGTATTTTTCTAGCTGTCCAGCACAATGTGGTATGAACTAATTCAGTATTGTACTACTTACTGTGGAAATTCGGCTGGGGCTGGGAGGTATGTCTGTTCTCTGCTACAGGGGGAAGGGTCACTTGTTGTTGGCATGGTGCTTGTTTACCCTTTACTTGTGAATGCTAAATTTGCTGAATTCACTAGGCACTGAAGTGGCGTATCTTGAGAGAAGAATCAAGCTAGATAGGCAGTGTAGTAAGGTCCCAAATTAATTAAGAGAGAAAAGGACCTTGGTATCACATGTCATACTCAGGTGATTGAACCATGAGAAAGGAAGGTATTCTTGTAACAGCTTTATTTATCTGGACTTATTGGAGCGTTATGTTTCAAATACATAAGATAATTTTTCAGATCATTAATTTGAACCTATTAAAAGCAGTGAACCTTTTGAATTCAGCCATTTTTAAATAATTTTTCTAAAATACAAGGTTTCTTTTTGATTTCTTAAACAGATTATATTACATATAATTTCACTCTTTTTTCATAATTTAAAGCCATTGATGTGAATATTATGTTTAATTAGACTGTAAATAGGTTAATATTTTCATGGCTAAAAAGAGATGAAGTACCCCTTGCCCATATAGTAAATGGTCCTGGCTGCTGTGCTTTTCTAATGCTCTCATACCATCAGCTGTTACTTCAAATGACAGTAATCGGTAAAACTACCAGTTGATATACCATATCAACACTGCTTCTCCTATAGTTAGGCTAGGTGTGTTTTGAAATCACACAAACAAATGACTAGAACAGTGTGCAAGGTTTCTGGTTTAAGTGGATAGTTTTAAGTATTGCATAAGCTTGATGAGGTCAACATCTCCCCAGGTGAAGTTTGTGCCACCATACAGACAAATGCTAGATAAAAAGGCTGTTGTTATAGTTAGACAGGAACTATGTAGAGATGAATAAACTATTAACAGGCAAGCCTTATGTGATTAATGATCTCACTGTGTTCAGCCGTGATCACGATCATGTATCTGGTTCTTGCTATATGGACACCGTGTCACTTGGGAAAATTTGTGAATTCAAATGGAAGCTGCAAAGATGATGAAAATTAGAATATAAATTATTTCTCAGAAAAATAGAATTTTCTAACTTGGAGAAGGCTTACGTGGTTAAAGTTACGCAGTATTTGTTTTTCCAGTAACTTGTAAAAACAGACTGTTCTATAGTATGACAAAAAATTAGAGTCAGTGTTGAAAAAGATTATAGAATCAGTCCGTAAGAGTGATTGAAAGCAAGATCTATTCAGTCTGTGTGATCTATCTAAAGATGAGAGAAAAGACTGACTTACTTCCTGAAGTCTCATTTGTCTCAAAATTCCAAAGCACCCACTCCTTTCCCCTGCATCATATGTGAACTCTGTTTGATTTTGCTATTGAGTTATATTCTGTTCTTCTGATAAAGAAAATGGATTGGGTAATATAGGTAATTAAAGATAATGAGGCTGGGTGCAGTGGCTCACACCTGTAATCCCAGCACTTTGGGAGGCCGAGGTGGGCAGATCACGAGGTCAGGAGATCGAGACCTGCCTGGCCAACATGGTGAAACCCCATCTCTACTAAAAATACAAAAAAATTAGCCGGGAGTGGTGGCGGGCGCCTGTAGTCCCAGCTACTTGGGAGGCTGAGGCAGGAGAATGGCATGAACCTGGGAGGCAGAGCTTGCAGTGAGCTGAGATCGTGCCACTGCACTCCAGCCTGGGCAACACAGCGAGACTCTGTCTCAAAAAATAAAATAAAATAAAATAAAATAAAGTTAGTGAGAGGTGCATTAGTCTAGCAGAAAATCTGTTACTAGCTGTCTAATATAAGGCAAAGTATTGGACTGTTCTGAGTCTCCAATTTCATAATGTCTTGAAAATGGCTTGTAGCCAGTTAGGTGTCAGTGCCTTGAAAATTAAGGCCTCCTCTTTAAAAAAAAATTTTTTAACATAGTCTGCCTGTGCCTCTTTGCACATATATGCTAAATATATATGGAATAGTCATTGCCATTTTTAAAATTTAACAGTTGGAACATAATTGCCATTTTTATTAATTGTCTCAATATGATTTACAGAATCCCAGAAAGCGTCATATAAATTTAGAATAAGAAATTATCTCATATTTAAAAATATTTATAAAATTACGTACCTACTTAAAAGCTTTTAAATTTTCACCATTAGAACAAGAAGATTGGACAGACTCAAAGCTCTCTATGAACCAGATTGTCAGTCTCCAATTTGACTTTCACTTTGAATCTCTTTCCATTATCCTTTATAACAATGATATCAACCAGGTATGTAATACATTTCTGTAATTAGAAATAAATCCTTAGCTCTTGATAGTCAGTTTTAGAGTGTTGGCTTTTTTTTGTGTGGGACTTTTCATTAAAACATTTAATATGTCTATAAAATTCTATTTGGCCTACAGAATGTGCATTGGTCCTGCCCTCTATCTTCACTTTGTTAGTGTTTCTAATCTTCCAAGGCTAAGGCAAAGTACTCAGGGTTTTATTTCTTTCCAAGTAATATCAGCACCAAAACACATTTTGATTTATTACCAACAGAAGAATTTTATATATGAGTGATTAATTATATATACAGTTTTATTACATAGCTATATATATATGTATATATAACGACTTAAGAATAATTTAGTAGTGACTTTGGAGCCTTACCTGATTATTTTTGAATTCATGATTATCCTTGGTATATAAGCATTAATTGTGTTTCTATTGAATAAATGTTATATGTAGTAGATTATGTATTAAGGATACTAATTAAAGAATTGAAGAGCCAAGGTCTTATGCCATGATGATTTGAACTAAATAATATGTCAGTGGTATTTTAGAGAGCTATTTTTTATTATGCTGATATTTCCTTCAGTAAATATTTTTAATTATATTATGTCATACATTAATACCTATAATACATATGGCATATTTTAATATCCATATTCCGTATTGATTATAGATTCAACAGTGAGCATATACCCTAATTGGGCAGTGAGCAATATACTCAAATGGACATTAACAACAGATACAGATTATGGGTATTATATCTGTTAATGTCCATTTATATGAAATATGTTCATTTATATTTCATTTTATTTACTACAAATTATGCAATATTCATACATTGTTACTATTGAATTTTTGGCTTGTATCTGTTATTTATGCAATGAACTGCCTTATTTTCTAATGTTTAATGCTCATTACAACATCAGAAAATGACCTTACCAAAAATGAGCAGTTAAATTCATTCTTCATTTTACTTGGTACCATCATTCTGCTGGTTCTGCAGTCTTAGAATCTTGATGTCTACTTTTGTTTCATTGTTTGTATGCCTTCCTTATTCATTGAGATGCTGAGTACTGTCAGGTTTTTCTTTGAATAAACATTTACTTTTTTCTATCACTTCTCACTGCTGCTTTATTTGAAACTCTTCTTACACTTGTAGTACTGCAATGACTTCCTTGTTTGATTTTTTACCTTTCATCCATCCTAGATATTGGCACAACTTCAGTTTCCTAAATGAATGTCATGTAGCCATTTCCATCTTCCCTTTCCACTAATAAACATTGTGTTATATAATCTGAATTTCATATTATGGAAAGAAATTCAGTGGCTCCAAATTGTCTACATCAGGAAACCATATCAGTAATCCTATCAGGAAACATTAGTGTGTTGTCATCAGCAGATGTGTCTCAGGTCATTGCTATTAATGATTACAGAATAAAAGTTTGTGAATTATTTCCATTTTCATAAGTTAAAAGCATTCAAAGCTTGCCAGTAATAATGTCATTCTGACCCAATTGCATCAACATACTATCTTGAGTGAGAGAAGGGGTGGAGTTCTAACCAGTGTGCCAATGATTGCACATACCCAGCACCCCTATTATCAATGCCAGGGTCTCTAGTAAGCAATGGTGTTGGATGTTCATCACTTCCCTGAAGGTTTTTGTTGATTGGCTGGGGTTTTTTTTTTTTTAAATCTGGACATACTGAGAGAATTTGGAATTATATGTTATGGTAGAATAAAGATCGAGGTCCATTTTTCTATACATGAAAATTTAAATATTTAGTTTGGGATTTGAGACTTCGATTAGGCCTCTGTATTTCTTTCTAGTTTTTTCCCTACCATTCTTTAATCGGAGTATCCAAGCCCAATCACCCTGTATCCTATGTCCTAAAGCATCTTGAATTGTTTGTTCATGTTTTTTCTTCATGTGGAGTGTCTTCTGCCACCCTCTTAGCCTATCTGATCCCACTCAGCCTCTGAGGTTCTGTTAAGTTCTCACCTTCTTTATGAATTTTCCCCAGCCATAATGATCTCTTCAACCTCTCTGAGCTTTTACTATTTATACTCTTTACCTAACCACTAAATGGCTTTTGTGAAATGTGAGAAGATATAAATATGAATGAATAAAATACTGTATGTCACAAAATATTTAATCATTTACAACTAATAGCATCTTCTTGTGATGTTCCTTTTAGTGTATTTCTATTTTGTTTTCTCAAGGAATTAGGGTATATGCTCATTCACATCATCTACCATGCCTTACTCTTTCTTGTAAACCTCATAAATCTTATCACTGTTTTTTAATGGAAGAGCTCATTAAATATTTATTATTAGAGGCGGGGCGCAGTGGCTTATGCCTGTAATCCCAGCACTTTGGGAGGCCGAGGTGGGCGGATCATGAGGTCAGGAGTTCAAGATCAGCTTGGCCAAGATGGTGAAACCCCATCTCTACTAAAAATACAAAAAAAAAATTAGCCGGGCATGGTGGTGGGCGCCTGTAATCCCAGCTACTCGGGAGGCTGAGGCGGAGAATTGCTTAAACGCAGGAGGTGGAGGATGCAGTGAGCCGAGATCGCGCCACTGCACTCCAGCCTGGGCGACAGAGCGAAACTCCATCTCAAAAAAAAAAAAAAAAGAAAAAATTTATTAGTTAGATTAATTGATGAATTGACAGCTCTTTCCTAATTATTTTTATTTGCATTAAACTGTAAATCAGATAAATTTTTCTATACTAATCATTGTTGGATATTCACACATATATCTATTTATTTGTATGTACAGGTATGCTCACAAACATGCATATTATTCTCTGTTCCATTCAGATGTTTTAGCACTCATACTTTTAAAATTCATGAGATCAGTTTGCCTTTAAGTTTTGAATTAAGTAATATGTTTAAAAGTAATTATATAATATTTAAAGGTAATTGATTCTTTTGCTTGAAAAATGTACCATAGGAATCTGGAGTTGCATTTCATAATGACAGTTTCCAACTTGGTGAACTCAGACTACATCTTATGGCCTCCTCAGGGAAGATGTTTAAGGATGGCTCAATGAATGTCAGCGTTAAACTTAAGACATGCACCCTTGATGATCTCAGAGAAGGAATTGAGAGAGCAACATCGAGGTTTGTCAGCTCTGAGTTTGCAATACATTATTTAAGGTTGACATTGCACCTGCATGGCTGCCAGGCATTGCTAGGCTAGGGATCATCCAAAAAAGATCTCTGTCTTTTGGTCATACTTCCTGATTTGAATTGCATTAAGAAGTAGTGCTAATATCAGATTCAGCTGCTTTAAAGGTTAAGTTAAAGGGAAGTTTAATTATAAAATGGAGTAACATATTTAGAATGGGAACTAAGAGAAAATGAGTTTTAATAGTTAAATCCACATGGGGTGATATATTTGGTGATGTATTTTTCTAAATTATTCCCAGTAGGCAGAATTTTGTTTTAAAAAGCCTTCAAGCTATGGATTTTTCCTTCATCATGTTTATTTTGATCATGTCTTTTTAAAACAGTTATGCAAAATTTCTTTCAAAGTTTTAATAGAAATAGAATCTCGAGCGCATTCACATCATCAAGCCGTTTTTGAAAGGGTGAGTTATATTAGCTCATTCTAAAATGGGAAATATGTAATTTTCAATAGCCTAATTATGTTTTTATTTTTCTCAAGTAATGAGACATAATATTTTGTATCTGATTTTTTTGTTGTTGCTTTTGAGAAAAACTGTGTTGCTCCTTAAACTTGGACTCCATTGAATACATATGGGATACTTGTGAGCCCTTTGTTTTTCTGAGAGATGAATAAATGAGGGAAGAGTGCTGTCATGCACCCAGCTTTTCTAGTTTGCAAATTTTGTGTCTGGAGTAGCTGTCCACAGCTCTCCCGGCAAGGGTGATAAATGCTATCATCTGTTAGGTAGCCTGCTTTTTCCAGTTCATGGGAGGACGTAGGGGAACTATAGTTGAGCACACTTGATAAACACTTGATGATTTGAGTTGTATTGAATACTTTCAGACTCAAATTTTCGTAGGATGATCTTTGAAGATAAATTCCTTCAGGGAGGTTTTATTTCATAAATAATATTAAAAGGCTGCCTTTATTTTGTGTGACTACACTGATTTGTTTTGTTAATTGCCCAAATTCCTTTCCGGCCATTATTGGTTTGTTTCTTTAGTATTGCATTATAATGTAATACTCAAAAATTGCATTATAATGCAATAACATATAGAATTGCATTGTAAGTATAAAATATTCAGTAATTGCTTAATAACGTATATCTTGCTTTGGAGATTAGTAGTCTTGTTTACTAATGGATAAATTAGATTCTAGTTAATGTTGACCTGTTTTCTATACAGATTAGAAACTGAAAGGTGAAATAAAGATTATTGAGGTATATAGGAAATTCTTCATCTTTTTTATTGTTTTAGCAAGAATAAAATAATGAATAGCATGTTTTTTTTCAGAATGATTGACAGAAAGAATGACCAAGATAACAACAGTTCTATGATTGATATAAGTTACAAACAAGACAAAAATGGAAGTCAAATTGATGCTGTTCTTGACAAGCTGTATGTATGTGCCAGTGTGGAATTTCTGATGACTGTGGCAGATTTCTTTATCAAAGCTGTGCCTCAGAGTCCAGAAAATGTGGCAAAAGAAACACAGATTTTACCAAGACAGACTGCCACAGGGAAGGTCAAGATAGAGAAAGGTTAGCAGAATTTATCTGTCATAGATGACAACTTGTATATTTTGACAAGAATTACAAACCAGAAAAAAGAGAAATGAAAAATTTAAGAACGTAAAATTAGTCTTTTATATTTAAACATATTCTATATAAAAACTTTAGCTTTTTAGTTTTTTAAAACATTTTTAAGAGAGAGGTACAGTAGATATTGGACCAATGGCCAGGAAAGTCCGCTGGTTCCAACTGTGCCATGAACATTTCTTTACTGATCCAGAAATGAAGTTAATTTGGGTCAGTGGTTAGTGGCCTGTTTTATAGGTGGGGTATCTTATTCAAAGAAAACATGTTGAGAATTCTAGCACATTGAAGAACAATTGAAAATATTAAAGCAGAACACGGGGACTTTGGAGGACCCAGCAGGACTTCCCTGGATGTCGCTTTAACTCCTTAAACTCTGTGGAAGAGTTTGCAAATGTCTGGTCTAGGTGTATGCTGAAGCCACTTTCAGCTCTGTACTTCTTTTATTCCAGCATTATCCAGTAGATCAGTGATTTTCTTTATTTTCTTTCCCTTTTTTTTCTTTCCTTTTCTTTCCTGTTCTCTCCTCTCCTCTTCTCTCCTTTTTTTTTAAAATTTTTTTCGAGATGGGCTGTCACTGTATCACCCAGGCTGGAGTGCAGTGGTGTAATCTTGGCTTACTGTAATTTTCACCTCCTGAGGTGGGCTCAAGCAGTTCTCCCACCTCAGCCTCCTGAGTAGCTTGGGTCCACAGTTGTGCACCACCACACCTGGTATTTTTTGTTTTTCGGTAAACATGGGGCTTCGCCATGTTTCCCAGGCTGGTCTCAAACTCCTAGGCTCAAGCAATCCGCCCGCCTCTGCCTCCCCAAGTGCTGTGGATTACACCTTGCTCCTGCCAGATCAGTGACTTTTCTATGTTAAATTATAAATGTCTAAGGTCAGATATTTTTCTCTCTAATGTATAACCTAGATTGGAAAACTAATATGTCCTGGTAAGAATGCTATTTTTAAAATTTACCTTTAATGTTTTTTAAATAGTGATCATATCTGATATTGCTATATTTATATATGCATTGAATATATTTACAGTATAGATTATATGACATTGACTATGGACTTTTGGGTGAAATTGAAAGAAACAACTAATAATAATCTATTTTATCAGGGTCTCTTTTCCTCTTCCTGATATTCTTTCCAGTTTTCCCCTTCTTGCCCCTGCAATATAATATATACTTATGCCTGCGTACATGCACATTCTTTAATTCTGATAAAAAGAACTTCAAAACAGGATTATTCTTTTTTATTATTATTATTATACTTTAAGTTTTAGGGTACATGTGCACAGCATGCAGGTTTGTTACATATGTATACCTGTGCCATGTTGGTGTGCTGTACCCATTAACTCGTCATTTAGCATTAGGTATATCTCCTAATGCTATCCCTCCCCCCTCCCCCAACCCCACAACGGTCCCCGGTGTGTGTTGTTCCCCTTCCTGTGTCCATGTGTTCTCATTGTTCAGTTCCCACCTATGAGTGAGAACATGCAGTGTTTGGTTTTTTGTCCTTGCGATAGTTTGCTGAGGATGATGGTTTCCAGCTTCATCCATGTCCCTGCAAAGGACATGAACTCATTCTTTTTTATGGCTGCATAGTATTCCATGGTGTATATGTGCCATTTTCTTAATCCAGTCTATCATTGCTGGACATTTGGGTTGGTTCCAAGTCTTTGCTGTTGTGAATAGTGCCGCAATAAACATACGTGTGCATGTGTCTTTATAGCAGCATGATTTATAATCCTTTGGGTATGTACCCAGTAATGGGATGGCTGGGTCAAATGGTATTTCTAGTTCTAGATCCCTGAGGAATTGCCACAGTGACTTCCACAGTGGTTGAACTAATTTACAGTCCCGCCAACAGTGTAAAAGTGTAAAACAGGATTATTCTTGCTAGGTCAAAGTGGTAATGGTATTCTTGGGACAGGGATCAGATTGCCTTATCTTGCTCAATCTGCATTTGTTAATAATCATTTAATAATTAGTATTAATTAACCAATTAATATTGTCAGTTTCACCATATCTGTTATAGAAAAACATTGAGAACAACTTAACAACTTGTAGATAACATGTAGTCAAATGAAAAGACTTACCTTAAACTTTTCTGGTTCCTGTTGCTTGTTTCTTCAGATGACTCTGTTAGACCAAATATGACTTTAAAGGCCATGATCACAGATCCAGAAGTGGTATTTGTTGCCAGCCTGACAAAGGCTGATGCTCCTGCTCTGACAGCCTCGTTTCAGTGCAACCTTTCTCTGTCAACATCCAAACTCGAACAGATGATGGAAGCTTCTGTGAGAGATCTGAAAGTGCTCGCTTGCCCTTTTCTCAGAGAAAAGAGAGGGAAAAACATTACCACAGTAAGAATTACCTTGTGTCCTAATCTTGGGTTGAAGAATGGCAGAAACAGTTGATTCATAGAATCCTAGAATATGAGAGCTCTGCAGGGACTTTAGAGATTATTTATTGTGAACTTGGGGTTTTACATATAAAGATATTGAATTCCAAAGATGTTAAATGACTTAGCCATGGCTGCTAGTGACAGAACTGGGGACTACCTTCAGAACGGTTTTATTTTCATTATACCATCTTCTGTTGAGTAGTGTTTGAATTTTAGTACAAATTAATATTCTTTTTCAACTGTTTCTTTTGTTCACCGTGGTATACCTAATTAATGAATGAGTGAATATTTAGGCTTAGAATGAAAAAAATTAAATTGGAGTCACTTCGCCAAAAGCGGTGGTGTTCTGCTGTTATTAAAAGTGAATGTCAATTATGTTTTCATATTATTATCGAAACATATGATTTTAGTCAGTTAATTACCACACCAATTATTTTCTAGTATTGATAATTTTATGGTAAGAGAATCATTATATTATGTGACTAATTTGCAGTGGCATTTTAAATGTAAAAAATTTGTGGACAAAATGACTTGCATAAAGAAAGTATGAAGTCTATACTTTATCATGAAATATTCTTTGACAGGATCGTCTTTATACATGTCACCAAAAGTTTATATCAATTAGCTCTTCCTAATTCTTTCTCTTTTAGAGACAAGGGTCTCACTCCGTCACCTAGCCTTTAGTGCAGTAATGCCATCTTAGCTCACTACAGCCTCAAACTACTGGGCTCAAGTAATCCTTCTGCCTCAGCCTCCTGAGTAGCTAGGACTACTAGCTGGCTAGTTTTGTTTTTGTTTTTTAATTAATTTTTTGTAGAGAAGGGGGTCTTGCTATATTGTGCAGGCTGGTCTTGAACTCGTGGCCTCAAGCATTCCCCCTACTTTGGCCTCCAAAAGTGCCGGGATTATAGGTATGCACTACCATACCTGGCCTCATCCTATTTTTTAAGAAATGACAATTATGCCGTACTAATTGCTCCATTCAGTTCAGGTACAAGCCTATTTATTCGTTTCTTTAATGATATATAAGAATATAGGCTTCACAATTTGATGAATTGACTTTTATTCTAATAAAGGCCTTACATGATATTTCAGACTGACCTGTCAAGCATCGGGAAACTGTTTACTTACCTACCTTACCACAGTCTTTAGCTCACTTTTATAGATATTTCAAAGGTATATTTTATAGAGGCCATCATTTAAAAACTATTTTAGCAGAAAGAAACATTTTAAACAGTAAATCTGCTTTATTACTTAAGGATTTGGCATGATGAAATTCATCAGAACGGCTTAAAGTGATTTTCCAGTGTTCACAGATTTCTCATAGTTCAGAAGAGTCTTCACAACAGAGTCTCAGCTAATTTATTTTTGCTTTTTTGCTTTTAGTATAATAGCAGGCTGTAGTTAAAGATCCCAAGTTAAGTAAGACATGGTTCTTGTAAGTGTGTGTTATGTATATAATGGATCTATGGAAATGTGAATTTCATTTATCTGTTTATAGGTCTTGCAGCCCTGTTCTTTATTTATGGAAAAATGTACGTGGGCTTCAGGAAAGCAAAATATAAATATTATGGTTAAAGAATTTATAATTAAGGTTAGTACTTACCATATTCTTTGAGTGAAAATTCTTATTTTTCTTCACGACATTGCATATTTGCAGTTGAGACAGTATCTTTTGATGTCTCTCATAACTCAAGCATTATGCTAGTCACATATTCAGTAATCAGTAACTTCTAACATTAAAGTATATTTTTCTTTAATGCAAATGTTTGTTTCTATTTTCTGTAAAAGAGTACTTTTTAATATCTACAAATGATCAGGGTAGTTTTTCTCTATTCTATTTGCATGCGTGTGTTGTGGGGGTTGAGTTGGAGGAGGGAAGAGATATGGGGTGGGAAGAGAAGGGAAGAAGGGATGGAGAGAAGAGGTTGTTATTACTTTATTTGTAATAAGTTCTTTTTAGGCTTTTATTTGATGTATAAGTTGATTGAATTTAATAACTATATGATTTGGCTTCAAATATTTATAATGACAGATGTACACTAGAAATAATTATTGGAGTTTACTGTTTTATTCACTACATTTAAAGCATTGAAAAACAATTATTGTTTTCCAATGGCGTTCAGGTTCTTTAAGTATACCTCGTGCCCAGTCACGAATAGAAGATATAGAATACTTTCTGCAATCTATTTCTCTGTTTGCACAAAGGATACAAAAATGAGTCCTTTTTTGGTTAATTGGTTAATGCCAATAATGGTAGTAGCTTTACTTATATAGGTCCGTGACCAACAGTGATTGAACTAAGGCTCAAACTCATTTCATTTGAAGTACCATGTAAATATCAATTTAGTTTTTTCTCAATATTTTAAAATACTGGATAGTCTTAGAATGTATATTGTTAATGGATTTACTTTTAAAAATATATAAAGTAGTAAATGAGGGAAAAACTCCTCGAATTTGCATATTTTAAAGCACTAGGTTAGGTGCTGGTGAGACTTTACATTCTTTGTGTATAAATTTATGATTGATTCAAAAAACGTTTTTGAGCTTTTACTGTGTATTAAAAAAATGTCCTTTACAAGGCATTGGGGATATGTAGCCCCTGCTGTCAAAAAACTTAATGACATATGCGGGAGAAAGAAAGAAATCAGTGATTACAGCTTTCAGTGCTAGAGGCATGGCCAAGATGCAGTTGGGAGCACAGGCATGGGGCCTTTAATTCAGACCAGGACATCAGGGAAAGCTGTGTAGAAGCAGGACTATTTGATTTGAGTTTTGAAGGGAGATTAAATAGATGGGGAGCATGGAAAGGTTTATCCAGACAGAACTGATAATATGCACAAAGGCAGAGGTGTGAAAAAATCCTTTAAGATTTAGAGGGGTGGCCGGGCGCGGTGGCCTCACGCCTGTAATCCCAGCACTTTGGGAGGCCGAGGCGGGCGGATCACGAGGTCAGGAGATCGAGACCATCCCGGCTAAAACGGTGAAACCCCGTCTCTACTAAAAAATACAAAAAATTAGCCGGGCGTAGTGGCGGGCGCCTGTAGTCCCAGCTACTTGGGAGGCTGAGGCAGGAGAATGGCGTGAACCCGGGAGGCGGAGCTTGCAGTGAGCCGAGATCCCGCCACTGCACTCCAGCCTGGGCGACAGAGCGAGACTCCGTCTCAAAAAAAAAAAAAAAAAAAAAAGATTTAGAGGGGTGGTCACATATGGCTGGAGAGAATGGTGTGGTGGCGTTGTAAGACTGGAAGCATTAATTATAAGTGACATTAATAAGACACGGAAAAAAAGTTGACAAGTAAGTTAGGAAAACAATACATACTAGATCCTGCTTTTGATGATATAATTATATCCCTTTACATTTTAAGTAAGGATTGTGAGAAGTGAACAATAAAGGAATACAGTTAACTTATTTAACCTAGTATTTCTCAAACTTTGGGAGAATCCTGGCTAGCTGGTTGAATAGGCACTAGGCCACAAAGAGCTCTGCACATTAAGTTAAAGAGAGTTTCAATTTTATCTTGTGGGATAAAAAAATTATGGGAAGTTGATGAAGATTTTAAACATAAGAATGTCATACTCAGATTTGGTTTGTAGAAAAATTATGCTGGTGGCAGTGTGGAGTGTAGGCTGAGAGGGCGTTGGCCGTAGAAGATGTCATCAGTGTAGAACTAAGGCACAGTAATAGGAAGTGAGGGAAGTGAGCAAAGAAAGGCACTGTCCAAAGATAATAAGAGGTAGGATTTATAGATCTTGGGGTAAGTCAAAGGAGAGCTGTGATTTTGAGTCTTCCAGCTTTAATAAGGCAAATGTATATCTTTTTCTTCCTTTTTTTTTTTTTCAGAAGATCTTGTTGCATACCGATATTTATGTGTATCTTGACAAGGATCACACACTTTGGCTTAGTTAATGTAGCTGTTTTTAAAATGAAGAATTTGTTTACATTGCTATACTTGTCTATTCACATAACACTGTTTTGCTCTGAATTGATCAGCTTAACTTTAGATTTTGACTACTGACATATAACATTAGTTATTTAATTCCAGATAACCTGAGTAGAAGTCAGTGTTGCATGATTACTTGGCTTGACACATAATTTTGTGTTCTCTCTTGTTTTTCTTGGTTACGAATTTATTCAAAATTTAAATTAGTTACTTTAATTTAAAATTAAAATTTAATTTAAAAATGTCACTTATAATTAATGTATGTCACTTAAAATCATGTATGTATATATTCTCATCTGGGAAAGAATTTATTATAAATATTTTTCTGCTTTCTTTTTTAAAGATTTCACCCATAATTCTTAATACTGTGTTGACAATCATGGCTGCATTGTCTCCAAAAACAAAAGAAGATGGATCCAAAGATACGTCTAAGGAAATGGAAAATCTTTGGGGTATCAAATCGATTAATGATTATAACACTTGGTTTCTTGGTGTTGACACGGCAACAGAAATAACGGAAAGCTTCAAAGGCATTGAACATTCACTGATAGAGGAAAATTGTGGTGTTGTTGTAGAATCCATTCAAGTTACCTTAGAATGTGGCCTTGGACATCGAACTGTACCTTTATTATTGGCAGAGTCTAAGTTTTCAGGAAATATTAAAAATTGGACTTCTCTAATGGCTGCTGTTGCTGACGTGACACTACAGGTATGGCCACATCACTTAATACCTTCAGAGACTTCTTGAAAGTGCGATTTTGGAATTAAGATATACACTTTTCTTGTTTGTGCATGGCCACTATGAGTACATATGTGAATAGATAGTGTGTTCTGACATTTAATTTGTCGATGTATTGTTTTTTGATAATTATTTTTTAAAGATTGATTTGCTAAATAATTTATGACAATAGAGTAAGAGAGTAAAGGAAAATACACTCTATATATTGTTAGATGGGTTTTGAAAATGGCTAATGATATATAACATTGATTACTTAATAATTTCCCTATTGGTTACAGAAATATGTAATTAAAGCCAAAGGACTGTCTTATAATTTTGTGTGTATCTTTCCAGGTGCACTATTACAATGAGATCCATGCTGTCTGGGAGCCACTGATTGAGAGAGTGGAGGGGAAGAGACAATGGAATTTAAGGCTTGATGTAAGGAAATCTTAAAATATCTTTGGATAGAATGATACTATGCATATTCATTCATAGTTTTTATTTCAGTGATTCTTAAGATGTGGTCTAGGATCCTTGAAGCCCTTTTAAGGGCTCTGTCCATGAGGTCAGAACTCTTTTCATATGTCATTTTCATTCTCATTCTCTCACGAGTGTATAGTGGAGTTTTCCAGAGACTAATGAAGGTGATACTGCAACAGATTGAATGCAGAACAGAAACGAGAATTTATCTGTCTTCCCTTAAGGCAGGCAGTAAAGAGATATATGTGTATGTTCCTCTTCTCACTGTATTTTTAAAATAGTTATTTTTGATTAAAAATGTTATTTATATTAGCATGTAATTTTTATTTTTAAATGAATTTTTAATTTTTTTTCAGTTTTAATTGTTAATAGAGTACATATTGGTAGATAAAACATAAATGAAGCTCTTTAGTATACTCAGTGATTTTTAAGGGTGAGACCAGAATATTTGAGAATTGTTAATGAACTCTTGTGTGTTATCTTTTTATGTTGTTTTTTGAGAACACCTCAGAAACCTAGATACTGAAGCACATTTTTCTTGATTAAAAGGAACTTGAGTCATATATTGTTAAGAAATTGTCGTAGCATACTTCTTTGGGGCAGCCTTACTAAGGAGTCAGGCACTGAAACTGACTCCACATATTCTTTTGTTAAAGATGAGTCACTTAACCTGTGTTCCAATTTCCTCTCAATAAAGAAGTAATATTTTTCTGACCTGCCTTTCTCTGGCATAGGGAGGCTAACAAAGAATGTTTTACAAGGCTTTTGAAATACTACTAGAACAGAAGCTGATGGAATCTGATGGCTAGTTAAGTGTTTATTATATTAATATTACTTATTTGAAGGTGTTATTGGTTTAAAAAATAGAAGGAGAGAAACATTTCCAGGTGGCACCTCTAATAGGGATCAGTTTAGACTTCAGGGTCCTCTTAGATTGCTCGTCAACACATAATCACCAGTTGGGTGACACTGAATAAATAGCTATGCTCTGAGGAATGCATAAGAGACAAATATTGTAGCTGGCTTTGAGTAATTTCATGGCGTAATTCTAAACTTTTCCCCATGCTTGGACTATACCCTGAAAGAATGAATGCTGAACTCCATGAAATCAAAGTGAAGCATGGTATATTTTTGAAAATAAGACTTTTGCGAAGCATTACTATAAAGTGATCAGTTTAGGAGAACTGAACTCCAGCATTTTTATTTTATTATCAACTGGCTAATAATTTAAATTTGCTGTGTTATTTTTCTTCATAGGTAAAGAAGAACCCAGTTCAGGATAAAAGTTTGCTGCCAGGAGATGATTTTATTCCTGAGCCACAAATGGCAATTCATATTTCTTCAGGAAATACAATGAATATAACAATATCCAAAAGTTGTCTTAATGTTTTCAACAATTTAGCAAAAGTATGTCTGAATCTTGCTTAGAATATTTCAAGTGGAATTTTAAAATGAAACATATAATTTTTTTGTCATCAAAATTAGTTTCCAAAAAATGTGTAATTATGGTATAGGTTTTGGGAAGAATGTATGTTTTTCAAAAATTTTACTGTGATGATATGTTCCTTTTCAGGGTTTTTCAGAGGGCACTGCTTCTACTTTTGACTACTCTTTAAAGGACAGAGCTCCTTTTACGGTAAAAAATGCTGTAGGTGTTCCCATTAAGGTGAAGCCCAATTGTAATCTCAGAGTAATGGGCTTCCCTGAGAAAAGTGATATTTTTGATGTTGATGCTGGCCAGAATTTGGAACTGGAGTATGCCAGCATGGTACCTTCAAGTCAAGGGAACCTATCTATATTGAGCCGTCAAGAAAGCTCCTTCTTCACTCTGACCATTGGTAGGCTATATTTGTTTTCCTTAAGGGTATCTTAGCAGTTGTTGGTGTGGGCTTATTTTTGATAAAATGTGAAAAAACATTTTGCTGCAGATATCTGGAGATACAACATTTGAAACATATAATTGCTAACCTCTTGTTTCTTGTTTTCTAAACTTGAGAAAATTAAACTTTATTGATTTAAGAAAACTTTACAAAACTAGATTATTTTTGTGCCCTTAAATAATGTATATATTATATAATATATATAAATATTATATATATAATGTGTTTTTAAAAGGATAGGAGTTTACTGAGGAGAGAAAATAGCTATATTCAGAAGTCTTACAGTGTTGACACTGTGACAAAGAAAAAGATTGTTGCTATATGATTGAGAGAATAAGAAATAAGTTGGATTTTGTTTTTATATTCAAAACCCCAAGCAAAACTGTTTTCAGCCAAAAATTTTATAACAGTAACTGGTCTTCTTTTTAAGTTTATGTCTTAGAAAAGCAATTTGTGGTGATCATTTCTAGTGATGAGGAAAAATACTCTTCATTATTTTGAGGTACTAATGATTGTTATAGAGAAACATTGGCAAATTAATATTTGGAATTCTTTTCACTTATGCACTGCCTTAGTACCTCATGGATATACAGAAGTTGCAAATATCCCTGTGGCCAGACCTGGACGGCGATTGTATAATGTACGGAATCCCAATGCCAGTCATTCTGACTCTGTCTTGGTACAAATTGATGCAACTGAAGGGAATAAAGTAATTACCCTTCGCTCTCCTCTACAGGTAATACTTCAAAGTTAATTGTATCCCTTTCAGTGTACCAAGAAATGGTTAAATCATTTAGCTGAATATAGGAATACAGTAAAACTTCATCAGGTCAATTCTGATTATTCAGAAATAAATAGTAATTATTCAGAAATAAATAGTAACAGAAATGGCTTCTATTTACTGTCCAGCTTGCTCTGATAATATTTATTTTAAATGTCTGTAGTTTTGTTTACTTAAAGCTCATTTTTGTTTTCTGTCTTTTAAGACAAATGCAAAATTAATAAAGCTCTTTTGGTATATTCCTTTAAATATTCAGAACCGAGGATTATTGTAATTGTAGTTAGGAAACATTCCATTCTCTTTGTATGTCACTTGGATTATATTTTTCAAGATATGTATGAAGGCATATTGGAATGATCTATCCCTCTGAAAAACATTTTAGCATCTTAATCTGTGTAAATATTTTTTCTACTTTTAAGGTTTTATCCAACATTTTTCTTTTTCTGTGTATTACTACAGGTTTCAGCATATGGTCAACAAAAGAACATTTTTTTTCCTACCTGTAACATCAGATACAAATGAAAAGGTTTCAAATTTTGGACATTGTTATCTTATAGTTTGTTATTTGCTCCAATGCGTAACAGACTGATGTCAAGAAAAGAATTGTACTATTTTTCTCATGATTTTTTGCTATCCATTTCTGTTTAGTTGTTATACATGATACATTGAGAAAAGATTGTCATGGAGAAAAAATGGCTTAAATCTTCAGAGAATAATACATATTTGAAAGATAATATAGACTAATACTAAACATAAGCTTATAATATATGGAGCATTTGAATATCTCAGTTTTCAACTGACACTTAAACATTAAATTTAATATATATAGCACTTAAATACCCTAAAATTTTTCAATTGCCAATAAAAATATCTTCCAATACTGAGTTTGAAATTTTTTAGATCTAAAAGTATTTGTTTGTGGCTCTCATTTTTTCTTTCGAACTTACATATCTTTTAAAAAACTTGTATTTTTTTTTGTCCAACAGATCAAAAACCATTTCTCCATTGCATTTATCATCTATAAATTTGTTAAGAATGTTAAGCTATTGGAGCGCATTGGGATAGCCAGACCTGAAGAGGAGTTCCATGTTCCTTTAGATTCATATAGGTAGATACTTCTTAAATGTATTAAACTTTAAATGTATTGAGTTGGGGATTTATATTCTGGCAAATAACTTCATATTTTTATTAACTAAAGATCAGTAAAAGCCAGTTTTAAGACATAATTTAGTCTTCCATTGAGAAATACATTTATATTATCATTGAATTTATCAGGTGAAAATTCCTGACTGTATATTTGATGTCAGGATTTTTCTGACTATTTTTATTAGATTGCCTTTGTATTTGAAATGAAAATTTTTTTAAGTTGTCTTGTTTACAGAGTTGTTTTTTGTTTGTTTGTTCTTTTCAGAAAGTCCTCCGTAAGTTAGCTATGTGATTTTGGGTGAATTTCCTAACCTTTTTTTTAGCCCTGGTTTCCTCATCTGTATATCTGTAAAAACAGGAATAATAGCACCTATCTTGTAGAGTTGTCAGGAAGATTTAATGAGATGCTTTTTTTTAAGTTGTGGATCAAAACTTTATTGTCACTGTTTCCTCTTTCTGCAGATGTCAATTGTTTATCCAGCCAGCTGGAATCTTAGAGCATCAGTACAAAGAATCTACCACTTATATTTCCTGGAAGGAAGAACTTCATAGGAGCAGGGAAGTCAGATGCATGTTGCAGTGTCCATCAGTAGAAGTCAGCTTCTTACCTCTCATAGTGAATACAGTTGCTCTGCCTGATGAATTGAGCTACATATGTACACATGGGGAAGACTGGGATGTAGCTTACATTATTCATCTTTATCCTTCTCTCACTTTGCGGAATCTTCTCCCATATTCCCTAAGATATTTACTTGAGGTATGTCTCTTGCATTTTGTTTGATTTTTGTTGTTGCACAGAGTAAATTCTGATTTTGTTTTATGGTATTTTTAAGTGAGGTCAGTGTTTTATATAGCGTATGTGTAATGTGTAATGCCTTCATAATGTTAATGATAGCAAAAACTGGCATAACATTTACTATGTGCCAGGAACTGCTCTGTGTGCTTTACATGTATTAGCCTATTTACTCTTTATAATAACCTCCTGATGTAGGTACTATTATCAGGCCCATTTTACACATAAGAAAACTGAGTTGAAAATGGGTTAAGTGACTGGCTCAAGGTCCCATAGCTAGGAAGTGGTGGAGCTGGGATTTGAACCTAGGCAGTTTGGCTTTTTGATCCCTGCCTCTTTACTGTATCTTCCTTAAATTAAGAAGCATGATCGTCTGTTTATTAATTAAGTAAAATTCCATTAACTAAAAGATAGGAAAAAATGAGAAAATATTTCATCTTAAAGTTTTTATTTTAAAGTCAATATTATGATTGTTTCTTCAAGGTTCTATTGAAAATAAACCTTGGAAAATAAAAAAAATAATTACTGTCTGTCTTAAGAAGTAATAAAGATTTTCTAGTAATGGTATATGATAAATATTTTAAAATTTCTGTATGGCAGTATATTTTAAAATATGAAAATCTGGAAAGTGTTTGGAACCTACATGTTTTTTTATCTGACAATGAGCCATTCCTGAGTTGTGGAGACAAAAATTAATTAAATGAATTAAATAGTATTTATATGAGTATTTTATAAGAATTAAATAGTATTTATGTAAGGAGATTTTTAGTAAGGAAACATGGTTTATATGTTATTATTCATTTTTCAAATAATGCCACCTTACTTAGATAACTCGTCAGAGTAACTTTTTACTCTGACTAGTAAATAAGAATAATTTTCTTATTCCATTCATATGGGAACCATTAGTCATGGTCTATAATTAGAGGATAAAACTGAAGGCCAGGCAGTTAAGTGGCTCATTTAATGACATAGCTCTAATGGACAACAGCCAGGCTTCCTGAATCTAGTCTTTGACTCTTGATATAGACCTGATTTTTTCACAAAACTGATGGCTATTAGCCTCCTAATGGCCAAAGTCAGTTTCTGCCTGTGGCTATGGTGTAGCGTTTTCTTTTTAGTCCTTGGTGAGTACTGGACATTTGTAATATGTAAGCATGGTACTTCACAGAAGACTTAGCAGTTTACATGCATCTGGTAGTTTATTTAGCATTTGTGAAAAATAAGAATTTTGTTATTTCAGAGTTTTTAAAAAGTTACTCAGCGAATTTTTGTTTGTTTTTAGGGAACAGCAGAAACTCATGAGCTGGCAGAAGGCAGTACTGCTGATGTTCTGCATTCGAGAATCAGTGGTGAAATAATGGAATTAGTCCTGGTGAAATACCAGGGCAAAAACTGGAATGGACATTTCCGCATACGTGATACACTACCAGAATTCTTTCCTGTGTGTTTTTCTTCTGACTCCACAGAAGTGACGACAGTCGACCTGTCAGTCCACGTCAGGAGAATTGGCAGCCGGATGGTGCTGTCTGTCTTTAGTCCCTATTGGTTAATCAACAAGACTACCCGGGTTCTCCAGTATCGTTCAGAAGATATTCATGTGAAACATCCAGCTGATTTCAGGGATATTATTTTATTTTCTTTCAAGAAGAAGAACATTTTTACTAAAAATAAGGTGTGGTTTTGTTCACATAATAAGTTAAAGCAGATAAATTCCTAATCTAGAAACTTGGGAGTCATTTGTCTTCCCTAAAACCATGCTAACCTATTTGCTAAATGCCATTGGTGTGAATTAGGTTCAAGGAGACTTAAGCGTAATCAAGTGGGATGTTAGGAACTAATAGGTTTCCTGAGACTATGAGTTGCCCTTTTCTCCAATGCCTATAGAGTTACCTCTGTTCTTGAAGTAGTAGTAGTAGTAGTAGTAGTATAGTAGATAGAATAGCTTGAATTTATGTACTTTACCAGTGATGAAATGGCATTTCTAAAGATGTAACCATTGAATTTGGCATATATTAGTTGAGCCTTCCTATGTGTGAAGCACTCAGGCAGGCCTTTGGGAGAGAAACCTAATGCCTAAGCCTCATCCTTTATGCTCTGGTCTCTTCTTTCCTCTTCAGGCTCACATTTTGGTATCCCTCACCACACATTTCCCCAAGGACTCACCTCTAGGCTTTTGTATATGCTGCACCCTTTGCCTACAGTGCCTCTTCCCCTGTTTTTTTTCTGTCTTCTTCATCGTTCCTGATATCTGCTGTTCATCCTTTGGCATTCTGCTCAAGCCTGATATATATGAAGATTTTCTAACCATTTAAAATGGGCCTAGACATCCCATCCGTGTTTGTACAGGAGTAGTGGTTCTCAAATTTCAGTGTACATTATTAGAAACACCTAAAGGTTTTTTTTTTTTTTTTTTTTTTTTTTTTTTTAAGGCAGAGTTTTGGCCAGGCTCGGTGGCTTATGCCTGTAAATCCCAGCCAGCACTTTGCGAGGCTGAGGCTGGTGGATCACCTGAGGTCAGGAGTTTGAGACCAGCCTGGCCAACCTGGTGAAACCCCGTCTCTACTAAAAATACAAAAATTAGCTGGGCGTGGTGGCAGATGCCTGTAATCTCAGCTACTCGGGTGGCTGAGGCAGGAGAATCACTTGAACCCGGGAGGCAGAGGTTGCAGTCAGCTCTGCACTGCACCATTGCACTCCAGCCTGGGCGATAGAGTGAGACCCCATCTCAAAAAAAAGAAACATAGTTTTGTTCTTGTTGCCCAGGCTGGAGTGCAGTGGTGTGGTCTTGGCTCACTGCAACCTCCGCCTCCCGGGTTCAAGCGATTCTCCTGCCTCAACCTCCCAAGTAGCTAGGATTACAGGTGCCTGCCGCCACACAGTGCTAATTTTTGTATTTTTAGTAGAGATGGGATTTCACCATGTTGGCCAGTCTGGTCTCGAACTCCTGACCTTAGGTGATCTGCCAGCCTCGGCCTCTCAAAATGCTGGGATTACAGGTGTGAGCCACCACGCATGGCACCTGAAGGGTTTTAAACACTGATGGCTGGGTCCTGTCTGTAGAGTTTGATTCAGTAGGTCTGGGTATGGTTTGAGAATTTGCATTTCCAACAGGTGATGCTTTGGCAACTCCACTCTCTTTGAGTGTTGATTAACACATGGTATTGTAATTGCTTGTATATGTGTCTGACCTCTAGTTGTCCTCAAGTTTTTTACAAACTAATTGGGTGGGTGAAGGTGAGATTAATACAAGGGCACAATTTGATCTCTTCTATAAAACTTTATCTAAATCCCAGAACCAGAAGTAAACTATTTATCCTCTCACCTCTATAGCATTTTTTGCCTCTTGTATGGTTCTTATCCCATTGAGTCTTGTATCATAATTTTTCGTATGTATTTCCTAATCTCTCTGTCTAGTTGGAAGCTCATCGAAGACAGGAACTGTGTCCTGCTGTCTTCCATTCTGCCTGTCACAATGTCTTTAATGTAGTGTCTGCTGAACAATGTTGAAGACATAAATTCTCTTTATGCTAAGACTTTAAAAATTTGTTAGCTCTATGTCATAAGTCTATCACTGGAAAACATCGTTTTGCATTATAATTCTTTTTAAAAACAATACATAATCTCATTGGTATCTAGATTTACTATACTCATTGCATAGGTGAATGAGAAAGTCAGAACTTTCTCATTCAAACTTTCTCAGGAAGTTTTTGTTTTGTTGTTCCCTAGAGTTTTTTGTGGTTCTGTTACCTGTTTGCAATATGGCTTTGATTATATATTTCTGTGTCCCACGGTACTAAAGAAATTTCTAGTAGTCCAGCAACTTTCTCTCAAATAAAATTATTATAGTGTTTTAGATTTCTTATATGACGATATGTGCTCTCTGGTATAGGTACAATTAAAAATTTCAACCAGTGCCTGGTCCAGTAGTTTCTCATTGGATACAGTGGGAAGTTATGGGTGTGTGAAGTGTCCTGCCAACAATATGGAGTACCTGGTAAGATTCTGCTTCCTTATTTACCTTTGATTCCGTTCACCTTTGCTACAGTTCAACAAACAAGTTGGAATAAACATATGTGTGCATGTGTCTTTATAGCAGCATGATTTATAGTCCTTTGGGTATATACCCAGTAATGGGATGGCTGGGTCAAATGGTATTTCTAGTTCTAGATCCCTGAGGAATCGCCACACTGACTTCCACAATGGTTGAACTAGTTTACAGTCCCACCAACAGTGTAAAAGTGTTCCTATTTCTCCACATCCTCTCCAGCACCTGTTGTTTCCTGACTTTTTAATGATCGCCATTCTAACTGGTGTGAGATGGTATCTCATTGTGGTTTTGATTTGCATTTCTCTGATGGCCGGTGATGGTGAGCATTTTTTCATGTGTACTATCGCAAGGACAAAAAACCAAACACCGCATGTTCTCACTCATAGGTAGGAATTGAACAATGAGAACACATGGACACAGGAAGGGGAACATCACACTCTGGGGACTGTTTTGGGGTGGGGGGAGGGGGGAGGGATAGCATTAGGAGATATACCTAATGCTAAGTGACCAGTTAATGGGTGCAGCACACCAGCATGGTACATGTATACATATGTAACTAACCTGCACATTGTGCACATGTACCCTAAAACTTAAAGTATAATTAAAAAAAAAAAAACAAGTTGGCTCCTAAAGTGTACCGAAATTTGAATTTCAAGTGATAATGTGGAGGGCTGTTATCACTACAAATTTTTATGGTCACTGATACCAGAGCAAAACCTGAATTTGTCTAAGTTTAGGACATTGAGTTTAATCCATCCAGTTGAGCAACTTGGTAAATATTCACAGTATGCTAGAATCCTTATTCTGTACCACCCCTTGCCAGACATTTCTTAAATCTTAAATTTGACTAGTATGAAAATTTGAATAATATGATGCCAATTAACCTATTTTATTACTACTTCAAAATTTTTATTTTACTAATAGCAGATAACAAAGCCTGTACACTAATTATAAAGCAATTTATGTTTGGAATTTTAAAAAGTAAAGAATGCTAGACGTATTAAATCTGTCATTGTAAGTCGTTAGTTAAATTACTAATTGATATTTCTTGAATTGTTTCTGATGGAGCCAAACTAAGGAACTATAATTTTTTTCTCAGAAGATAATCTTTTGCAGAATGTAACTTATAGTTGCTTTATTTAAGAATTATTATTTTAAAATATTGTAAGAAGTTTGTGTGTGAATGAGGGGATGTGTATATATTTCAAAGACATTGAATAAACTGGAAAATAAGCTTTTTTCCTTTCCACAGGTTGGTGTTAGCATCAAAATGAGCAGTTTCAACCTTTCACGAATAGTTACCCTGACTCCCTTTTGTACCATTGCAAACAAGTCATCATTAGAACTAGAAGTTGGCGAGATTGCATCTGATGGCTCAATGCCAACTAATAAATGGAACTATATTGCTTCTTCAGAGGTAGCATTTTTCTTTGTTACAACTGATTCCTAAAATATACAAATAAATATTGACATCTAAATAAGAATTGTATATACCTCTTTTTCAGACTATCATATTTATGTGTTGAAATATGACAGCCAGCTTTGAAAGATTTTTCTCTTACTATATTTTTAAAAAAAGGAGAAAAGTTTTGATAATACACTAGCCCAGTCTAGATCATTAATAGTCTTTTTTCTAATTCTTCCTATATGTGTAGAACGTAGCTATGTACTGTAAAAAGTACATAGAGATTATGTACTGTGTGGTGTCTCCATAGTCAAGATAATGTCTCTATATTCAAGAAGCTATTATCTTAAAAGAGTCATAAAAGTCTGCATGTGGAGAGATAGCACATCCTAAGTTATAGGTGGTTATAGAATTTCTGAATAGGTGAGCTGGAAATTTCTTTGAAAATTAGCTAAAATTCTGCCCTCTCACTTTACTGAAAAGGAAACTGAGTTTCAGACTTTTCCAAGATTGATAAAGTCATTGGTAGTTGAAATCATGGTGTTATAGATCAAAAGATAAAAGTTTCACAGAAGAGGTGGGATTTGAACTAAGCTGTTCATGCTCAGTAAGATTAGAGGAGGTGAAGCAAATGGGGGAATGTGTGCCAGAAGAGGACAGGTGCAAAGATAAGCACTGGTGCTTGATCTTGACTGAATTTTCAACCAAACCAGCTGACTCTCAGGATAGTTGAAGGTCACTTTCTGCTGTTTAAAGAAAGATTCTAAAGTTACTTAAGAAATATTTGGCAAAAGACTCAAAAGGAAGGATTCCAATTACAATATAAATAAAGTTAGAGCCCTAAGAGCTGGTCTGTTCAAGGCACTTAGAATGATCTCCATAAACTCAGCAACAAGTAAGTGCTTATTTTTTTTTAATCTTTGTGTGGGTTTGATTATAGTAGTATTTTTTATTCAGAAATAGAATTTACTTAGTATTCTATAACAGAAGCACATTTTGTATTAGGAATGAAATCTTCAGTTTTATAAATAAAACTGAGGCTCAAAGAAGTAAGTATATGGTCTGATATCAAACAACTAGGAGGATGGTGTCAGAACTTCCAGCAAGGTCTGTGGTGTTCTCTCCTCTGCCTTCAGTTGTCTTTCTGGTTTATCTATGATTAAGATACTCTGTGAAAGAATTCATCATGTATTAATGAATTAAAATGGGTATACACAAAAGCAAATGATAATTTTTAAATATAATTTTTCAATAATTAAAATGAATTTTATAATTCTTAATCAACAGGCTCCTCAGTTTCTCATATTGCAATTATACCATAAATACATATAGACTAATATATCTGTATTCTCCTGATGTGATTTCTTTGGTTTCATGGTCATTATATTGTCAGTAATCTTACTATGAGATGTAGAGGACATATTTTTAGAAACTTCATAATAATTTAATCAAGATCAGAATCAGAATTGAAAATTTAATTAGGTAATGTCTTATTTATTATATAACGGTATTGTCTTAAGACTGATAATAACTTCTATATTTTTAGTGCCTTCCATTTTGGCCAGAAAGTTTGTCAGGCAAACTTTGTGTGAGAGTGGTGGGCTGTGAAGGATCTTCCAAACCATTCTTTTATAACCGACAGGATAATGGCACTTTATTGAGCTTAGAAGATCTGGTAAGTTTTCATATTTTATTTTATTTTTATTTTTATTTATTTAATTTTTTATTATACTTTAAGTTCTAGGGTACATGTGCAGAACGTGCAGGTTTGTTACATATGTATACATGTGCCATGTTGGTGTGCTGCACCCATTAACTTGTTATTTACATTAGGTATATCTCTTAATGCTATTCCTCCCCCCTCCCCCCACCCCACAACAGGCCCCAGTGTGTGATGTTCCCCTTCCTGTGTCCAAGTGTTCTCATTGTTCAATTCCCACCTATGAGTGAGAACATGCAGTGTTTGGTTTTTTGTCCTTGCCATAGTTTGCTGAGAATGATGGTTTCCAGCGGCGCTATTCACAATAGCAAAGACTTGGAACCAACTCAAATGTGCAACAATGATAGACTGGATTAAGAAAATGTGGCACATATACACCATGGAATACTATGCAGCCATAAAAAATGATGAGTTCATGTCCTTTGTAGGGACATAGATGAAGTTTTCATATTTTAAAATAAAATGTCTTTGATTTTTAAAATTTGCTTTGAGATATTTCAGTAAACCATGCTATCAAAATTTACTGGTAATTATTTGAAGGTGCTGCTATATCAATATATAATGCCAACATATATTTATAACAGATCAGAGCCAGTTTGCTTTTTAGTAAGAACTTAAGGAAACAGGCCGGGTGCAGAGGCTCACGCCTGTAATCCCAGCACTTTGGGAGGCCGAGGCGGGCTGATCACTAGGTCAGGAGTTCGAGACCAGCCTGGCCAATATGGTGAAACCCCATCTCTATTAAAAAGTACAAAAATTAGCTGGGCATGGTGGCACATGCCTGTAATCCCAGCTATTCGGAAGGCTGGGGCAGGAGAATTGGTTGAACCTGGGAGATGGAGGTTGCAGTAACCCGAGATGGCGCCACTGTACTCCAGCCTGGGTGACAGCAAGACTCTGTCTCGAAAAAAACCAAAGCTTTTGTGTTTTACGTAATATTGAAATTCCATATGTAAGTGTAGATTAAACCAGTACATCAAACATACTTTTTTTTTTTCTACAATAGAATGGGGGTATCTTGGTGGATGTAAACACTGCCGAACATTCAACTGTCATAACTTTTTCTGATTACCATGAGGGATCTGCACCTGCCTTGATAATGAACCATACACCATGGGACATCCTCACATACAAACAGAGGTATGAGAAAAAAGGGTTAATGGGAAATACTTTTATTGGTTCATAGTAACTAATGGGAAACACTTTGGTTTCATATTCAAAATGTTTTTAGATTTTAGAAAGGTGATATGGAACACATGGTATTTATCTTTAATACCCTTACATGTTTTGAGATAACACTCTGTAAACACATTAATATTTCTGCAGCAAAACTGATGAATATTCACATCAAATGGGATAAATAGAAATTATTAATAGTTTCGTATCAATTCAGGTCAGGTTTTGCCGCCAAATGAGTTTTGATACCAAATTTCCAGAAAAATCTTTGGGCTTTTAGAGCTTTTTAAATTTCAAAATGGCAGATAAGGGAGTGAACCTGTTTAAGTATTCCCTTTCCTGGTAATCTGGTAACGCTCAGTGAACCTCTTCCTATAAATCTGTATTTAGTTTTTTTGGGTAGGGATAGTAGAAGGTTAAATGAGAAGACGATGAGTAGATAGTGGTGTTGAATGTATATCATTGGCTGATAGGAATTTCATTGTTCTTGCCTTTGCTGTCATTTGTTTTGGATGATGTCATTATTTAATGGTAGAGAATTTAAGCCCTTAAAGTATCGTATAATTTTATTTATAAAATTATATTTATATTAACATATGTATATATGTGTATATATTCATGCATATATACACACATATAAATGTATGTATATATGTAAATTTGTTAAAGATTTCCCTAGTCTTAATTCTAATGGAGTGAATCCAGTGAGAGACTTAAAAGTACAGATTAGGATTAAAACCTAGTTGGATTACTTTTTTTCTCCCAGTTCTCTGGAATATTTTTTGCATTAAATGGACAAATACTTCTTAAATTGTAATAATCAATTTTAAAATCTCCTGGGAGTCTTGTTAAGATGCAGATTTTGACTCAGTAGGTTTTGGATGGGACCCAGGACTTTGCCTTTTCCTGCAAGACCCCAGGTAATACTTATTCTGCCTGTTTACGGACCACACTTTGTGTAGTAACAGTGTGAACATAATTTTTTTGTTGCTGTGACCCATAATATATCTTAAGTATTGTATTTGTTAAAAAGCTTAGCTGGTCACAGTAATGCATACCTATAGTCACAGCTACTTGAGAGGCTTGGGTAGGAGCATCTCATGAGCCCAGGAGTTTGAGGCTGTAGTGCAATATGATCTTGCCTGTGAATGAACACTGCATTCCAGCCTGGGAAACAGGGAGACCCTGTCTTTAAAAAATATGTTTAAATTTAAGCACTGAATAGAAGTTCTTCTGCTACTAAACATATTTCCTCTTCACAGCCATTTCCACAGGTGGACCCTGATCTGGCAATCTGTTTACCTAATGAATTCCATTGCTATGATTCCACTTGGATCAATTCCGAGTGCATTGAAGCTTCAGAAAGGGCAATATTCTGTTTCCCCGAGCTTAAAAACCATGAGTTTATTAGATATTTTAGGGTACTTGTTTTTAGGTAGAGTTGTGTTTTATTAACCACAGCAATTTCGTAGGACTTCTGTGCTAATCCCTTCCTCAGTAAACTACAGGTTTGGGTTTCTTATCTCCAAGATATTCTGATTTTCTCTCTGTTCATTGTGTTTTAGTGGGTCACCAGAAGAAATGGTCTTGCTGCCAAGACAGGCTCGACTTTTTGCCTGGGCAGATCCTACTGGTACCAGAAAACTTACATGGACATATGCAGCAAATGTTGGGGAACATGATCTGTTAAAGGTATCTTTTGATGTGAATGAGTGCTATATGAGTTACCTGACAGTGAAGGAAGTAGAGAAGCTATCTTCACTGACTCCTTGTCCTAATTGAACTAAAAGTGAATTGGAAGTATTTCCAGAAAAAGTAGCTTTTGGACTTTAGATGGCAAATACTGTAGTTCAAACCAGTATATTACCTTAGCTCTATCAAAGTAATTTATTTACAATTTAAAAAATAGACCTGCTTTATCTTGCCTATGTAAAGCACCTTTTTAATTAATTTACCTATTTTAAAAGGAAGGAATTGTAAGACTAAGTTAAAAACAACTTTATTTTGAACATACCTATGCCACTTTTGGCTATGAGTTTTTAAAGCTTGTTTTCCTAAGCACAGCTATGTATTTTGTTAATTAATGAAGTCTGATAGTATGCAAATTATCGCATGTAAGAAATTTAGTGAAATATTTATCGAAACAATATTTAGGTAGCTGAGTTGATTAAATATGTTATTTTTTAGACTCTTAGCCTCTGAAAGGGCCCAAAGAATTCATATACCATCCTCCCATCTGATATAGGAATTGCTCCTGCATTAGTAATATATCATCCAGTTTCTGTATGAATAAAATCCATGATGAAAGAGTTTAAATAGTGTCATTGTCCATTGTTCACTTGTCCAATAATGCCAGCTGTTAAAAGGCTTTCTTGACTTTTGCTTTAAAATGGTAATTGGCCAGTAGTTACTGAATTATCCTCATTTCTTCTCTCCTCACATTTGATACTACTTAGCAACTGTAGCTCCCAGTAAGTAGCATGTAGATACTAGAGAGAAGGTAGCAATGACATTCTGGAGGAGGATATCAAGGTCTGTGTATAGAAGGAGATCCGGGAAGAATTCTGTTCACAGCATGGTCAGGGATTTCAGTTTTTAATGTTTCTCTTCTATTTGGTGTTAGAGAATGAGGCAGTAGGAAGAGAGGGTGATTCCACCTCAGTCAGCAGATAGTCTGCCACGTATTGAAAATTGAGCTATAAGCAAGGAAATCGTTTATGTCCTTGTCCACTCAGTTGATCAAAGAAGGGAGTTCTGCTTAGGCCCAAGTGGACATGACAGGGGAGTTCAAAGAAAATCATACATTGTTGGCAAACACTAGGTTTACACAGATCTTTCCTCATTTAAGTATGATAAACAGAAAAAACCCCAACATGGGCTTTATGAAAAAAATACTTCATTAGAAAAAGGTAGCATTATCCTGTTGATTCAGAAGGTAGTTATACCTCTGAAAATTTTTTTACTACAGGACCAGAAGAAGCATTTCGAAATGTATGCCTGGCATCCTCAACTAAGTTATAAAGACATGACAACTATGAAATAAGAGAAAGCAAGGTGAAATAAAAGATAAAGACAGCAAAATGAAGTGTAAGAGGAGAGGGGAAACTGTATTCTGTGCATACTATATATTTATATCCCATTTAATCCTAAATTTTATTAGAGAAATGACAAAGATTATATCTTTTTAAAAAAGCTATCAATTAGTAGAACTCAAATCAGTGAGAAAGGAATTTCAAAACAATGAGAAAATGAAAATAAGTAAAACTTTGCTGTTATAGTAAAAGAAAGAAACCTAAGAAAGTATATAATAAATGACAGATACATTTTATTGAGGACATATCATATATTAATGCTTTTTATATATTATCACTAATTCTTACGATAGGAATTTTGAACTGCTAGTTGGAATTCAAAATCAGATCTGTCTGACTTCAAAGTCTGTGAACTTTTTCTGCTAGACCATGCTTCCCATCAGTTATGTCAGTAAATGAAAATGGTTTAAATTCTATTAAAAGATAAAAACATTCAGATTAAATTACAACATAAGATTTAACTGTAAGTTTTTTACAAGACTTCTGTTTCAGCCAAGCTAACAGAAAATTATAACCATGAAGATAGATGGTAAAGATTTAACAAGCAAATGGAAGCAAAAAGAAAGTAAAGATGTTGATTTTAATTTCTTTCCTTTTAAAAATTCATACATAATAGTTGTACATTTTGGGGGATACCTGTGATATTTTGATACATACATAAAATGTGCAATAATCAAGTTGGAGTAATTGGCGTATCACCTGAAACATTTCTCTTTATGTTGGGAACATTTCAAATCTTCTCTTCTAGCAATTTTGAGCTACAGAATACATTATTGTTAACTATAGTAACCCTACTGTACTAGCTAACACAACAAGATGTTACTCCTTCTGACTATATTTTTGTACCCATTAACCAACTTCTCTTGTTCCCTCCAATCCCCTTCTCATCCTTTGGTAACCAACATCAACTCTCTATAAAGTAAAATACACTTTTTTTTTTTAGCTCCCACATATGAGTGAGAACATGTGCTATTTGTCTTTCTGTACCTGACTGACTTCACTTAACATAATGACCTCCAGTCCTATCCATATTGCTGCAAATGACAGGATTTCAGTCATTTTTATTACTGAATAATATTACATTCTGTATATATAGCACATTTTCTTTATCCATTCATCTATTGATGGACATTTAGGTTGGTTCCATATCTTAGCTATTGTGAATAGTGTTGCAATAAATATGGGACCTTCAATATTCTGATTTCCTTTCATTGGGATATATACCAAGCAGCGGAATTGCGGATTATAGTTCTGTTTTTAGTTTTTTGAGGAAACTCCATACTGTTTTCCATGTAGCTCTACTACTTTACATTCCCATCAACACTGTGCAAGTGTTTCCCTTTCTCCACTTCCATGCCAGCATCTCTGTCTTTTTTTTTTTTTTTAATTAAAGCCTCTAACTGGGGTGAGATAATCTCATTGTGGTTTTGACTTGTATTTCCCTGGTGTTTAGTGATGTTGAACATTGCTTTATATACATGTTTGCCATTGTATGTCTTCTTTTGAGATATGCCTCTTCAGATCTTTTGCCCGTTTTTAAATCACATTTTTTTTTTTTAAGGAATTCAAAACACTCCACCAAGCTTGTGGAGTGTTTTGAGTTCCTTATATTTTCTGGTTATTAATCTCTTATTAGACAGATAGTTTGCAAATAATTTCTCTCTTTCGGTTTGTTGTCTCTACTTTGTTGATTATTTCCTTTGCCGTGAAGCCTTTTAGCTTAATGTAATCCTATATGTTTGTTTTCACTTGTGTTGATTGTGCTTTTGAGGTGTTATCCAAAGTCTTTGCCTAGACCAGTGTCCTAAAGCATTTCCCCAATGTTTTCTTTAAATAGTTCTAAGGTATCAGGTCCTAGATTTAAGTCTTTAATCTATTTCGGTTTCATTTTTGCATATGGCAAGAGGTAGGGGTCTAGTTTAATTCTCCTGCATCATATGGTTATCCAGTTTTCCCAGCACCATTTGTTGAAGACACTGTCTTTTTCCAGTATATTCTCTTGCCGCCTTTGTTGAAGATGAGTTGGCTGTAAATGCATGGATTTATTTCCGGGTTCTCTATTTTGTTCCATTGGTCTGTTTTTATGCTACTGCCACGATGTTTTGGTTACTATAACTTTGGTATGTTTTGAAGTCAGTCAGTGTGATGTGTTCAGCTTTATTCTTTTTGCTCAGGATTACTTTGGCTATTCAGGTTCCATATGAATTTTAGGTTTTCTCTGTTTATGTGAATAATATCATTGGTATTTTGATAGGGATTGCATTGGTCTTGTAGATCGCTTTGGGTAGTAGAGACATTTTAACAATATTAAATTCTTATAAACCATGAATAAGGGATATCGTTCTATTTTTTGGTGTCCTATTTCATTTTTTTCATTAGTGTTTCATAGCTTTATACATTTTGGTCAAATCTTTTTCCTAGGTATTTTATATATTTTTTGTAGCTTTTGTAAATGGTATTGCTTTCTTGATTTCTTTTTTAGTTTGTTTGTTGTTGGCATAAAGCTATGCAGTTGATTTTTTTTTTTGGAGACAGGGTCTCGCTCTGTCACCTGGGCTGGAGTGCAGTGGTGTGATCATGGTTCACTCCAGCCTCAACCTCCCAGGCTCAAGTAATTCTCCCTTCAGTCTCTCGAATATCAGGGACTACAGTTGTGTACCACCAAGCCCAGCGTTTTTGTTTTTGTTTTTGTTTTTTTTCTGTAGAGACGGAGTTTCGCCATGTTGCCCAGGCTGGTCTCAAATTCCTGAGGTCAAGCGATTCACCTGCCTTGGCCTCTGAAAGTGCTAGGATTGCAGGCATGAGCCACTGTGCCCAGCCATTTGATTTTAATATATTGATTTTGCGTCCTGCAACTTTACCAAATTTATCCGTTTTAACAGGTTTTTTCTTTTTTTTTAATGTGTGTGGAGTCTTTAGGTTTTTCTAAATGTAATATGTTGTTTGTGAACGAGGATAATTTGACTTTTTTTTTTTTTTCAAATTTGGATGCCCTTTTTTTCTTTCGCTTGCCTGAGGGCTTTGACTAGGACTTCACTATGTGAAATAAAAATGGTGAAAGTGGGCATCTTTGTCTTGTTCTAGATCTTAGAGGAAAGGCTTTCAAATTTTCCTTCTTCGGTATGATGTTAGCTGTGGGTTTGTTATATATAGCCTTTATCATTTTGAGATACGTTCCTTCTGTGCCTAGTTTGTTGAGAACTTTTTTCATAAAGCAATACCAAATTTTGTCAAACGCTTTTTTAGCATCTGTTGAAATGATCACATGGTTTTTGTCCTTGATTCTATTAATGTCATGTGTCATGTTAATTTGCTTATGTTGAACCATCCTTGCATCCCTAGGATGAATCTCATTTGACCCTAGTGATGGATCTTTTTAATGTGTTACTGCATTCAGTTTGCTGGTATTTTGTTGAGGATTGTAGTTGTTGTTGTATCTTTGTCTGGTTTTAGTAATAGGTTAATGCTGGCCTTTGTAAAATGAGTTTAGAAGTATTCCCCGCTCTGCAGTTTTTTTTTTGAAGAGTTGGAGTAGAATGGTTATTAGTTCATTTTTTTTTAAACACTTTTAATTTTTTTTTTTACGTTTTTTTTCTTTTATTATTATACTTTAAGTTTTAGGGTACATGTGCACATTGTGCAGGTTAGTTACATATGTATACATGTGCCATGCTGGTGCGCTGCACCCACTAACTTGTCATCTAGCATTAGGTATATCTCCCAATGCTATCCCTCCCCCTCCCCCCACCCCACAACAGTCCCCAGAGTGTGATGTTCCCCTTCCTGTGTCCATGTGATCGCATTGTTCAGTTCCCACCTATGAGTGAGAATATGCTGTGTTTGGTTTTTAGTCCTTGTGATAGTTTGCTGAGAATGATGATTTCCAGTTTCATCCATGTCCCTACAAAGGACATGAACTCATCATTTTTTATGGCTGCATAGTATTTCATGGTGTATATGTGCCACATTTTCTTAATCCAGTCTATCATTGTTGGACATTTGGGTTGGTTCCGAGTCTTTGCTATTGTGAATAATTCCGCAATAAACATATGTGTGCATGTGTCTTTATAGCAGCATGATTTATAGTCCTTTGGGTATATACCCAGTAATGGGATGGCTGGGTCAAATGGTATTTCTAGTTCTAGATCCCTGAGGAATCGCCACACTGACTTCCACAATGGTTGAACTAGTTTACAGTCCCACCAACAGTGTAAAAGTGTTCCCATTTCTCCACATCCTCTCCAGCACCTGTTGTTTCCTGACTTTTTAATGATTGCCATTCTAACTGGTGTGAGATGGTATCTCATTGGGGTTTTGTCTTGGATTTCTCTGATGGCCAGTGATGATGAGCATTTTTTCATGTGTTTTTTGGCTGCATAAATGTCTTCTTTTGAGAAGTGTCTGTTCATGTCCTTTGCCCACTTTTTGATGGGGTTGTTTGTTTTTTTTCTTGTAAATTTGTTTGAGTTCATTGTAGATTCTGGATATTAGCCCTTTGTCAGATGAGTAGGTTGCGAAACTTTTCTCCCATTTTGTAGGTTGCCTGTTCACTCTGATGGTAGTTTCTTTTGCTGTGCAGAAGCTCTTTAGTTTAACTAGATCCCATTTGTCAATTTTGTCTTTTGTTGCCATTGCTTTTGGTGTTTTGGACATGAAGTCCTCGCCCATGCCTATGTCCTGAATGGTAATGTCTAGGTTTTCTTCTAGGGTTTTTATGGTTTTAGGTCTAACGTTTAAGTCTTTAATCCATCTTGAATTGATTTTTGTATAAGGTGTAAGGAAGGGATCCAGTTTCAGCTTTCTACATATGGCTAGCCAATTTTCCCAGCACCATTTATTAAATAGGGAATCCTTTCCCCATTGCTTGTTTTTGTCAGGTTTGTCAAAGATCAGATAGTTGTAGAAATGCGGCGTTATTTCTGAGGGCTCCGTTCTGTTCCATTGATCTTTATCTCTGTTTTGGTACCAGTACCATGCTGTTTTGGTTACTGTAGCCTTGTAGTATAGTTTGAAGTCAGGCAGTGTGATGCCTCCAGCTTTGTTCTTTTGGCTTAGGATTGACTTGGCAATGCGGGCTCTTTTTTGGTTCCATATGAACTTTAAAGTAGTTTTTTCCAATTCTGTGAAGAAAGGCATTGGTAGCTTGATGGGGATGGCATTGAATCTGTAAATTACCTTGGGCAGTATGGCCATTTTCACGATATTGATTCTTCCTACCCATGAGCATGGAATGTTCTTCCATTTGTTTGTATCCTCTTTTATTTCCTTGAGCAGTGGTTTGTAGTTCTCCTTGAAGAGGTCCTTCACATCCCTTGTAAGTTGGATTCCTAGGTATTTTATTCTCTTTGAATCAGTTGTGAATGGGAGTTCACTCATGATTTGGCTCTCTGTCTGTTGTTGGTGTATAAGAATACTTGTGATTTTTGTACATTGATTTTGTATCCTGAGACTTTGCTGAAGTTGCTTATCAGCTTAAGGAGATTTTGGGCTGAGACGGTGGGGTTTTCTAAATATACAATCATGTCGTCTGCAAACAGGGACAATTTGACTTCCTCTTTTCCTAATTGAATACCCTTTAGTTCCTTCTCCTGCCTGATTGCCCTGGCAAGAACTTCCAACACTATGTTGAATAGGAGTGGTGAGAGAGGGCATCCCTGTCTTGTGCCAGTTTTCAAAGGGAATGCTTCCAGTTTTTGCCCATTCAGTATGATATTGGCTGTGGGTTTGTCATAGATAGCTTTTATTATTTTGAAATACGTCCCATCAATACCTAATTTATTGAGAGTTTTTAGCATGAAGGGTTGTTGAATTTTGTCAAAGGCCTTTTCTGCATCTATTGAGACAATCATGTGGTTTTTGTCTTTGGCTCTGTTTATATGCTGGATTACATTTATTGATTTGTGTATATTTAACCAGCCTTGCATCCCAGGGATGAAGCCCACTTGATCATGGTGGATAAGCTTTTTGATGTGCTGCTGGATTCGTTTTGCCAGTATTTTATTCAGGATTTTTGCATCGATGTTCATCAAGGATATTGGTCTAAAATCCTCTTTTTTGGTTGTGTCTCTGCCCAGCTTTGGTATCAGAATGATGCTGGTCTCATAAAATAAGTTAGGGAGGATTCCCTCTTTTTCTGTTGATTGGAATAGTTTCAGAAGGAATGGTACCAGTTCGTCCTTGTACCTCTGGTAGAATTCGGCTGTGAATCCATCTGGTCCTGGACTCTTTTTGGTTGGTAAGCTATTGATTATTGCCACAATTTCAGATCCTGTTATTGGTCTATTCAGAGATTCAACTTCTTCCTGGTTTAGTCTTGGGAGAGTGTATGTGTCGAGGAATTTATCCATTTCTTCTAGATTTTCTAGTTTATTTGCATAGAGGTGTTTATAGTATAGTTTATTTGCGTAGAGGTAGTTTGTATTTGTGTGGGATCGGTGGTGATATCCCCTTTATCATTTTTTATTGCGTCTATTTGATTCTTCTCTCTTTTTTTCTTTATTAGTCTTGCTAGCAGTCTATCAATTTTGTTGATCCTTTCAAAAAACCAGCTCCTGGATTCATTAATTTTTTGAAGGGTTTTTTGTGTCTCTATTTCCTTCAGTTCTGCTCTGATTTTAGTTATTTCTTGCCTTCTGCTAGCTTTTGAATGTGTTTGCTCTTGCTTTTCTAGTTCTTTTAATTGTGATGTTAGGGTGTCAATTTTGGATCTTTCCTGCTTTCTCTTGTGGGCATTTAGTGCTATAAATTTCCCTCTACACACTGCTTTGAATGCGTCCCAGAGATTCTGGTATGTTGTGTCTTTGTTCTCGTTGGTTTCAAAGAACATCTTTATTTCTGCCTTCATTTCGTTATGTACCCAGTAGTCATTCAGGAGCAGGTTGTTCAGTTTCCATGTAGTTGAGCGGTTTTGAGTGAGATTCTTAATACTGAGTTCTAGTTTGATTGCACTGTGGTCTGAGAGATAGTTTGCTATAATTTCTGTTCTTTTACATTTGCTGAGGAGAGCTTTACTTCCAAGTATGTGGTCAATTTTGGAATAGGTGTGGTGTGGTGCTGAAAAAAATGTATATTCTGTTGATTTGGGGTGGAGAGTTCTGTAGATGTCTATTAGGTCCGCTTGGTGCAGAGCTGAGTTCAATTCCTGGGTATCCTTGTTGACTTTCTGTCTCGTTGATCTGTCTAATGTTGACAGTGGGGTGTTAAAGTCTCCCATTATTAATGTGTGGGAGTCTAAGTCTCTTTGTAGGTCACTCAGGACTTGCTTTATGAATCTGGGTGCTCCTGTGTTGGGTGCATATATATTTAGGAAAGTTAGCTCTTCTTGTTGAATTGATCCCTTTGCCATTATGTAATGGCCTTCTTTGTCTCTTTTGATCTTTGTTGGTTTAAAGTCTGTTTTATCAGAGACTAGGATTGCAACCCCTGCCTTTTTTTGTTTTCCATTTGCTTGGTAGATTTTCCTCCATCCTTTTATTTTGAGCCTATGTGTGTCTCTGCACGTGAGATGGGTTTCCTGAATACAGCACACTGATGGGTCTTGACTCTTTATCCAATTTGCCAGTCTGTGTCTTTTAATTGGAACATTTAGTCCATTTACATTTAAAGTTAATATTGTTATATGTGAATTTGATCCTGTCATTATGATGTTAGCTGGTGATTTTGCTCGTTAGTTGATGCAGTTTCTTCCTAGTCTCGATGGTCTTTACATTTTGGCATGATTTTGCAGCGGCTGGTACCGGTTCTTCCTTTCCATGTTTAGCGCTTCCTTCAGGAGCTCTTATAGGGCATGTCTGGTGGTGACAAAATCTCTCAGCATTTGCTTGTCTGTAAAGTATTTTATTTCTCGTTCACTTATGAAGCTTAGTTTGGCTGGATATGAAATTCTGGGTTGAAAATTCTTTTCTTCAAGAATGTTGAATATTGGCCCCCACTCTCTTCTGGCTTGTATGGTTTCTGCCGAGCGATCCGCTGTTAGTCTGATGGGCTTCCCTTTGTGGGTAACCCGACCTTTCTCTCTGGCTGCCCTTAACATTTTTTCCTTCATTGCAACTTTGGTGAATCTGACAATTATGTGTCTTGGAGTTGCTCTTCTCGAGGAGTATCTTTGTGGTGTTTTCTGTATTTCCTGTATCTGAACGTTGGCCTGTCTTACTAGATTGGGGAAGTTCTCCTGGATAATATCCTGCAGAGTGTTTTCCAACTTGGTTCCATTCTCCCCATCACTTTCAGGTACACCAATCAGACGTAGATTTAGTCTTTTCACATAGTCCCATATTTCTTGGAGGCTTTGCTCATTTCTTTTTACTCTTTTTTCTCTAAACTTCCTTTCTCGCTTCATATCATTCATTTCATCTTCCATCGCTGATACCCTTTCTTCCAGTTGATCGCATCGGCTCCTGAGGCTTCTGCATTCTTCACGTAGTTCTCGAGCCTTGGTTTTCAGCTCCATCAGTTCCTTTAATCACTTCTCTGTATTGGTTATTCTAGTTATACATTCTTCTAAATTTTTTTCAAAGTTTTCAACTTGTTTGCCTTTGATTTTAATGTCCTTCCGTAGCTCAGAGTAATTTGATCGTCTGAAGCCTTCTTCTCTTAGCTCATCAAAGTCATTCTCCATCCAGCTTTGTTCCGTTGCTGGTGAGGAACTGCATTCCTTTGGAGGAGGAGAGGTGCTCCGCTCTTTAGAGTTTCCAGTTTTTCTGTTCTGTTTTTTCCCCATCTTTGTGGTTTTATCTACTTTTGGTCTTTGATGATGGTGATGTACAGATGGGTTTTTGGTGTGGATGTCCTTTCTGTTTGTTAGTTTTCCTTCTAACAGACAGGACCCTCAGCTGCAGGTCTGTTGGAGTACCCTGCCGTGTGAGGTGTCACTGTGCCCCTGTTGGGGGGTGCCTCCCAGTTAGGCTGCTCGGGGGTCAGGGGTCAGGCACCCACTTGAGGAGGCAGTCTGCCCCTTCTCAGATCTCCAGCTGCATACTGGGAGAACCACTGCTCTCTTCAAAGCTGTCAGACAGGGACATTTAAGTCTGCAGAGGTTACTGCTGTCTTTTTGTTTGTCTGTGCCCTGCCCCCAGAGGTGGAGCCTACAGAGGCAGGCAGGCCTCCTTGAGCTGTGGTGGGCTACACCCAGTTCGAGCTTCCCAGCTGCTTTGTTTACCTAAGCAAGCCTGGGCAATGGCGGGCACCCCTCCCCCAGCCTCGCTGCCGCCTTGCAGTTTGATCTCAGACTGCTGTGCTAGCAATCAGCGAGACTCCGTGGGCGTAGGACCCTCCGAGCCAGGTGCGGGATATAATCTCGTGGTGCGCCGTTTTTTAAGCCCGTCGGAAAAGCGCAGTATTCAGGTGGGAGTGACCCGATTTTCCAGGTCCCGTCCGTCACCCCTTTCTTTGAGTAGGAAAGGGAACTCCCTGACCCCTTGCGCTTCCCGAGTGAGGCAATGCCTCACCCTGCTTCGGCTCGCGCACCATGCGTGCACCCACTGACCTGTGCCCACTGTCTGGCACTCCCTAGTGAGATGAACCTGGTACCTCAGATGGAAATGCAGAAATCACCCGTCTTCTGTGTCGCTCACGCTGTGAGCTGTAGACCGGAGCTGTTCCTATTCGGCCATCTTGGCTCCTCCCCCTTATTAGTTTATTTTTTAAGTGTTTGGTAGAATTCAGCAGTGAAGCCATCAGGTCCTTGGCTTTTCTTTGAGGGAAGACTTTTTATTATTGCTTTGATCTTGTTGCTTGTTACTGGTCTGCTCAGGCTTTATGTTTCTTTTAAAATAATGTTTAAAAATTGACACAATTGTACGTACTTATGATATTGTGCTATATCTGTAATATATACTGATTAGATCAGGGTAGTTAACATATTCATATCTCAAATATTTATCATTTCTTTGTGTTAGGAACATTCAATATCCTTTTTCTAGCTATATGAAACTATATAATAATATTGTTAACTGTAGTCATCCTATAATGCTATAGGACACTAGAACTGATTCCTCCTATCTTGCTGTAATTTTGTATCTCCTTTAAGAAATCTTTCCCTATCCGCCCTTCTTCCTATCCTTCCCAGCCTCTAGTATCTGCTGTTCTAATTTTTACTTTTATGAGACCAACTGTTTTTTAGCTACCACATATGAGTGAGAATGTGCAGTATTTAACTTTCTGTTCCTGGCTTATTTCACTTAACATGATGTCTTCCAATTAGGTTTTCTGTTTCTTCCAGGGTTCGTTATTAGCAGACTGTTTGTGTCCAGAAATTTATCTCTGTCTTCTGTGTTTTCCAGTTTTTTGGCAGATAGTTGTTCATAATAGTCTCTAATGATCCTTTTGTATTTCCTTGGTATCAACTGTTATAAGTCTCCTTATTCATGTCTGATTTTATTGATTTGAGGTCTTCTCTTTTTTTGTAGTCTAGCTAAAAGTTTGTCCATTTTATCTTTTCAAAAAACTTTTTGTTTCATTGATCTTTTGTATTTTTTTGTCTCAATTTTATTTATTTCTGCTCTGATCTTTATTATTTTTTCCTTCTACTAATTTTGGTTTTGGTTTATTCTTGCTTTTCTAGATTCTTAAGGTATACTGTTAGGTTGTTTATTTGAAATCTTTCTACTTTTTTGATATAGGCATTTATTGCTGTAAAATTCCCTCTTAGTGCTGCTTTTGCTGTATCCTGTAGATTTTGATATATTGTGTTTCCATTTTCATTTGTTTTAAGAAAATTTTTTATTTCCTTCTTAATTTCTTCATTGACTTATTGTTCAGGAACATATTTAATTTCTGTGTTTTTATACTTTACAAATTCCTGTTGTTATTGCTTTCTAGTTTTATTCCATTGTGGACAGAAAAGATACTTGATATAATTTTAACTTTTTTGAATTTTTTGAGACTTGTTTTGTGGCCTACCATATGGGCCATGTGCAGATGAGAAGAACGTGTATTCTGCAGCAGTCGGATGAAATGTTCTGTACATGTTTGTTAGGTCCATTTGGTCTAAAGTGTAGTTTAACTCCAGTGTTTCTTTCTTGATTTTCTGTCTGGATGATCTCTCTATTACTGAGAGTGGGGGTGTTGAGGTCCCCTATTAATATTGTATTCCAGTCTATCTCTTCCTTTAGATCTGTTATTATTTTCTTTATATATTTGGCTGCTCTGGTGTTGGGTACATATATTTACAACTGTTATATCCTCTTTCTGAATTGACCTCTTTATCATTATATAGTGACTTTGTCTCTTTTTGTAATCTTAGCCTTGAAATCTATTTTATTTGATGTAACTAAGCATAGCTACTCCTACTCTTTTTTTTTTCTTGGTTTCCATTTGTGTGGAATATCTTCTTCTATCCCTTCACGTTCACCCTATGTATGCCTTTGTAGTTGAAGTGTGTTTCTGGTAGACAACATATAGTTGGGCCATATTTTTTAATTTACCCAGCCACTCCATTTCTATTAATTGAAGAATTTAGTCTATTTACATTCATTATTATTATTGATAAGTAAGGACTTACTACTGCCATTTTGTTACAGGATTTCTGGGGTTTTTTTTTTTTCTGCTTTTTGTTTTGAGACGGAGTCTTGCTCTGTCACCCTGGCTGGAGTGCAGTGGTGCAATCTCGTCTCACTGCAACCTCCACCTCCTTGGTTCAAGCAATTCCCCTGCCTCAGCCTCCCTAGTAGCTGGGATTACAGGCATACGCCACCACGCCTAGCTAATTTTTTTGTATTTTTAGTAGAGATGGGGTTTCACCATGTTGGCCAGACTGGTCTCAAACTCTTGACCTCAGACAATCCGCCCACCTCGGCCTCCCAAAGTGCTAGGATTACAGGCATGAGCCACTGTGCCTGGCCTTTCTGATTCTTTTATAATGCCCCTCTTTCTTTCTTCTTTTCTTACTGACTTCCTTAGTGGTTAAGTGGTTTTTCTCTGACAGTATGTTTTTAGTTCATTGCTTTGCATTTTTAGTATATTTATTATTGGATTTTGCTTTGTGGTTACTATGAGGCTTACAAAAAACATCTTATAGACACAATACATTATTTTAAACAAATGACAACTTAACTTTGATCAGAAAGGAAAGCAAGGAAACCAAAAAGGAAAAACTAAAAAATGCTACACTTTTAAGTCCATCCCCCATACATCTTGGCATTCTGTTGTCTCAATTTATATCTTTTTTGTATTGCCTATTAAGAGGTTGTTGTAATTATTATTATTTTTGATAGATTTGTCTTTTAGTCTTCATACTAGATATATGAGTGGATTATACACCACAATTATGGTGTTAGATTATTCTCAATTTGTCTGTGTACTTAGTTTTACCAGTGAGTTATATGCCTCCAAATTTTTTTTTCATTTTAACATTGTTTTCTTTCATATCAAGTAACTCCTTTTATCATTTTTTGTAAGATGTGTCTAGAGGTAATGAATTCCTTCAGCTTCTGTTCATCTGATAAAAACTTTATCTCTCTGTCATGTTTGAAACAAAGCTTTGTTGGATACAATATTCTTGGTTGGCAGGGTTTTTCTTCCCCTTCAACACTTTGAGTATGTTGTCCCACTGCCTCCTGCAGGGCATGGTTTCCTGAGAAGTCAGTTGCCAGACAAATTGCAGCTTCTTTATATGTTATCTGCTTCTTTTCTTTTGCCACTTTTAGGGTCCTCTCTTTGTCATAGGCCCTTGAGAGTTTGATTATTATATGCCTTAGGGTAGTCTTCTTTGGATTGAATCCGTTTGGTCATCTGTGACCTTTACCTGTGTATTTCTATCTTTCTCCAATAGGGAAAGTATTTTCTTGTTAATTCTTTAATTAACTTTCTACCCCTTGCTCTTTCTCAACTCTCTCTTGACCACCAGTGACTCTTAGATTTGCTCTTTTGAGGTTATTCTCTATATTTTGCAGGCATTCTTTGTTCTTTTTTATTCTGTTTTCTCCTCTGTGTATTTTCCAATAGCCTGTCTTAGAGCTAACTGATTCCATCCTCTACTTGATCCAGTCTGCTGTTGAGAGCCTCTAATACATTTTTCAGTTCAGCAAATTTATTTCATCATTCCAGCATTTCTGTTTAATTTTATTATTTCAGTCTGTTTCAATTTCACTGATAAATTTCTTAATTGTTTTTCTGTGTTGCCTTGGAAGTTGCTGACTTTCCTAGAATTGCTCCTTTGAATTCTTGATCTGAGAACTCACACGTGGCTGTCTTATCAGAGTTTGTCACTGGCACTTTGCTTTGTCTGTTTGGGGAGGCCATGGTTCCCTGCTTGCTGTTGTTTCTTGTGGACATGCGTCTATGGCTTTACATTGAAGGATTATTTATTTATTCCAGTGTTTGTTCTCTGGCTTGTTTTGGTCTTTCTAGAATATGTTTGCTTAGAGGTCCTTTGCAGTTGCCTTTGGGTCCCCTTTATCCTAGATCACTGCCTCCTATTCAGCACTAGATGGTGGTATAATTGCTGGTTTGCCTCAGTTCTCTGAAACATTTGGCAGTACTGTCTCCAGTGGTGGGGAAGGGGTTGCATCTCAAAGGGGATATCCCAGCTATGTAGGAAGGCTGCCCAGGGTTCCTCCTCAGAAGACTTAGGGACTGTGCCTCCCACAGTGTTGTGCTGCTGAACAGCCACTCTGAATAGGCGTTTCCTTTGGCTGAAATAAAGAGCAGAAATTCTTGGGCTGGAGTTTTTAATCCTGCTTCTCCTCTTTGTCTGTAGCCTCCCTTGGGGGTTTTCTCTTCCTAAAGCACTTGTGATGCTTCCCATGGGCTGAGCCAGGAGTGGTTTTCCTGCAAGGGAGCCCAAGATGGTGAGGAAGCTGGCTTTCTGCTTTGATCTCACTTTATCCAGTGTAGAAATTGTGAGCTTAAGAGGAATTTCCTGCATGCAGTGCCAGGCAGATTCGGGGAGAGGCATTGTGGGTAGAGAAGTTCATTTCTGTTACCATCTGCGTGGAGCTTTTCACTTCTCTGTGGCTCCAGGAATTGTGTCAGCCTCAGGTTCAAGTTCTGGGATATTGCTGATGATAATCTTGGCACTAGAAGTTTATGTTTGGTTTTCTGTGGTAAAGAGTGAAGCCACATTGCTTCTACTCTTCCATTTTGGCGTTATCACCCTCTGTTGATTTTAATTTCTGACCAATTCAAAGCAAAATTATTAAATAGATAATGATAATATGACACAGAAGGAGTGATAGCCATAAACCTTCATGCAATGAATAGTATTGCATCAACATATAAAACTTAAAATGCTAGAAATTAACTGAAACACAATTACCTGGGGATATTTTATTGTACTTCACATGAAATAGATGAAAAACAAGAGTCAGATAATATTGGAATAATAACTGTGAACTAAGATACATAGCACATTTTGTAGTTTACAGATACAGAATTCACCTTCTTAATAGGTATGTTTGAAAATTTGATTTCTTATTAGAGTAAAAAAATTGGGCAGGCATCTTTGATCACATAATGTACCTTGAAAGTATTAGTAAATTTTGAACATTAGTGACACTCAACTATTCTTATACTCTTGGTAACTTCAGTTGTTTTTGTTTTTTTTTCTCCCCTGGAAAGCATGGAATGGAAAGTACATAGTAGGTACTCGTACTGCTTATTGAAATGAACTGTTCTATTTTCATTAAACCCAGAACAAAGTGGAATTTATTATTTTAACCTCTGAAAACACTGACCAAATCAAGCCTCATATTTTTAAGTGCTACATATAACCTTCACCAGTGTGATTTACATAAATATTTCCTATGTTATAGATCATGAAAATATAAAAATAAGCTAGGCTGGTTTTGTCTGAGGTTACATTTCTTTCTTTCTTTTTTGAGATGGAGTGTTGCTCTTGTTGCCTAGGCTGGAGTGCGATGACGCTATCTCAGCTCACTGTAACCTCTGTCTCCTGGGTTCAAGCAATTCTCGTGCCTCAGCCTCCTGAGTAGCTGGGATTACAGGTGCCCGCCACCATGCCTGGCTAATTTTTGTATTTTTAGTGGAGACGGGGTTTCACCATGTTGGCCAGGCTGGTCTCGAACTCCTGACCTCAGATGATTTGCCCGCTTCAGCCTCCAAAAGTGCTGGGATTATAGGCGTGAGCCACCACTCTGGGCTAAGGTTACATCTCTAATAAACTTCCGAACCATTCTGTTTTCCGGCTTGGAGACAAAGAATCATCTTATTGCATTGGTGCCACCAAAGGATCCTCTTGAATCCTGCTCTGTGCCCTTCAGCACTCAGTAGGTAATTCAGACTTAGGTATTAAAAAACTACGTACTATTAGTCTTCGTTTTTGAAAATAATTGGTGAGTATATTTTAAAATAGATTATAGCTTAATTTATGTCATTTTGATGGTTAGAATTTTTCAATTTATAGTAGTGCTTCTTAAACTTTTCTAATCTTTCTGTTATTATAGTTCAATTTTATATAATAACAAGTTACTATGTGTGGGTTTAATGAAGTCTTTCTTCTTCCCAGGATGGATGTGGACAGTTTCCATATGATGCAAACATCCAGATACACTGGGTATCATTTCTGGATGGGCGCCAGAGAGTTTTGCTTTTCACCGATGATGTTGCCTTGGTTTCCAAAGCACTGCAGGCAGAAGAAATGGAACAGGCTGATTATGAAATAACCTTGTCTCTCCACAGTCTTGGGCTTTCACTGGTTAACAATGAAAGCAAGCAGGAAGTTTCCTATATTGGGATAACCAGGTATGCAAGAAGGAAAATAAGACATCCTAAACCTTTAAAAGGCATTAAGTTCATAATAGCCGATTTGAAGAAAGTAAAAAGATACCTGGTTTGACTTTGGTATGCTGTATATTTATTCAGTAAAGCTTACTGAATAATTCTTTGAACTGTTAGTTGAAAAGCCCCGAGGATAGAAAGATGACTAAGATATTGTCTTTGTCTTCACAATACTCATTGTCAGTTGGTGGGGGAAAAAGTGGTTTGTTTCTTTCCTTGTTGTCCTTAATGTGTGCGTGTGTGTGTGTGTGTGTTTAATGAGTTACAAAAATACTGAGAAAAGGAAAGGATGTACAAAGAAGGATGTACATGCACAGTGGAAGTACAGAGGTACAAGTGACTAGTTTGTTTTGTGCAGTAGAGGTTAGAGAAACTGTCATGAGTTAGGGGGAAACCAACAGAAACAAATTGGAAAAAAGGTTCAGAGAGGAGGCTGTATTTGATATGAGTACATAATCTTTAATGGGTGGCCATTTAGAATTTTCTAATAGTTATGGGACCAGTTATTTTCTCCAGTTCTATTTATACCTGTATAAGAAAAATATTAGAGTATGTAGTTGATTTTAAAAATCACACTTAATTTGGTAAAAGACTTATTCTTTTTTAGAGGCTGATGGGTGGAATGGTTGACATGATACAAAATATAACCAGGATAGGATCTATCAAGAAGCACACGTTTGGGGAAAGAAAAGCAAATTAAGGAGAAAAGTAAATAGATAGTCTATGTAATGAACTTTGCACAACACCTGAGAAACTAATGGTTATAAATGGTATCATACATACCATTAATATAATGTTAATATATTTATATGTAGATAGACAATGCATTCTTTGTTATATATTTGAGTATTATATGATATTTTTAAACTAAACATGGAAATCATTTTTAGTTATATAGGTCCAGTTTTCCCTTTTGTTCTTCTATAAAACTTTTTACTTTAATATTGTATATGCTGTCCTGGTTTGTCAGGTTTACCTTTATTTATAAGAACATTAAAAAATTTATCTAAAATAACTTCATTACCTTTTTTATGACATGGTACACATTCAGTGAAATCTAGATTTTCAAAGGAAAAACACCAGTTACATAATTTTAAAAATCACTTTTTTTGAGCAGCCTTATGTCTAGAGAAAAACTGTAAAATAAAGAGTTTTCACGTACCCGCACTCTTGTTTCCCCTATTACTAACATCTTGCAGTAGTGTGGTACATTTGTTACTATTGATGAGCTAATATTGATACTACATTATTGTCTAACTCCATTATTATCTAACTTCTATATCTAACATTAAGTATTATTCTTTGTGTTGTACATTCTATGAGTTCTGACAAATGTGTAATAACCTGTATTCACCATTACAGTATTATATAAGATAGTTTCACTGCCCTAAAAGTCTCTCAGCTTCCTCCTGTTAATCCCTCCATTCCTCTTCTAAACCTTTGGAAACCGCTGTTCTTTTTATTGTCTCCAAAGTTTTTCTTTTTTCAGAATTTCATATAGTTGGAATCAAGCAGTATGTAACCTATTCAAATTAACTTCTTTCACTTAGCAATATGCTTTTAAGGTTCCTTTGTTTCTTTTCATGGCTTGACAGCTCATTTCTTTGTATTATTGAATAATAGTCCATTGTATGAATGGACTATTACTCCAGTTTGTTTATCCATTCAACTATTGAAGGAGATCTTGGTTGCTTCCACATTTTCGCAATGACAAATAAAGCTGTTATAAACATTCGTGTGCAAGTTTTTGTGTAGACATATGTTTCCTCTGCTTTGGGGTAAGTGCCAAGGAATATGATTGCTGGATCATATGATAAAAGTATGTTTAGTTTTGTAAGAAACATCAAATTATCTTACAAAGTGGTTGCATCATTTTTGCATTCCCACTAGCAATAAATGGGAGTTCCTGTTGCTCCACATCCTTGCCAAAATTTGGTATTGTCGGTGTTTTGGATTTTAGCTATTTTAATAAGGATATAGTAGTGTGTCATTGTTTTACTTTGCGGTTTTCTGATGATACATGATGTTGAGGATCTGTTCATATGCTTATTTGCCATCTGTATGTCTTCTTTCCTGAGCCACCTGTTCAAATCTTTTGTCCATTTTAAAATTAGGTTATTTTCTTAACGTTGAGTTTTAAGAGTTCTTTGTTTATTTTGGATACCAGTCTTTTATCAGATGTGTGTTTTGCAAATACTTTTTCCCAGTCTGTGGCTTATCTTTTTATTCTCTCAACTGCTTTTAACAGCAGAAGTTTTATATTTTACCTCAGACTTATCAATTCTCTTCCTTCATGGATTGTACTTTTGGTGTTGTATATAAGAAGTCTCCACTATACCGAAAGTTAGCTTTATTTCCTCCTATTATCTTCTAGGAGTTTTGTAATTTTGTGTTTTATATTTATTTATTTTTATATATGTATGTATGTATTTATTTTTGAGACAGAGTGTCACTCTGTTGCCCAGGCTGGAGTGCAGTGGTGTAATCACCGCTCACTGCAACCTCTGCCAACTATGCTCAAGCAATCCTCCCACCTCAGCCTCCTGAGTATCTGGGACTACAGGCACGTGCCACCATGCCAGGCTGATATTTTTTATTTCTTTGTGGAGATGGGAATTCACCATGTTGTCTAGGCTGATCTCAAACTTATATTTAAGTCTAATCCAGTTTATTTTTTGTGAAAGATGGAAGCTCTGTGTCTAGATTTGCTTTATTGCATATGGATGTCCAGGTGTTCCAACATAATTTGTTGAAAGACTTTGGTAGTTTCCTCACTTAGATCACATACACATTGTATTCGATTTTATTTATACCTAAGTGTTTGTTTCTTTGGTGCTAATGTAAATGGTATTCTGTTTTTATTTTAAATTTCAATTGTTTATTGCTGGCATGTAAGAAAGCAGTTGACTTGTATATTAACCTTATATTTTTGCAATCTTGTTATAATTGCTTATTAGTTACAAGGATTTTTTGGTTGATTCTTTGGGATTTTCTGTTTAGACAGTCATGTCAAATGTGAACATTGACACTTTATTTCTTCACTCCCAGCTTTATTTTCTTGTCTTATCACATCTTGGACTTCCAGTACTATGTTGAGGTGGGAATGGTTGAGAGTGGAAATACTTGCCTTGTTCCTAATCCTGGTGGGAAAGCATCTGGTTTCTCACTATGATGTTAGCTGTAAGTTTTTTGTAGGTGCTCTTTATCAAGTTGAGGAAGTTCTCCTTTAAGTTGTCTCAGAGTTTTTATCATAAATAATGTTGGATTTATATTGTCTGTAGTAGATATTTTATTCAGTGCCTTCATTGACTGGTATCCTCTAAATACATTTTATAGTTAGGACATTGTTAACACTATCATTGACTAATAGAAACAAGCTATGTGAAATAAAATATTATAGATTTTAGTATTCTCTAATTCAGGTGCCAGCAAAGTTTGGCCTATGAGCCAAATCTAACCCAATGCCTGTTTTTGTACAAACTGTATGAAATTCAGTTTGTTTCCCATAAATAATGTTTTGTTGGGACACAGTGATTTCTGTTCTTTTACATGGCTTCTTTGACATTGCTACTCAGTGCACTACAAATCACAGCATGTTTGAGTTAGTGCATATTGTTCTGCAGCATTTTTTATTTTACTGATATATATCCGTCATATCAAAACAAGAGAAAAGTGAACTTTGAATGTTCATCTTTTAGGGCATAATGAAATGTGTATGATCTTCTTATTAAAAAAAGCATCATTTTATTATGTTATGGAACTACAGCTCTGCTGAAGTAATGCAATATATGTTGACAGTATAGTTTCCAAACTAAGCACTTACCGTAACATTTTCAAATCACAGGAAAGCAATGGCCAGAAAAATTAGAAAATTTAAGGCAAAATATGTCATCACACGGAATATCTTAACAAATACAAAAAACAATAATGAGGCTGTAAGCAAAGTAAGTTTCTGAGTGACTTACTTGTTAGCTAAGCCAGGAAAGTCTTTTACCAATAGTGAGTTAATTGAATTGTGTCTGATTGCAGCAGCTAAAGAAATGTATCCAGAGAAAATGAACTCGTTTAAGGCCATTAGCCTTTCAGTAGGAACAGTTGCTTAAAGAATTGAAGACATTCAGAACAACCTCAATAGTCAATTACAAAAACAAGGCAAATGATATTGAGTGGTTTCCTTTGGCTCTTGATGAGTCAACAGATGTTACCAATACTGCTCAGTTATATATTTGAGAAGTCAGCACGGAGTCTGAAGTGACTAAAGGATTAACCTGTATAAATAGTTTGCCTAGGACAACTACAGGTGAGAATATTTTCAAACCAGCGAAAGAAATACTAATTCAGTACAACCTGAAGATAGATACAACTGATTATGGGAAAAATATGTGTGGAACAGAAAAAGACTTAGTTGGACAAATTCATAAAGCTAGTGAAAATGTAAAGCATTTAAAGCCTATTGTATTATTTGTGAGCAGGTACTTAGTGGAAAATATTTCAGTCCACCTTTTGTTACCAAACCATTAGTGTCAAATAGTTAACTTCATTAATTCATGTGGACTTAACTATCATCAGTTCTGTGAATTTTCACGAGAAGTAGAAGCTGAATGTTCTTACTTGTGTTACCACACAGCAGTTTGATGGGTTAGCAGCAGTAACTTTTTATTGTACTCTTTGAGTTCTGGGCCAGGATTAAAATTTTTTTGAACAAAAAGAACCACCCTCAACCACTATGACTAAACACCAATAATAGTGGCTTTGGAAATTAATTTTTGTTGCAGAATTGATAATGCAATAATAGTGGCTTTGGAAATTAGTTTTTGTTGCATAATTGCAGAATTGATGATGTTTTTTAATGAATTTCAAGCTAAAATTAGAAGACAAACAGTGCTTATGTGAAAAATTTATACTACAGTATAGTCAATTTTGAAGACAGCTAATGTTTGAATCTCAGGTAGTATCAAGATGTTCCATGTACTTCCTGTGCTGTCCAAGGTTAAAACATGAAGCAAAATCTCCACTTCCACATGTATTTGGAGAGGATATATTTTAAGGCCTGCAACTCCAGTTCCAGCAACATTTTTTCTGACCTCAGTGCAGGTGTAAGGAAATTTCCACATTTCAAAATTCATTTGTGCAATTGAGGAGCTTCTACCTAACTTTGAATTGGAAGTGATTGACCTGTAATGTATTAATATACTAAAAGGCAAATATCAAGAGAAGAATTTAATAGAATTTTATGAATGCCTTCCAAGTGATATATATGCTCAAGTAAAATAATAAATTCTCATTGACCAATATCAGTATTTGGCAGCACCTATCTGTATGAAATGGCATTTTTAAAGATGCTCATTACAGATTACCATTAATAGATGAACATTTACAATAGATTTTGGTAATAAATAACACTAAGTGACATGTTACTTTCACAAAAGAAGTTTTTTTTTTCATTAATAGACTTGTTTTTAAGAATTGCTCTTAATTATTTTATATTCTAAATTTCATCAATTAAAATTTATGGGAGTTTTTTCTCTCTTTGGTATCTAAGTTGCCTATCTAATAACTTGAATTTTGTCTCAGTCCAGAAAGCCTAAAATATTTACTATTTAATATATGACCCTCTGCAGAAAAAGTTTGCCAGTCCCTTAGTTGGTTGATGTCAACGTTGATAGAAAAAGTATTTTCTTGCCTGCCTCTTTTCTTTTTGTACTCTTGCAACACAGGTATAGTTCGTTATTTTAAGAAGTCCCTTATACCAATGTAATTTTCATAGGAAAATAATAGTTACAATAATCTGGAGTTGAATAAAGTTCCACAGACCTAAATACATATTGCTAATTTAATTTTTTTGTGTGAATTATTTAGTTCTGGTGTTGTTTGGGAGGTGAAACCAAAGCAGAAATGGAAGCCATTTAGTCAAAAGCAGATAATCTTATTGGAACAATCCTATCAGAAACATCAAATATCAAGAGACCATGGCTGGATTAAGCTAGATAATAATTTTGAGGTATACCAAAATTCTTTTGTTTTGATTTTTATATGTGTATTTTCTTGGTGGTGGTAGTAAGTAAAATTGTAATGCCCAAGTAAAGACATGTGCAGAAATGAACTTATTTATTGGTAGATAAACTTTTATTTCTTAATAGGATTGGCGTGTCTAATGATACACGTTAGTATATTTTTAATTAAAATATATTGTTATTTAATAATATACTGTGAAACAGGATTTAAACCTGTGTTTTAATAATTTTATTACATTTTTATATTTTTATAATTTTATTTACAAATCAGATAGTCTTATGGAACTTGTTTCCAGAAAGATTAGGGAGAAGTTAAGAATGCCTCATTGAAATTTTTGTTATATTTTGAATGACACCAATATATATTGCTAAATAAAGACCGTGTAAAATTACATATTTCATTGAGGAAAAACCTACAAAAAGCTGCTCAAGTAAATTCATTAAATGTGAGTGATTGTTGGACCTGAGTAGGCATCCACAAATAAAGATGCACTCCACCTAGGCCCTTACACAGTTAAGACTAAAAGTCACCTGTGCTCCAGGAAGTCTACAGAAGCTTGACTGCAATTTCCAGCTTGCTCTAGTTTAATCATGCAGTTTAGTTACTCTTTGTCATTGTTGCCTGATGGTTTGGTTAGCACTGTCACCAGTTACATTCCCCAGCACCCCCACCAATTTTGGCCATACTTAAATGATAAAAAACTATATAATTCATGTCAGACGTGACTAAGCTCTCAATTATTGATTGCAAAACAGAGTTTGTTTAGAATTATCTTTGGGCCAGGTGCAGTGGCTCACACCTGTAATCCCAGTACTTTAGGAGGCTGAGGCAGGAGGATCACTTGAGGTCAGGAGTTTGAGACTTGCCTGGACAACATAGTGAGACCTTGTCTCTACAAAAAAAAAAAAAAGATAATAAAATTAAAATTAGCTGGGCATGGTGTCACATCTGTAGTCTCAGCTGCTTGGGAGGCTGAGGCAGGAGTATCACTTGAGGCCAGGAGGTTGAGGCTGCAGTGAGCTGTGATTTTGCCACTGCACTTGTGACAGCAAGATGCCGTTTCAAAAAAAAAAGAAAAGGAAAGAAAGAATTATCTGGAACTATTCGTTACTTGAGGAAGTTTTCTTTTACATAAAGCATGTTTTTAAAACTATAGTTTCTATACTTGAAAAGTTTCACGATCTTTTTTTTCTAATAACTGGTAGAAAAGTGGTGCTTTTGCTTCAGAGATCTCAACTGTAGATCACCTTAAGATAGATCTGTTGGTGAGACATAAAGATAAAGATTTTTTCAATTTGATCAATAAACAGATATTAAAAATGGAATAGCTACTGTGCTAATATCAGCTCATCACAAAAACATGTGCTTTTTTTCTAGGTCAATTTTGATAAAGATCCAATGGAAATGCGCCTCCCTATTCGTAGCCCTATTAAACGAGACTTTTTATCAGGAATTCAGATTGAATTTAAGCAGTCTTCTCACCAGAGAAGTTTAAGGGCCAGGTTGTACTGGCTTCAGGTAACATTGTCATTCTCAAATAAGTATTTATCATCACTTTGGGAATCTTGGGAATGAAATTTCTTTTTTACAACTATATAGTTTACATTGTAATTGGTATCTTTTCTTTGTTTGTATGTTTTTTCCCCTTTTTCCACATATCCTGTTTATTTAACATCTTACTTATAAACTTCGTGACTGTTAAGACTAATTTTGATCGATTAGCCTGCAAAAGGGTTTTCTTGCACTGAGATTGTTATTCTTAAATGTTCCTTTGAATTTGTCATGGGACCCCCAAATAAGATTTTCCTTTGTCGTCATTCAGGACAGAGAGCAGAGCTTTGCTGGAGGTTCCTTTTGGATGCTTGCTTGCTCTCTCCCAGCATCCCTCCCTTCCTTCCTTTTAGCTGTTAAGTACTGTTTAGGCTACTTTAATTCTTCTTCTTTTTCTCTTATCCCCTAATTTCATATTCAGTTTCAACTTTTATTTAAACCATAGAGAATTGAAATCTCACAGGATCCATAGATACAAGTATTTTCATTAATGATGTACATACTGCACACTGTTAATACAATTATGAGAGTATTTATATAGTCCTTTATTGAAAGCCTTGCCCTTGCTGAGGTATGTAACTTTTACAGATTTAAAATGAAACTTCTAATTACACCGCATATACACGCAGACACTTAATTATGATGAAAGTGGTGGCCTCTTCTATAACATTATCTTTGAAACTAAAAGTTTAAATTATTTGAAATCTTGATAAGTTCGTTTTCTTTTCTTTCAGGTTGATAATCAGTTACCAGGTGCAATGTTCCCTGTTGTATTTCATCCTGTTGCCCCTCCAAAATCTATTGCTTTAGATTCAGGTAAAATAAAATAAGTTGTGACATAGATATACCTTATTTATAAAAGTTAAATAGGCATTAGTTTAACCTAGTATAAAGCATTATTTTTTTTTATGTGTTACTTCTTCCTCTTAGAGCCCAAGCCTTTCATTGATGTGAGTGTCATCACAAGATTTAATGAGTACAGTAAAGTCTTACAGTTCAAGTAAGTGAAGATTCCTGCTGTTTCTCTAAAAGAATTTAAAATGAGAATCTACTTTGAAAATAAATCTTACTCTTTTTGAAAGTGACTTTCATGTAAAAAGTATTTTCCAGCTGAACCTATTAATTCACTTTTGGTCAAGTAATCTTTTATGCTTCAACTTATTTTAGTAGTAGTCTCTACATATTTTAAAGTGTAGAATTTCTTCAACCATCTTCTTCCCTTTATAACTTCAATTAGAATATAAAATAGTAAGTGAAATCTAAATGATATGTATTTGTGAGCTGTGTTCTTTAATGTAATTGCTGTGAACTTTAAAAATTGGATCATACATGCTACATGATCTGGTTGTATTTGTTTCATCTGTGACATGACGAATGTGGCATTTGGGACTGTAATTGCTAAGTGTTAATGCAGCAGTATTACCTTGAGTGAAGCTTTCACTCCAGTGAAAAAGTCTCAATCTAAGAAGACTTTGATCTTATTAACATAATTTTTAGGAGATGAAGGAACAAGATATAACTGTGGCTTTTCACTGAAATCAAAGTTTTAACATTGAAAATTAAAAGATTTGGTAGAAATCCTTTTCCATTTTAAATTTTTTTTCTTAGGTATTTTATGGTCCTCATTCAGGAAATGGCCTTAAAAATTGATCAAGGGTTTCTAGGAGCTATTATTGCACTGTTTACCCCAACAACAGACCCTGAAGCTGAAAGAAGACGGGTAAAAATTTTTATTTCTTGGGGAAAATATAAAATTAACAAAATTTAAATCAGCCTCTTTTGAACGAATTCTAATAGAGAAAAAAATTAAAATAGAAATTCTTGATTTTATTTTTTTCAGACAAAGTTAATCCAACAAGATATTGATGCTCTAAATGCAGAATTAATGGAGACTTCAATGACTGATATGTCAATTCTTAGTTTCTTTGAACATTTCCATATTTCTCCTGTGAAGGTTTGTTGTAATTATTATTTTGAAAATTTAGTGAAATTATTGTAGAACTTTTTAAAGGGTCTGTGGACCAAGGTAGGTTTTAATTTGTTGCATCATGTATTTGGTGGGAATTTTGTTTGATTAATCGAAATAATTAAGACAGTTCTCTGTAGCATATGTGCAGCCACAATTCCCACAGAGAAACCACCAGAGCATGTTCTCCAGTTTTGAATTAATAACCCCCTTATTCAAAGAAGAAGCTGACAAAAGCGTTTCTTAATTAAGCGTAGAAGTGCTTGCCAACGTTTAATGTTTTGGTTGCACTTTGTAACTACTATCACTGTCTAAACAGAGAGCTATAATGGGTGCTGTAACCAGAATGTGAAAACGCTGAAGTAGGTACTATACTGTTGATGTGGTGTTTTTCCCCCCTTCCAAAATTTGCTTGTAACTAAGGGAGTGGAAAATTGGATACCTTTCACTTGCCTGATGTTGTACTTTATGAACCCATTTCTTTTTTCCCTTTTGTTGTTCTTTTTAGCTTTTATAGGAGAAGGTGACTGCTTAGTAAATTCTTAAATTCACAAATGCTATCAACCATAATGCTCTAAACTTGTGTAATGGGCCAGATTTATAATTAAGTAACTCTTTAAAATATTGATGATCCTTTACATTCTCAAAAACTGTTTACAGCACATTACTTTCAATTGCATTTACCAGTCCTTCAGCTAAATGAATGGATTTCTAAAATGGAATTATTATTTTAAATTGATCTATTAGTTTGGTGATATCAGACATACTGATAGTGTCAGGTTTAAAATTGATATTGTTTTATGTGATAGGTAATATACCATTTCTTTTTCACTTTTAAGTGAAAATCAGTTATTTGTGGGATTGAACAATACCTTAAACAAGTATTTACTGAATGCTTATTATGAAAGTTGCTGTGGAGGTATAAAACAGCTTCATGGATATTATATTCTAGGGGGATATTAATGATTGATAATTTACCTATTCGTGTTCTTAGGCACAGTGGGAATTGTGCCATGAAGTCTAATGGCAAAGATTATGAACAACAATTATTTTCATAGCCCATAAGTAACATTGCCCTAGGGAAGGGCTGGATTAATGTTTACCTGTGGTTACCTTTCCTGGATCCCAGCACTCCCAGACTCGTCATTTGGGCAGAGGGTCACATGAAAGAAAAAACTAACCACAGGCTTTCCTGGCGTTGCCCCAAGTCCACTTTACTTGAACTCTATATTGGTTAGTTAATATGCCTAGGAAATGACAAAATGAGAAAGGAAATTCATCTACTTTATTTACACATATTGAATTACTTTTTGCCTATGTCTTCTTGCACTATTGCACTAATGATGGTTCAGTTCAAAGTAGCAGCTAAATGAGAATCTGAAATCTCATGTTTAAATACTAAGTTGGAGGATCTGTGGAAGCTGAAAGCCTTATTATACTTTTAAAAACTTGACAGCTTGCTAACTTACCTTAATTGTCATGTTATTGTTATTATCTGTATTTTGACTGGCAGATTACTTGTGTGCCAGTTTACATGTTTTTCTTCTTAAAATGATTACGCCATTTTTGTAAAGTGTGTCGGTTTCCCTCATATGAATGCAATGGCATTTATATACATTGCATAAAATTAGAACTCTGTTTTTGGATCAGACTAATTTGTATTCTATCAAAAAGCAAAGAGAATCAAATGTAAGTGGGTTGTTCTGCTATAATGTGTGGTATCAAATAATAGCTTTCACTAGGACTCTAATCGAAAGACTTTTTTTGGTTTGTTTCTGGACTACCTGGATCCTAAATATGTAAATTTTTCACTTTTAGCTTTCATTTATTGAACATTATTTTTCTTTTAGTTGCATTTGAGTTTGTCTTTGGGTTCCGGAGGTGAAGAATCAGACAAAGAAAAACAGGAAATGTTTGCAGTTCATTCTGTCAACTTGCTGTTGAAAAGCATAGGTGCTACTCTGACTGATGTGGATGACCTTATATTCAAGTAAGACTTCTGTTAGAGTACATTGAGAAGCAGGTGTACCAAGGTCATGTTTCTAGACATTAATTCTCTCCACTTGTGCAATGTTAGCTTAGGAAAAGGATAACTTTACTACTTATATTTGGAGAATTTGGTTCATTTGTGATTATACTCTTTAGGAATGCTTATTGTATTCATAATGATAAGGTGTAGAGTCTTGTTTTTTGTTTTTTTTGATTACTCATATCTAGATAATACATGGATGTAGAATAATAATTGAATTTTTTAGTCATATATTATAAATTAACCATATTTTAAAACATAATTATATTTAGAGATATGTAATGCTAGATACATATGCATTAAATAAATTGTTATTGAATTGAAATTCAACAATGGTATTGGAACAAGTAGTTATCTGGGTGAAAAAAAATTCCCTGTAGATCATTTTTACCTTACATGTACACTACTAAATTTCAGAGGAAACGAATGATAAAATATAAAACCTAAACTGAAAAGACAAAAAAAGTCCAATCTCTGAATAGAGGAGGTCTTTCTAAGTTTAAAAGCAGTGGAAAACATTTCAATGGAAAATAAAAGATACATTTAACCACATAAAAATCAAATACTTTACAACAAAATCAATGAAAATAATTAAAAAACAAAAGCCTGGGAAAATATAATGACAGAGAAAGGACTGTTATCTTAATATTAAACATTGAGAAGAAAAACCTAGATTCTAACGGTATAATGGCCAGAGAACAATAGGAGATAATTCGCAAAAGGGAAAACACAGTGATGGCGTTATTATTTATCAAAGAATACATGCAAATTAAAGCAAATTATCAAAGATTTTAAAATATGAGCGATTCTATTTTAAAATCCTATTTAATACTAGTCAGGGGTGGTTCTAAGAAATAGGTACTTTTTAAATACTGTTGGTATAAGTGGAAAACTGCATTTGTTAGGAGCCTTCAATGTTTTGTTGCTTTTCACTCAGTAGTTCTCTTTTTGGAAATTCTTTCCAAAAAGTAATCTAACCTTGAAGTTCAACCAAAGAGTTATATTCAACATACGCATGGCATCATTAATTATTTTAGCAAAAATTGGAAATGTCTGACAGTGGAAGAATTGTTTGTTACGACACTGCCACATGGTAGCATGCTATGCATCCGTTAAAAATGGTTATGTCAAGTTTTAAATAACATAGAGAAATACTTTTCCACAGTGTTGAGTGTAAACAGGGCATACAAAATGTTTTAAACATTTTATCATTGCATATAAAAGAAAGAATTCTAAGTGCGAAATACGAAAATAAACCTTTAAAATCCACTATGTGATGGGATGATGGTTGACTTTTAAAGAACTCTTTATGCATATATGAAAAACTTGTGCACTGTTTTTATAATAATTTAGTAACCATTATTAAGACAATCATAAATTGTATGTGGTAAATGTACGAAGTCAATTGTGAAAGAATTGGCTATGATTAGCATTAGCTGTCATTCAAATTTTAAGTCTCTTTTTTTATCATATAATATTAGTATCTTTGAATCTTTCCTTTTTCTCCTCCCAGACTTGCTTATTATGAAATTCGATATCAGTTCTACAAGAGAGATCAGCTTATATGGAGTGTTGTTAGGCATTACAGTGAACAGGTAATTTCCTATCATAGTATTTCATAAGGAATATACTTCATAAAATATCAAAACATTTGCATGTGACTGTATAGTGTGCAGTAATGTTTATCTAATTTATCTCACTTTGAAATCTCCGTATTTAGTGGCTTTCTTCAATGATTAATTTCTGTTTCTTTAGTTCAACCCCTCTTTATACACCTTTTGAAAATTTTCCTCCAGTTCCTTTTTTGACTTTGCAATTATACTTTTACCACTTTGGGAAAGAATAGTGACTTTATAGTCATTATACTTGATTTCTTCAGTGATTATAGTTTCTGAATATAATCTAGTGAACTGCAAGCAGAATTCTAAGCCGGTTTCCTCCCTGTGCCTCAGTTACTCTGTGGTTCAAGTATGTATGCATAGAAACAGTAGTTGTTGCAGGTCACTTTGGTACAATTGCTATACCATGGAACTGCATGGTGACATCTCCTTTCCTTCCACTGCTGGAATATTCTTTCTCCTATTACATATACAGACATTATGATTGTTACATGTTAAAATGAGGATATGTTTTCCCTTTTTTTTGTTTTGGTTATTATTTTCCATCTAATTTATTAATAATGATGGTAAAGTAATACTAAAAAAAACTAACAATTACTGAATTATGTATTCATTTAATATGCATACTCACCCATGCAAGGACAGTGTAACTTCCCTTTTTAAAAAATTTTGAGTTTTTATAGAGACGGAGTCTCACTATGTTGCCCAGACTGGTCATTAACTCCTGGCCTCAAGTGATCCTCTCATCTCAGTCTCCTAAACTGTTGGGATTACAGGCATGAGCCACCACACCCAGCCTGACCTTCCATTTTATAGATTAGAAGACAGGCTGTTAGATACTAAATGACTTGCACAGGGTCACATAACTGCTACGTGGCAGCCTGTGCGTCAAACCTAGTTCTGTCTAATTTAAAAGCTGTTTAAATTAGCATAGTGCCTGGCACACAGTAAAAGATCCATTAGTGGAGGTAGTGGTGATTATTCCATACAGCTTTCTTTTAACACAAACTTAATTTTATCAGTAAATCTCTTTTTTTCTATTTCATTATGATGTTTCTTACAATAGTTGTGAAGGACTTAATTTAATTTTTTTTCTTTTTTAGTTCTTGAAACAGATGTATGTCCTTGTATTGGGGTTAGATGTACTTGGAAACCCATTTGGATTAATTAGAGGTCTGTCTGAAGGAGTTGAAGCTTTATTCTATGAACCCTTCCAGGTATTGACCTCTTATTTGTTCTAAGGATAGGTACAGAAAAATGGATGGTCTATTTTTTAATAACAAATAGTAATTTGCATTGTAATTGTATCTTGGAATTGAATAATGTTCAAATCACAAAAGTATATCAATTTTATATTTTTATTTAAAGGTACATGAGATAACATTGGATGATTGTTTAGAATTTAATGAGCGCTGCCCACATTTGCCAGGATTTAATGTAGTTGTAAGAATATTTAGAGTGCTGGGTAGATTAAGACTTTCAAGACTGTTCCACCATTGTGGAAGGGACTAATAGGGCACTGAAAGCAAAGTTTGTTTCATATTCAAGCTGTCATCTAACCTATTCCCCTCCATTTAAAGGGTCTAGCAGCCAGCCCAGTGTATGAGGGTTTTCGGAGAATAAAGCAGAGAAAATAAATGAGAGAATAAGACAGTAAAAAAATCTGTGGGCTCTTACTCTTGTTATCACTGCATCTTGTTTTAGCAATTTGATGAAACTTAGTTCTGGGAGGCCAACTTCAAATTGTAATTGAAGCCAGTGATTTATACCTATCCAATTTTTGACTTAAAGAATTTGCTAAGATCATGTAGGTTGAAAGTGTCTTCAAACACAATAGATATTCTATCCATATTTGGGGTAGAAGTGAAAATTGATTCATCACAATGTTTATGGATTTTTACAGATTTGGATTCTTCTTGCAAACCCTGAACTATTAAAGTAAAAGTCTGAAACTTAAATTTTAAATAATAAGATTATTTTTTATTTTTTTTTGCCAGGGTGCTGTTCAAGGCCCTGAAGAATTTGCAGAGGGGTTAGTGATTGGAGTGAGAAGCCTCTTTGGACACACAGTAGGTATGTATCACATATTTGTGTATATGTGTATATTTTTTATTATATTGTTATGAAATACGTTGTTATGAAAAACAAATGCTTTTATTTAATAAAGGAGGGATCACTTTCTTAATAATCCCTTTTAAAAGACATGTTTCCCATGTTTTTAAATGAAAAATAACAGTAGACTGCTGGTTTTTTAATATGTCTTTGTAGTGTTGAATAAATGCAAATAATTTTACATTTAAATTAAATAATTTTATTCCTTTTCTTGTTAGATGGGAAAAGTTAATTTCTGCATTTTTTGTATGAGACAGAATTTTAAGCACCTATTAGTTTAAAGCAATTGCATGCTATATATTGTGATAATGCTGTTTATATAAACAATGTAACTTCTCTGAGCCTTAAAAAATTATTTTATTTTTAATTGACACATGATTGTATATATTTATGGGGTATAGAGTGATATTTTGATAAATGTATACAATATGTAGTGATCAAATCTGGTAATTAGCATATTTATCACCTCGAACATTTATCATTTCTTTGTGTTGGGAACATTCAAGACCCTCTCTTCTAGCTATTTGAAGACATACAATAAGTTGTTGTTAACTATAGTCACCCTACAGTGCTATAGCATGCTAGAACTTATTCTCCTATCTGGTTGTGATGTTGTATCCATTAACCAATCTCTCCCTATCCTCTCCTCCCCCTACCCATCTCAGCCTTTAATAACCACAGTTCTACTCTCTAATTCTATGAGTTCAACTTCTTTAGCTGTCAGATGTGAATGAGAACATGCAGTATTTGTTTTTCTGTGCCAGACTTATTTCACTTAACATAATGTCCTCCAGGCTCATCCAAGTTGCTGTGAATGACCGGTTTTCATTTTTTTTAATGCCTGAGTAGTATTCTGTTTGTGTGTGTGTGTGTGTGTATCACATTTTCTTTATCCATTCATCCGTTGATAGACACTTAGATTGATTGCATATGTTAGCTATTGTCACTAGTGCTGCAGTAAACATGGGAGTGCAGACATCTCTTGATATACTCATTTCTTTTCTTTTGGGTATATACCCAGTAGTTGGATTGCTGGATCATACGGTAGTTCTAGTTTCAGTTTTTTGAGGAGCCTCCATACTGTTTTCCATAATAGCTGTATTAAGTTATATTTCCACTCTCAGTGTGTAAGCATTCCCTTTTCTCCACTTCTTTGACAGCGTTTGTGATTTTTTTTGTCTTTTTTATAATAACTATTCTAACTGGGGTGAGATAATATCTCACTGTGGTTTTGATTTGCACTTTCCTGATGATTATTGATCTTGAACATTTTTTCATATACTTGTTGGCCATTTGTATGTCTCCTTTTCAGAAATATTTATTCAGATCGTTTGCCTATTTTAAAATCAGATTATTTGTTTTCTTGCTGTTGAGTTCCTTGTATAGTTCCTTGTATATTCTAGAAATTAATCCCTTGTCTTTGATAGGTGGTGCAGCAGGAGTTGTATCTCGAATCACCGGTTCTGTTGGGAAAGGTTTGGCAGCAATTACAATGGACAAGGAATATCAGCAAAAAAGAAGAGAAGAGTTGAGTCGACAGCCCAGAGATTTTGGAGACAGCCTGGCCAGAGGAGGAAAGGGCTTTCTGCGAGTAAGTTCTTTGCTGAATCTTTAAGAAATCTGCAACTTAAAAAAAAGTGTATTCTAGCTGGTTGTGTGAAACTTAGAATGCTGCTTATGAGTCTAGGCCTGTAGGAATAGAAAGAATGATAAATGATGGACTTCCCAGTTTCCTTTTTGCTCCCCTTCCCCATTGTCACCACCAGATCTATCCCCTGAATTGTCAGATTTCATAAAACTGTAATGATGACAGGGTAGTACTGGTGTAGAAGGCGAGGAAGTGAGAAGCAGAGATACATGGTACCTATGGAAACTAGAGGGAGAAGGAGCTCTGCAGGTCATCAGCAATTGACTGTTTCTGTGGAAGGGATGTGTGAAAATTAATTGTTGATAATCCAGGAACTGCCTTTCATTACTTTTTAATACTTTTAAAATTATATAGGTAATATATGAATACTGCTTAATTATATAGGTGATGTATGAATATTCTTATAATTATAAGAACTTAAAAGTTATTGTTAATAAGTAAATAAAACATTATAAGTAAGGCTAGAATACCCTAATCATCTCATCTGTTTCCAATTTAAGTGTGTATCCATCAGTTCTCTTTCTGTGTGTTCATAGAATATACAGGTATTTTACTACCATTACTTCATAATGATTAAAAATGTATTAGTATATTCATGTTTTAATTTTGGAAATAATTTCAGGAAACTGCTGTGTTTTTTGATAGTAATTTGTAATGTTGGGTGTTACAGTTACTAAGGCACTTTATTTGCCAGGTTATTACCTGTCCCTGGGAGGGCCCTTTATTTTCAGTTTTCTACACTTCCACTAAGTTACAATGTAATCCCCTTAAAATTTATAATTAGATAGTAAATATTATTTGGCTCAACTCACTCATTTTGCTGATGTGGAAACTGAGACTTAAAGAGATTTCAGCTACCCATGGTTACGTAGCTGATTGGTGTCATAGCCAGATTTAAAATCCTTTTACCTGCTTTACTCCTGTTTCTTTTATAAAATTTATAAAATGCTTTCATTTAAGATTTGCTGTGATATGATATTTGAAAAATCATAGTGCTAACTTATATGTGTATGTTGTTCACATTATCAAGTTAAGTCTTCAATTTTTGTTGTTGTTGTTGTTATTTCCAGTATGTCTGTAGAGACCTCTAGTGGTTGGTTTAAAATTAAACACCTTCCATTCAGTCTAAACTATATGATTGATTTCTCTTTCAGGGAGTTGTTGGTGGAGTGACTGGAATAATAACAAAACCTGTGGAAGGTATGTTGAAAATATTTCCTTCCTTTACAAAGTCTGAAGACTTGATGCTATTAGTAAACATAGTAGATGTTATTGCTGCTATATACTTGATTGAGAAAATTACTGACTGAATTTTATATTCGTAGCCTTAAGTTGCTCAATGAATGTATTTTCCTTAGAAAGCAGAGAGGTTAAGTAGTAGATCATGCTTCAGACTTTGAATGCTATTTTTAGCAGGGCCAGAGATAAACTAGATTTGTTTGGGTCCTCAGTAGCAATTTACTCAGTTTTGCTGTTGTTGTTTTTATCCCATTAAAAAAGCACATTGCTTATTCAGTGCAACCCTTATCAAAATCCCAGTTGGTTTCTTTGCAGAAATTGACAAGCCAAGTCCAAAATTTATATGGCCATTCCAGGGATCCCAGATAGCCAAAAAAAAAGTCTTGAAAAAGAACAAAGTTGGAGGACTTCTACTTCCCAAATTGAAAACTTACTGTAAAGCTACAGTAACTAAGACAGTGTAGTACTAACATAAGGATAGACATATAGAACAGTGGGATACTATTCAGAAATAGAGTTCAGAAGGAGTCAGAAATAGACTCTTACTTATGGTTAACTGATCTTCGACAAGGATGTCAAGATAATTCAATAGGAAAGAACCGTCCTCAAGAAATTTGCTGGGACAACTTCATATCTATGAGCAAAAGAACAAAATTGGACCCCTACCTGTACCATATATAAAAATGAGTTCACAATGGATTAAATACCTAAATGTAAGAGCAAAACCATTAAACTCAGAGGAAAATATAGGAGTCAATCTTCATGACTTTGGATTAGGCAAAACTTTGCTAGAAAAGATACATAAATTGGACTTCATCAAATACATAAATTGAACTTCATCAAAATTTAAAATTTTTGTGCTTCAAAGGACAACCATGAAGACAGGGAAAAGACAGCCCACAGAATGGAAGAAAATTTTTGCAAATCATATATGTGATAAAAGACATATCTAGAAAATATAGAGAACTATTAAAAATCAACAATAAAAAGACAACACAATTTTAAATGAGCAAAAGATATGAATAGACATTTCTCCAAAGAAGATATACATATGGCCAATAAACACATAAAAGGATGGTAAACATCATTAGTCGACAGGGAAATGCGAGTCAAAACTATGAGATACCGTTTCACACCTACTGGGATGGCTAGAATCAAGTGTTAAGAGGATGTGGAGAAATTGGAACCCTCATACACTACTAGTGGGACTGTAAAATAATGCAGTCATTTTGGAAGAAAATAGTCTGTCAGTGCTTCAAAAAGTTAAACACAGAGTCACCATGTGTCCCAGCAATTCTACTCCTAGGTTTATACCCAGAAGATTTGAAAACAGGTGTTCAAACAAAAACTGTGCACAAATGTTCATAGCACCATTATTCAAAATAACCAAAAGATGGAAACAACCCAAATGTCCATCACCTGATACATGAATAAACAAAAGGTGATATTTTCATACATTAGAGTAGTACTCAGTCATAAAAAGGAATCATGTACTGGTACTTGTTACAAAATGGATGAACCTTGAAAACATGATGCTAAGTAGAAAAAAAAGTCACAGTACACCACATATTACATAATTCCATTTGTCTGAAATGTCCAGAATAGGCAAATCCATAGGGATAGAAAGTATCTGTAGGTGGTTACCTAGTCTGGAGGTGGGGAGGGGCAGGGAGGAATGGAGGTACACTGAGTAAGATTTGGTGGGGAGAGGCTGGGGGAAATAGGGAATGATTGCTAATGGAAAGGGGGTTTCTTTTTAAAATGATAAACATTTTCTGAAATGGATTGTGGTGATAGTTGTAGAAGTCTGAACATACTAAAAGCTAATTTATCCTAAAATTTAATTTGTACATTTTAAATGGTAAATTTTATGGTATATGAATTGCATTTCAATAAAGTTGTTATATATTTTTTTAAAAGCACACTCCTTGAAAAATCTAACGGTCAGCATTAAAAAAGAGAATGTTTACTGGTCCCTTCTTACACCTGCAAGTTGCAGGTACTGATGAGACTCCTAGATCAGTAGTTCTCAAACTTGAGCATGTGTCAGGATCACCTGGAGTGCTTAGAAAAACATAAATGCTGGCCCCGCCCCCAGAGTTTCTGATTCAGTAGGTCTGGGGTGGGGCCCAGGAATGCGCATTTCTAACACACTTTGAGAAACCACTATTTTATCACATTAGGATTACATTTAACTTCTTTAGAAAGCCAAATTTTTGTAACTTCCTGGGTAAAACAGTTCAGTATCTGGCCCAGGTTTTGGTTGAGCTCAAACTTGCTCATTTAAAAATATCTTTATCCATTCATGGTCATTGGTTTTCTGAAGGTGCCAAAAAGGAAGGAGCTGCTGGATTCTTTAAAGGAATTGGAAAAGGGCTTGTGGGTGCTGTGGCCCGTCCAACTGGTGGAATCGTAGATATGGCCAGTAGTACCTTCCAAGGCATTCAGAGGTAATTGAGTACATACTATGTGCAAGGTATGTGTCTGTGTGCTAATTATTACAAGGAATACATAAATAGATTAGATTATTTGCCTGCTCCTAAGGATCTTAAAGTCTAATTGAAAGCTGTGGTAGCTTTAAAACATAGAGTGCCTCCAGAAAGGAATAAGAAAAGACATATTTTGCGAACATGGTGAAACCCCATCTCTACTAAAAATACAAAAATTAGTTGGGCGTGGTGGCGGGCACCTGTAATCCTAGCTACTCGGGAGGCTGAGGCATGAGAACCGCGTGAACCTAGGAGGCGGAGGTTGCAGTGAGCTGAGATCGTGCCACTGCACTCCAGCCTGGGCAACAGAGGGAGACTTTGTCTCAAAAAAAAAAAAAAAAAAAGAAAAAAGAAAAGAAAAGAGACATATTTTATGGCTAAATTTCTCTTTTATTCAACAAATGTTTATTACCTACCATGTGCCAAGCCCTGTGCTAGACACCAAGGATACAAAGAGTAGATGAGCTAGGCCCTGCTTTTATTATTTTGATATTTCTTTTTATTTTAGAAAAGGTTGGGGGATTTGGAGTCAGACAGACTTGGTTTTAATACTTTTGCATTATTTGGGGAAAGCTATTTAAAATTACTGATTGTTTTTTGTGAAATATTTATGTATTTAATCAACACACACATTATTTTGAAAGACTCTCACGTATTTTCTTACACTTACTCTGATGCCTTATTCAGGGCAGCAGAATCAACTGAGGAAGTATCTAGCCTCCGTCCCCCTCGCCTGATCCATGAAGATGGCATCATTCGTCCTTATGACAGACAGGAATCTGAGGGCTCTGACTTACTTGAGGTAAATTTTGTTCTTCATGGTCACGAGTGAAATGGAATTTTAATGATTTCTAGGCCCAGGATTTCCTAGGTGGTTCTTAAAGTTCCTGATTCTTGAACTGCTTTAAGTATTATACATAGTTTCTAGAGTAGAATTTGATTGTTTTTCATTTTAGCATGTGTTAAATGGAAATTACAGATGATTTTTTTTCTACATGGGAGCAAAGCTTTTTTTTGTGTGCAGAAAAGATAATGTTAAGTCATAGGCTATATCACTATTTCTGTGATAGCTCATTTAGTTAACATTGTTAATTTTGTTTTCCTGCTTTGTAGCTGATTATTGGAACTTCATTGCTTCCATTTCTCCCAACCAAATTAATTTATTTGCACTACTTTGTAAATCTAGATTTATTCCAGTAACTAGAACTAGATGAGAGAATAAAAGATTATGTATAATTATGATCTTGTTAAACCTTAAAAAAAATTTAAGAGCTTTTTGGCTTTTATTTTAGTTTTAACTTGATTATATTTTGATAATATATACATATATAAATTGCTATTCTCCCATGACAGGCTTTCCCCCAAAAGAAATGTATTAATATTTTTCTACCTTGACTTTAAAATAAAATGCCTCTTAATTGTTCTTCCTTTGGTTTTTATTGTATATGATTACGTTTTATCTATCTTTCTGCATGCTTCTAACTTTATTTTCTTTGTTTTTCTGCCTGCACAGCAAGAACTGGAAATACAGGAATAAATGTTTCCTAAACTACTACTTGATTTCATCCTTAAAAATCAAAACAAACTGTGGTGTTAATTGACTGTGTGTGAATTCCATTGTCAATTTTAATGAAATTTTCTTTAAAACTCTCACCTCCATCTGAACTTTTCATAGTAGTGGGATTGACTACAAATAAAAACTTGTGGTATTCCTGGTAATACTGTCCAGAAATAAGAGATTAGTATAAAATATTAAAGGATGCAGAGAATCAGCTCTCTTCTGCGTTTAATAGATGAAAGCCTTTATTGAGCTCAGAAGCAGATACTGTTACTATCATTTCGAAAATTTTATCTTATGGTGTTCATGTGCATTTCAGGTAAAATTGAAAAACAGGACAATTATTATGTCCAATTAATATGTTTATGTTTGTGAGTCTTGATGATGGAATTACATAGCTTTCTGTTTCACAAATGGCTCTAAATTTGCTTAAGTTACGGGACTATTACCTGGAGCATCTGCTTTAATAATTGAATTGTCAGTTGCTCTGAGCCTGCCCTTAGACCTCAAGTAATAAATAGTTGGCACATGAATTTTGAGGATATGTTTCCTCTTCCCTCTTTTTCCTATTTAACCCCTTGGTACTGTTGCTAAATAAATGATAGCCATTTTATAATTATGTTATATACATTTTCAGCCTTTAGCATTTCTGCTTTTCAAAAATTGAATCTCCTTGTTGGTTATGCTTATTTCATAATTATTAGTTTTAATTAATGTAGATAGAAGTTGAACATGTAATTAGGCAAATTGCTGTGTGGCACTTGAATACATAGATTTCTTTATTTTCAAAAACCAACCTTTTGCTTTTAAATCCTTAGAGAGGGTTTATTATCTTAGAGAAAAAATAATTATAATCATTATTTTTGAAATTAGTATCCTCTTAATTCTCAACATAAGTTATGTTTCAATTTCTTTTTTTTGTAATAAATGATGGAAATGTTTAACAATGTCTTATCTAGCAACTTTCATGCTTCTCCTCAGAAATGAAGCCAAAGTATAAACTTAGATTTAATGTGTTGTATATTTGAAGAGAATGAAACTATTAACATATAATTGTTCAGTTGGATTATGTATTTTAAGGATTGCAGTTATCAAAATAATAAATTGAATGTTTTATGTTTAACCACTTTAAAGAAGAAAGACTGACATCCAAAAACCAGCGTGTGCTAGATATACAAAGGAAATTACTTCTGTCCTTAAGGGACCAAGTATAACAAAACATGTAACTGTTAAAAGTAGCTGACAAACCTTTCTTGTGCCTAGATAATTTAGCATTGGCAAAAATGTCACCACATGCAGTTTTCTAGGAGAGTCAAGCACAAATAACTAATTCAAGATGCTGACTTAAATCATCTCCAATAGTTACCCTTCCTGAGATTCTAAAGTAACAATTTTTAATTTTACTGGTTATATTGCTGTTTTACTGAGACTTACTTTTAAGAACCCCTGTAACTTAAGATTTTTTCTTAATTGTTTTGTTTAGCTCTGTTATTAATTTTTTCCTTGTGATATCTTTTTATAACTCTCTGTCAAAAAGCACAAAACTTCAAGAAACTTTTAATTATTTTGTCTGAACATATAATCTTGTCTGATTTCTTAGTTTTTATTAAGATATCAGACAACTTTTAAAACTTTAGTGCATTATTATAATTACTGGAAGAAAAAGAATGATTATACACTAATGAGAGGACTTGGTAGTTTTTGTCGTGGATGTCAAGTGTGGGCATGGATAATTGAAATATTTAGGCTATTTCATTCTTTGCCCATCTTGCTGTGATCAGTTAGTTGGGTAAAAATATTTATTGATTATTTAGACTGTACTGGATATACAAAAGAAGCCTTCTGTCCTTAAGGGACCGAGTAAAACAAAACATGGAAATATTAAAGAGTATTAGAGTATAAAAGTATATCTTTTTAGCCCTTTGTAATATGGCCAAATTCTAAATAATTTATTTGGGGATCTTTTGATCCTCATGTTCCTTTTTCTCCTAAGTACTACTTTGTATTCTTTAATATGCAGCTTTGAGAGTTACTGAATCATATATTATATTTCCATGAGATGTACTATTCTACTTATCCTCTAATCTTCATATATATATACACACACACATATATATACACATACATATATACACACGTACATATATGTACACATACAGATATACATACACACAAACACATATATACACACATACATATACACACATATATATACACATACAAATATACACATATATACACATACATATATATACACACATACAAATATACCCATATGTACACATACATATATACACATACATATATACACACACATATACACACATATATACGCAAACATACACATATTTACACATACATATATACATACATTATATGTATGTATATATAGTCATTTAATACTCATTTTGGTTCACATACTTATGATCATGCAACGTTTAAAACAGCATTTCTTGCTTTTTAGTTTTAGTTATATTTTTCCATGTTCTTAGAAATGCCTCATTAACATTTTTAATTCTTGTATTGCCATCTATTGAGGTGACATTACATTGTGTTTTTATCTCGTCTTAATTCATGACATTAAATTATTCTACTAACAGTAATAATGCTGTAATAAACATCATTATAGATTTTGCTTTTTTATATCTTGTTTGCTTTTTCATATTTCCTTAGAATTTACTTGAAAAAATTGAATTACTGGGTAAAGGGCTTTTGCAAAGTATTGTTAAATTCCTCGAGTTGCATTTTTGGAAAGGGGACGTGAATATTTTATCAACTAATTTGGTCTCCCTGCTGCCATTAGTGACTGAATATCTTAATCTGAATCTCAGAGTGTAGTGGGTTTTTAGTAGTGCTGAAGACAAGTTTTCTAAAGTGTATTATGGTGATAAATTATATTTTAAAAACTGTCAATGGCTTGAAGCACAATAGCCTAATAACTAACGAAAATACATACAAGATAGAAAGTGGGTAGTATTTCTTGTACTTGCATTTCAGATCTAAATATTTTAACATATTTAAATTTCAAGCTGCAGATAAATGCATTACATTATTAAATTCATTTCCCATTTTCTCTTTGAAGAAATTAAGGCAAAAGTGTTAAAAGATTTTAACTAATTCGCACAAGTGAATTGTGAAACAAGTAGCTATTGCTGTGAAATCTGCACTCCTCTCTGAGACTCATTCTGAAGATGAGATCCCAGTTCTTTGTGGATTCCTCTTCCTTATTCATGGCTTTTTGCAATTGTCAAGGAATGACTAGGTACCAAGCAACTTTAAAAAATGTATATTTAAGCATTGAAATAATATCAAATGTGATTTCTCTGCTTGTGGTTATATTGATTATATTATCCTTTTAATAATATTGGCATTATATTCTTGGTCGTAAAATGTCAAGGTCTTATTTATTCAGTATATTTATGTTCTGTATTTTCATATATATTATCTATTTTCAGCCATGCATTATATATAATGTCAGTAATAGTATTTCATTAGCATTCATTATAAAAAAACTCGTTTTTAATATTTGACTAATTCAAGTCACAGTACTTTTGAGATAGCTGAAAAGGAAAATAAATGTGTTTTAATGTGCTACTACTTATACTTGAATTATTTTATGCTCATATTTGTTTTTAGAAATAAATTGTGCCAGCTATTTTGAAATCTTAGAAATTGTTCATATTAATATTGTCATATTTTCTTTTCTATAAGAAATATAATTTGATATATAAATATACTTCCCCACGCATGTTTAACGTATAAGATCAAATGTTCAAAGCATTAAACATTAATTATCTTGGAATTTTATTATGTGTATAATATCTACTAATACCTCTATGTAAACCAGTGGTTCTTAATCTTTGAGATCACAGACCCCCCTCTGTGATTAAAAAAAAACTGACAAAAAATATTAACTGCCCTGAAAAAAGTTTTAGAACTACGTTTTCAAAATTTTCTATTTTATGTTAGGTGGTTCAGAGACCCACCGCAAAGTGCTACCAGTGACCCCTATTTCAAATCCCCTGTAATGTTAATGTAGTTATTTTATATTAGCATATGTTTCTTAATTAAAGTGTGTGATAATTGCTGGTAGATATTTTAATATTTCTAAGTTACTACAGAACAAAATGTATTTTACCAGAAGACCACTTGGTAAGCATTTATTACATGTTTTTCTTTTAAGGCAACAGTGGAAGTTAACTTACAAACATGCTGTGAATATTTTTCTAGCTTCATGTACCAATATGTAGAATTGTGCTTTTATTTCTAATTAATTTTTTCCTAACACTATTATTATAATTAGCTAATATGCAGTATTGTAAATACTACTTAAATGCATAACTTCCCAAATCTAGAGCCTGGTTTCCTTTTCAGAATCATATCAAAAAGTTGGAAGGAGAGACTTACCGATACCACTGTGCTATTCCTGGAAGCAAGAAGACAATCCTTATGGTTACAAATAGGTACTGACTTGAAGTGACATTTTTCCAAATAGTACTTAGTTGCATAGGTCACAAGAATTTTGAAGGCTAAAATGGCAGAAGAGTTGGAAAATTGTACTTAAAATTCTCCAAAGTGAATGGCAAAATGTTCATTTTCATAGAATCACAATACAGATCTAAATAGGTCCTTTGAGATTTTCTTTTCCGACCTCCTCATCTGAAAGATGCTGAAACTGAGACTCAGTGTGGCTTAGGGACTTATCCAAGTTACACAACCACTGAGAGAATGTAGACTAGGCTTTATACCTGTAATAGTGATACCCTTTTTCATGAATTACAAGTCCAGTTATGGAGGATTAATTCATGAATCACTTTTGTTACTAAGTTTTATTTTGAGTGATTAGCATACCCCTTTTAAAGGGTGGCATTACTTCTATATGTTTATCTCAGCTTTTCCTAAGCATTTGGTTGTGGTAGATTTTTCCAAATAGAAGAACTTATAGTAAACTACCAAGCTTATTTTCCTGGGATCTATCCTAGATAATAAAATTATCCCAAAATGACAATTATATATTAATAATTTTCAGAACTTTCTTAGTGTTGAGCTTTATAAGAGTAAGGCAAAGTTCTTACAGTGGCAAAATCTGCATTAGATTCCTCATGACTGCATTTAAATTTGTTTGAATGGGAATAAAGAAAAGCTGAATGACAGGATAAGAGAGGTTAACCAGTCATGTCAGAATCCTCATGTAAGAGAGGATTCTCCAGTCATGTGATTTGCTCATTAGTTAAGAGTTAAAAATATTCACAAAACAATCTAAAAAGCAGATTTTATGACTTTGACAAGTAATCACTTATTTTTTATGTCCATAATTTTATATTGTCTTCAATAGATTAAGCCAAAAACAATGTTTTTTTGTCTTAGATATTGTACTTAGCTGTTGCAATGTGTTAATTCATTTTAAAATTGTATCACTTTTATATAATTCAGTACTGGGCAATGAGAATCAATTTGGGGTTTTTTTGGTAATACTTATTGGTAATACTTAGTACCTATTTGATTTAAGCCATTCTGTGGGAGTATTACTGTATACATTATATATCTGGTTTTTCTTCAAGTACATTGAAAAATCATCATCATTTGAAATCTAGTCACTGATGGAGTTGTTTAGGAGGTAATTAGTAAAATATACCTGACCAGTAAATACTATGACTTAGTTTCCTTGCTAACCTTACTTAGTAGACTCCTTTTCTTTTCTCCTTTCCTTTCCTTTTCCCTTTCCTTTCCTTTTCCTTTTCCTTTACTTTTTCTCTTCTCTTCTCACTCTTTTCTTTTCTTTTTCCTTTTCTTTCTTTTTTTTGAGACAGGGTCTCACTCCGTCACCCAGGCTGGAGTCCAGTGATGCGATCTCAGCTCACTGCAACCTCTGCCTCCTGGGTTCAAGTGATTCTCGTGCCTCAGCCTCCCCAGTAGCTGGGATTGCAGGCATGCACCACTATGCCCAGCTAATTTTTGTATTTTTATTAGAGACGGGGTTTTGTTATGTTGTCCAGGCTAGTCTTGAACTCCTGGCCTCAAGTGATCCGTCCACCTTGGCCTCCCAAAGTGCCAGGATTACAGGCATGAGTCACAGCACCTGGCCTTAGTAGACTCTTTCTAACAAGAATGTATTTGATTGAGGTAGTTATCATTATGGTAATCATTTAGACCTTTAATGATTACATTAAAATAGTAGCATTTCTTCCAAATTCAGTATTCTTAAAAATAACATTTTCTTTTTTAAAGAAATGGGGTCTCTCACTGTGTTGGCCAGGCTGGACTCAAACTCCTGGACTCAAGTGATCCTCCAGCCTCAGCCTGTTAAGTAGCCTGGACTATAGGCATACATGCACCACCACATCCAAAATAATTTTTATTGCTAAAGTTATGGCTATTCATTGTAGATAACATAGAACAGGAGTCAACAAACTTTCTTTAAAGGGACAGATAGTAAAATTTAGACTTTAAGGGCCATACTGTGTTTCTCAACCTTTTGTTTTTGCCCTTATAGTAAGAAAACAGCTATGAACAGTATGTACAAGAATGACATAGCTGTGTTCCAGTAAAATTTTATATATTAAAACAGGTCTTGGGCTGGATTTGGCTTGAAGGGCACAGTTTGGCCACCCCAGTATTGAAAATAAGGAGATGAAAATAGGCTGGGTGTGGTGGCTTAAGCCTGTAATCCCAGCACTTTTGAGAGGCCGAGGCGGGCGGATCACTTGAGGTTGGGAGTTCGAGACCAGCCTGGCCAACATGGTGAAACCTCATCTCTACGAAAAATGCAAAAAATTAGCTGGACTTTGTGGCGCATGCCTGTAATCCCAGCTATTCGGGAGGCTGAAGCCAGAGAATCACTTAAACCTGGGAGGCGAAGGTTGCAGTGAGCTGAGATTGTGCCACTGCACTCCAGCTTGGGCAACAGAGCAAGACTGTCTCTCAAAAAAAAAAAAAAAAAAAAAAAAAAGAAAGAAAATAACTAACCATACATGCGTTCTAGTTTGCCTAGGACATAGTAGATTTGCTTGCACGTTTTGTCCCTATGTAATTATCAATAGCTATTCCTTTCATTCTTAAAAACATCCTGGTTTGAATAACAGATTATATGATCACCCCTAAAAATATCCTTTACCAGCAATGTCAGCACCCAAAGATAACCCCATTAGCTGGCACATTTTACGAAAACTATGTACAAAAAAATGCATTATTACATTTTAGTCTTGTCAATTTTTCATGTAACAATATACTGTCATCATCTTCCCAAAGCATTAAATATTCTTTGACAACATGATTTTTAATGACTACATAATTTTGTATTTGCAGATATGCTATAATTTATTAAAATACTCCCTCACTATTGGACATTTTTTCCCTAGTATCTTATTGTTATTTATTTGTAACCAAATCTTTTTCTATTATTTTATTAGAATAAAATTTTAAAAGGGGGATTGCTAATTTAAAAGTTGTGAAGATTTTTGAGGTCCTTTCTGTATATCGCCAAGTCATTTTTCAGAAAGGTTGTATCAGTTTTTTTACATACCACTCAACAATATATGAAAGTGTTCTTTCTCCTGTGTTTTGCTGAGACTAGGTTTTATCACTTAAACTTTTATTTTTTGCTAGCTTGATGGGTAGAAAATAATTTTTTGTTTTAATTAGCATTTCTTTGATTACTGTTGAGCCTGTACCTTTTAATATATCATCATCTATTTATATTTGCTACTTTGTGAATTACTTGTTCATATTCTTTGCTCATTTTTCATTGGTATGTTAGTCTTTTTCTTACTGAATTTAAAGAGCATTTTGCAAATTAATGATATTAGCCCTTTTTGTCAAATGTATTATTGACATGTTAGTGATTGCTAATTGAGTTTCTCAGTATATAGCATTTTTTTGTTTTGAAATTCACCCAAAACTTAGTCCCTGAATTTTTTTTTCTTATGAGTTTTTAAAATCAAAACACAAGTTCTCAAGACCTAAGTTTCTTAGGCTATAGCTTTACTAGTTGGTCCTAACTCTGCTATAGTTTATTTTAGTAATCTTTATTGAGAAATTCATTATTGAGCAGACTTTAAAAAAAAAAACCATCAACATATGACAAATACAGGGACACAGAGATGAAGTTACATCTCTGTTCCTTCCCTATTTTAATGGGCAGGGGGCTACAAATTATCAATGATATCACCGTGTGATAGGTGCTAAGAAGAGCGATGGACAGAGTCTCTGAGGACATAGGGAAAACTCTTGGTACAGTAAGATGGGGACCACAGTGTCATGGGAAAAGTGTCAGGGAGGCTTTTATAGATGAGGGAGTGCTTGAGCTGAGTCTTGAGTATGTAGCTCTTGCATAGGTAAACTAGAGGCAAGTGGAGGCATACAATAGTATGGCACTTTGACCAGTAAGATCAGTGTGGAATGGCTGGATGGTAGGGTGTTAGTGTTGGGAGATCAGTCATAGGTAGCAGCTCATAAGATTCTAAGGGTTTAGGTTTTATCATTAATGTGATGGAGAATCACTGGTTTTTGCTTAAGGTATAGTCTGCTATTTTATTTTTTTGAAACAGGTTCTCATTTTCATTGCCCAGTCTGGAGTGCAGTGGCTCGATCGTGATTCACTGCATTCTCGACTTCTCTGGGCTCAGGTGATTGTCCCACCTTGGCCTCTTGCATACTTGGTACCACAGGCATTCACCAGCTAATTTTTTGTATTTTTAGAAGAGACAGAGTCTCACTATGTTGCCCAGGCTGGTCTTCAACTCTGGGCTCAAGCAGTCCTCCCACCTTGGCCTCCCAAAGTGCTGGGATTACAGGCATGAGCCATCATAACTGGCTGGCAGTTATTTTTTTATTTGATATCACTTGTAGCTTCTCACACAGAATAGTACACACGTGAGTAATCTCTCTTTTTTTCTACCCCACAGAAGGTTTGTAAACAAGTAATATGATGAGGCTTGTAGTTTTAAAAGATCCTTGGCGGTTTGGATGTTATACTGGAAGAGAATCAGTCCAGAGGCAAGGAGACCAGTTAGAGACTGTATACATTTTGTATTGCTGCACAACAAATTACCACAGAATCCACTTCCAAGCTCATTTGCTGTTGTTGGCAGAATTCTAAGATCCCTGTTTCTTTGACCTCTGTCAGCCAGCGAGCTGCTCTTAGCTCCTAGAAGCTACCCTTATTCCAACCCAACAAGGGTGCTTTGAATCTCTGACTTCTTGGTCTCTTACGCAGATTTATAGTCCATGAACTTAGGTCAGGCCCACCTACATAAACTATTTTTGCTCAGAGTCACCTGTGCCTTATAATAACCTAATCTTGGAAGTAAAATCCATTATATTCAAAGTCCAGGGCACTATACAGAGATATATACCAGGGTTGGGGAATCTTGGAGACTTGTCTTAGAATTCTGTCTACCATAGAGACTGTGGCAGCTATCATGGTAGGAAGTGGGGAGGGCCTAAAGAATGAGGATTTGACTTATGAGACAAGGCTTGGTGACTGAGTGGATGTAGAGGAGAAAGGAATACATGATAGGGAGGGAGGGAGATAGATAGACAGATAGATAGATAGATAGATAGATAGATAGATAGATAGATAGATAGTTGGAGTTTGGATAAAAATCTCGAGTTGAGATCTGAGAGACCATTCTGAGGGAGTGTGTGAGTAGAAGACCAAGATTTGAACCCTGGTAAACATGGTGCAAGAGGAAGAAAATGAAGGAGACATTCTAGGTGGAAGGAGAACGGTAGTATTATTGGGATGGTAAAGAGAAGAGTTTAAAGATATTTGGAATAGTGAATTGTGTTTGGCACGAGGATTTGTGACAGCCATCCTTAGCTCTGTCAGCTGATTATCGACTGGGGCCGGGAGTGTGGGCAGTGGAGACTGTTTGGAAATGTATGGTGGTGTTGGAGATTGCCACAGTGATTGTAGGACACTACTGCCACTTACTAGGCTGGGGCTAGGGATGTTGAACTTTGTCCAGTGCACAAGACCATCCCATACAAGTCCAAAATTTAATAGCACCTCTGCTGAGAAATATAATGCCAGGGATCTATTTCAGTTCTCCACACTCCATTGGTCACCATGTTCATTCATGTCTGCCTTCTAAACATCTCAATCTAGCCCTTTCTTCCCCCTTCTCAGAGCCACTGCCATACTTGAGGCTTCCATTGTCTCCTGATTGGACTATTTATATTGCCGTAACTTCCTACCTTGATTGTCTATTGCCACTCTCTTTGCCACCTCCCTTCTGTTTACCACCAGAACCGTGAATCTAAAATATTTCCTCTTCATTAAAAGTGAAAGAACATTATCACGTCATTTCCTGTTTCATTAAAAGTGAAACATTTTTTAAAAGGAAAAATAATAGCCCTTCAAGGTCTGGCGCTAAGCTCATTTTCTCGCAGCTTCACCATGGTATCTATCTTGTATTCCAGCTGCAGACCTCCACATTCCTCAGATAAGTCTTTCCTTTTTTGTACTCCTTTATATGTCAGTGTGTTCCTCCTTTTGTCTGGGCTGTCATTTCCCTTACCCACATAGAGAACTCCTTCCTTTCAAGAATCAACTCCTGTGTCACCTACTTTGCCAGTACGATCTGTTCCTCTCTCTCTCTCGCTCCAAAAGACTAATCTGCACACTCTGTTACAGCACTTGTCTAATTGTGCTGTAGCGTTTATTTACATGTTTGTTTCTCCTCTAGCCAGTGAGCACCTCTCAAGCAGAATTATCTTCCTTGTTTCTCTGGCACCCTAAATATTTGTTGAATTAATAGTCCTTCTCTTCTTTTGTAATTTTGCTTTCTGTAATAGAAGCTTAATTTTAAGTATAGTTATATCAGTAATCAAAATGAATCACACACTGAGAAATCAATGTGGATGCCCTTTAAGGGTTCTGTTATTTTTTTTATTGCCATTGAGTAAAATAAGATACTCTGTGATAAAGTATATTAGCATTAAAGTGTTCAAATCTGATCTTTATTAGTAGGCCTCAAGTGAATCCTTGCTGACATTTAAGGTTTATGACATTTCCTTCACGTTCGTTCTTGACTGGAAGGCATAAATGGCTGACAGTAAAGAGCAATTAATAATTTTCCAAGTAAAACATTTTCAGGGACATCTGCCTTTATTGCTCCCCAGATGAGAGTACAGCCTGTTTCTTATGTGTTCCAAAGATGATTTCCCTATCAGCTTTTTGGTCAGTTAACCAAAAAAAAAAAAAAAAAAAAAAGAAAAGAAAAAAGAAAAAAAAGTTACACTTTTCTGAATTCTGCAAGATTGACAGAAGGGGAATTTTTGAGTCTACTTTGTTGCTTGGTAGGTGTCATATTTGCTCTTTATTTGACAGTTATCTAGACTTAAAAAAAATGAAGCAGGTTTTTTTTTTAGTGCCAGTTTATATTGTTTACTAAGCAAGTGCTACCTCTGCCATCCAGTAGGGTGAAATATTGGCAAGAATAAACTGTCTTCATCATTTACTGTAAGTTTTTGTTTTCTTTTGCAAAATAGGCGAGTGTTGTGTATAAAGGAAGTTGAAATCCTGGGCCTTATGTGTGTAGACTGGCAATGTCCATTTGAAGATTTTGTATTTCCTCCTAGTGTCAGTGAAAATGTGCTAAAAATTTCAGTTAAGGTAAGAAAACATGTCACACCTTTAGAGCTAAGAGTTCATTGCTTTTAGACTGTTTTGCAGTTAACTACACAAAATATTTGAAGGATTAGTGTCGTTATTACTACTATATGCTGAGATGTGAAGAAAGATGTAATCAATTTATTTGAATAACTGTACTTATTTTCTGGCAGTCTTGATTGCATAGAGTGAAATATCAGTCTACCCACCCAAATAATTAAGATTCTCATATGCTGATATTTTCTTTTTGGTAGAATTAAGCATTAGTAAATAGGAGAGGTTTTTTTTTTAACTTCATATGGACACCCATGTTGCTGTAATCTTAGACATTTCTGGAAAGATTCCCTCTTTTTAGGTTTTTAGAAGATTATTAAGTGATTTGATAAAATGTCTTTTCTCCCATCATTTTGTAAGGAAGCACTTTTATTTTAATTACATAGTAATTTGTAAAAGTGATACTCTGTCTTTTGCTTAGTTCTTAGACTCAAGTACTTAACTTTCTTTGAAATATGTTTGTTACATTATATATTATAAATTTATTTTCATGCCTTTAAAAAACTATAAATTATTATTCTAAATATGGCAATTTCTTTAGTGCATTTGTTTTCCCTAAACAATAATGTTATTTCTATTAGTGAAACTATCTGCAAAACTAAACGTTTTTTACTGGGAAATTTAGTAGCTAGAAGAACATTTACTGTGAAATTTAATAGCTATAGATGTGAGTACTGTTACCCTTTAATTTATGTTTACTTATCTTTTCATGGAAATTTACAAATAAAGGAAACACCGTGTTACCCTACCATTTTGTATTTCAGCATTACTACATTGTAGAGTGTCAAAATTTAAGGAATGTTTTGATGTATGAAATATAGTTTTCAAACTAGGAAAGACTATGTCACTGTGCATATATTTTATAGTTTCCTCAGTTATCACTTCTCTTTCACATCAATGGTGAGAATTGACTCAGTGTATTTTACATTATACAGAAATTTTATGTATCAGCCAAAGAAATGAAGGAAGGGTTTTTTGATTTGTCAGATGTGATGAGTTACCAAGTGGTGTTTCTGTAGGCTATTTATCATAGCCTGCAGAAAGCCATTATTTTATACAGATAGATGTATGCTCATCCAATTTTATAAGTTCTAACAACTCACATATGGAAATACCGTCCTTGTTCCAAGATGATTTATTTCATATCTTACTTGAATATGTGTATTTGGTTAGCCTACTTGTTATAAGATAGAGTTGACATTTAAGTATACAATTAAAAGTTAGGAATTTTTTTCTTCCTCAGAATAATTTCTTTTCTGTCATTGTTTCTTTTGAAACAGGAACAGGGTCTGTTCCACAAAAAAGACAGTGCCAATCAAGGCTGTGTTCGAAAAGTTTACCTGAAGGACACCGCCACAGCAGAGGTAAACAATTTAAAGAGCATGCCTCAATTTTTTTTAGCTGAAATACTTTTTTAAAAGCCTCTTATAATGAATACCATTATTTCTCCCAAAGCTCTCCCAAATATAACTATGGATGGATATATAAACTTAATATGCTGTGGACTCAGTCGGGTGCAAGGGTCTTATTTTTATATGACACATCTGGACTGTATCCTTGGTCCTTAGCTGTTGGTCCTGTTTGGAGAGCTTCAGCCCTTGCTTTCATACCTTTCCCTTCAACCAAATGAGCCTATACTTGTCTTTAAAATTCATAATAAGTATTTTACTTTACAGAGAGCATGTAATGCCATTGAGGATGCACAGTCAACGAGACAGCAGCAAAAATTGATGAAGCAGTCATCAGTGAGACTTCTCAGACCCCAATTGCCATCTTAATCACAGACCTCAGGGGCTCCAACAGGGAGAAAAAACAATCACTGGTCTTGTCTATAAGTCACTCTGCTTTATCTTGCTAAAGACAATTTTTCAAGCAATCCTTTAGTTTTAGTTTTCTGGAATAGCTAGTATTGGGTTTTCTAGTTTTTTCACCTTTTAGTTTTTACTCTAATTTTGTAACCATGTATATGCTAGCAGTCCACTTCTACGCCACCACCCAAATGGGTCAGACCCTTGAAGAAACGTCACTTCAAACTCAGAATGAAATTTTCATTAATATTAAAATTGTGAAGCAAAGGTCAATAGGCTTATATTTAATTAAAGCCTTACTGAAGAATAAGAAATGAGCTTAGAATGACTAGTGTTCTTTGAAAGGTTTTTTTATTTTTGTTTTTTTGGGGTTTTTTTTTTTTTTGAGACCGAGTCTTGCTCTGTCGCCCAGGCTGGAATGCAGTGGTGCGATCTTGGCTCACTGCAATCTCTGCCTCTCGGGTTCAAGCTGTTCTACTGCCTCAGCCTCCTGAGTAGCTGGGATTACAGGTGTGTGCCACCACGCCTGGGTAATTTTTTTTTTTTTTGTATTTTTAGTAGAGATGAGTTTCACCATGTTGGTCAGTCTAGTCTCGAACTCCTGACCTTGTGATCCGCATGCCTCAGCCTCCCAAAGTGCTGGGATTACAGGCATGAGCCACCACGGCCCGCCAAAAGGCTTTAACCCATGAACAAATGTTGGATCCTGACATTTTGTTTAAGAGTGATTTGTTCAATAATTGAACTGAGTTAACATTCTTGGTAAACCAGGTAATTGAATGAAGAAAGGTCACTAAAGGGAGAAATGACATGTTTTCTATTTTCTTTTCATGAAAACACTGTTTTTCCCCCTAATAAAGCATATTTTACTTTGGTGCTTATTTTTCCTCCTTGCAGTCTAATAAAAAAATCTGGACAATCAAACCTTAAAATAGCTACACTCTGCCCTCTGTAATGTAGCATTCATAAAAATTTGGAAGTATTTACATCCTCTTTCAAGATGAGCTTATATGACACAATTATTATTTGCTGATACATGAAAATACTGCACTTTAAGTTTCTCAAGACTCTGAAATATGTAAAATTCAATATTTTTATATTCCCAGAAATTGTTTCTTACAGGTTGAAAGTCTTTTAAGGGCATCACAAATTAACATTTACTCCTAATGCACGCCTAGAATGTATTTTAAATACTTACTAAGAAGAATGAAAATTCTTTGGTTGTTTTATATATAAATAAGGCATATATAATGACACTGTGTTCTGTGAGGGAGCAGGCCCTGTGAGAATCAATTCAGGACAGTATTTTTTTTTGTCCTTTCTCCATCCTTGATCAGAGATAAACTATTAAAACTTTAAAAAATACTCAAAAATATGTAAGTTTTTTGGTTGAACCTTTAGATTTGCTCATAATGTTTAACATAACAACATTTATTTCAAATCACTGAATTCATGGAGATGTGGACACGCTTGGTTTGCTCTATTTTTGTTTATGTGTGATAGTGGTTCTGTCATCATCATTCATGTTTTTTAAGGCCTGGTCATAAAACTTTAAATTTTACTAGTGTTACTTAATGTATATTCTAAAAAGAGAATGCAGTAACTAATGCCCTAAATGTTTGATCTCTGTTTGTCATTACTTTTTCAAAATTATTTTTTTCTGTAAAGTATAATATATAAAACTTCTTGCTTAAATTGAATTTCTATATTAGTGGTTAATTGCAGTTTATTAAAGGGATCATTATCAGTAATTTCATAGCAACTGTTCTAGTGTTTTGTGTTTTTAAAACAGAATTAGGAATTTGAGATATCTGATTATATTTTTCATATGAATCACAGCTGTTGACAATGTCCCATATATTTAAGAAATTATATCATACTGATACTATTTGTAACATTTTGATTTGATTTAATCTCCAGGGACAGAAATAATTCATTGGTAAAGTGTAATAATGCGTTTTTTAAAAATGCTTTGAGAGGTAATTACTTGCATATGAGAGAAATAAAACATTTGGCACATTGTTTACAGGTGTGAAAACTTTGTGGGTTTGTGTTATTCAAGTAACATTTGCTTTACTTTTTGTCTTTCCCTTTTCCTCTTCCAATCCCAAAATAGTGAGAAGTTATATTGATAGTTATGGAGGACTTTACAAGATACTAGTCAGAAAAGCTTTTTCTCAGGGGTACTGAGCCCCTTTATCACACTAGAGATCTGTGGCAGAGACCTCCAATACTGGGGGATTACAGAGAATGCGGTTGACCTAGGGGCCCAGCTGCACTTTGAAATCCATTGCTGTATTTGCATTGAGCCCATGCCTTCCGTGGTTTCTCTCAGCGACTGGCTGAGTATGAAGTTATACTAAGACATACTTAGTCTGGAAATTCTAGGAGACACAGAACTCCTCTGACAGCCGACTTTGGCTTGAAGACTCTTCAGTGGCCTTGCAGAACCTTTCTTAGACTGCATGGCAGTCTGGGATGTTCTACCATACCGCTGTCTTTCTCTTCTCCTCCCTCTTCCACATGGGGCTCAGACTACCAGTTTGGAAGGCTCACCCAGTGCTGGATTATCTGGTAGGAAGAATAAGTTCATGCTGAGGGCTGTAGCAAAGCAGGGGCATTAAAAAAGGAAAAAAAAAAAAAAGGAAGAAGACTGTACCCAAGCTTCGTAAGAAAAATGCCATCCAGGGTGGACTTACTTCCATGTGTTTTATGATTTAGTATTGTTTTTATTTTGAATTATGCATGAAGGAGGACACTATCATCTTTTTGGTGCTTTGAGTTTCTAAGTATGTTGATCTGGTGCTGCCTGGATATCTGTTTTTAACGAAGTTCTGTGTGTGTTTCTAATGTACAGCCAGGACTAAAAATTAATGCTCTGGACTTAAAATGATCAAATTCTTAAAGGGCTCTACAGATCTCAATGTTAGTTAATATTAAGTTGCAATTATTGCCAGAGCTGGAAGAATCATCTTTTTATTGGGGAGAAAAACCAAAGATTCTTAGAGGATAGAAGATTGCTCATAACAGGGTCATTTGTCCTCTGGGGACAAGCCCTTGTGGTTGAGAATCACTGCCAGAATGACCATGAGTACTGATGAAAGTGGGTTCTGTGCCATGTGTGTCAGCTCTAAGAAGAAATCGAGACTCACTGGAGCGGAGGGAGCACATTTCTCTTGGTAACTGTGCCGCTAGTGGGAAAATTGAGGCTTATTCTTGAATTCATGCTGGAAAGTATCTTCAGTTATAAGTGTGTATCATTCAAACAGTCAACTGTGGGTCTCTTTGAGGTGAAAAAGTCTTCAGAAAGAGTTTTCTGTTTTGTTTTTACAAACCGCAGACACATAGTTCCTTATTCAAAATTCAAAAATTCAGAAGGCTCTGAAAACCAAAAGATTTTGCAAAACTTTGAAACAAAGACATTTGGCAGCAAAATCTGAACTGAATTGACATGAGGCTATTCATGGTCTTTTATTCTATTTGGTGTAGATAATTTGGCTGTAGCAAAAGTACTTTATTTGGTTGTGGGGTGCTGCTGCAGATTTCCCTGGAGGCATACAAGCTCTATGTGGTATATGAACCATATTGTCTTTCTTTTTTCTTTTCTTTTTTTTTTTTTTAGAGACGATGTCTCACTCTGTCATCCAGGCTGGAGTGGTGCGATCTCAGCTCGCTGCAACTTTTGCCTCCCAGGTTCAAGCGATTCTTCTGCCTCAGCCTCCCGAGTAGCTGGGACTATAGGCGTGCACCACCACGCCTGGCTAATTTTTATATTTTTAGTAGAGACAGGGTTTCACCGCATCGGCCAGGCTGGTCTTGAACTCCTGACCTGGTGATCTGCCCACCTTGGCCTCCCAAAATGCTGGGACTACAGGCATGAGCCACTGCACCCAGCCCATATTGCCTTTCTTAAATGTGAAGTCCTCTATTCTGAAACATCTAGCCTCAGGGTTTTAGGTAAGAGATTGTAGAGCTGTATACCTACAAAATTCTCAATGTATTAAATTTGCTTCTCAAATTTTAGAAAAATCATAGACTATAGGAGAAACTCTAAGAAACAACAGAATTTTCTTCCCTCTCAGACCATACTAATGTTTCATTTTACAGTTAGTGCTGGCAAATTTTTTTTGATAAAGAGTTCAGAGAAATTGGTGTCAACATATATGTTGCCACATGATGTGTATCAGAAGGATGACACTTGAGAACAAATATGGAAACATAAGCACATCAAAATTATTTTTATCCCTTTTGTACATTACATATCTGCTGGATGAAAAGATTTTAAAAATTGACTTCTAGTGGGGAAAAAATTAGAATAGTAATGAAATATATATACCAACATGGTCCTCTATCCACTAAGATTATAACAACACTACAAAGAAGATTTAATTCTTTAGCATTATTTTAAACTTGAAGAAAGATCAAGCAACTTCCCCAGAGATTGACTACAATGCCTAAAGTGGTTTAAATGCCTTGATAAATGATTTTCACCAAGAGTAGATTTCAGTTCTTGGTATTTGGGTTTTGTTTGTTTTTGTAGAAAACATTTATCTTATGGTACCAGTTTTTCTCTTCACCCACTTTTCTCTTTTGCCATCATTTTAAGTCTTCCTTCTCTATGCATCATTTTAACTTTTCTTCTTATGGCACCTCTTTAAATATTAAGTTATCTTTGTTAAGTAGATATTATACTATTGCTTGGCAAACTACAACCTACAGGCCAAATCATCTGTTCTTACAAAGTTTTATTGGAACAACCACACCCATTTATTTGCATTGGTTATGGCTGGTTTTGCACTACAGTGGCAGAGTTGGGTAATTGTGACAAAGACAATACGGCCAGCAAAGCCTGAACAATTTACTATCAGACCCTTTACAGAAAAGTTCATTGATCCCTATATTGTGTCATATAATTGATCTTACAGATGGGACAAACAGATATCAGATGACTTACCCAAGGTCCTGTGGTGAGATAGGAACTGAAATTAGGATCCAACATCACCAACATCCCTCTCTATCTCTACTTCTTCCTAAAAACAAGGACATTGGTGTTGAATGAATGCAGCCAGTGTTGGCCTCTTGGATTTCTTTTAGAACCTTATACCCTTAACCCCAAATTTTATGTTCTCTCCCTATCTATGTTTTACACCTAACTGTGATATGGCATTTCCCATAGTAACACCCAAACCTAAGCCAGCCCTTAGTTAAAACATTTTTTTCCTGGAGAATTCTTACATATGGTCTAATATTACTATGACAGTTGACTAGCATATGTAGCTTTTGAGGTATACAAATGAGGAAATAAAAACTTTGGATATGGGACATAAAACTTGCCTCTATTTCCACAGCACAATCAAAACTAAAAATCAAATGCATGGGGTTCTACCATAAACCCTTATAGAGTTCTACTGATATCAGGAGTAGAAAAACCATGCCCAAGATACATACTTTATTATAACTGGCTAGGGACTTGCCAAAGTAGAAATGATATTTTTGAGCATGGCACATGACATTATAGAGTAGTAATGTAACAAATGAGCAGGTGTTCAAAGATTGCAATTTGAATGGAAACTATAAAATTTTAGCTTCACCAGAGGATGCTGCTGCAAATTAGTTAAGCAAGCACTTATTGATGGTTTAAATTAAGCAGCCACTCTGGAACAGGGCACATTTCCTTTCCCTGTGGAGTACTGTTAGAGAGGCTTAACCTACTTTGACACTTCTGATCAAATCTTCCCACTTCATTCAATTCACAGTGATTCATGCTCTCAAAAATAGTAAAAACGAAAAAAAAAAATAGGGCATGAACTAGAAGATTAACAGCGTTCTTAACTTTTTCAATAAAGATTTCTTGGACTATGCAGTCAGTTGAATAATCTATCACTGTTACTGAAGTAGGTAGTAGATTTTTTTTTTTCTTTACGCCAAGATAAGGGAATCATACTCCTGAAGAATTCTGGAATAGTTGTAAGGTCTATGGGACATTTGAATATATCTGGAATTATTGGCAGCAGGAAACAAGTGCTTTCTTGTGAAAAAGATTCCCATGGTTAAAACTGAGAGACCTGGAAAGCACTCCTTTCGAGTTGGCCTCAAATGAACAGAACAGAAATCTTGCATGACTATTATTACAATCCAGATGGTAAATGGACACCATTGAAAACACTGTTTAGTAAAGGCCATAAAGACTGAGTACCCATGACTTAGACTGGTGAATAAGAATATATTTCCCACACGACCTAAAATTAATGCTCAGTTGCCACCGAATTATAGTGCAGCTCTTTCAGAAGCACTAATGATACTTATTTTGTGTGGAATGGATTAATTTTAATCATTTTTTTTGGCAAAAATAATTCACTTGGGGGCCTTTGTTTTAGTTGTACTTACTCATAGAATAGTTAATGGTTGGGAGATCCTTATATTCAGCATAGATCTATTCTTGTGGCTTCCATCCATTGAGCCCAAATCCTTAGGGCTATCGGAATAAGAATGACTCTTTGTGTATATAGAAGCCTAGCTATGGGAGCACTACCTAGCAGAATTGAAGGCTGGCCTCATGTCCTACCATTTATCCAGCAAGCAAGTAAGTTTCATTTTCAAGTTCTCATCTTATTCTACCTAAACCATCCCTAATGAGACAAAACTTCAAGTCATCCCATAATCCTGGTGGCACTCCTTAAACAAACAAGTTCATCCATGTTCCTTTTAGGATATGGTGCACTGATCTGCAGGAATGTTCCAGGAATCAACTAAGGCAGATTAATGCTTTGACAATTCCATATTTTCTACTGCTTTTCTAACAGTAGTAAGTGTCCCAACCTATTAAAGCAATTACTTATGTAAAGTAACATTTCCCCATTATTGTAATTTATTAATCTTGTAACTTTTACTTATTTAAGAATATGGTTGAGTTATTCTTTTCACCACTTTTGCTAACAGTAAGGGTAAATTTGTATGGTACTGTAGATTTAAAAATCCCTTTACTTCTCTTGGCCTCAGTTTCTTCATTTGAAAGTAAGACCTTTGGACCAGATCTGCCTTTTTCACAAAAGGAGTTGAAGACTGGCCTCATGTCCTAAGGATCCCTTTAGATTTTACAAATATTGATAAAATGACCAGATGTAGAATTGTTATTTTGAAAAGGTGAGATGTATTGCTTGCAGAAGTTTTTTCCTCTTTCTCATAATATTCCTAAAGATGTTAAATGTGTATTCTTAATCATTAGTGAGTTTCTTTTTTAAAACCACAGAACATTTAACAGCACCACCACCAACAAAATCAAAAGAGAAAGTGTGGGAGATTGTTACTAGTCCTTGCATGGAGAAAAGTCTAGATGTGGAGACTGTAGGTAACTGAGTCCCAAAAGAGAGCCCCTGAAAGAACTGTGGGCAGGAATGGCTGAGTCGGGAGCTAGGTCATTGCTGTGAAAATGGGATCCTGCTCTTCCTTCTCAGATGCACACCCTCAGCAGCACCTTTTAGTTGTCTAAGGACCAGTGCTGTGTGAGGTGGTCATGGATCACACCATGCGCAACCTGGGCTCTCCATAAGCCATCACCCACTCAGAAGACTTCTCTGCTGGTCAGCCCTGTCATCTGAAATGTGTTGGAATCATTGCTTTGGATAATGGAATGCAAATGTTAACTCTTCAGATTAATTTGCATGGAGTAAATTACAAAATCAGAGAAAGGTCATTTTAACTAACATACTAAAGAGCTTTACAGTTTATAAATCCATACTTAATCTTTTTAAGTCTTAATAGCAGCCCTATATGGCAGGTAGTGATTTTCCATTTTGTAGATGAAGAAACATGTTTGTAGAAGTGATTTACCCAAGTTCATATAGGTAGGAAGTGCAGTCTCAGGAACTGGTTGAAATCACGTTCCTTTTCTATCGCACTATGCCACCACTTTGTAAGCACACCAACCTGCAGAAATGGACCACTTTCAAGCTCAAGGGAGCAAGATAGATAAAATTATAACTCATATGGATGCAGCTCTAAATGATTTTGATTCTAGTTATGCATGCATGCAGATGCATTCTTTATTCTTTTGAACCCCTTCTTGTGTGAGGAAATGAGAAGACATTCTGTAGTTCCTTTTGGCTTGGACTTCTCAGAGTTATCATCCTTCTTTCATAGGAATGTTTCATATTCCCTGGGCTTTTATATCACCTGGTCTTTTCTCGTATTAAGGCTAGGACATATATTTTCACAGAGTAAATGCAGGTTCCTCATGTACCACTAAACCAGTGATCTGGCTAAAGCATTGAATCCCAGTTGGGATGAACTTATGCTCACCTTTGTCTTTTAGACTGTTACCAATCAAAGGTAGGTTTACACCATGGTACATCCATTAGCATATTTCAGATGCAGGTAACCGAAAACTTTCATTTAATTAGCTTAACAAATAAAGGGATTTATTATCTAACATATTGAAAAGTGACATAACAAGACATAGATGGCTTCCTGTTTTATTAATTCATCAGCACAACACTACTATCCAAGAAGGCAGCATCTTTCCATCTTTCTGGTTTTGCCATCCTCGGCTTGGTGCCTACTTCATGGTCTCTGAATGGTCATGACAGTTTCAGACAACACATTTTGAAAACAATGAACTTGCAGAAGAAAAGCTTAACTCTGCCACTTTTTTTTCCCTTGAAGAGCAAGGAAACATTTCCCAGAAGTCTCCAGTGGACCTCCCTTCAAATTTCATTGTTCAGAATTGGAAACACATCTTCTAAATCTCTCACTAGTAAGGCAAATGGTATTGCTAGGAATGACAGAGAAATTAAGATTTACCCCTGAATCACATGAGACAGGAGTGGAAATCCAAACAAAAATCAGGTATCTTCCAGTAATAAAATTAGGCAGAATAGCTACTAGGTGAACAACAAACACGGCCTGCCACAATTAGCTTCAACAATTTTCAGAAATTCACATTCATGTACTCACATATACTAGGGAACATTGGACTGTTTCCTCCGATTTACTATCAGCTTGGTCATAATCAGTAATAGAGATCTGGGATTTGTAGTCAAGATGACATTATCCTTTGGATTCTTCACTGTAGTTCAAACTTAAAGTAATAGTAGATGAACATAAAGTATAAAAATAAAAAAGACTCATTAGTGCCCCCAAACAGGAAAACCATTTGTATGGAACAGAAATAAGGAGAAAAACGATTAATGACAGTATGGAAGACTAAATATCTAAAAGCACTCCTCCTACAAAGCACCTAGAAATACTAGATAAAACATAACATTCTCTGAAATAAATAGCTGAGCTCAAAGAATATGAGAAAATTCCCTCTAGGGCAAAGTGCAAAGGGAAGTTAAAACTAGATCAATAAACATATGAGGGGATATTACTGCAGCCCAGAATGATGAAGGTTTGCCAATTTTATTAAACAATTTTAATAATCTCAAGGCTTGGGATTTAATATCCAGGAGATTAGGTCTTGGACCCTTGTAAGTTGAAAAGTAGGAACTTAGAGACCCACATAAAATCTATACCCTCCTTTAAGATAAAATGATAGGCAAGAAAAAAATATTCCCATTGGCATAGGGAAATTACAAAGAAAGTTGTTTTGGCCTGGGTTCTGAATGAAAATAAAGTTCTCCCCTGAGAATGTGTAATCACTGCCTCTAACACATGGGTTTGCAAATTGAATCCATTCCTATGTGGTCCTGGAGCATCCAAGCAAATGAATTAACATTAAAAGAATCTGGAGACAGTGATATGCCTGGGAATCTGATAAAAGCAAAATCAAACATCTTATGAAGGATAAACCCTCAACCCAGGTTATACATGCCTCCCACTGTTTACCCACATGGAAGATGAGGAAACAAATCATCTTGAGCAACAGTCAGACGATTTAAAACTGTTAGAATTACATTGCCAAGAAATTCAGATAAGAACTACCCAATAAAAATATTAAATATGTATGATTAAAAAGAAGAATTAAAGACAAGACACTATATAAAAAAGAAGAGGCAGATTTTGATAAGAACTAAGTAGATTTTTTAGAAATTCAATAATCATTAAAATAAAAAGTGAAGGCCGGGCACGGTGGCTCACACCTGTAATCCCAGCACTTTGGGAGGCTGAGGTGGGTGGATCATGAGGTCAAGAGATGGAGACCATCCTGGCCGACATGGTGAAACCCCATCTCTACTAAAAATACAAAAATTAGCCAGGTGTGGTGGTGTGCACCTGTAGTCCCAGCTACTCTGGAGGCTGAGGCAGGAGAATTGCTTGAACCTGGGAGGTGGAGGCTGCAGTGAGCCGAGATCGTGCCACTGCACTCCAGCCTGGGAGACAGAGTGAGACTCCATCTCAAAAAAAAAAAAAAAAAAAAAAAAAAAGCCAGTGGACAGCCACAAAGTACATTAGACATAGCTGAAGAAAGGATTAATGGACTAGAACAATAGAACTGATCAATACATTTCCTGGAACGCAGCACAGACAGAGATGGAAATATGAGAGAGAAGTTAAGTGACATGAAGGATAGATGAGTGTATCGAACGTACTCTAATTCAAGTCCTATAAGAATAGAGAAAATGGCTGACATGATTCAGAACGATATGATTTGATAGATGCAAGAAACAAAATGAACCCAGAACAGAATAAATACAAAACAAATTTAAACCTAAGAGACACTGGATTGAAACTATCGCATAGCAATCACCAAGAGAAAAACTGAAAAACAACTAAAAAGAACAGAGAGATTACTGACAAAGATCAACAATTAGACTGAGAGAAGAGTTCGTAACAATAGCATCCAGGGAACAACAGGATATTTACAAATTATTGAGAGAAAACAAGCTGTCTATATAGTTGTCTTTAATCAGCTAAATTATCATTCAAGAATGAGGGTTAAATAATCCTATTTTCATAAAAAAAAGAGAAACTTTTCCACTCTCAAATTCTTTCTTTAAAAACTACTGAGGGAAGTCCTTCAGGAAATAGAACTCAGAAAGAAGGAATTAAATATAGAAATGAATGGCAACAAAGAAATTGGTAAACCGTAGAGTTAAAATATAATTTAACAATTGCACACGAAGAAGTTTATCAAAACTTTGCAAGACATTTTTAAAGGAAATTATAAAATTATATTGAAATAAAGTTTAAATTTTCTTAAATATACAGCAAGTTATATAATGTTCATGAATGGCAAGACTCATTAAAAAGCAATCATATTCAAATTTATCTATAAATTCAATGCAATTTTAATCAACATCCTATTAATATTTTTCATGGACCTTGACAGGCTATTTCAAAAATTCATGTGGAAGACGAAAAGGCCAAGGATTATCAAATAACTTTAAGGAATAAGATCAAGTGTAGGATATATTTTGCCCTCCCAGATTTTAGAATTTACTAAAAAACTGTCATAAGTGAAACAACGTGATATTTTCAGAGAAATAGATTAGAAGATAAATGGAACAAAAGACAGTAATGACAGACCCATGAATATATGGAAACGCATAATAAGAATAGTAACTATGGCTTACATGGTTTCTGCTATGTAAGTTTTAGGCATTGTTCTAAGCACTTTACATATTCTAATTCATTTATCCTTAAAGGTGACATTAAATTTCAGTTAAGTATAGCAGTATTATTCATAATAGGCAAAAGGAAGAAACAACACATATGTATATTAAGATATAAGGGAATAAACAAATTGTGGTATATACATACAATTGGGTATTATTCAGCTATGAAAAGCAACAAAGTACTATATGCTATAAGATAGATGAACCTCCAGGACATTATGCTAAGTGGAAGAAGCCATAATCAAAAGTTCACATCTTATATGATTCCTTTTATATGAAACATCCAAAATAGGCAAACTATAGAGACAAAGAGCAGATTAGTGGTTGCTAGGGACTGGGAGAGAGGGAGCGATTCCTTAAAAGATACGGGGTGTTTGCATGTTCTCACTTATAAGTGGGAGCTGAACAATAAGAATACATGGACACGGAGGGGAACAACACACACTGGGGCCTGTTTGGGGAGGGTAGGAGTGGGGAGAACATTAGGGAAAAGAGCTAATGTGTGTTGGACTTAATACCGGAACTTAAAAAAAAAAAAAAAAAAAAGAAAGAAAATCAAGGCAATGATTACCATAAAAAAAAAGTTATGGGGTGTTCTTTTAGGATGAAAAAGTTGTGGAACTAGAGAGAGGTAGTGGTTGCACAGCATATGAATGCACTAAATACTGCTGAATTGTACATTTTTAAATAGTTACTTGTTAATGTGAATTTTATACCTCAATGAAAAAATTTGCAGTCAGCAAGGATAGACAAATATTGCTCAGGAAATTAATTTATTCATATGAGAAACAATTGGATTTCTGCCTCATACTACACACTAAAATAAATACCAGGTATATTAAAGACCTACATGCAAAGCAATTCTTTAAAATTTACAGAAAAGAATATAAGAGAATATTCTTATGCTCTTGAGAAGCTAGAACTTTCTACGAGAGAAAAGACCATTAAAAAGTTAAATGACAAGCCAAAAAGTTGGAGGGAATATTTGCAACCAATACGACAGCCAAATGGTTATTATTTGGAATATACGAAGACGTCCTTCAACTCAATATGAAAAAACAACTCAATAGAAAAATGGGCAAATGCTATGAACAGACAATTCACAGAACAGGAAAACTGGAAATGACTGATTGCCACGCAAAGTGAAACAGTGAGCTGCCCTGTTGCATCTGTCAGATTGGCACACAAAGGGAAGTTTGAGAACAGCTGATGTTTCACAGGATGCGGTGACACGCACACGGTAAAACCCTGCTGATGGGAAGGAGAATCACTTCGGAAACAAAGTTGGCAAGCCCTACCCCAGCTGAACACATGCATCCAAACACAGCAGTTCCACTGTTGACACCCAACCTAGGGAACTCTCATGCAGTCTAAGCCAAAAGAGAAATAAGCGTACGAGGATGTTCACCGCAACACTTTAAATAAAATAAAAAAATGTGGAAATGGTCCATCAGCAGCAGATTTTAAAACATGCAAAAGAATATGAAAATAGCAGCTGTAAGAAATGAAGTCGCAAATTTTGAGTGAAAAGAACAAGTTGCCAAAGGATATAGATCATGTAAATGTGAGCACATAATACATGAGGCATACATGAAAATTATACATGCCCACTCTAGAAAAATGATTATTTCTGGGATGAGAGGGTGAGAGAAGGAAAGGGGTAGGAGAAGGATGGGCTTTAGTTATAAATTTGGAGGCCAGGAGGGGTGGCTCATGCCTATAATCCCAGCACTTTGGGAGGCTGAGATGGGAGGACTACTCGAGGCCAGGAGATGGAGACCAGCCTGGGCAACACGGGAGAATCCATCTCTATGAAAAACACAAAAATCGGCCGGGCATGGTAGCACATGCCTGTAGTCGTAGCTACTCAGCAGGCTGAGGCAGGAAGATTGCTTGAACCTAGGAGTTCCAGCCTGCAGCCTGGATGACATAGCGACACCCTGGCTCAAAAAAAAAAAAAAAAAAAAAAGATTTTGTACACTTTCTGTACATGAAACTTTTTATATTTAAAACAAAGGAAGGAAAGGGAGGGAGGATGGGAGGAAGGGAGGAAGGGAACAGGGAGGGAGGGAGGGAGGGAGACAGAGAGGCCTCATTCATGGTCAGGACAGTGTTTGAAGAGCTTTGTCAGCACAGCCGGGTTGTTGGAACGTTTCTTCTCTTCCACAGCTGTGCCAATCCCAAAATGCAGAGAGGGCTTCTCTCACAGGCCAGAGCCCCAGAGATCTCTGAGGGACTGATCTTAAGGGAGGCCTCTCAGTGAGGGAGGAGGCTGTGAGAGGAAGAGAGCAGGTCCTGGAGTGACTCTGGGTCTTGGCAAAAGGCAAGGAGGGAAAAATGGGAAGAGAGGCGAGGGTCAAACGACCTAAGGAATTCCACCCTGGAGGCATCAGGTTAAAGGAAGCAAGATTCCACCCCATATGTGTCTGCACTCTTCCCGTCCCCCGCCCCAATGCCAGTGGAGGAACGGCAAAGGTAAGCGCGGTGGATGAGATGTCAACAACACTGAGGGGAGGAACGACTGCAATTGACTTAGCAAACCGGATAAAGCTGGAACCCAGAGGCTTTGATGGGGGACGCTGTCGACAATAGTAAGCATCTGAATGCTGCACACTCATAAAGAGAATCCCGAGTGTTGCATGAAACTGAAAACAAGGGGATTAACTCGAAGTCTTAAAATGAGCAAATTTAAGACATCCCCAGCCTTCCGCAGCCTGCTAATATCCCTTCTCCTGAATTGGCAGGAGATGGTGGGGGAAAGGGCTAAGTGTGGGATGGTGGCGGTGGGGGACCTGGGACGGCAATTGACCCTGGAGAAATTGACCCAGAGAGTTTCTGAGCTCTGGGACACAGGCCCTGTCCCAGAGGGACAGTTTGAGGAGTTTGAGGAGCTGCAGTTTGAGGAGCTGTTTGAGGAGCTGCACTGAGCATGGGGAGAAGCCCAGGAGAAATGAGTATTCTGATGAAGGAGGACCCAGTCGCCTTTTTCCTCACACTCTCCGCTCAGCCTGGCAGTCAGGCCAAGAAAACAAGACAAAAATATAGATTTGTTTTCTTTGGAGAAACTGATTCGCCTAAGACATTTTTGAGGTTTTGAGGTTTTGACATTAGAGATTGTGGACATTTGAGTCAACATTTTTGCCCCAATGCAGCGGCTGGTTAGATTCAGGTGTCTGATGGCCGCCGGAGCAATGGGGAACCAAGCACCCTCAGAGTGATAATGAACTTCAGAGACGAGGCCCCTCGTGTTACAGAGAGGCCAACTGAGTCCCAGGGAAGAAAGGGGTCTGCCCAGGAGAACACTGGAAAGAAGTCAGGCTTGAGACAGCTGCGTACAATGCAGGTATCTTTTCCTCTAAGATAGAAATGCTATAAAGTATAGTTTAAAAAAAAAGTACAATGGCAGACTATGTGGAAGGGGATTTCTAAGGCAATTCCATTCTATTACTTTCAGGTACAAATTGTTTCCATAACTTAAACTAGGTTATCAAAGTACGGTCTGGCCAGGGCTCTGGGGGACCTGCTTTAATGAATTAGAGAAAGTTGATTCATATCTCATATACCAAATGATTGTCAATTGCTTCTTCTAAGGTAATTGAGAATGCTTGAAAGGTAATTTAAGTGATGCTTTATACTATTAATTAGCTCTATCTAACTTTTATATTTCATTGATAGAGCAGAGGCCTCACTTGAATTACTTTGGCAATCCAAGCTACTAAGGTTTTCTGGGTAAGAAAATGTTTCTGGACATAGTGTGGCCTGACAGGAATCTGGTTCAGATTCAGTAAACTTCTGACCTTCTATGGACATTCATTTAGCATTTACAGCTGGCTGGCCCTACGCATCTCTTGTTTAGCCACTAATTACGCATTTTGATTGGAAATCTCCCTCTTCTAAGGCAGAACCCACTTGTCTGAAACACCCATGTCTGGGGGCTGATCTGATTAACTAACCAGGGCTTTGGACAGTTACCTTGTTGCTTCTAGAAACCTTTGCTTTTGATGCAACATCTCTGTCAAAACAAAGATAAACAGCGATAAAGTGACCTCCTAGGGAAACGTAAGCTCCCACCAATCTGTTCTTCGAGAACGCGCACCATGTCTTTCGTCCTTCTGGTGAGGAATTTAGGGAGTGCTTTTGCATAAAGAAGTTCCTCATGGCTTCCTCCAGAATAGCTCTTGTCTTCGTGGGGCTGGGAATCCCCGTGGGAGACCCAGCACAACACAACAAGGCCATGTTGGAGGGCTTGATTAATGACCTGCACAGACATATCTCTTGCCTCTTGCATTTGATTCCGCCTTTTGATTTTCCCTTCTGTTCCTCCAAGTTCCCTTTCTTAACCTGCCCCCTTTCCTTGTTCCCAGCTGCCAAGGAGGAGGGACTCCGAGCTCACCTCCAATGGCATCAAGCGAGGCCCACAGCATTGCTGCAATGTTTGCCTGGGTCACCCCACTCTGAGAATGTGACAGGTGGCTGGTCATTGTGGACAGAGAAGAGATATTTTTGTTTATCTTGAGGTAGCTGTTTTTTTCTGCCATGTGAGCACCCTGTGAGGCCTCAGCTCCACAGACATAAGAGAGGAATAGCAATTTTGTAGTGAGAAGGTCTGGGCAAGGGTCTCAGGGATGCCCTCACCTCTCTCAGTCTGTCTCCTTGATGCGAACTGAGTAGGTTGATTCTGAAAGCACTTCCAGTCCTTTAGTAGGTTGAGTAGTTTGAACTATGAGTAAAAAGCCCAAGTTGCAATAAGCTTAGAGTTTTTTTTTTTTTTTTAAAGGATACAGGTATGTTTGTCCTTGGTGAAATGCAGAAACCTTTCTAGGGATCCAACTTGTACCCTAGAATTTGCTAGCACAGATCCGTTAAAGAAGCATTTACTGTGTACCCACCATGAGCTAAACACTGCACTAGGCTGGGGACACAGAAGCAACAGTCTCTGCTTCTCTGGACCCTTTGGGCCTAGAGAATTCCAAGGTGAGAGAGAAATAATCACAATCAGGTCTAAATGAACTTGATAATTTCATTGCTCTTGAAACCTGGAAGATACAGTTTTCTTACTTTAATTATCTTGCGATAAACATATTAATATATATGTAATATATTAATATATACATTGTTATTAATCTGAACATACTTGAATTGTATGCTTCAGAATTAAATTATGAAACTCAGTCTCGTTAATGCAAAAGGAAAAATGGACAGGCATACTGACGGATTTAGTTACCTTTTATAAATGCTGAATTGGCTTCTTGAATTAAAATCATCATATATGTCTCTTGAAAAGATATTTACACTGACAGTTTATAAATGCTAATTAAATTCTTTACAGACCAAGCAGCCAGGTCCTTAGACTGGAGGCATTTAATTTTAGAAAAGGTGAAGTTTAAGATTAATCATTTGAAGTTCTTTTTTTTTTTTTTTTAACATTATTTATAATGTTTTGGTAAGTGCCAAAGTCTTACCAAAGAAGAACCAAAGTTGTCTTTGTGCAGTGAGTATCTATTTTATGTTTTCAAATCTGTTATTCAGAAGCTGTGATTTTGGTAAATTTGTGTTTTAAATCTTTCTGGGATTACGTACCACTGTTTTGTGCACAGTTTGATTTTGGTCTTCAAGTCTTCAAATGTTTTCATGTAATTTAGATTGGAGACACTGTTTAGAATCACATTTCTTTTCTAAAAACATCTTTGTATAAAAGCCTTTTGCTGAATACTTATACTACATTGTTTTCCTCTCTAGCGTTTACTTAATTTAACCTTTCTGTTTTGAAATTCTTTTTGTCTTAAATGTTTTTCATTTGATCAGCATCCTCTGGTTTAAGTAGTTTAGAAGTGGGTTATTCTTGCTTGTACTTACGGCACTTACACAGGCGGCAGTAAAGTGGACCAGTTAGACCATAGACTTTTCAATCAAACAGAGGGGAATCCTGTTCAGTCATTCTGCGTCTCTGTTTAGTTTTCTTAACAATATAATGGAAATAATACTACCCACTTCATGGAGGTGTTAGGAAAATTAAATGAGATCATGTGTGTAAAGTGTCTGGCATGGCGCTCAGTGCTCAGAGGAACCAAGTAAGAGATACTACATCCTAATGTTCTTTGATTTTATAAAATTTGATCCAACGTTCCTGTTAAATATCCACATTCAAATACTGTTATGATGTTTAATAGGTTTTATCAGTATCTAAAGCCACAGAAAAATTAATTGCAAAAAGTATATCATAAACATAATAATAACCCTTGTGTGGTGACATGTAAATGTAACTCCATTTACATGTCTTTTTTTTTTTTTTTAGTCAGAATCTCTCTCTGCTGCCCAGGCTGTAGTGCAGTGGCGCGATCCTGCCTCGCAGCAACCTCTGCCTCGCGGGTTCAAGCGATTCTCGTGCCTCAGCCTCCCGAGTAGAGCTGGGATTCATGCGCCACCACGCCCGGCTAATTTTTGTATTTTTAGTAGAGACGGGGTTTCACCATGTTGTCCAGGCTGTCTCGAACTCTTGACCTCAAGTAATCCGCTGGCCTTGGCCTCCCAAAGTGCTGGGATTACAGGCATAAGCCACTGCGCCTGGCTAAATATCAATTTTTTAATTTACAATGTTCACCATTTTTAAGTGTAGGCCCATCTCCGTGCATGCCCACAAAATAAGACTGTGTGCATCCGCTCGAAGCATTCTTGGAGTCTAGTTCGTTCAAATGGATGTGTGCTGCAGGATGGATTTGATATTTTAAAGAGACTAATAAAAAGACCAAATGCTTTGGAAATGAAGTGAGGCATTTTGAAAAAGAACAGCCACTATTTGTCTTGGTTTTCAGACCTCCTACTTGAAAGGGCTGTGCATGTATTTGATGCCCAAACTTGAAAGTTCCCTAAACCAGGAGAATCATGTGTGAAACACATCAAGGAGGCAGGCGGCCCAAACACCAAACTTCATTATTTTTCTTGGAGGTGGAGAGAGCTGCTGTTCAGAAAAATTTCCAAGGTTTCTGTGATTTGTTATGAACTGAAGGTCGTTCCCTAGACTGGATCATAGGAGGCACTGAAGCCTGCCTACCAGTCAACGTGGAAGCAGATGTCTGCTGGCAATCCTGAAGCAGGGGAAAGAAAATTCAGGAGAAAAATTCACTTGGCTTGCTTGGTGAGTTTCATTTTGCATCCCTCCAGGCTGTCTTTTTCTGATCTTCCACTAGAGGGCGCCCAGCCACCAGCTGTGCCCGTGCTCCAAGGAAGCCTCTCCCTTCTGATCCTGCCCTTTGGGCTCCGGTGTGGGGTCCCAGGAGAGAGTCCTGGCCAATCACAGACTCGGGAGGATTCCAGCTCCAACCCCGAAACAGGCTACCCCCCGACTTCCTGGACAGGGTGGCCACAGTGAGAGCCCTTCACTTCAGGAGTGGGATTTCAGAGACCGCAGTGAGGGTTTTTCATTTATGATCGTTTATGTCTCTTCCATTCAAAAGGGTGCTGCGAGGATGGGGTTCTGGGGCTATATTTCCTGAACCCCAGCTGTCAGACCCTGCAAAGCCCTGTGTCTTTGCTGGAACAATAGACTGGAATATTTGAAACCAGAACTCCAGAAAATCCAGGACAGATGGCTTCCGTGATCGGGGCAAGCTCTGTGTCACAGAGCCCCCGGGCCTCCCTGCCCTGGCCAGAGTAACTCCTGCACTGGCACTCTGTGGCTGAGGGGGGTTACTGTCGGCTCAAAATGCCAGTGAGCAGGTCACTGGTTCATGGTTTGTCGGTGGCCCGCTCTCAGCGTGCACTGTAACCCCCAAGTTGAGCAGGGGGGTGTGATATGTCTGGTCCACCTAACCGGCACCTACCCCATTCTGTTTCCTCCTAGCTCTGTGTTTAAGGACCTCGTTTTGTGCAACCTGCCCCTCTGTGAATGTCTTCTGACACCGTGGAACATTCGATGAGAATAACCCGGAGCCACATTCCCACCGCACTTTAAAAGCCTTACAGGGTGCTTTTGCACACGGGATGCCCCTACAACCGTAAGGCAGGGGCAGGAAGAATGACCCTCGCCCCTCACGTCACAGATCAGAACAGAAAGGCTCAGAGCAAGTAAGTCCTGCAATTAGGACTCGAACTCACATCAGATTCAGCAGGGGTTGCTCGTACTTCCTCAGGTCTTTGCAGCAGCAGGAATTTGGGTTTGACTTTAGAGAAAACCTTCTGAGCCCCTGACCTTCAAACACATGGGTGCGTTTTAGGAGATTGTGACGCTGCCTTCAGATACTCTTCATAAAACGGCAGCGACGTGTGTTCCCTGAATGGGTTGAAGGGCGTCCTTCCTTGAGGCAGGAGGATGAACTGGATAAACCTGGGGGTGATTTCTAACCACACTGTTTTGGAGAACAAAGCACCCAGAAATAGATGAATCGGTCCCTTTAAACAGAAGAACACTTGTGTACAATTGTATGGAAAGCAGGCAATTTCCAGTTCAGTTAAGAACTACTGTAGGGCCTTTGAAGAGGTGCTCCTAAAAGGTGCTATGATGGATTTAAAAATTGTGTGCGGCTTGTGAGCTCATTGTTCCAGAGCCCGGCCTCTGTCCCGCGGGAAGCGTGCAGTTCTCTCGCTGGCCACAGGGTGGCGGAGTGACTTAAGCTTCGTGCCTCTTTCAATCTCGGGACAGAAAGCTCAGCTTCTGCCAAAGTGAGCAAAATGGAGCATCCAAGAGTTTGTTTAGAGTGGTGTGGACTTCATGTTTGTGAAAACTCTAAATGTCAGTGCTGGGAGGTGGTGAGGAAAGGGGATACTGGATTCTGAAGTAGAGGGGGCTTTTCCAAGGAGCATTGAGTGGCCAAAGTCAAATCCACCCATAGGGCCAGGCATGGTGGCATGCGCCTGTAGTACTAGCACTCTGGGAGGCTGAGGCAGGAGGATCACTTAAGGACAGGAGGCTGAGGCTGCAGTGAGCCGAGTTCGCGCCACTGCACTCCAGCCTGGGTGACAGCGCAAGACCCTGTCTCTTAAAGCAAAGAAATGATCACGATGACCTCATTAGCTGGCAGATGCTGAGTGAGCTCTGTCCCTTGGAGGCTCACCTTTGGAAACTGCAAAACCACTGCCACTTCCCCCATCTCTATCTGAATTTCCTTTTATAGATTGTTGGTCCTCATTTTTTTGCTCTTTTTTTTTTTTAATAAAAGGAGTGGTTTAAGTGTTTGTATACATTTTGGAGGAAATAATGTCTGATGAGGCAATGGTTCATTATTGAACCCCATATTTGGATATATGTTTCTAATGTGCATGCTGTATTTAGGGTTATGGTGAGAGAAAAGATTTAAATTTGGGAATAGTTTGGACCTTCTTGGGTGTGCATGCGCTGCACGGGCACACACACACACACGCACAAAGACAACACAGCTAGACCTGAAGGAGTGTGTGAGCCATGGTTAGAGACACTGAGGACCTTACCAAGTTCCCGGGTTAGGTAGAAAGGGTAGGATCCAGGATAGATCCCACTGTTGCCCATGTAGAAGCTCTGGGCTCTCATCTCTTACACTTCTGCCTAAACCCTTGGCGCCGCCGTATAAAGACAGTAGAAGTTTAAATGGCATAGTGAGATTAGCAGAAGGAAGGTTGAATTGCAACATGGGTACAGTTTTGAAGCACATCTTGGGGGATAGAAAAGCCTGTAATATTTTTTGTAGAAGTAATTAATATTCACTTTCTCAAACTTGAGATCATAGACTTGTGTGGTATGTGTGTGCCTGCAAGTGTCTGCGTATGAGACACACACAAAAAACACACACCATGAAATTGCTGATAATGCTTCAGAACAGAGTGCCCATCTTTAAATTTTTTCTTCCTTCAATATTTGCTTTTTCATCGACATTGATGACATTCATTTATTAATCTTTCCTAGACATTTATAGATCACCTACTGTGTGCCAGGCAATTAAGATGAAACAGAGTCATGCTGATGTTTAGAAAAAGACAGATCCCTGGGAATCCATTCTTTTTTGATAGGGAAAAGCAGGGCTCTACATTTGGCTGAGAATGTGGCTCCAGGATAGGCAGGCTGGGTTTGAAACCCAGCCCAGGCTCTTCCTATTATTCAGCTTCCTCCTCCTAAAATACGGATAATAGTATTACCCACATCAACACATTGTCGTCAGAACTAAATGAACTAACATAATGGGCTCTCCACAGTACACCCAGAAAGAAATCAAGAAACATGTAGCTCAAGGAATATATTATTCCTCTTTCTTTATCAACCAAAGCGTTCCATAATCCTCTTCTAACAAATATCTATCACGTGCTCATAGACCAGTTACTGTAGGGAATAAAGATGAGCTGGACAGTTGTTTCTGCTCAGGGAGCTGGGAAGAGCTGGGAGACATGTCACTGTGGCCACCAGGGAAGGGGTAGGTGGTGACAAAGCTCAGAGGTGAACCTGTGGCTCTGGGTCTACGAAGATGAGGGAGACGTGGCTGTGGCCTCCGGCTCAGATCGGGCTGCCTGGCTGGGAGCACTGTTCACCTGAGATACAGCTCCTAGGTCTTTTTAGAAACTGCAATCCAATACCTGAAGGACGGCATGACCTTCAGAGACACAGAAGGACTGTGCCTCTGTCAAGAGGATTCTAGGGCATAGGGCAGTTGTCTTTAGAGCTGACCTGAGCCCTCATTTGTAGGAGCTCCCTGAGCTGTGGAGGCCTGTGTCATTCTTCGGGGCCTGGTGATTAAGACAGGTCCATGCTGGTGCCTAGGGGTGCAAAGGAGGCCTGCCCAGGTACTATCTGCTCATCGTAGCTGGGGCTTCCTGGAGCTGTGCCTTACCCCAGGTTCTTGCCGCTTGATTGATGAAGGTGTGTGGAGGGGAAACTGTATTTATTAATAGCTCCCCAAGCCTCGAGTTCCCTGGGGGAGGATGAGTGAACGCTGGACTCTCGGCAGAGGTGGGGCAGTGCCCCAGGGGAGGCTCTGAAAGACTGAAAGCCAAGACCACTAGGGATTGATGCTGCCCCGTGCCCCACCCCAGGGCCAGTGGACCTTGTGGGTCACACAGACAGGGGCTGCGCTCTGTTCGCAGTGCCCAGCTTGTGCCCTCCACAACGGGGCACCCTGTAAGCATCTGCTGGGAGAGAGATGGAGAGAGTGAGGGCGAGTGCCCACGCCTCCACCCTGGGAGAGGCAGTGTGATGCCGAGAAGAGGAGGAGCAGCGCAAGAAACCTGAGACCGTTCTCTGTTCCTTTGTTAGCCAGGCCACCCTGAGCAGATTAGTTTACCTCTCTGGGCCTTGATTGAGAAATCTGTAACGGAAGGAGGAAAACCACTGCTGCTGCCTCCCTTGCTGGGCTCTGCCAGTGTTAGTGGCTGCAGCTGGTGTGTCTGGGACCTGGTAGTGTGTGCAGACAGCCTGCTCCGTGGGCTCAGTCCAGTGCCAGCTCTGTCCAGTAGCTCCCAAGTCGTCCCTTTCCTGCCCCTGTCACCGAGCCTCTCCCCTCAGGTGAGGAGCAACTGGCAGTGTGGACAGATTATCCGTCCTCACCACGGGGCCATGACGTTACCTTTCAGGAATGAAGTCCACTTGGGTTTTGAAATCAGTGGGCTCTGACCTTGCAGGCCTTCTTCCTCAGTCTCCTATTCCCGGTGGGGCCCAGCGGCTGCCCCACACTGGGGTCCCTGTGGGGTGCCACACTTTCCTGACACCTTTCCCTTCACACAAACCACAGCTTCCTTAGTTTCCGCGAGGTGGCCATCTAGCTGGTTGGGCAACATAGGCAATGTGGGTGGAAATACCTCAGGGGTGTCCCTACCCCCACCACCTCCAAACCGAAGTGCACTCCCGCAGTGCCCCATGGCAGGGCCAAGAGGGCCACGACTCCTCCTGCTTCCTTGTGCTGCTCAAAGCTTTGCCTTGGCCTTGGCTGCCTGTGGTTCACTCTCAGTGTTCTCCATTGGAGCTCCAGGTGAGGACACTCACAGCGTCCCCTCCCCACAGTGTCCCCTCAGCCTGCGCTGGTGCCCACCTCCCTGCAGAGTCAGATGACACGGGGAGATGCCTCCTGTTCCAGGCCCTGGCTGGGGCCAGGGCTGCAGTGATGACTGAGATGTGGTCGCTGACTTCCTGGAGCTTCCAGGCTAATTGGGGCAGTCAGATGGGTTTTAGATCTAGGCCTCATTGGTTCTCTGGATCCCTTGGCTGAGTGACAGCAACCATCCCTGGCATTTCTCAAATCTGCAGATGCCTGGCTGCTCTTCATTCCCATCAACAAGTATTTATCAGGCACTTCCTGGGTTTTGGGTGCTGGGCTGGAGGCTCCTTGTGTCTGTCCTGCAGCATGTGAGAGGCTCTGCTGCTTCAGGACGGCTGGACTTGCATCTGCGGGATGCACCTGTCCACTTATTTCGATGCTCTCATAGTCATAACTAGGACCATTCCAGATGCAGCGGAGAGAAGTTAATTTACCACTTACCGTGGGTGACTGAGGGCCCCGGGGCCTAATTAACACTGGGTTTCTTCTTTTTGCTGTTTCTTTGTGACACGTTCTCCCATTTTCCATCTTCTTCACATTGGTTTCTCTAGCTTCCTGCCTCTTCTGAACCTTTTATTTTTTAATCTTTCTTCTTGAATGATTTCCTGTATCCTCCATCCTCCTTCCTGTGCATAGCGGGAGAAAGAGGAGTCCAGGCCAGGGTGGGGCACATTCATTGGTAATGGGTGAAGATTCTGCTTGACTTGGAAATCCACACATAGAAGGGGTGGGACCTAAGACAAAACACACGTTGCCATATGTAGCCCCACCAGGATTTTTTTCAGGTTAACTATGAAGAAGAAAATCAAATTCAACAAATATTTGCATTACCTCTCCTCCCTCCACAGTGGCCAGCTTTGCTATGAAAACACAGTTGTCTGACCTATCTCACCTACATGCAGCTTTTCAGTCCTCCCTTTAAAGTGTTTTAAATGTAGCTTTTTTGATAGATAATATGTGTGCATGGCCCGAACTCGAACAGGTCCAAGGGTACACAGGGGAGAGTGCTTCCTCCTGATCAGCTCTTTCTTGATGCAGGTGGCATGACCAAGAGCTCAGCATTGACAGGTGAGGTGGAGTCTGGCCCTCCTGGATGGCGGGAGCTGGGTCACAATGGTGGCTGGGCAGGAGGAGGCATTCTGGCTGATGGTGGCAGGCTTCATGGACCGACCGCAGGCACAGAGGCTCTGGTCATGCTTGGCAGCAGCTCGGGGCCATTGCCGTGTATCTTTTCCCTGCTTCCTCCCTACGCCCTACCCCCCTGCTGTGGGCGGTGACCTGTCCTCACTGTAGCCTGTGAGCTCTCTGCCCCTGGGTGCAGGGCTGGGATGCCAAGGAGATGGGCAGGATTTTCTCCCAAAAGTGTCCAACCAAGTTCTGGCATTAGTACTAAGAGGGGGCTCGGCAGGTTGAAGACAATGATTTGTTATTGTTATTGTTTAATATTCATTAAGCGCCTGTAATGTGTTGGATGACATTGAGAAAGATTTGTGGCTGGTGAAATTAAACTGAGCTCAGAACTGGCCTGGTGCCTCGAGGTCCCTGGCGGGCCAAATTCTGGTTTATTCTGTTTGTCCACAAGAATGACCTCACAAACCAGGAATGAGAAGCCCCCACCAACAAAGGCCTGCTGATAATTCTCCTTAGAAAAGGCATTGATTCTCATCTCTTCTCCCACCTTGGGTTAAAGAGTGGACAATAATGCTGTTGCCTTCAAGAATGAGACAGCCAGAGAGGGAAGGTGACCTGAAAAGGTGACAAAGCAATCAGTGCAAACTACATCCTTGGGCCAAATCTATGACATCAGCAAAGCTGGGCTTCAGTCCTTCCCTCCCTTTTCCCCTGGTCAGGGTGCTCCTCCCTAAGACAGGAGGCTCCTCATCCTTGCTCCCCTTTCAAGACCACTTGCTGGGCACCCACCATTTACTCATTCATACTAAAGAGTAACTGGCCGATAGCTAACATTCTGATATTCTCGGTACACATCATGCATTGTGCTAGGTGTTTTTACCTCTATTATTTCACTGAATTCTCCCACAGCCCTTGATGGTAAATGCTGTCATTCGCCACATTTACTTAAGGTAATTTACTTAATAGATAGCAGGAGCCAAGGTGCTTGGTCTCCACCCTAGAGCATTATATTTACCACACCTGGGCTAGTTTACCCTTTAACAAAGCAGAACGTGGCCAGGCACAGTGGCTCACCCCTGTAATCCCAGCACTTTGGGAGGCCAAGTCTGGAGGATCACTTGAGCCCAGGAGTTCAAGGTCAGCCTGGGCAACATGGTGAGACCCCCCGCCATCTCTACATTAAAAAAAAAAAAAATAGCTGAGTGTATTCCCAGCTACTTGGGAGGTTGAAGTGGGAGGATTTCATGGGCCCAGGAGGTCGAGGCTTTAGTGAGCTTTGGTGGCGCCCCTGCGAAGCACTGCAGCTTTAGGCCCTGCGTTCATTCCTGGCCAAACATTTGAATCACCTGGGGGCTTTTAAAGGCTGCTAATGCTGGAGCTCCTCTCTTGAGATTTGGATTTAAATGGTCTGGTGGGAGAGGGGAACCAGCGTTGCTATGTTTGAAACACTTACCAGGTGATTCTAATGGGAACCTGGGGCTGAGAACCCCGGCTAAGCAGGAAGACCAGCAGGGGGCCCGTGCACTCTGAGCACCGGGAAGAGGTGAGGGATTCACCGGGAAAGATGGCCGCCCGGGCTGGAGGCACAGGGCGGCAGCTGTGACTGTGCTTACTAAAGAAAGCTGGTCTTCACCCCTGGGAGGTGGCGCATATGTGCTTCCAAATGGGAGGCCGGATGTGGCTGGGCCAGCTGATATTTTGGAGCCCAAGGACCGATCGCCAAGGCCACGTCCTCAGGGTGGCCTTCAGAGGGATCTATTTCAGGAGGGACCCAGAAAGTCGGGACTACTGTGACCCTTGCGTTTTTTCCCCACCAGTGTTGGCTGGCTTGACTGGAGGAGATGCTTTTGAAGGGCTCTGAGGTGCCTGGGAGGGGCCCTGGAAGCCAAGCCAGGAGGGGAGTTTTGGGGAGGCGGGAGTGGGGGAGGGTGCAAGAACAAGGCACAGGAGAGACCAGGGAAAGATAATTGGAGCCCTTGGAACTGAGCTCCCAGCGACAGCCTCTGCCCATAGCGTGGAGAACGTTAAGTCCAGCTCCCTGGAGGCAGAATTCATCTCTGCGGTTTCCCTTCCAGAGCATGTGGCCGGCATCTCCACTAAGACGAATCACAGCAGGGCAGGTTAGTTCTTCACCAGTGTCCTCATTTGCATCGTAAGGAGACCTTGAGGTTTGAGAATGTGTTTTGTTCATCTTCATATCGTTTCTCCCCCGAAACACTGCTTAGCAAACAGCCAGACACATAGCAGGTACCCACAAGGGTGACCAGCTGTCTGGGTTTGCATGAAGCTGAGAAGGTTCCTGGGATGTAAAACTTTCAGTGCTAAAATGGGGGAATGTCTTGGACAAACTGGGACAAGTTGGTTACCTTAGTGCCCAGGGAAACCTCAGAAGCAAGAGCCCAAAATGGTGGGTGGTTGGTTGGCTTCACTGGGGCCCCAAAGCTGCCATGGATAGTGTTGGCATAGCCTTTCTGGGGGCGGCTGTCACCCTAAAGGGTATCCCTGGCATGGCATAAGGACCCTGCCACAGTCATTGACCCCATTAGTTGTTTCCATTTCTTTGGATACACAGGAAATAAACACCAGCTGAAGGGATGTGTACCATATGGGTGGTGGGGGAGGGAGAAGGGGAGTGAAGTCCTAAGTCATAAAGTCTTCATGGGAAGGTGGGAAATTCACCTCTGCTTCCAACTAAGAAGAGAAAAATGTTTGGAAAACAAGAGCTGGCTTCAAGAATGGGACACAAGGGGAATTGTCCAGGGCACAGCACACCGTAATGGTCAAGATAATTGCTACTGTCTTTTGATCATTTGTTTTGTGCCAGGTATTGTAGTAAGTTTTTTTTTTTTTAACACATTTGTTGAAAAATAGAGAAAACCACAAAAAACCTGAAAGTGTTCCATAGTCCCACCACTATTCTGGGGTGGTGGGGTAGCAGTCTGGGGGGCATCCTTCCTGACTTTCTCCCACCTGAAGTGGGTGGATCTGTGTCTATACGGGTATGTCTTTACAAATGCAATCAGTCTGTACATTTTGGTCTGTAATGGATTTTTTTTTAAAAAATGTGTATAAACATTCTTCCTTCCAGATCATTGGATACTGATCTTCTTTGTTCTTTTAACTTCTGCGTAGCATGCCATATGATTGCAACATATTTTTTCCTACCCATCCCTTATTGGTAATTTACTCAGATATTATTATTTTCATTTTGTTATTGCAACACCTCATTAAACCTTTTTTACATATCATTATGCATGTGTACAAATGTTCTGTTGAATATTTCCTTAGAAGTGTCTGAATCAGAATTCATCCACATTTTTACTTTGTAAATATTGCAAAACTGACACCCAGAAAGGTAGTGGCAATTTATTTTTCCAACTCCTTTTCTCTACACTCATGCCATTACTAGGTGTTATCATTTTTTTTTTTTTTTTTGCTGGACCTTTCAATGAAAAGTTGTATTTTGTTGTTTCACTGTGCATCTCACTAACCATCTTTTTGATACGAAGTTGAGCATCTTTTCATCTATTTACTGGCCATTTGAATTACCTCTTCTGTTCATATCTTCTGCCTGGTTTTCCTCTAAAGTACTAATAGTTTTCTTATAAATGTATTAGAGTTCTTTTTGTGTAAGAGATACACTTTGAACCTTATAGCCTGTTATTCTTTTTTACTTTTCCAAATAAGGTTTTAATTTTAAAATCTTTTAAAATCTGTGAAGTCATTTCAGTTTTTTCTCCCTTAGGAAGACCTTCCTTATAATGTTATAAAACTGTTCTCGAATGCAGTCTAAAATTTTATGCTTTTTAGGAATGCTTAGTTTTTTTTAATCCATCACAAGACGGTATCATTTTTTTTCTTTCAGAGGGATATCCCATTTTCCCAAGACTTAAGCTGCCACCTTTATCATTTATTAAATTCCCACATAGACTCACATATTTTTCTCCCCTCTTGCCTTTTCCACTGATCTTTTTGTTTATTACAGTGTCATTATTGCTTTGATTAGTGCAGCTGTTGGCTACATTTGCCTTTTAAAAGAATGTTTCACTATCACTTGTCTTGTTGGTCAAAAATTTCTTGACAATCCTGCAAAATTTTATTAAGGATTGCAACATCCTTGTTAAATTCTTTGCCCATCCTTTTACTTTTAAATTAGTGGCGACAGGGAAAATCTGTAGGACCTTAGAGATACCAGTAAATAGAGATTGAGCAACAAAGTGAAAAAAAATCTAACAAAGGAGAAACATGTATTCTATAGGTGTTGCCGAGTGGTAGCCTGGGCAGATTTTATCACAGGGGAAGTTAACACACAGAAAGCCCCCATCTTTTGCTTACCTTCTTTATTCACCTTTAGGCCTGAAAAGACATATTTTGGAGAACATGTATTGACTGTTCCAGCTGTGAGCATGCTTCCTGCCCTCCCTCCAGGCTGCCCAGCAGTGCCGCTGCTGCAAATCCAGGTGAGCTAGAGGTGCTCAGAGACAGAAGGGGCCACCTTGCATGGGAAAAATGAGTTTCTAGCTGCTGAAGGTGTTCAAACCTCCTGATGGAGTTTTCTCAGAGAAGATGGGGTCCCAGGGTCTGATGATCTGTGCTAACCCTGAAATTCTCTGATTCTGGGACTCAGGAATTGAATATATTAATGGGAAGGTGATATGGTTTGGTTCTGTCCCCACCCAAATCTCATCTTGAATTGTACCTCCCATAATTCCCACATGTTGTAGGAGGGACTCGGTGGGAGATAATTGAATCATGGGAGCAGTTCCCCCAATACTGTTCTTGTGGTAGTGAATAAGTCTCACAAGAACTGATGGTTTTATAAGGGGGTTTCCGTTTTGCTTGGCTGTCATTCTCTTTTGCCTGCCACCGTATAAGACATGACTTTGCAACTCCCTCACCTTCTGCCATGATTTCAAGGCCTCCCCAGCCACGTGGAACTGTGAGTCAATTAAGCCTCTTTCCTGTATAAATCACCCAGTCTTGGGTATGTCTTTATTAGCAGCGTGAGAACAGACGAATACAAAAGGAAGAACATATAATGCATTTAACAGCAGCAGTAGAAGTGGAAATCATAGAAGGGAGACGGGAGTCTATCAAGTTTTCACTGGAATGCAAATCTCAACCTGAAGAGAAGGACTGTGTGGGGAGAGCAGTGGCAGTGCTATTTTAGGAGTGGATGGATAATACTTTTTAAAGGCAGAATACAAAACTGGCATGAGGCAAGATCCAGGAGTAAAGGAAGACTTCAACCATCTGGTCATCAGCTGGAGTCTCAGGCTGCTAAAAACATAAATTCTTGTTTGGCCTTGCTGACAATTTTATGTCCAAAAGTTGAGGAGAAGAAGCAAAGAGAAAAACTGGTCATTGGGACCAGAAAGAATTTATGTGTGGGTAGGAAAAGACAAAGATCCCAGAAGAAAGTGGCCTTCATCTTAGAATCTAAGAAGGAAGCAAGCTGAGAATGAAGTGAGGCATGTTATTTACACTGGAGGAAAAGCAAGTCGAAACAAGGCAAGAGAGGGGGTAGTAATTCTTACCTTTCAAAGTCTTCAAAGTTTATATGAGTTACAAGGACAGTAGACTCTACAATGCCATTGTTTGTGTTTCATCAATGACCCAAAAGAAAGAGATAAAGAAGGCTCTTAAAAAACTAGCATAGCCCTGCAAAAGATGGGAGGAGGAGTGGGTTAGTCAGGGTTCTCCAAGGAAACACACCAATAGGATGCACATATAAACACACATTTTAAGGAGTTGGCTCACATGATTGTGGGGGCTGACAAGTCTGAAATCCATGGGACAGGCCTTCAGGTTGGAGATGCAGATAAGAGTTGCTGTTGCAATCTTCTGTTCAGATTCCACAGGGCAGTAGGCTGTAAACTCTGGCAGAGATTCTGTGTTGCAGTCTTGGGGAGAGTGCCTTTACCTCGGAGAACCTTGTTTTTGTTCTTAAGGCCTTCAGTGGATTGGACGAGGCCCATTCACATTGTGGTGGGTCATCTGCTCTACTCAAAGTCTACTGATTTAAATGTTAATCTCATGTAAAGAATACCTTCACAGCAACATCTGGACCAGGGTTTGAGCAAGCAATTGCGCACCCTTGCCTAGCCGAGTTGACACACAAAATTAATTCTCAAAAGGAGCATGTGGCCAAAGGCAAATACAAGAACATGGTGATCATGAAAGATGAGTCCCAGGAAGGCTGGGAAAGCTGAGAAATGGCTGAAGAGTCATCTAAAGACCGTGGTGGGGACGCTGAAAAATTAGTGTGCAGTAGATGTATGGTGGCTTAGTTTGTTTGAGCTGTTATAACAAAATACCATAGACTTGGTGGTTTATAAACAACAGAAAATTATTTCTCACAGTTCTGGAGGCTGGAAAGTCCAAGATCAAGGCACTGACAAATTTGGTGTCTGGTGATGCCCTTCCTGGTTTATAGATGGCGGTCTTCTGTCTGTGTCCTCACGTGGTGGAAGAGGCCGGGAGCTTGCTCGAGCCTCTTTCTTCAGGACACTAATCCCACTTAAGAAGGCATAGCCCTCATGACCTCATTGCTTCCCAAAGGCCCCACTTCCAAACACCATCATGTTGGAGAATATGTTTTCACATATGAATTTTGGGGAGACACAAACATTCAGATCGTCGCAGATGGGGTGTTCAGTAGAGTAGGGTCAGATCACTTGTCTTTCCTCTTTACTGATCAAGGAGATGTGTCTCTAACCTGGGCTATGTAAAACATAAGCATATTAAAGAGATGTGAAGCTGAAGATAAGAAGAGAGCCCCCAAGCACCTTTAAATCTACAAGCCTATGGGCTGAGACCACTTTCAGCTCAGGGCACTGAAAATTCCTGGAGATGTGACCACTGAACCCCTGTCTGAAATTTTAGAACACGGAAAGCCAGAGGGGGGTCAGAGCACTGCAGACTAGCTATTTGGCTTTTCATAAAAGGAACATACTGCATATAAGGCCCTAGTCAATTTTTAGAAGAAATTGCAAGCCAGTGGTAGCATTTAGAAATAAAGGGTTGCAGTGAGAGAGCCAGCCTGGGGTAAAGGATTTAAAATGTTCTGTGCACCTGTGCCTTGGGTGCCTCATCCCAACCCTGGGCCCAGCCTTGCCTGCCTTCACCATATCATCCACACTTGCAAGTGAGCAGAGTCAGAGGGTAAGGGGCGTGCCCAAGATCCCACAGCTGGAAATAAAAGAACTCAGGTCATTAGCAGATCTCGTGCTCTTTCTTTTACTGTACAGCAGGGGTTGTCAAACAATGGCTGTAGGCTGAATCTGGCCCACCAGCTGTTTTTGTAGGTTCTGTGAGCTAAGAATGGTTTTTTACATTTTTAAATGGTTAGGGGAAAAAAAAACACAAAAAGGGATTTCTATTTTGTGACCTGTGAAAATGATATAAAATTCAAATTTCAGTGTCCATCAATAAAGTTTTATTGGAACACAGCCATACCCACTAGTTTATATATTGTCTGTGGCTCCTTTTCTGCTAGAATGGTAGACTAGACACCATGACAGAGACCCTCTGATTTTCAAAGCCTAAAATATTTTATCTACCCCTTATAGAAGAAGTTGGCTGACCCCTTCTCTTTAGCCCTTGGCCAGTTCTTCTCGGGCTCCTATGTTAACAGCTACCAGAAAAAGATAATGAGGACATGTCAGAACCTGGGAATGAAGGGTATGAGAACCATTTTTCATATTGGCATGGCTTGAATTAGGTAATTCCATGGAGCATGGGAAAAGAAGGGGAGACAGGACAAGGCGGGATGCTGAAAGATCCTGGAATTTCATTTAATTCCATTCAGTCTGTTAAATGGTGGGTCTGGCTTTCAGCAGGGCATTTGCAAAGACTCTCATGATATCCCTGACCTACTAGAGAAAATGTGGATTTGATGACAACAATTAGATGTATGTGTCGTGGGCCAATCAACTTGTACCCATAGGATTTGATTAATGAATTACTGGCAACCTTGGGTCTCTAGTAATACACTGTAGGGCCATATTTTTGAGCCTGCCCTGTCTAACATTGACATTGAATGTTTGTATAAAGGCACAGAGAGCATGCTTATCTACTCCAAAGTGAAATAAGGCCAGGAGCATTAGCAGTTCAAGTCAGAAGACCTGGGAGTTTCATATTAACAAGAAGATTATAAACCAAGAGTGTGAGATGATGGAAAATCAAATCCATTCCTAAGACAGAAGAGCAGTATAGTGCTGAGATCAAAAGAAATGACAGGACTTGCATTGCATTGGATAGATGTGCTGGGAGCACCGTCTCTTGTCCTAGGCTTCAAATCTTAAGAGAGAACTTTGAAAGAGAGATGGCTACGGAGAAGCTTGGCCAGGGTAATTCTAAGTCTGAGAATATCACATCAGAAATAGGAGAAGGCATCAGGGATATTGGGCTTGGGGAAGAGAACTGAAATATGGCATTGTCTTGGTTGGGCTCTCCAGAAACAGACTCTGGGACAAGGATTGGGTCCACGTGCTTTATTTGAGAAGTAAAGAGAACACGGGAAGAGGGTGGGGAAGGGATCCAGGGCAGGGAAGCAGCTAGTAAAGGGTGTGTTATCCAGCCAGCTCCCACTGTGATGAACTGGGGCTTCACACTGCAGAGAAACTCTGGGAGGTGGTATAGAGCGTGCTTCTCAGTCATCCCATTCAAGGCATGAGGACTGGGACATTTGTATGTCGACACCCACCCTCATTGACTAAGGGCTATGCCCAGGGGTCTTTCCAAGGCTTCTGAGGGAGCCTAGACACAGAGATGAGGACACTGTAGTGGGAAGGCTATATCATATGGATAGGATACTAATCCATGTGCTACAGGCACCTGTCCCCAGGTATTGGAAGAGCTGTAATATGGAAGTAAACCTTGGGTGAGGAGAAATGAGCCTTTTCTAACTTTTGTGGCTCCATGAATTGATGGCTTCACAAGGTGATGTGAATTCTAGCAGCAGAGCCTGAGGGGCCAGATCTCGGATATGCCATGGGGAGATTCTGGCTTCGAGGGAAATGTTGAAAAGGATGGCATGCCATCCCTTTCCAGGCCAAGATGCTCCAATTTTATGAATGAAATTCTCCTGGGATATAGAGGTAGTGAGTGGAAAGCTTGGTGGTGAAGGTGAGTATCCAGAGGAGGAAGGCCACCACTGGTCATCCCCAGCCCACGAACCATACCACGTACCCCATCTAACCTCAGTGGAGGCCAGCCCTGGATAAGTGACAGGGGCTGCCAGCCAATTCTAGTCCAGGACTTTGATCCCCGGACTCCCAGCATTAGCATCGCTGAGCAAAATTGAAGGGCACTTAAAATAAAGCCTGGGTTCAAAAACATCCCCTTGGGCAAAAACATCAATGCAAGACATTGCGGATCCTGCTTGTTCACCAGCCCAGCAGCCCCACAGCTTCGTTGCAGAGGCCTTTAGGCTCTGTGGCTCTGTGCCCCCTTTGAGCCTTCCCTCCCAGACCCTCCGTGCGGGAGCTCAGCAGCTCACGACAGAGGCAGCTCATTATTTTGCTGCAGTTGACTTGAAATCTGAAATCAATCGGGTATCAAATATTCAGTCCTCGGTTTGATACTGTTTTTCAAAGGTGTAATAACGTTCAGAAATGACACCGCATTTCCTAATTATGAAATTCTGTCGTTGCCGTTCAGTCTAGAATGACTTGGCTGCAGGGTTTTTTCTTTTCTTTTTTTTTTAAGGTTTAGCATACAGTACGATTATTTTAAAATTGCTTTGGAAGAATGTATTTCATCAGCAAACTACGAGCATGCTTATTACTGAAGTTTGGAGGCAATTTGAGAGGAAGGATAAATTAGCACAGACTCTGGGGGCCTCAAAGCGTGCCCTCCCTCATCCTCCCTGCTCCCTCTCCCCGGAGCTCAGGAAACCTTTCACTCTCGGTGCCTCTACAACTCCTGCCTGCTTCACACACGTCCACCAGTCAAGGTCATTAATGATTTGGGGATGGGGAAGGGCTGATGGGGAAATTCCTGCTTCCCATGAGAACCACGGCACTGCTGAGAGGAAGGATGGAGAAGGGGCAAGAAGTTAACCCAAGAGCTCCCTACAAATCCGGGATCCTGAAAGCCGGTGTGAAGAAGAGCTGCTGTAGATAGCAGAGCCTGCGGGAAACCAAAGGCTTTGCTTGCTCGGGGACACAGATGCCTTCGCGAGAAGTGGGACTGTCGAGTGAGCTGCCAACACTTAAACAGTGGTCAGATGCTGGGTGTGGTGGCTCATGCCTGTAATCTCAGCACTTTGGGAGGCAGAGGCGGAGGATCACTTGAGGTCAGGAGTTTGAGACTAGCCTGGGCAACATAGTGAGACCCCATCTCTACACAAAATTTAAAAATTAGCCAGGCATGGTGGCATGCACCTGTGGTACCAACTACTTGGGAGGCTGAGGCAGGAGGATTGCTTGAGCCTGGGAGGTCGAGGCTTCAGTGAGCCATGACGGTGTCATTGCACTCCAGCCTGGGTGACAGAGTGAGACCCTGTTTCAAAAAAAAAAAAAATCATAGAGGGTGGTTTATAAACAATAGAAATTTATTTCTCACAGCTCTGGGGGCTGGGAGTCCAAGATCAAGGCACCAGCAGATTCAGTGTCTGGTGAGGGCTGCTTTCTGGTTCACAGCAACTTCTCCCACTGTGTCATCCCATGGTAGAAGGGGTGAGGGGCCTCTCTGGGGTCTCTCTTATAAGGGCAGTAATCTCATTCAGGGCTCTGCCATCATGACCTAATCACCTCCCAAAGGCCCCACCTCCAAATACCACCACATTGGGAATTAGGCTTCAGCATTTGAATGTTGGAAGACATGAACATTCAGTCTACGGCAGGAGTGAATTACTGACACGATAGCATGGTGAATCTCAGAAATGCTACATTTAATGCAAGAGGCCAAACAAGGCCATGCTATATGAGTCCACTGATATTACCATTCTAGAATAGGTGAAACTATCTATGGTAAAAAATATCAGAAGCATGGTTGCCTCTGGGGAGGAGAAGATTGATTGGAAGAGGGCATGAGGGAACACTCTGTGGGGATGGAAATGTTCTGTATCCTGATGAGGGTGTTTCTCCATGGGTGTATATGTTTGTCAAAACAAATGAAACTGTGTGCTTTAAAAAAGTATCATGGTGGCCGGGCGCGCTGGCTCATGCCTGTAATCCCAGCACTTTGGGAGGCCGAGGCAGGCAGATCACAAGGTCAGGAGATCGAGACCATCCTGGCTAATACGGTGAAACCCCGTCTCTACCGAAAATACAAAAAATTAGCCGGGCATGGTGGTGGGTGCCTGTACCCCCAGCTACTTGGGAGGATGAGGCAGGAGAATGGCTTGAACCTGGGAGGCGCAGCTTGCAGTGAGCTGAGATCGCGCCACTGCACTCCAGCCTGGGGGACAGAGCGAGACTCCGTCTCAAAAAAAAAAAAAAAATATCATGGTGATTTACCACTGCTGTAGATGAATGAGATGAAGGTAGATAGAAACTCATGGCCAATCGTAGCCACATGTAAGCCTGCAGGTGACTCAGCTCCACAGGAGGGCACCACCTCAAGGGTTTACCCTTTATCTCTGCTAAGAAATTGAGTCACTGCAGCCTTCTATTCCTGCTTAGGGGCCTGCCCTCTTATCCTAGCCACGAGCTAAATATCTAAATACTGCCCCACTCTCAGGGGAGGCAGCCTTGTTTTCTGAGTAATATATTCAACCTAGAGTCCACACCATTCATATCTTGGCGAGAAATGCCTGGCAGAGATTGCATTAAGTCAAATGCTAGAGGACAGAGGCTGATGACGTGTGTGCCTCCCGGGGCTGGTGTGAAGGGAGCCACCTCATTCGTATGAGATGATAGTTCCCAAGGAACGTTTTCTTCTTCCTGTCTGTCTTTCCTCCTTCCTTTCTTTTTTTTTTTTCTTGGTAGCAAAGACCTCTTCACATTGACAAATTATGAATATGCAGAAAAGATGGTATGAGACCACTCTGCGTCTCTGAACTGAGGCCAGTTTAATTCCTAGGACTCTAGTCACTGGTACTTTTCCTGCATTTTCAGCAGCACCTGAAATAGATTTTGCTTCATATGAAATGCAAAACACTGCAGAGTAGAAAGCTCACCCTGGTCTCTGATCCAGGCGAGTGTTCTCAAGCCTGGTGTTCATATTTTTTTCTCCCTTTCTTCAAAATACTGCCTTGCTAAGCCCACAGATGGGGATCATAGGATAAGTAGATGCATAATATATTACCCAAAATATTCCACCAGGCATCTTCTCTTACAGGTCAGGAGGACTTGCAAATGGAGCCTTCTAGGTCACCGCATTTCCATCTGAAGGAAAGTCTCCCTCATAATTAAGATTATGTCAGCATTTCCATTACGGAACCCAGTGGTAAAATCCACTCTGAAGTGCAGCTTGGTTTTAAAGCTCTTCGTCTTGGAGAGAACTCTTTGTCTCTCTGATAATGGTTTGCCTCGCTTTTTACCTTGGAAACTAGAGAAAGAAAAATGCATAGTAAGTCAGGAGTAGGGGGCTATGCTGCCCTGCGAAGCCATCAGTGGGCCTGGCTATTGGTCAAGGAGTTGGGAAGAGGAGGTTCGGGGGCCCCTGCGGTCTCCTGGATGGCAGACCAGTGAGGCAGCAGGAGCCTCTGTGTCCCAGCTGGGGTTCCCCAGGCTGTCCCCTGCTGATCCTCTCTATCGGAATCACCTGGGCAGAGCCTGTTCTGAATGCAGATTCTTGCCCTCCTATGGCACCGTCTACTTGACCCACCCAATCAGAATATCTGGGGCGGGGCCTGGGAATCTGCATGTCCTAACTACCTTTCCCAGATGATTCCTTTTCCCAGGAAACCTGAAGTTGCACGGGTGTAGACTTTGCTGTATTGTTGCTGGTGACCTTGGCCAAATCTCTTTACCTCATTATTATGCCTCAGTTATAAAATAACAGCTAACATGTATTGAGTGCTTACCCTGTGCCAAGCATGTTCTAAGGGTCTCATGAATTAACTCATCTAATTCTCACAGCAGCCCTATGAGGTGGATACTATAATTATCTACACAGAGAGGTTGAATAAGTTGCCCAAATCACACAGCTAGTAGAGCCGTAGCGTGAGCTTTGAAGCCAGCATTCTGGCTCTGCCGTGCCATGCTGCCTCTTGGAGGATAATTATAGTTCTCACTGTCCTGGGCTGTGAAGGGGCAAATGAAGTGGGAGATGTAAAGCTGCTTTGTGGCCTGCATGGTTATTTTTATGGTATTTTTATCTTAGGTTATCTTTATCCAGTTCCCTATTTAAGACTGTCTTGGTCCTTCCCAATCTCCTCTTTTATCCTCTCTTCCCCCTTCCCGGTCCCACGCAAATCTTTGATTTGTGAACAACTAATCTCACTGGCTAATTTACACTCAGGTGTTCATAAATGATGACAGCCTAATGCGATTGTTTTTCTCAGATAACACCCTTTCATTTTAGCTGGAGTTTTAACTCAGAATTTCTAATCTGCAGGCACCAGGGACCCCCTTGCTATCTTCCCCCTTCCCAGCCCTGTGCTCCGTGGGTGTTTCTGAAAGAAGCAAACTTCATTAACTAATTAGGAATCTATTCCATATATACATCTTTATATTTTATAAAATGGGAGATAATCCACCGGTATTATTTCTGGGGCTTTTCTAAAATCTTGAAAATGCCAGGAGACGTCCTCCTCATTACCATCTTAATGGGTTGCCAGGTGTCTGGGGACCTCTTGGAAGAAGCCATTTTCAAAGTCTGTTGTTTGTGGTTGTGGTGGGTATGAGTTTGTGACAGGATGTGTCCTGCCCTGGCTTTGGGTCAGGCTGGTCCAGCTTACCAGGACTTTGTTCCCTAAGGGGTTGCTGAGAGGACGGACTGCTCACAGGGCAGCTGCTGAGGTACAGAACCCACAGGTCGGGGACACGGTCACTGCCAGCTGCCACTCAAGAAAGAAGACGTGGCAGGAAGTTGCTGTGAAAGGTGAGCATATTAGCACGAGAGTCATAGTGTCCTTTTCCCCTCTGCGAAACCGGTCTTGTTCTCTGTTTCATTAATTTATACGTTCTCTGTGCTCGGTATGTGCATCTGTCACGTAGCAGTGGCTGAAAAAGTGCTGAGTGTGGGATGACTTGGTGGCCTGTGGAGTGGTCTGTGTCACCTCCTCCCCTCCCCATCATCCATGCTCCTCCAGCCACACTGGCCTCCTGTGGTTCCTTGAACACAGCAGCCACTTTCCTGCCACGGGCCTTTAGCTGGCCTCCCTTTCTTAGGGAGGGTTTTGGTCCTGGAAGCCTGACATCCTAGGAAGCCCTTCAGTCCTGGGAAAGCAGAGGCAGTTGGTCACCCTACATGTCTCTGGAACACTTTCCTCCAAGATACCAACCAGCAAACTCCATCCCTATCAGCCTTTTGCCAAATCTTCCCTTCTCAGTGAGGCTCACTGCATCCATCCTTAACATTCCCCACCTCCTATTTTGCTTATTTATTGTTTTAATAACACTTGCCACCTTCTTTCATACTTTGTTCTTTATATATTTATTATATTTATTGCTTATTGTTTATCTGTTGCCACTAGAATTAAGTACCATGAGGGCAGGGCTGTGTGTCTATTTGGTTTCCTGATTTATCCAGAATGCCTAGAACAGTGCCTGGCATGTAGTAGATAATAAATATAGGATGGTTGGATGCATGGATGGATGAATGAATGACAGCTCATATATTCTGTGCAAATTTTACTAGATATTATTGGTGGGTTGGGGGATTTAAAAAAGCATGAACTATATAGTCCTTGCTTTCACACAATGTATAATTTAGTAGGAGAAAGATAGCAAGAAGAGGCAGCCAAGCCTTTCCCATCTGAAAAAGATTCATGACCCACCTTGGTTGGGTCTCAACGGTGTTATATGCCTGATTCCACATCTCTGTCTCCAGCTTAAGTCCTGTGTTCAAGCTTCAGCCCCATCCACCACTGCCTACCAACCTCTCTGTCGTCCCATAGTCCAACAGAACGATTCACCAGCAATTCCTAACATGCACTGCTTCCTGTTTCCACTGTTTCATTGATAACACTACCGCCTAGCTAGTCAAGCTAGAAATCTGTTTTTCCTCACCTCTCATATTCACCAAGTCTTATTAATTTTAGCTCTGAAATGTTTCTGAAATGCACTTTCACTCTATACCAACAACCAACCACTCCCCACCCCCTGCCCAGTCCAGGTTCTGTTCAACAGCCTCCCAAGTCTTCTTGCTTCCAGCCTGGTCCCCTCAGCTCAGGGTCTACACAGCTGTCATTCTTTCCCTACTGGATGTCCAACACATGCCAAGCCTAGCGATGGGTGCTAGGGATACAGCCGTGCAGAAGACAGACAAGGCCCCTATTCTCCATACATCAGTGGGATCCACATTAATAAATCATACACTGGCCCTCTCTGGCTTAGAACCTTCAAATCTCATCCTCATTATTCTTAATTATTATTCATTACCCATGTTTGGGTCATGAATCCTTTATAGAATATGATGAAAGCTAAATTTATGCACAAAAGTTTCCTTACAATGTCAGGGGAGAGTACACTGGACTTGGAAGGCAACAGACTTCAAGAATCCTTGACCTGCAAGGTCAAGTTTCCCCCTTTTGTAAAATACACACAGCCATCATGGCTGGACCTGTCGCCCCTCTCCCCACTTTGTCTCTGGTCATACCCACCTGTCCCACTCTTTGGTGTCCCAGCATCATGGGACTTCCGAAGTTCCCCACATGGATCATCCATCCATCCATCCAGTGACCGTTAATTAAGTTTATATATATATATATATATATATATATATATATATGTATGTTTTTTTTTGAAACAATCTTGCTCTGTCACCTAGGCTGGAGTACAGTGGCATGATCTCGGCTTGCTGCAACCTCTGCCTCCCAGGTTCAGGTGATTCTCCTGCTTTACCCTCCCCAGCAGTTGGGATTAGAGGTGCCCGCCACCACACCTGGATAATTTTTGTATTTTTAGTAGAGACAGGGTTTCACCATGTTGGCAAGGCTGGTCTTGAACTCCTGACCTCATGGTCCACCTGCCTCGGCCTCCCAAAGTGCTGGGATTACAGGCATGAGCCATCACGCCCAGCCAAGAACATATCTCTTTAGATTCCGAGTCACCAGAAGCACAGAGGCAAAAAAATGATATGACAACTGCCCATCTGGACTTTACATTCTGGCTCCATAGCTTTCTCTTGCTCAGGCTGTCCCTTCTCCTGGAACCCCTGGTGTTCTTTCCTTCCCTGTTAACTGACCAGTGTCCACTTTAAAGTTCAATTCAGGCATCCATCTTCCTGGAAGACTTTTCTAGATGTAACTTCCCTGTTCATATTGGCTTTGTATTGAATTCCTTCTTTGGGTTCCCATATTTCCTTGTAAATATCTGTTTCTCTGCCCTTAATACAATACATTATAATTATCTTTTTTGCAGCTATTTCTTGCACTAAACTGGGAGTTTTATTGTTGACTGTTTATTCTCAGTGCCTGACACCAATAAATATTTATTGACTGAATGAGTAAATGAATACAAAGATGAATAAGGCTAGAAAGACTGGATCATGTCTCACCAAAGGACAGCTCTAAATGCTCACCTATCAATTCTGTTCTTTACTGGGTTGTGTCTTAGTTGGGGCAGCTATAACAAATTACGAATAGACTTGGTGGCTTAAACAGCAAGCATTTATTTCTCATGGTTCCAGAGGCTGCAAGTCTGAGATCAGGGTGCCAGATGCTCGGGTGCTTGGTGAGGGCTTTCCTCCTAGTTTGCAGATAGTTATCTTGGTGTATCCTCACATGGCAGAGAAAGCAAGAGTGAGAGAGGGCACTTGTGCACACACTGGTCTCTTTATCCGCTTATAAAGACACCAATTCAATTGTGGGGGCTCTTTTCTCATGACCTCATCTAAACCTAATTACTTCCCAAAGGCTCTATCTCCAAATACCATCGCATATCGCATTGATGATCGGGGCTTCAACACATGAATCTCAAACATTCGGTCCACAGAAGAGCTTTTGGAAGTGCTGGGCAAAGAATGATAGGTAAAGTGAGTCTTTGTGACCACAAATCTGGCAGTGGCTTCCAGGATGGGTTGGAGAGTGGGAAAGGACCTCTGCCCATGGCGGGCTGTAAGCATGAGTTTCAAGAGCAGTGTGAGAGGCATGTGGGGAGGGTGGGGAGGACTGGTGGAAAGACCTGGGCCCCAGCCCTGCCACTGTGGAGCTGTTTGATATTTAGTGGGCACTTCCCTCTCCTGGCCTTAGTTTTTTCACCTGTTAAATGAGGAGCTTTATTAGATGTATTCTGGGACCCTGTTTTATGTTTTTATGTCCTTCCTGCTTGATATTGCTTCTCTGCTGCAGGCCTGAACCTGCAGTTTCTTTAAGAGCTAGAGATTTAGCGAGCTGGTGCTAGCAATGGCCCCTGGAGGCCACCATAGCACCTTGTGCCTTGCTTAATTTGGATTCCTGGATAGATAACTCCAACTTGGATGGCATCCGAGGGTATTTCAGGGTTGATAGGGATCTCAGATGTCACCAGGGCTTTGACTGCCGGATAATTAGGCCCCAAGCGGCAGCTGGCTACATCTGCAGCCCCTTTGTCCCGTGTGGATGTGGCTCTAGCTCCCTCATTTTCTCTTGGTTTTAGAAGCGGCTGCTGCCTGTGATCTTGCTGCCAGGGATCAGTCCCTTATCAGAGCTGGACAAGGCTCCCCTTAGAAGGAACCTGTAAGGGTGGGTGGGGCCCGCGTGTGTCCACTCCTGCCCCTCACACTGGCTACTGCTTTAAACCAGACCCAAAATCCCCAAAGAAAGGCAGAATGGGAGGGAAATGGTGTCTCACACGGTGTACCACAACCCCACACCTACACATGGGGGCCTCGGGGCTGTCATCTCAGAGCCTCACCATGACCTTGACAGGCAGCTGTTTCCACTTCCCTTGAGAAATGAAGGAATTGGGCCATGGAGGGGTTGAGCAACTGCCCCAAATCTCTGAGCCAGACTCTTTACCTCTGGAGTCTGTGCGCCTTCTAACCACCCAGGTGTAGAGAATTAGCACCTTGAGACTGCAGGCCGTCTGCACTGGGACTTTTTATTATTGCAGATAAAGGAAGGAAACTTGGAATCCAAGAAGTGGGTGTGAGTTCTGGCTCTACCAGTTCCTGTGTGACCTTGCAAATTACTTTACACTTCTTTCATTTGCCCTATCTGTTGCTAACCTAAACTGGATTTGGCCTGAGGATGCCTCCATACCTTGGATCCTTATGTAAAGAACTGCAACCTAACTTAGTACAGGAACTTACTGAAAAAAGCCTAACAGGAGTGTATGTAGGAGCCGAGCTTCAGTCCATCACAGGTGGGCAACTCACCAGGCCATGTTCAAATAAGGCCAATGCTGAGCCGTCAGCAACAGTGGTCTCTGTACCTCCCATGGATGCTGCCTGCCCACCCTGCTGAGCCAAGCTCTATGAACTGCTTCTGGTTCTGAGGTGTGCGTCACTGGCGAATCTTTCTTTGCTCAATTACACTCTGTTAAATTTAATTTATCTAAAGATTGTCTTTTAACACTGTAAAATGGGGGGACTTCCACCTACTGTGCAGACTTGTGAGGAAGAACTGGGTTACTACGCATGCTAATTCTCGTCACTCTGATCTTCGGTGGTGATTTGTGGAGGGTGGGAGGGCGGACGGTCAGCAGGTCTCCCCTTGCCTGTTGGAAATGCGCTTGCGTCCTGGGGCTTGTCCTGTCCCCCAGGCCCATGCGTGACCCCTCAGAGAGGTCTGCGCAGCCAGGGGTGACAGGAATCCAAGGGAAATGAGACTCCCGGCTTCCCGGAAAGTACAGGGCCACTGTAGGAGGAAGAGGGGAGGGTGTCCCCAGGGCACCCTTTGACCCTGCCTTTCGGAGAACTCTAGTGTTACAGGAAGTGGGGCTGGAAGGCCTCCGGGTTTCAGGGCAAGGGATGGTGAGAGTGGTGGGAGGCACATCAGAAGACAGTGGCCTTGGGACTGAAGCCCAACCTTGGCACTGGCTGGCTGTCAGACCTTGGGCAATGTGCTGGCCTTCTCTGCACCTGAGTCTGCATCTCTGACTTTTTCTCAGTGTACCCCACAGGCTGTTACACAGATTTAAAAGCAGGGAAAGAGAGGCTCAAGGGTGAATAAAAATACTGAGGTCATGAAGTTTTATAAAAAATGAGGTTGCTGGTTCAACATGAATTTCTTTTTCTGATTTGTGAATTTATTGATATGGAAAGTCTTTCAAAGTACAGACATAAATTGTATTTTGGTCCAATTGAATGAGTAACCTTTGTTTCAAAGACTAACAGCACTTCTTGGAATTTTGCTAAAAAAAAAAAATCTAGGCTATTTGATCACTGTCGATAAGGAATCCTTTTTATTCTTTTTTCCTAGTGTCCATTGCAGGAGGACCTTGGTAGAGATCATGGCAAAAACAGCCGGGAAAAACAAAACCTTCCTTGTCCCTTATCGCTGTTTTGAACATGCCCACAGAAAGTATTTTTACCTGTTGACTCTTACTCCCCAACAAGGACAAACACCTTCTTCCCCGCATGCCTTTTTCTTTCCATTTTCAATATTTATTCTCTCCATGATGCCCTTTTCTGGAAACCAAAATAAGTATTTACTTGATGATAAATAACGACACAGTACATGGTCTGGGGCTAACACAGCACACCAGTTCAGGCCTGATGTTTCCTTATTATTTATGGTGTTATCAGCACAGCTTCTCAGTTCAATCGTGGTCTTAAATCAGGGATCCCATCACAGAACCTAATGTGAGAGAAAATCAGATGTACCAGGAGCCTCCTTTATTTTTCCTCCCTGGCTTGTCAAGCAGTCAGAAAATGGAGACTCAACATTCAAAGGTATGTGCTGAATAACTCTGTCTGGTTGCTAATGACACCGTGATGTGGCAAAACACCAGCTACTGCCGAGGCTCCTCTGAGGAGATCTGTATTCTAGAGGAGTCAGATCCAAGTCCTTTGTCTAATAAGACATTTAGCATTTAGAACGTACAGCCAGAGCACCTGAAGGCATTTACACTTTATTGGAGTCTTATGGGAAATACAAAAGGGTCAAGGAATTAGGAGAGTCGTATGAGCTTTGAGGTTGACTCAGTTGGTTAAAATTCACTGGGGACATTGCTCAGAATACCTGGATGTGGTATGGCTCTGGCCCCTGACGAGGTGCGTCTGGGTCAGGTGGGTGTTATCTCATTGAACACACACAACTACTGAGTGCCAACTGCAGACCAGGCATTGGGCTGCATTCTGGAGACAGATGGCAGGGGTCACAACCGCTTGGTCCCTGCCTTAATGACGTCCTATATACTCTCAAGAGAGATGGGCAAATAACTAATTGCGGTTTCTTGGTAGAGCTTCAAGTCTCCCTTCGAGGGAAACTGGAAGGCTGTGGACTTTGGAGTGTTAGTTCTGAGACAGGTTCCTGAGCTCTCCCTTCTAACCTTTACCTCTTAGGAAGTAGTGGTAACCCCGGGTTTCCAAGAGAGTGACTTTCAAGGGTTCCCTTTGTTCACTTCCTCGCAATAATTAACTAAAGGGCCAGGAAAACTATTTCAATGAAAGAAAGAGGGTATTAGGTGAGATCCTGGATGAGGTCTTATGATGCAAAGATAGGTATCTCCCTCTGGCCCCCTACAATGAGCAGGGAGGCAGCGTGGTACAATGGAAATGCCCTGTACCCTTTCCTGTCTGCCACTTGCCAGGCATGGGATCGGCGACATGCTGGTAAACTGGTTCTCAGAGGGGGACACAAAAGCCCTGATTTGTAATGTTTTCCAACTTCCATGGCATAAATACTCCCATCATGGCCAATTTAAAACTGTCAACGGCTTAACAACTAGCTTGGAAAATTCCTGAAAATTTAATAGGCTCTGGTGAGCCGCAGAAACTGGCTTCAGCACACCATTGCCTGGGACCCAGTTTCTCCCTCATTTCCCCAGAAGAAACCATTTCTGACCTGGTGTCTCCAGGGCTGTGGTAAATATGGGGGTGAAGTCGGTCTTTTGACCATACAGTGCTGGCACACAGGAGGGTCTCAGTAAACCTTGGTTCCCTGAACTCTTCTCCACTCCAGGAACAGCAAAGCGGTGTATGTGTCACCACTCACTCATTTATTCATTCATTTATTCAACATTTATTGAGCACCTAGTAGTTTCCAGCTAAGTAGACTCAGACACGAGCCTTGCCTAAAAGCCCTCTACAGATCAATTGAGGAGACAGGGTTATAGATCAGAGCCATGGCTGGGAGCTCAATCTTTAGTGCTATGAACTAGCTGTGTAGAGGTCATCCTAGGAACAAAAAGAAGGGGCAAAGAGGAGTGGGAAATTAAGGAAGGGTTCTTGGAGGAAGGGACCCGTATTGAGTTCTGAAGAGTGAGATGGTTGAAGAGGGAGGAAAGTCACATTAAACTAGGGTAGACCTGTGATTTTTTTTCATTATTGCTCCCCTAAGGAGGCTTTTTAGCCATCTTTTTCTCCAATCATTTCCTCCCTGCCCCCCATGAAAATTTTAAAATATGCTGCATATTTAATTATGTACTGCATATATATTTGTGCTTTTTTACACAAAAATATAAGATTTATTACTCCCCCAGAACCAAGGGGACACTATTGCCCCTTGATGAGGATGTATGCTGTAGGCAAAGAATCCCAAGGGGGCAGAAACCACAACTCTTCTTGCTGGCCGTTAAACACATAATAAGCTCTTGATAATTCTTTGCAAAATAAACAAATAAAGAAACAAATGCCACTGCCAGTAGAAGAACTAGTTCAAGAAGCAGGATAGGGAATAAAATAGCACAGGGTGAATGAGGAAACGCAGCGCTTTTTTCCCATTTACAAATTAGGAAACTGAGACTCCGTAAGTGATAGGGTCAGAGGGGTAAGTTGGGTCTGGTTGGCAGGTCCTCAGCGGCCAAGCTGAGATGTCACATTCCAGGCGCTGTACGAGATTCTTAATCCCCCAACTCACAAGGAGGCGCGATTATCATGTGACCTTCAGGTCTCTTCGTTGCTCCCCCTGAACGATGTGCCAAGAGGGTCTGTGCTCTCCAAGGCGGAGATGAACAACCACTGGCTAACTCATTACGCTCCAAAGTTTTAATGAAAGAGCTCCAATTACCAAGCTCTCTGCCTTTGGCACTTGAGAATCCATCTCAATTTCCCCTTTCTTTCTGAAGCGACAGTGATTAAGGATTCATTCTGCACATAAAACAAGTGATCAATGGCTTCTGGCAGTTGCCATTGTCTCTCTCTCCCCCTATCAGTAGACAATGTATCTTGGGGAGCTGCCGGGGCCTGAGAAAAGTGAGTTTGCCAGACACAGTTCTATTTTGATTTAGATCACAAATAGCTCAGCTCAGTTTTTACATTGATAACAAGGAGATGGGTTCCATTTCCTGAGCTCTGTAATTCGAATAAGTCCATCTCTATTGAAAGAGAGGGAGAGGAAGAGAGACGGATCTTTTTGTGTGTTGTAATACACTGGACCCGGATTTTTATGTCAGGCTGACACACAAGGAACCATAGTCTAACTGGCATAGCCCATTTCCTGGAACCTCCGAGATGGGTGGGGTCTGGTCTTTGTGGGGTCACCAAGTCTGGGGCTGTGGTTCTTCCCCGCCCACCCAAACCAGTCCTCACTGGAGGTCAGTGCAAGGCACCTTCCCTGGAGGGGAGGCCAGAGAAACTGTTAGCCTGTGGTTGTAACATCCAAGGGGCTTGGGGTGGGGGCAGGTAAGTCAGGAAGAGCAAATTGGTGAAAAAGGAGATGAACCTCTATTATCTTTCTTTTTTTCTCCCTTTTTTTTAACTTACTTTTTTTTTTTTTTTTTTTTTTTGAGATGGAGTCTTGCTTTGTCACCCTGGTTGGAGCGCAGTGGAGCAATCTCAGTTCACTGCCACCTCTGCCTCCCGGGTTCAAGCAATTTTCCTGCCTCAGCCTCCCGGGTAGCTGGGCCTACAGGCATGTGCACCACGCCAGGCTAAGTTTTGTATCTTCAGTAGAGATGGGGTTTCACCATGTTGGCCAGGCTCAAGAGAGCCACCCACCTTGGCCTCCCAAAGTGCTGGGATTACAGGCATGAGCTACTGCACCCAGCCAAACTTCCATTATCTTTCCTGGAAGATATTTTAGATAAATAGACAGATATGTGAAAATAAGTAATTCAGAACCTAAGCTGTTGGAACTAAATAAATTTGAGCCTTAAAGGAATAATTTTGGGCCTGAGGCACGTGACAGGTAGCTGTAACCTAGGCAGCTGTAATCTTTGTTTTTTTCTCATTATGGATTAAACCTTCTTCCTTACCTGTGTTGTTCTGTATTTATTAAAATGTGGTAAATGGCTGAAGGATGCCAGGGAAGACCACTTTCCTCTTACTGTTGACTTTCATTCTCTAGATTAACTTCCCTCCTACCTTTCTCATACAAGACTTCATGGCTATCATGTTATCTTAAAAGGGAGTATTAAATACACTCTTTTAAGTTGAAAAAGAAAAAAACAGCTGTAAAGAAAACCTATAGGGAAAAGAAAACAGACTACAACCAATTTGTTGTAATTCTTAAACCAGCCTTGTATTGAAAATGTAATCCTGTTTAATTTCTTTGTTTTCTTCCTATATAAGCAAGAACTTAACTTTTAACTTCAGAGCACTGACCCCATTTCTCTGGAGTCTTTCTCTCCTGGATGGTCATTCCCAGCTATTTGCTTAAATGCTCTCTTTAAAACTGGATTCCCACCTGTTTGATTATTTCAGGCTGACATACTGATTGATACATAGATATCATCCTTTCAAGACGAAGGATGGCTGCTTGAGGAGTGGAGAATCAACCTCCCCACCCTACTTCCTCCCAAAATTACATCCCTCCATCCCTTTTCTCCTGAAGGGGAATAAACACTGAATTTGCACCCAAGGAACCAGGTTTAGGAGCAGGAGCCAGTCACAAGAACAAAGGGTTTTTCTGTGGGATCAGTGCCTATCATCCAGAAATATACAACCCCAAACACTGTAGTCCCGAATTTTGAAATCCTGAGAGATCAAAATCTCTACAGTCGAAACCCCTAACATCTAAAATCCTAAAAATCACAACCCTGACAGATTAAAACCCTGCATGTGAAATCCTGAAATCGGAATTCTGGGGAAGGCATTAGTGTCCTCTCGGTTACAAGCAGGACAGTTGCATCATGTTAGTGGCATCATGTTAGGTGGGACTATTACCTTGTTAACTGTCTTCATTTGGAAGTTGGGTATGGTTTAAGGAAATGCAAACGGGTGCCAGATTGACAAGGGGTGGATTTGTGGACTTAATTTTAGGTGTCAACTTGACTGGATTAAGGAATACCTCAAAAGCTGGTAAAGCATTATTTGGGGTGTGTCTGTGAGGGTGTTCCCAGGGGACATCAGTGTGTGAGTCTGATGGACTAGGTGGAGAATATCTGTCTTCGTTGTTGATGGGCACCATCCAATCGGCTAGGAACTCAGAGCAAATACAGAAGATAAATTGGTCTTTCTCTAAGATCTGGAACAGACTTTGCTTCTGCTGTTTTGAGCATCAGAAATTTGACTCCTCTAAAGTGAATTATCACAATGTTGACTTTATGTGTAAACCTTGGTGGTGTATGTTAGAAATGTTGAAACTTCTCCAGTAAATGAAGAGATATCCTTTCTTTACATATGCATTTGTGAAAAAGAAAATTTCTCAAGATCTCAGCTCTTTGGACAATTGCATATGTGGGGGTGACCCACTGTGTTTGGTCCATCTCGTCAAAGGACTTAGATAGTCTGTCATGGAATATCAGATGACTGTAATTACAAAGCTGGGTGCACGCAATTACCAACTATACTGATATGTGCTTATACATTTTTCTTTTTGTCCTACTTCTTTATGAATACTATTTGTCTGCTCATAACCCCTACACCCATGCGATGGTTGCTAATATACCTGCATGTGTATGCTTGCAAAAATATGTGTGTTGTCATTTTCTATCTTATTGTGTAAAGTGGCCTATGAAGTGTTCTGTGACGTTTTTATTTATTTCTCAAATAAATCCCCCTTTAAAAATGCAAATAAATGTCTTTTAAGTAATTTCTTAAAATTATTTCTCCAGAATTATACTTTCAGGATTTTGGTCTTTCAGGATTTCAACATTCAGAATTATGGTGTTCAGAATTATGTCTTTTGGGGATATGGCCCAAACCCCTGTCCTTATGCCATCACCTTATGCCACACAGTTTTGATTATGCAGCTTTGTTGTAACTTTTGAAATTGTGAAGTGTGAATCCTTCAACTTTGTTCTTTTTCAAAGATTGTTTTGGCACTTCTGGATCCTTTGAATTATTACATGAATTTTAGGATCAAGTTGTCAATTTCAGCCCTACTGGGATTTTGATGGGGATTGCATTGAATCTGTAGATCAGTTTGGGGGTTTTAATTTTAAAGAAGAAAGTGGTCTGGAAGTGAGGCAGTACGGTAGAGAAGAAAGAATGAATGGAGGCTTCAATGTCAGGTGGACAGGTGGTCGTCAGTTCATGTCTGACCTCCCAGCACTGACTGGTTTTGAGATTTTGGGCACGTCGATCTTCTTTGAGCCCCAGATTCCTCATCTGTAAAACAGGCCTAAGGATACTCACTCCAAAGGTGGTCTGAGGATTAAATGAGTTTGATTGTGCAGGCTGTAAGGGCAATGTCTGGCACATAACTGTAGCTACCTTCATTTCCTGAAGGCATTGAAACTCAACCAACTAATAGGAGAGAAAGCATCAGAGTAGAAAAACGTAAAGGCTGGAAAGGACCTTGGTGATTACATTAATGCATGTTGAATTTTCATTGTCTGTGACCTTAATCTTTCTCTTGCCCCTTGAATACTTTTCTCCCCACAACTTTGACAAGGTTCCACCTGACTCTGATGGCCTAGTTGGAAGTAATCTCTTTTCTGAGTGCACCCAGCATTTTTTCTTCTTTGACAGCATCTAATACTGTTTGCCTGTTTTCTACAGATTTGGGTATGAGTTTTGACCTCACTTCTAAACTGTAAGCCTATAAGGGCAAGATTCAGCTGTGCCTCTTCCTTGACATGTTAGTGTGGAGGGCTTGATAAAGCATGGCCCATTCATGTGCCTACAACATGGGTGTGTGTGTGTGTGTGTGTGTGTGTGTGTGTAGTCTCATTTCTCTGTACTTTTCTTCCTACCTTCTCCAAGCACATACATACCCTGCCTTATGCTCAGTCAGGCTCTGTTAACCAGTGAAATGTTTAAGGATACAGGTGAATTGACTCTGAAGTCTGCGGAAGAGAGGTTTCTTCTGCCTTGGGTATGGGTGATCACCTTAGCACCCCACTTGGCACAGCTGGGAGGTAGCCAGAGACCTCTCCAGCTGGGAGTAATCTTATCATTGCTTTTAATTTTGCCAGTTCGACAGATCAAAAATAGTATTCTGTCTTGATTTTTATTTCTTTCATGACTGCTGAGGTTGAATTTTTAATATGTTTATTAGCCATTTGTACTTGGTTTTTGATTACCTTTTCCACCTGAAGTATTTCAACATTTGGATTTGAACTGATAAGGGAGAGACTGGTGATGAGCAGGCAATGCAGTTCGACAACTCGTTTGGGACTGATCAGTCAAGTTTGAAACTGGCTCATTGTGGGGCATGTGTGCCTGTGTGTGTGCATGCGCATGTGCCTGTATGTGATGGTTTGTGTGTGGGGTGTGAGAGTGTGTATTCATAGGTTGAGAAACAACCTGGGAGACTTGGACAATTACCACTGTCCTCATTCTGTGCCACTGTATGTCATGACAGTACTTTTTTTGCCATGTGCTCCCCATGAAATGCAAATTTTAGCAGCACAGGCCGCACAGGCTTCTACATAAGCCCACAGCTGAGATCTGTTTCCGTTAATTCTTTCATTCAAGCTCCCTTGCTGACTTCAGATGTCAGCATCTCTTTCAAAACATCTCTTATGTGTGGACAAGCTTCTGATCACTTCCCTTGGAATAATAGAATTGAGCATTACACGTCCCTGCTGGGGTGAGATATTGCTTTTTTGTATCTGTTGCCTGTTGCCAGTTAATTACCTAAATGTTTGATGAAGACTAGAAGTAGGGCTGGGGCTAGAGGCTGGAAGGGAATCCATGCGCTCACTGGCTGTGTGGAGGGTTCCTGATGCATGGAGTGTGCAGTTGGGGCACGATGGTCAGAAGAAAGTCAAGCAAGGCCAGTGTTGAGGCCCAGGGTGAGCTGAGACAAAGAAGTCAGCACCTCATCTTTGCTCAGGACCCAAGAAAGAGACTTTGTGAATGGCTTCACAGAGCAGGAAATGTTGAGACTGATGGTAGGTGGCCAAGGGACGAGCATGCTCTAGGTGTTGGGGACAGACTGGACAAACCTGGTGCCACCCAAGGGCCTGATCTGTGGGAAGTAGCAGGTGATTGAGAAGACTAGGACATGGGATGTGGATGGTGGAAGTGAACGTTGAGGGTGAAAAACTGGTCCTGGGTACCCAAAGGAGGTGGTAGGCTTTATTCTGTAGGAGATGGGAATGTAAAGGTGAGAGGCTTCAGTCAGAGTGTCAGGGAAAGAATCAGCTGCCCGTGTCAACTGATGGGCTGTGGGCTGACTGACAGGACCAGACAGGGCTGACTCTGGCTTCTGATTAGGGAGCCTGGGTGGGTGGCCTTGCCAGGACTGTGATATACACACAGGGATGTAAGTAATGAGTTCAGGATGGATCATGCTGAAATGGAGGAGTCCATGTTACATCTAAGAAGATGGGAGTATGGGAGAAAGACGTGGGCTCAAGATAAAGGTAAAGGTAAAGATTTGCCAGTCATCAGCCTTTGGTGGTAGTTAAATGTAGAGTTTTATGTCACGTTGCCTGGAGAGAATGGCGCGTGTGAAAAGATCAAGTCCCAGAGAGCACCAGGACTCATGGGTGGAGCAAGGAGAACTAGTGAGGGTAAGTTCACACCAGGGTATTGTCCTGGAAGCATGAGGAGGAGGGCTTTCCCAGGAGGAAGACACTGGTGATAGCATTCATCTCTTTGTGGCATTTGACACTAAGACAGATTTGGCCATGTAGCATTCGACTAAGGGTGTAGTCTTTGGGTTGAGATGAACCTGGCTTCAGATCCTGATTCCAGCACTTAGTATCTCTGGGGTCGTGGAGATGTCACTTAACCTGAGCCTCAGTTTTTGCATCTATAAAGTAGAGAGGTGATAACAGAAGTAAATTCATAGGGTTTGTGATGATTACATGATACACTGAAGGTGAGGTAAATGGCACAGATCCTGGCACACTGTGAGCAGGAAAGAAATGTCACTATTATAGTTATGAGGGGTAAAAATGGTAACAATATCTACTTACAAAACTTCAGTAATAATTACCTTAAAAATGCACTAAAGTCATGTCCTTTGTCCAGTCCCAGATGGGTAGGGGTAAGAGCTTCTGCCAGCGAAAAGACATGAGCTGGGACCAGACCAAGGGGAGTATGGTGTGGGCTTGTGAGAGGCCTGGAGTGTGGACTGAGTCTGGAGTCTGCTTCCTAAGGGCAGAAGTATTAGACTCTAGTCAATGCAGGTGGGACCCTTGTCCATGGGGTCTGATCTGGGAGGGCTGGCGTACTTTGAGAGTAATGTGATAGTATTAGATGGGACTCCGGATTATTTTTTAGTGAAGATCTGAAAAATAAATCTAGACAAGTGTGGGTTAAAAGGATCAGGAGAGTAAGGCGTTTAGGAAAGGCGCGAACCTCGGCTCCAGTCCCACTACCCTCAGGGACTAGTTGGGCAGTGTGGGCTCAAATGCTGAGTGCTTGCTTTATGAGGGAGGAGCTGCAGCCCAGTACCCTTGTGGGAGTTCAGGGGCTGGTTCCGCACTGCACAGGCATGGAGAGTGGAGACTGTTTGCAGAACGTGCTAGCTCATGGGCAGGACTCTGCATAGTCGCAGATCTGGCTGTCATTGGCCCATGACCCAAGTATGAAGAGTTGAGCCTGCAGGTGACGGGGCACACTATGGTCATCTGGGGATCATTATATAAGGACTGATTGATGTTATGAAAATGCCTAGACTGGGACTTTAGGTCAGGACGGTGTTCGAGTTCACACTTTAAAGGACCCCCCTGACTTCAAATACATTGCAATGGTAGATGAAATATTTTGGAAAGAATTCAGACGTATCCACATTCAATAACAAGATAAACACCTTTGTGGGCTAGAAACAGAACAGTGGTAGGTGGTGATTGAGGCCCTGGACTTGCTGGGCTCCAGGATTTGGGAATAGGCAGAAGCGTGGCTGTTGTGGGAAGACAGGGATCAGAAGCTCTAGATTCAAGACTAGGGCCTGAACCTAGGGTCATTGCGTGAAACTGGGGGCTGGGGCAGGTGCTCACGCCCATCCCTTCAAAAGAGGCTGGAATAAACTTCAGCCAGTGCTTGGAGCTGCAGCATGTTATAGAGCAGAATGGCTGGGTGGAAGGAAGGAGCAGATGAAGCCACACTAAGCACCTCAACTAACCACCTGCTGGCTCAGTGATCAGCTGTGTGACATTTCCAAGATCACCCTGGAACAAGAAAACACCGCTATCAGACCTGGCCCTGGGCTAGGTGTCCTAAAGAAAAACTGAACAACTCCCACATAGGGAGTGGTGAAAAGGAGAGAGAGGGGCTAGAGGGAAACAGAAAATACTCACTGCAGATGAACTTGCTAATGAAAGTTCCAAAGCACATGAAAAAAATGAATGCTAAGAAAGATAGCCAACAAGCTCAGAAAGTAGAATCACTCCCATTGAAATGGGAATCATAAAACAATGTAAAAATGACTTTAAAATGAGTATGTTTAATATTCTTAAAGAAGTAAAAAAGGAATAACACCTAAAAAGATTAAGAAATTATGAAACGAAAACAAGCAGATAGAAATCAAGAACAGATGTGTATGCAAATGAACTAATTAGACATTGGAAATGAAAATATCAAGTAATTGTGATTAAAACATGTTCAGAAGACAAGATCAACTCTAGGCTAGATATGCCCAAGAAAAAAATCAGTAAATTGGGGGAGGATACTGGAGAGTTTACCTCAAATGTTACACAAAGATAGATGAAAATATGAAAGAAAAGTTAAGAGACATGGAGGATAGATGGAGGGATTCCAATACATGTCTAATAGGACTTCCAGAAATGAAACATTGAGAGAATGGGAGAAAAGCAGTTTTCAAAAAGATGAAAGCTAAGAAGATCCTGACATTTTGAAGAGACCAAGCCCTCAGATTAGGAGCACTAAATACTAAACAGGAATATGCCCAGCCCAGTGTCTGGCAAATAGTAGCTGCTGAATAAATATTAATCCCCTTTTCTTCCCTTCTTTCTTCTTTCTAGAAATAATTACTGAACATCTGGTATGAACTTGACACTGTCCTGGGCTTTGGCTATAAATATGATAAATCCCCTCTGACAAACAGCTGAGAGTTTGATCAGGAAGAAGGACATATAAACAAGTGCATGCCACAAAGTTACAGGGTCTGTGGCAGAAATCTCTATAGAATCCAGAAGGTGTGAAAAAGAAAGAAAGGTATGTGTGTGTGCATGAGGCTTCCTAGAGCAGGCAGTGCCTCAATAGTTTTGTGAAGGGGGATGAGCGAAGGAGAGTGGCAGTATGGGCAAGAAGAGCACAGAGGCCCGTGCCCCTGTGTTTGGAGAAACTGGGCAGCTCACTGTGTTAGAGTGTGGGGTTTGAGGAGTGCGCATCTATCTTACCTTTTGTCATCCCACATATTGTGAACTCCTCAAGGTAGTTTGGCCCTGTGGGGGCCCGTACTTTTCCAGGGCACTTCCTGCAGGGCCCATGAACAGCTGACCTTTAAAAAATATTTTGCTGACTCGCTTGCATAGCCATAGGTCTATCTTAGTGGATGCGTTTTATATCTAGCCTTCTGGAGAACAGAGACTAAATGCCTTCCACGGTTGCTGTGTTGCTTCTGCTCAGGCACGACTTTAAACCCAAATCCTTTAGCTAAAGAAGCGCTTCTACAGCCCCCAGGGAGGGGGGGGAATGCCTTGGAAAGAGGCCGAGCTGCTCGAGGGAGCGGGTGCCGCGCTGATTCGCTGGGGAAGAGCTTCACAGCGTCTCTGTTCTTTCATCTGTCATGGAGGAATGACAACGCCTGCCACTTATGTGTTTCACAGACATGTTGTTATCAGGAACATTGGCAACGCTCTTTGATATGTGGAGATGAAAGATGCTGGATTAATTCAAAGCTTTATTTGTTGTTTTTTTACTATTATTAATAGTTAAATTGCCGAACACATTTTTGACAGTCTTGTCAGAAGCTCTTCGGTATGTTCTCTTCCCTGGAAGAGTAAACATTGCCTTTAGAGTCGCGACTACTATTTTTCTTTCTTTCTTGGCAGTAAAAAATGACTTCAAATCACAGTATTTAGGATGATGATATTTTTGATGTACTCTATCCTCTTTCAAGCTCTTATTCTACTCCTCACTCTTGTGTAAAAAATGAAAGGGCAGAGAAAAATTCACATATTAGCCTTGCTTTGGCCTCCAGAGCTGCCTCAGGGCCCGTGTGAGTAGGTGGACATCGGAGGGATGGTGAGGAGAGGTGGTCACCCAGAAACACAGATGGGCTGTGTGTTTCATTTCCTTGTGTGCGTTAGAAGGGGCTATACAAGGTTCTGGTCCAAACGTCCCGGTATTGCTGTCTCCTGCGTCACTGTGAGCACAGATTTGCCTTCTTTCCTAAACGATGAGGTTGAGAGCCTGGATTTTGTGCTGCCATCTCTCTCCTCTGAGTAGAAAATAATTACTTCAAAGCTAGCGAAAGTTACACTTTAGATTCCTTCATCTCAGATCTCGAGGCCTGAGGAAAGGAAATTAGCAAAAGTACGATATTTTAACCACAATCTCTTAAGACCAACTCTGTTTGCAATCCAGCTTCTCCTCCTTCATGCTTCTCTCTGTGTCCGGGTGGTGTGAAGCACCCACAGATATTTGTTGGTGTTCTAAGAAAGGAAAGTTGATTGGATATATGCCGGTTTTTTTTTTTCTTCTTCCTGGGACGGAGTCTTGCTCTGTTGCCCAGGCTGGAGTGCAGCGGTGTGATCTCAGCTCACTGCAACCTCTGCCTCCCAGGTTCAGGTGATTCTCCTGCCTTAGCCTCCCGAGTAGTTGGGACTACAGGCGCCCACCACCACGCCTGGCTAATTTTTGAACTTTTAGTAGAGAGGGGGATTCACCATTTTTAGTAGAGATGGGGATTCATTCAGGCTGGTCTTGAACTCCTGACCTCCTGATCCGCCCTCCTCGGCCTCCCAAAGTGCTGGGATTACAGGCGTGAGCCACTGCACCCGGCTGGCAATATGCCTGTTTGTAATTTGGATAGATCATTTGAACATATCAATAAAACAAGTTAGAAGTTACAGATTCCTGATATGGACTTATACAAAGAGCACCTTCTTTTGTCATCTTTATTAAAGGACTTGGAGAAAATTTAGATGAAGAGTAATAGACTGTGAAATGAAAGCAATAAGGTGAATGATTAAACCAATAAAATTGTTCACTTCCTGATGTCAGATTGTAACAAAAATTTCAGATTCCATTAAATGCAGCAGTTCTGTGAGAAAGAGGTACATCTTGGAAAGAAATATTGAGTAGGCTTTTAGAATGTTTGCTAATCCAATTAATGATATGGAGTGAGTCATATGAATGCTTTGGAAAAAGATTTAATTTTTTTTGCTGATTTGATGTGAAATACTGACATCAACCAAGATAATAAAACTCATATATCACTACAACAAGGGCATTGATGGTAAAATGGTTAATAAAGTCATCAATTAAAAAGGCATTTGATTAGCTTTTCCAGAGAAAACTTGAAAGGCACCAAGATTTTATAGGTTATATTTGAAAAAAACTGGCTTTCCCAAATGTTACAGCAATCTTAAAAGTTTATGAGACCTTATCAATTGAGTTGTGAAGTAGGAAAAAACCCACTTCTCTAAACTTTCAAAGATATACAGATAGTAAATAAGCAAATGAAAAGATGTTTAACATCATTAATTATTAGGGAAATACAAAGTGAAACTCCAACCTATTACAATGGCTAAAATACAACCAATCTGCCAATATCAAGTGCTGGCAGAGCAACTAGAACTCTTATGTTCATAGTGAGAATGCAAAATGTTACAGCCCCTTTGGGAAATTCTTTGGCAGTTTCCTATCATGTTAAACATATACTTACCATAAGGCCCCGCAATCCCACTCTAGGTATTTGCCCTAAAGGAATGAAACTTACGTTGACACTAGAACTTATATTTGAATGTTTATAGTAGCCTTATTCATAATCACCAAAATTTGGAAACAATACAGATGTTTTTCAACCAGTAGATGAATGAACAAATTGTGGTACATGTGGTACATAGTGTAATGGAACAGAATGCTACTTGGCAATGAAAAGAAACATGATTCACACGACATGAATGAATCTTAAATGCATTTTGCTGAATGAAAGAAACCAAGCCCACATCTTGGTTTCTAAATGTCACTCTCCAATAAAAGGAACCAGGATTCCTTAAGTAGTAGATTCCAGGGCTGGAGTCAGGAGATCGAGACCATCCTGGCTAACACAGTGAAACCCCGCCTCTGTTAAAAATACAAAAAATTAGCCGGGCATGGTTGCGGGCGCCTGTAGTCCCAGCTACTCGGGAGGCTGAGGCAGGAGAATGGCGTGAACCCAGGAGGCAGAGCTTGCAGTGAGCTGAGATTGCGCCACTGCACTCCAGCCTGGGCAACAGAGCAAGACTCTGTCTCAAAAAAAAAAAAAAAAAAAAAAAAAAGATGATCCTAGAATATCTTTTGATGCTAGAAAGTAAGGAAGTGCAAGAAAGACAGAAAAGAAGCAAGGAAGGAAGGAAGAAAGAAAGGGAGCATGTGAAAAGGGCGGAAGAACCAATCTGAAAAAAAACTTTCAATGGCCAAAACTAGAAGAATTTGAGCAACAAAGTAAATTAAGATAGTATTGGATTATAACCCAAAGAATAAAATAAATATTCATGAGTTCAAACTCATATGAAAAGTCACTGAAAAATAAATGTAGAAGAAACAACTCTTCTATAACAGAAGAATTCTACTTAATAAAACGTAGAGGAATGAGAGATATGGAAAATCACCATTAAAACCACAGTATTACTACAATAATAATTGCTATGAACAAGCTCTATGAATGGTTAATAAAATTAGTAGATGAATATCTCTCCTGCAAATATTTATTAAGTACAAAGGGAGAAATAATAACTTTATAAGGGAGAAATCTGACAGTTGCTACCTTAACCAAGTAATCAAAGTTAGCATCAACAGCAGTAAGACACAGTGACATATGTCCCCCCATTATGTGATATATATACAGAGGGTATCTCACCTCTGTGGAATTATTTCCAGTAATGCATAAGCCCAATTTAATCATGAGAAAATACTAGAAAGCTCAAAGTAAGGGACATTCTGCAAAGCATCTGACAAGTAGTACTATTTAAAAGGGTCAATATCATGAAAGATGAGGAAAGGATAAGGAATGTCATAATTCAGAGATGACTAAGGAGGCACAACAACCAAAACGAGTGTGGTTTGGATCCTGTAACAGAGAAGGAACATTAGTAGAAAAACTAGTAAAATCCAAATAAAGCCTACAATTCAGTTCATAGTATTGTAGCAATGCTAATTTCTTACTTTTGATGATTGTACTATAGCTACATAGGATGCTAACATTAGAGGAAGCTGGGTGAACTCTGTATTATTTTTGGAAATCTTCTGTAAATATAACATTATCTTAAAAGTTTTAAAATTTTCAGTTAACCATAGCAGAGGAAAGACTGAATTATCTTTCTAATTTGTAGATAGAAATTATTATATATAGTTGCTACATGAAGAGATAATGAAAGAGTATGCAGTCAAAAAGGTAGGAAAAATAATATTACAGAGATGTTTAAAGAAGTTAAGTCAGGAAACCTTTTTTTCTGGATTTTGTGATGCTTTGTATTTGACAACTTCTTATGTTTGTAATTCTTGGTGGATTTCCTTATTTTACATAAATATTTATGTTTGTACTTTGTATTTTAAATCATGTATTAAGAAAATTATGTTTTGAGCCCCTGAGCCTGGATTGGTCAGGAGATTGGCCCAAAGCCAGACCCTGAGGGAGTATTTGTTAAACATGTTGGCTTCCTGTCCCATTCTTTCCATCTCTGCTGGCCTGGTGGCTATGAAAAGGACAGTTTTCTACAAAAGTTCGCTCCTGTTCTCTGTATAATTGTGATGCCACCAATCTCCACTGGTAGTTTTAACATGATCATGGTGTCTTTAAAAGACACAGTGGTAAAGTCCTTAGCATCTTGTTTACTCTAAAACTCTGCTCCTAAATTTCTGGCTTTCTGTTCAGTGGTCCCAACTTACATCCCATTCTGCATTTTATCTTCCACCTTGATTATTATTTGGGGTCTTCAGTGATGAGAAATATATTTCCATTTTCTCTTTTTTTTAAATTAGTGTTTTCTGTTCTAAAAATAAATATTCTTTATTTAATAAGTTGAAGAAATGAAAATCCAAAAAAGAAACCAAGAAAACAATTCCATTTATAATGGCATCAAAAAAGGAATAAATTTAATCAGAGAGGTAAAAGATCTATATGCTGAAAACTGTGAAACATTGACAAAAGAAATGGAAGAAGATACAAGTAAATGGAGAGATATCTTGTGTTCATAGACTGGAAGAATTAATATTATTAAAATGACCATGCTACCTACAGATCCAGTGCAATGCCTATCAAAATTTCAATGGCAGTTTTCACAGAAATAGAAGAAACAACCTGAAATTCATATGGAACCACAAAAGACCCCAATTATCCAAAGCAATCCTGAGCAAAAAGAACAAAGCTGGAGGGATCACACTACCTAATTTCAAAACCTAACACAAAGCCATAGTAATCAAAACAGCATGGTACTGGCACAAAAACAGAGATACAGAATAATGGAACAGAACCAAGAGCCCAAAGATAAATCAACATGTTTCTAGCCAACTGATCTTTGATAAAGGTGCCAAGAAAGCACAATGGGGAAAGAACGGTCTCTTTAATAAGTGGTTTTGGGAAAACTGGATATCCACATGCAGAGCAATAAAAGTGGACCCTTATTTCACTTCATATACAAAAATCAACTGGAACTGTAAGACTACTAGAAGAAAACCTAGGGGAGAAGTTTCTTGACATTGGTTGACAAATATTTTTTTGCAACTGACCCCAAAAGCACATCCAACAAAAGAAAATTAGACAAACAGCATTTCATCAAACTAAAAAGCTTCTGCATAGCAAAGGAAACAATCAATAGAGTGAAGAGACAACCTACAGAATGGAGGAAGATATTTACAAGCCATATATCTGATGAGGGGTTAATATCCAAAATAGAAGAAACTGAAATAACCTAGTAACAATTAAAAAAAGCCCTGTTTTAAAAATGGACAAAGTACCTGAAAAGACATTTCTCAAAAGAAGACATACAAATGGCCAACATATGTATTATTAAAAAAATACTCAACATTACTAATCATCGGAGAAATGCAATTAAAACCACAATGAGATGTCACCTCACAACTTTTAGGATGATTATTATCAATATGACAAGAGATAATAAGTGTTGGTGAAAATGTGGAGAGAAGAAAATCTTTGTACACAATTGGTAGGAATGTAAATTAGTGGAGACATTATGGAAAACAATATGAAGGATTCTCATAAAATTAAAAATAGAACTTCCATATGATCCAGCAATTCCGCTTCTGGATATACAAATAAAGGAAATGAAATTGTATGTCAAAGAGCTATCTGCACTCCCATGTTTATTACAGCACTATTCACAATAGCCAAGATATGGAATCAATCTAAGTGTTCATCCACAGATGAATGGGTAAAGAAAATGTGGTCTGTTTATTAAATACATAATGGAATACTGTTCCTTAGAAGGAAATCTTTTCATTTGTGATGTGGATAAAGCTGAAGAACATTATGCTAACAGAAATAAGCCAGGCACAAAAAGACTGCATAATCTCACTTGAATGTTGAATTTAAAAAGGTTGAACTCATAGAGGCAGAGAGCAGAATGGTGGTTACCAGAAACTAGAGTGGGTGAAAGAAGGACTGGGGAGACGTTGGTCCAAGGATACAAAATTTCTGTTAGATGGGAGGACTAAGTTCAGGAGATCTGTGGTACAACATAGTGACTTAGGTAATAACAATGTATTGTATAGTACTTGAAAATTATTGTACAGTAATTGAAAACTATTAAGAAAGTAGATTTTAAACGTTCTTACCACAAAAATAATGGTGAGGTAATGGATATATTAATTCGCTAGATTTAACCATTCCACAATGTATACATATATCAAAACATCATGTTGTACAGCATAAATATATGAAATTTTTGTTAATTAAAAACAAAAAGATAATTCTCTCCAAGATATCCTACCTATATTAGCCATAGTAAATATTTTAGTATAGCTCCCTCCTGTCTTTGCCATATGCATGGGGATGTGAGTGTGTATATTTTAAAATATAATTGTGATAATGCTATATGTACAACTTTGTTTCTTGCTAATAGCACAATGTAAATATTTTCCCACAGTGTTTTATGCAGTCTTTATATACATATTTATTTATTTTAATATGTATACTTCATATATATGTCAATTACTGCATATTCCCCTGTTGAGTAAGTACCATGGTTTACTTAACCCTTTCTTAATTGTTGAATGCAGTGAAAAACTTGATTCGTGAAACTTTTGTGGGTGTGTGAGTGTGTGACTTTTATGAAATGTACTAAGGAATGGCAACCAGAAAACTTCAAATAGGTGTAAGCAATTTAGATAAGAGCAGAGTCTCTACTGGGTTCTTGGAGTAGACCCTTAGAGCCTGTGAGAAGTAGGGAGACAATAGCAATAGAAAGACAAGTTTTGGTCTTAGGAAGGGTCTGGAGTTCAGCCTTTTGGTTGAGCTAAATGGTTTTCTACTTCTAGGATGAGTGCCTAAGAAGATGTTTATTAAGCACTAGGAGAGATGAAAATTAATGAAAATGTCTATTAGCCACTAAAGCCCAAGGAAGGACAAGAATGAGACATTGCAGCAGAGAAGAAGTGCAATCCATACTAATGGAGAAAACAGCATGTGTGGAGACTTCCAATGAAGACAGACACTAGCAGTGTAATTAAATCAAATCCTTGGATAGCTGAGAGACAGGGTTGTTAATGTGCTGAAGCCCACTCGGCAGCAGAGGAGGCTGAAGATGCACTAGAGATTAGAGTCTTGGCTTCTGATGCCTGTGGAAGCCACACTGATCCTGTGGCCTAGTATCTCAAAGAGAATAATTGTGCTAATTAATAACAGGAGCGATATGGAGGTCCCTGATTCTGTGGATTTGCCTAGGGTGATGGAATGCAGATAGTCATTTATTTATTTGGAAAAACCAACAAATTTTACCAAGGGAGGAGATTATTCCATTAATACAATTTTGACTCGTGATAAAAGGTGTAGAGTTTGCCTCCTAAACAATCTGCATACTTTGAAGGATATTGGTAACATTCAAAAGTCCAAGAATGCTTGGCATGGAAAGAACAATGGGAACTTGAGACACATCAGCCTGGGAACTCTGTAAAAGCCAGTATAGTGCCTAGAAGCAAGCTGGTATTGGAGATAGTCAACAATCTATCAGAGGAATCCCAGGGATTACAGAGGCTGCCACTCAGCTCAGAGAAAGAGCTTAGTATGAGAAGCCACAGTTCTTGCCATCCATGCCTTCTTGGTGGCCACAATTTCCCACAGATGTTTCCAAAGAAAGCAAAAATGCTCTTCTACATGCATCAACAAACTCTGCCAAGTCAAGAGAGCCAGGAGTCTCTCAGGGGTCTGCTCAGCTGCTCAATGGAGAAGAGAAAATAAAAGAGGGGAAATTGTTCTTTTGCTGGCTGCAGAATGGAGCAAACTGAGGTGATTCTTTGACAGTGTCGGTATCTGACACGATGGGAGTTGTCTCTGAGCCAAACTTAGAGGAGATGTCATTGCCCTTTCAAATGTAACATTTTTGTTTTTTGTTTTTTTTTCCCCCTAATGGAGGCAAAATCATTTTGTGGATTTCTTTCCAATAAGGCAATAGTTTTCAGAAGTGAAAGGTAATAAATCCCAGTGACAAAAAACAGTTTTGGATTCTGTTTCCTTCCACTCACAGGATGATGTCCCATACTTTGGCATAACATTTAAGGCTCTTTGTAATCATGCATTTCTGCCCCATTTTCCTGCCTTATGCCCCACGTACTCTTGTGGTTTCTAGACTATGTTAGGCTCTTTTTCAGCCTTCCAGGTATGAAATGTTGATGAAGTAGATGTTTTCTCTGGCATATGCACCTTCCTCTCGTGATCTGTAAGATCCAACTTGACATTCATCCCCCCATAGCAAAGCTGTATCTCAGAAAAGGCTTCAAAAGGAAACAAATAATGTACTCATATTTCTTCTTTCTTCTTCTTCTTCTGGAGGCCATTAATAAAGTTACCAATAGGAACAATAGAGCTACCATTCACAGAAGAATCAGCAGGGTGTAGACCTGTCAGCACCCCTAGTTTCAAAGAGATGAGAAAGGGGAGGAGTTACCAGAATTTAACCCAGAAGAAGAGAGTCATGCATAAAAGTTCACCTGTGGGAAGTCAGGTGCAGCTGGCCAAATGAATATTCAAGATGCTGTCTCTTCCCTTCCTCTGATCTCCTGCTGGAGCTCTCCCTTAACCCCACCTAGGCAGAAGCCAGAGGGCATGAGAGTCTTGTTGTTGAGACCCAAATGGATCAGCCCAGGGGCAGAGAGCAGGGCAGGGTAGAGAAAGGAGAAGAGTGGATCTGGAGGAGAAAATAGTAAATATTCATCACAGTCCACCCCTTTGCCCTGTAGAATCCATCTTGTCCTTTGCCTATGTAAAAGTTCACATTCTTCAAACAGCAAATACAAAAAAGCTATATATTTGGTTTTACTTATATGGGAAATATAACCTACTAGCCACTACTCATATTCTTTATATAAGGAAGGAGGCAGGGGTAGAACTTAAATAATTACATAACATAGCAAATATAGTCCTTCTGTAGCTAGCCTTGAGGCCCAGGTGGATAACCATAGCTATTTTCTTTCACCACCAGATCCATGCTTCCTTTACCCTCTACCAGCCCCATAGGTTAGGTGGGATTCTTTACTTAATTTCTATATTGCTGAGGATACTGAAAGCTCAATTTCTGAAAGATTAGAAGCCATAATGGTTTTGATTTTATTGACTTCCATTGATCAAGTCAATTGGACAAAGGAGTACTTACAAGCATTCCAGTGAGTATTTGAATTTCAAGCCTAGTCCTTATTTATATTGGGGATCAGCAATCCATTTCCACTTGGTAACTGGAGTCATGCACATGCATACCAGTCAGTAGAATGACTCCTTTAAAATTCCCTTTTACTCAATGGTATGAGAAGCCCAAAATGGTGAGAGGGCAACCTCGGCTTCCAATGATTGGAACCATGACTTCCAAACCCACGAAGCCCAAGGCCATGGGGATGGAAAGCAAATGTTTTGTAAGTGAGTTATTCGGAATAATAATCAGAGGAACCACTCTCAACACCATTACCACTACCACTTTCTTGAACCCAAGCATTCTGGCTATGGGAAAGGTGAAACCTAATAGAGGCTGCTGTTTCAAGATACGTTTTGCATCCTGTTAGAGCATAACCTAACCTCATAGGGTCTTTCTTCAGTTGGTTCTGTCACTAAATCTTCAGCAGGCTATTGTATTGTTCTATAAAAACAATTACCATCCGAGGATAGTAAGACGAATTAATTCCCCCATGTGAGCCTAGGTCTGACCCTCCTTTGTTGTAAAATGTCTCTCCTGGTTGGAAGCAACATTAAATGAGATAACACAGTCTTGGATAGGACATCCTGTAAGTCTGTGAATAGTGCCTTTAGCACAAGCAGTTTGGGTAGGAATGACAAATATATATGTGAAATGTATGCCTAATCCTGCAATGACAAAGCACTGCTCACTCTGTGATCAGAGGGATCTAATTTAACCTTGGGCTATTTCTCCTTTTAAAGTTACTTTTTCTTAACCTTGGTGTTTGGAGAGATTTCAAGGAGTTCGTGAACTTAGATAGGAAAAAATTGTATCTCCATTTTCACTAATATCTTACTGAAAACGTTTCCCTCCCTCCTTCTCTCTCTCTCTCTCTCTCTCTCTCTCTCTTTCTCTCTTTCTCTTTCCTCAAAATTTTACTCTTGTTGCCCAGGCTAGAGTGCAGTGGTGTGATCTTGGTTCATTGCAACCTCCACCTCCCGGGTTCAAGTGATTCTCCTGCCTCTACCATGCCTGGCTAATTTTTTGTGTTTTTAGTACAGACGGAGTTTCGCCATGTTGGCCAGGCTGGTCTCGAACTCCTGATGTCAAGTGATCCACCTGCCTCACCCTCCCAAAATGCTGGGATTACAGGCGTGAGCCACCACTCCTGGCCACATTTCTCTCAATTATGAATGTAGTCCACAAACCACAGTAGTGCTAGTAATATCTGTGACTTTGTCATAATAGAAATCACACAGTATTTAATAACACAGTCGTTTGTGAATTCCTTGAAATGTCATCCGTGCATCACTACTTTGAAAATACACCAGTTTTTAGACGTGTTGCTGGAAGAAACATGCAGTCTCTCTATATATGTGTGCTTGTGCAACGGTGCCACTGAAGGTAGAGTTACTTGTTCTTACTTGGGTAATCCACATACTATGTTACTTTGAGTATTTCCTGTTTACCATGGTTGATACATTTGTGAAAGTAGGTTAGCAGTTTTCAGAGTTTGCTGAAAGTTCGAAAAAGGGGATGGTTCAAATGAAAAATCTTAACTCTGTATAGGATACTTCCAAGTTTGTATTTGCCAAGTGAAAGAAGCCCCACACTACTAGAGAGGTGATAGTAAAGCCATAGGTGCTAGACAACGTGGGGCTGGTCCGTGGACAGGAGCAGAAGGAAAAGGCTGGTAATGGCACCTTTGTTAAGTGGTGAGATCTGGTCTGGAGTAGCTGATTTTTAGAAGGACATTCTGAAGTCTGTCTTTGGGAATTGGCAGCTTTGCCATTCCCACTCACTCTATGGTGGGATGCAAACGGACATTTCTCATTGTAGCCAGCTCCCCACTTTTGCTCCCTGTGTGCACGCTGAAGCTTTTAAAGAATTCTTATTTTGTGAGTCCCTTATGGAAACTACAAAGTGCTGCAGTATTTTGGAAAACAAAACTTTGCCTGGAAATAAAAGCATCAGACTCTGCACAGATGGTGCTTCTATAATACTTGGTGGTGCATCTACTTTTGGTATATAGAGAAAATGGAAGCTTCTTACGTTGGTGTCACTCATTCTCTTTCACACAGCCGTGCTTTGACATCATGGACTCTCCCAGCAATTCTGAAGCCAGTTCGGCCAATAGCCGTAAGGTCATCAAGTGTATGTGAAGCAGCTCTCTGAATCATGCTATTTTAAAAAGAGTTTGTTAAGAGATGGGAGCAGAGTATGAGGAGCTTTTCCATCACACTGAGGTTCTCTAGCAAGAGGGCCTGATAGCCACTGCTAACAAACTAAGGGCAGAATTTTACCTCCTCTCAATAAAAAAGAAAACCCAATAGCAACCAAACAAAACTAAACCCAAATATCCAATTTAAAAAAATGGGCAAAAGACCTGAATAGACATTTCTGAAAAGAAGACATAGAAATGGCCAACAGGTATATGAAAAAATGCTCAACATCACTAATTGTCAGGGAAGTGCAAATCAAAGCCACAATGAGATATCATCTCACTTTAGTTAGACTGGCTATTATTAGAAAGACAACAGATTACAAGTGTTGGTGAAGATGTGGAGAAAAGGGAATCTTACACATTGTTGGTGGCAATGCAAAGTAGTACAGCCATTATGGAAAACTGTATGGGTGTTCCTCAAAAACTTAAAAATAGAATTACCGTATGACCTGGCAGTCCCTCTACTGGGTATATAGCCAAAGGAAATGAAATTAGTTTGTCAAAGAGCACTCCCATGCTTACTGCAACACTATTGACAGTAGCCAAAATATGGAATTCAGTCTCAGTGTCCATCAATGAATGAATGAATGGATAAAGAAAATGTAGCATATATACACAATGGAATACTACTTAGCCATAAAAAGAATGAAATCCTGTCATTTGTGACAACATGAATGAATTTGGAGGACATTATGCTAAGGGAAATAAGTCAGACACAGAAAAACAAATACCTCATGATCTCATTAATATGCAAAATCTAAAACAGTTGATTTATAGAAGTAGTGAGTAGAATAATGGTTACTGGAGGCTTGGAAAGGGAGGGGAGAGGAGGAGGGAGAAAGGTTGGTCTGTGAGTAGAAGGCTACAGTTAGATGGGAAGACCATGTTCTGGTGTTCTAGTCACAGTAGGATGACTATAGTTAACAATAATATATATTTCAAAAGAACCAGAATAGAGGATTTTGAATGTTCTCATCACAAAGAAATGATAAAGGTTTGAGGTGATGGATTTGCTAATTACATTGATTTGATCATTACACAGTATACATATATATATGTAATCAAATATATATATATTATCAAAACATCCCATTCTACCTCATAAATATGTACAATTTTTATGTACCAATTAAAAAATAAAACTTAAAGGAAAATTCATTCTAGAACTTTCCTGAAAGAAAGAATTTTATCTATGAGCTGGCTTACCTTGCAGACATTTTTAACCATATGAATAAGATAAATCTTTCCATTCAGGGTCTTGAAGTTACCTTTATGGACGCAACAGAAAAATTAAAAACTGCCTTGCTTTAGCTGCTGATATGGAAGAAAAAAGTAGAGGCCAATGTCCTTACAAACTTTAAGTTACTGGAGGAGTTGCTTTTCCAAGATGGAGTCAAGATACAAATTTCTCTGTCAATTTCTTTGACAAGATAAACCAGAAAATACCTGGAAACTCTTTAAAAGTCTTTCAAAATTTTTCTCTATCTTGATGGCACTAAAGTTGAATTATGGATCCATAATACATTTCTCTCTGATATAAACTAGATTGAAAATGTGGACTGAGCCAAAGAGGAATGTGTTGATCTTAAGGGCAAAAAAACTGACTAACATAACAAACTTACTACAATTAGTTTAACTATAACAGCCTTGAAACATTTTGGTGTTTTTTGAGACAAGCCTATCTTGATCTTGTGAAATGAGCTATGGAAACTTATAATTCCGCTTGCAACATTGTATCTTTGTAAACAGGATTTTTTTTTTTTTTTTAACATTTGTAATCATTAAAACAAAAAAATCACAATTGGGCTGGGCCCCCTGGCTCACGCAGGTAATCCCAGAATTTTGGGAGGCCTAGGTGGATGGATTACTTGGGCTCACGAGTTCAAGAGCAGCCTGGGCAACATGGTGAAACCTCGTCTCTACAAAAAGTACAAAAATTAGTCAGACATGGTGCCGAGTGCCTGTAGTCCCAGCTACCTGGGAGGCTGAGGTATGAGAATTGCTTGAACACGGGAGGGAGAGGTTGCAGTGAGCTGTGACTGCACCACTGCACTCCAGCCTGGGTGATAGAGCCAGACCTTGTCTCTTAAATAAATAAATAAATAAATAAATAAATAAATAAATAACAATTGCATGTCCAACTTGACATATGTTGCCATCCAAGGATCACCCCAGAGTTTAATGTTTGTTTTTTGTTGTTGTTTTTTGTTTTTTTAAGGTTTATTTATTTTATTGTATTTTATTTTTTTTTGAGACGGTCTCACTCTGTCACCCAGGCTGGAGTGAGTGCAGTGACACAAACATGGCTCTCTGTAGCCTCAACCTCCTGGGCTCAAGCAATCCTCCAGCCTCAGCCTCCTGAGTAGCTGGGACCACAGGCACATGCCACCATGATTAGCTAATTTTTGTATTTTTTGTAGAGACCAGATCTCGCTATGTTGCGCAGGCTGGCCTCAAACCCCTGGAGTCAAGCAATTCACCTGCCTCAGCCTCCCAGAGTGCTCGGATTACAGATGTGAGCCACTGTAGCTGACCTGAGTTTAATGTTCTTATTCGGATTAAATAACATTGACATATCTCTTAGAAAATAAAATTTAATCTCAACTTCCTACGTTATATTATCTTGGTATTTAATGTGCCAATAAAGAAGCACATATACTACTATATCACAAACATATATGTATATAAATTCCAATATATACAGATAAATATATATGTACAAATATGAAACTATGTTTTATTTTTAAAAATTCTGACATGAATCTGTGTGAATCTTTTATTTTTATTTTGATAGTTTTGGGGGTACAGGTAGTTTATGGTTACATGGATAAATTCTTTAGTGGTGATTTCTGAAATTTTAGTACACCCATCAACTGAATAGTGTACACAGTACCCAATATGTAGTCTTTTATTCCTCAGCCTCCTCCCAACCTTCCCCACTGAGTCCCCAAAGTCCCCACATGTCATTCTTATGCCTTTGCATACTCATAGCTTAGCTCCCACTTACAAGTGAGAACATATAATATTTGGTTTTCCATTCCTGAGTAAAACTGTATTTTTATTTTATTTTATTTTATTTTTTTGAGACGGAGTCTCACTCTGTTGCCAGGCTGCAGTGCAGTGGCGTGATCTCTGCTCACTGCAACCTCCGCCTCCCAGGTTCAAGCGATTCTCCTGCCTCAGCCTCCCGACTAGCTGGGATTATAGGCGCATGCCACCATGCCCAGCTAATTTTTGTATTTTTAGTAGAGACAGGGTTTCACCATGTTGGCCAGGATGGTCTTGATCTCTTGACCTCACAATCCACCCGCCTCGGCCTCCCAAAGTGCTGGGATTACAGGCATGAGCCACCGCGCCCGGCCGTAAAAGTGTATTTTAATGTGAGTGGTTTTCTTTGTAGTCTTATGTATTTTATTTTATATATTTAAAAATATTAATCTGAAAAGGTGTTCATACACTTCACTGGATTGCCAAGAAGGACCATGTGACATAACAAGGTTACAAAACCCTGTTCTAAATGTTGTACCAACCAAGGTTGTGCCCACTTAGAGGGAGCCAACCAAGGAATAAATATGTCCCTAATTTTCCCTTCCCTGTAATCCTTTGCTAAGGTTCCCATCCTCTGAACCCTCTGAAAGCGAGGGTTAAGGGAGAGTCTTGTCCTATTCATAGAAGTCCACCTTCAAGGGCAGACAGCAGGTCTAGGGAATGGTGACTGTGGAGGGGCCAATGCAAGATACCCCAGAGGCTTTCTCTTTTCTTCCCAATGCTGTGTTACTCTGCCATACATTTTATTCCTCTGTACAGTAATAGTATTTTTAATGATTTCAATTCAATTTGGCTCAGTTAACATTTTTGAGCACCTACTGGAATCCATGTATTATTTTGCTTAATACTTGCAAAGTGGACATTAGCACCTCCATTTTATGGAGAAAATAAACTGTGTACACCAACCTTCTTTCTCATCAAATCATGCAGGAAAAAGGATAAAGGATTATGTACAATCTTTTGTACAGGTAAAACGAGTCTGTTACAACTGTTACATGGGTTTGCTAGCTATTGTTAGATGCAACAGGTTGGTGACAACTTTATGCTTGTACTGTAATCTATCATAAAGAATGGAAGTTTAAATATTTATAGTGAATGCTATAGACCAGTAAATAACATAAGACCTGTTTACAGAAAAAATTACCAGTCTAAGATTAGCAGTTTTTCTTCTTTCTTAAGGCTCAAGGATTTTTTGTATGTCTATAACCCCATGTGTGTACCTATGAAAGTTATATTCACAAGAAATATGCATTATTTAGGGTTTTTTTTTTTTTTTTTAAAAAATACACTGGCTCCAGTAGCCTCCAAACTGTAGTCCTGCTTCTCATTTCTTCCTCTCCAATACGTACTTACCATAGAAGGGGTGGATAGTAGAATTTAGGTGCTAGCATCCTATTCCAAATCCTTGCAGTTCAACTGACCATTGTTTTCCTCAAAGAAATTCTGTCCTACCCTTCCATACTGAATCCTCATTTTCGCCCTTTGCTGGTCAGACTGATTTTAATTGGAAAACTGACAAAGTCCGATGGATTCAAATACCAGAAAAACTTCAATTCAAATCTTTATAGCTACGTCTTTCTTAGTTTCAGACTTATATATGCAACCGCCTACTGCATGTCACCACATGGATGCTTCACCAAAATATAATATTATAAGCACATAAAAAGATGTTCAACATCATTATTCCTTAGGGAAATGCAAATTAAAAGCAAAATGAGAAACCATTACACACCTACTAAAATGCCTAAAATGAAAAAACTAACAATACCAAGTGGTAGTGAAGACGCAGAGCAACTGGAACTCTCCTACGTTGCTAGTGGGAATGCAGGATGGTACAGGCACTGTGGAAAAGTCTGGAAACTTCTTAGAATGCTAAATGTATACTTTGCATACAATCTAGAAATCCCACTCCTAGGTCTTTATTCTTGAGAAATGCCAATAAATGTCCACACAAAAACTTGAATGTTCGTATTAACTTTATTCATAATAGCTCAAAATTGGTAACAATCCAAATGTCCATCAACCAGCAAATGGATAAACAACTTATGGTACCTACAACGGAATATTACCCAGCAGTATAAAGGAACAAACTACTGACACAAGCAACAGCATAGATGGATCTCTCAAAGCATTAAGTTGTTTTTTTTTTTTTTTTTTGAGACGGAGTCTTGCTCTGCCGCCCAGGCTGGAGTGCAGTGGTATGATCTCTGCTCACTGCAAGCTCCGCCTCCTGGGTTCACGCCATTCTCCTGCCTCAGCCTCCCGAGTACCTGGACTACAGGCACCCGCCACCACATCCAGCTAATTTTTTTTTTTTTTTGTATTTTTAGTAGAGACAGGGTTTCACCATGTTAGCCAGGATGGTCTCGATCTCCTAACCTCGTGATACGCCTGTCTCGGCCTCCCAAAGTGCTGGGATTACAGGCGTGAGCCACTGCGCCTGGACACATTATGTTGAGTTTTAAAAAGTCACACAAAACACCACATACTATATGATTCTAATTATGGGAAATTCTGGAAAGGCAAAAGTATGAGAACAGAAATCAGATGGGTGGTTGCCAAGGTCTGGGGTAGGGAGAAGGTAGTGTCTTCATACAAAGATGAGGGAACTTTATAGGGTGATGGGAATATTCTGTATCTTGACAGTGGAGGAAGTTACATGACTATGTTTATCAATCCTCACAGAACTATGCATGTAAAACAGATAAATTTACTGTATGTAAATAATACCTCAGTAACTCTCCCACTTAAAAAATTCTTTTAAAGCTTAAAAAAAAAAGCTGCTCCTCTACTTTTTCTACCTCAAGTACTGGTTCTACCTTCCAGCCAGCTCCTTAACCCTGATACCTGTATCATAATTGATTCCTCTGTCTCCCGCAATACCCCAAAGAAGCAGTTACAAAGTCAAACAAATGCTTCCTCCTTTGAAACTCCCAAGTTTCTCTTTGCCTCTGCATCTGAACTGTTTCTCTTTTGTCCACGCCATCGTCTCCTCCTGCCAGGGTCATTGTGACACCCTTGAGAGGACTCCCTGATGTGGCACTGCCCTTTCCACTGCTGGTGAGTGGATCTTTGGGAAATGCACACCTTCTCAAGGCATTCTCTTGCTTAGAACTGTTCATCACGACTCATTCATTGTTGATATGATTAAGACCACCCTTTCTTTATGATCTGACTCATGCATACTTTTTCATTTCCATTTACCACCCCCCTCCTACCCGGTGCACTCTAATCTCCTAGTATCTCTTAGTTTGCATAAAGTATTTGCAGTTCCCAGCGTGACTTATACAAAAGCTCCTCACTATATTAGAAATTTCCTTACTCCACTCTTCCACTGGCCAACGCATTCAACTTCTAGACTCTATTCAAACATAGCATCACTCTGGAAAGGCTTTTCTGGAATTCATATTTGAACAAGACATTCCTCTGTGGGTCCCCGTGGCACTCCATGCATGACTTAAACATAAATCTTTCCGAACAGTATATTGTCAGGCTAAGTTTATTGATGCGGGCCCCATGTGGTTTCCACTCACTTATGCCCAGAACTCAGCATGGTTCCCGTTACATAGTTGAACTGAGTGTTCAATGGGCAAATGCTCAATAGATTTGTTCACTAGACAGAGTTCTTGAACAAACAGTATGAAGAAACTCTCCTGAAATGGGGTAGTTAGGATGATGAACTGGGCCTTACTTGAAGTTACAGAATTCCCTGGCCTTGGTATCTCCTGTACCACAGACTCCCAGGCACTCCCAGCCTCCTCCCTACCACCCAGCAGCACTGTTCTGCCAAACAGCCCCCAAACCATTTCCTACATCCAGGCACATAGGGATTTTCTCTAACTTAAGTTATTTTATGGCCAATGCTCTATAAATGTTAGTGTCAAGTTCCTTGAAGAGGATTATTAGAGAAATAATCTAACAAACATGTTGTTCTCACAGACAGGGAGAGGAAGGTGTTGAACAATTTGATTCTTCCCAAACATATAGCGTTTTTGTGATCTGCAGCCTGACCAATGTGAATTTTCACCTGCAGGGTAGCATATAAAGGGGTCTGTTTTCAGCACTTACTGCTTGTAATCAGCTCCGTTAATGCTGTTAGAGATTGTGTGCTCTCAGAGAAAGGAAGCAAAGCAAAGAACACGTGTCTGTCAGTCTTCAGGAAATGCTAACAGAGTACCCTGCAAGTTAACTTTCCGGTTTTTTTCTTCCAGAGTTAGCTCACTTTGCCCCTCTTAGGCACAAGGCTCTGACTCTTGAAGAAACGTGTGTGTAAGTAGGTGACTTTGATGCAAGGCAAGAACAGGGCTTCGTCCTGGATAAAGGTTGATTGGGAAGATAAATGCTCCCTGTGTGTTCGTACTTCACACCGGTGGACAGTGTGATAGTCAACCTGTTTATTTTCCAGCAGAGAGGACGTGGCTATGTGACACATGAAGAAAGAGCCTGCATTTACCTCCCAGATATTTGACCCTGTCCTTCTGAGAGTTACTGGGCATATTTCAAGTCTAAATCCACAGGAGAGTGTTTCCAGAGCACATGACCCAGCATTTAGACAGAGATGGGGAAACAACCTGAACTGAGATGCATTAAGGAAATCCAATTCCATGACCTTCATCTGTGTCAAGCACAACATCCATGTCTCATGTCATTTCTTGGTAATATGGCTTGACTGTCATTTTTCTTCCCACCACAGGAAAGTTCCTACATTAGGAGTTACTGAAGGAAGCACATGATTAATCTTGTATAGACCTATTCACCTAGGTTTGAAGGTAGTTTGTTTACAACACTGTCATTCCTGTGAACCCTGAATCCTCCCCGGTGTGTGTTTGTTGAGCCAAGGACCTGGCTGAAAGCAATGATTGGTGCATTCAGTTTGAGAAAACACTTAGAGCTACTTGGTTTCAATTCGGAGGGGTGATTTTTAAAGACAGAGTCAGTGATTGGCAAATATGTGTTTTCTTTACATAAATCTTGATGCTGTTTATGTATATCTGTGTTTGTGTGAGGGATTGTGCGTGCTTGTGTGGTCGGGCAAGGAATACTTCCAGGCTGAACAAGACTGTGTTCCATTCTGGGGCCATGGCTTTCCAAACATTTTATTTTTATTTGGTTGCAGAAACCCATTGTCAAAATCTCATACGAAAACAACATATTTAACAGATAGATTGGTAGGTCTTTTAATATCAAAATGTATTTTATGAGTTCAATACTTATACTGTACATTGAATCAATGAAACAGGGAAGTGTCGAGGAACACAGAATGTGAAACTGCCAGTGACTGAAGACAGTTGAAATTTTTTATAAGCTTCAGCATCATACTTTTCATTCCTTTCCTTTCCTTTCCTCTCCTTTCTTGCTCCTTCCTTCCTTCCTTCCTTCCTTCCTTCCTTCCTTCCTTCCTTCCTTCCTTCCTTCCTTCCTTTCTTTCTTTTCAGAATCCTGCTGTCTCACCCAGGCTGGAGTGCAATGGTAGAATGATAGTTCACTGTAGCCTCGACCTCCTGGGCTCAAGGGATCTTCTCACCTTAGCCTCCGAATTAGCTGGGACTACAGGCATGTGCCACCATGCCTGGCTAATTTTATGATTTTTTTATACAGATGAGGTCTTGCTATGTTGCCCAATCCAGTCTTGAGCTCCTGGGCTCAAGCCATCCTCCTGTATCAGCCTCCCAAAGTGCTGGGATTACAGGCAAGCCCTACTGTACCCGGCCTTTATTTCTGTTAAAAAAAAAAACCAAAAAACTTAGTTTGTACAATATCAAGAAAAGCCAGATTTCTATAGGTCAGTAATTGCAAGTTGTAAGCTTTCTAACAGCTTACTTTACAATCTCAGAATACTCTTCAATTAAAAAAAAAATGCAGCAGAAGCTTTATTCCAAGGGCCGAATAAAAATGAAGTTACCTGGCAGCTCCAATGAACACACTGGTGTTTTTCTTTATGTTAAAATTTGGGGGTATAACACATTTACATGTCAACATGCTTTACAACCATTTGATGTAGAATTTTTTATTAGAAAATGAAATCTGAGGGTTCTGGCTCTGGGGAAGGATAAGTAAACACCGTTACCCTGGCTCTGGGGAAGGATAAGTAAACACCGTTACCCTGTCTCTGCAACTAAAAGGAAGGAGAAATCCTGCACAGAATGCACGAAGCAGCTATCTGAAGACTGAAAAGTAAATGGCAGCAGGCAGATTGGGAAGGAGACTAGAATTTGAAGTTCCACTAAACTGGTGGGGAGGAAGTTTCCCTTTTCGTTTTCCTCTCATATTATCTAGTTTGGACTCAAAGGCAGCCTCAAACCCAGAAAAGCACACTAGGTGTGGAAGCAAAAATTCTAAGAGAATTCCTCTCTTTTTGGTCTAAAGAGCAAGAAAAGGTCTCCTTCCAATCTGAGAGAGTGGGAAAATTCTTTACCCCCACCCTCTGCCTTCTTCCATGACCTGTCCCTAGGCAATATTCTCCAGCACAGCACAGAGACAGCAGTGGTGACTGACAGTGCCTGAAAGTCTAACGGAGGCACCCTTTGCTCTGACAAAAACACCCACTGTCCCAAGAGTGTGGGGTGACTTTCCATTCCTTTTATTCTTTCTCTGTGCTGCCACTGCTTGGCCCTGCACTCAGACACATGGTGGTTAAGTTCTCAGCAGAGTGGGAAAAACAAAGCCTCAGCTTTCTGGCTGGAGGACTGGGAAGAGAAGCCCCAGAGAGCCAGAAAGTGTTGGGGAGATCATGGAGAGAAGGGAGGCCAAGGGAGTGGGTCCATAAGATTGCATGTGCATTCCTGGGTTCATTTTCAAACTGTGCATGCATGAATCTGACCGTATACATTGTACCACAGGCTTTGAGAACTGAGCTACAGGGTCAGTCATCACGGAGGTCCCACACAGGCTACTCCGGCAGACATGCAGTGTAGATCTAAGGAGCACAGCCAAGATGTCGAAATATGAACTGATGTTGTACCATAGCCCACAGAAGGCAGGTTAGAATTTGCAGCCAGAACCTAACCTAGTTGATTGCCTACTAAAATGAACAAAAATCCACATTCTCTTTAGGATTTAAACAAGACCTAGGCTCTATAACACAATATTCAAAATGTCCAGGATATAATCCAAACTTACTCAGCATTTGAAGAACCAGGAAAAATTCAACATTCAAAAGAAAAGATAATCAACGGATACCAATCCTAAGAAGACATAGATATTGGAAAGATCAGAGACTTTAAAGCAGCTATTAAAACCATGCTTTAAGAAATGTGGTCAAGCATTCTTGATATTAATAGAAAGAAAGTCTTGACAGAGAAAAGATGTAAGAAAGAACCAAATGGAAATTAAAAATGGAAAAATATAATAGCCACAATAAAAAAAATTCACTAGCTGGCTCAATGGCAGAATAGATGTGATGGAAAAAAAGAGCCAGTCAACTGGATGATAGATCAGTAGAAATAATCCAATTTGAACAACAGAAGGGAAAAAAAAAGATTGGAAAAACAAAAAAAAAATTAAAGCCTCAGAAACTGTAGGACAATGCCGAAAAAAAAAAAAAAAAAGAAAAATTGAGAGAGAGACTTGAATAACATATTTGTGGATCAGTGAGATTTGTAAATATGAAGTCAAACCACTGGTTAAGTGCGTGGAAAATCTTTGCTTTCTTTGAGGAATTCATATGTTACTGCTTAAAGACAGTGAGAAAAATGTAGTTATCACCGAATACTTCCCTGTCATTTTGGTTGCCAGGAACCTGGGAGTTAAATTTTAGGGGCAGCTGTAACTGTAAGTTTGAAAGCTTTCAGCCAGCTCTTTTTTTTTTTTTTTTTTTTCAAATTTTATTTTAGATTCAGGGAATCTGTGTGCAGGTTTTTTACCTGGCTATATTGTGGGATGCTGAGGCTTCGGATATGATTGATCCTGTTAGCCAGGTACGAAACATAGTACTCAATAGTTCTTTAACCCTTGCCCCCTGCCCCCAAGTAGTCCCCAGTGTCTATCGTTGCCATCTTTATGTCCATGAGTACCCGATGTTTAGCTCCCACTTATAAGTGAGAACATGTGGTATTTGGTTTTCTGTTCCTGCATTAATTTGCTTAGGATAATGGCCTCCAGCTGCATCCATGTTGCTGCAAAGGACGTGATTTCATTGTTTTTTATGGCTGCGTATTCTGTGGTGCATATGTACCACATTTTCCTTATTCAATCCTTTGTTGATGGGCACCTAGGTTGATTCCATGTCTTTCCTATGGTGAATAGTGCTGTGATGAACACACAGTGCATGTATGATTTTGGTAGAATGATTTGTTTTATTTTGGATATATACCCAGTAATGGGATTGTTCCAGCCAGCTCTTTCGTTATTTATTTCTAGCACAAAAGGCAAGAAAAAAAATAAAAGGGATGAGATTTAAAAAGAATAAATAAAACTGATTCTATTAGCAGGTGATTATCTTCACAGAAAACCTTATGAAATCTAAATAAAATATTAGCGCTAGTAAAGGGATTTAGCAAGGTTAATTTTATATTGGCTATAAGGCCAATATACAAAAATCAATTGTATTTCTAAATATTAGTAATGACCAACTGGAAATCAGAAATTAAAAAAAAAATCAGTCTAACTTACAGTAGCATCAAAAACACTAGGACACTTAACAATAAATCTAAGGAAAGATGTGCAAGATCTCCACAGTGAAAATCATGAAACATTGCTGAGAACAATGACAGACAATTGAAAGAAAAAAAAGAGTTATATCATATTAATTTTGAGTTTCAAATGTAGAACTAACCTTGCATTCCTTGTATGAAATCCTCTTAATCATGAAGTATTAACGTTTTCATATAATTCTGGATTTGATTTTTAAAAAATTAATTGGAATTCTTTATGTTTTTGCTTTTCTTATAAAAGTCATGTTTTGATATCAGAGTTATGCTAACCTCATACAAAGATCTGGGAAATTTTCAATCCTCTATTTCAATCCTTCTACTCAAAAATATGTGTATGATTGGTATTACTTATGCTTTAAATTTTTGATTAACTTGAGAAAACACCTGAGACTGAACTTTTATTGTAGGAATAATTGACTAATTATTAATTTAATTTCTTCAGCCAAGGGCTACTCAGATTATCTGTATCCCCTTTATATCTTTTAAGAAATTGATCTGGCAGGGTGCGGTGGCTCATGCCTGTAATCCCAACACTGGGAGGCCAAGGAAGGTGGATCACTTGAGGCCAGAAGTTTGAGACCAGCCTGGCCAACATGGCGAAACCCCATCTCTACTAAAAATACAAAAAGAAAAAAAAAAAAGAAATTAGCCAGGTGTGGTGGCAGGCACCTGTAGTCCCAGCTACCCGGCTACTTGGGAGGCTGAGGTGGGAGAATTGCTTGAACCCGGGAAGCGGAGGCTGCAGTGAGCTGAGACTGCACCACTGCACTCTAGCCTGGGTGACAGAGCAGGACTCTGTCTGAAAAATAAACAAACATACGAAAAACAAACAAAAAGAAATTGATCTATGTCATCTGATTTGTCAACTTCATTAGCATAAAGTTTTTCATAATATTTCTTTTTTTTATTTTCACAGATCTAATATTTGTTTACATTTATTTGCTTTCTAGTTTGTTTATTTTCTATTTCATTGGCTTCTTCTACTCTTTTCTTTTTTTCCATCATTTTACTTATGTTGGTTTCAAATTACTCTTTTTTACTTACTTTCTTAAGGAGGAAGTTCACATCACTAGTTTTACATATTTTTTCCCTCCAGATAGAAGCATTTAGAGGAACGAATTTACCTCTCAGCAGTGCTTAATCTATATCCTACAAGTTTTCAATTCATGTGTTTTAACTATCACTTTAAAATATTTTCTAATTTTCTTCATGATTTTTTCTTTGACTCATGGGTTATTTAGAAGTGTTTGGCTTAATTTCCAAGTATGTGATGATTTTTCATATATCTTATTACTGTTTTCTAGTTTAAATTCATTGTGGTCGGAGCCCATTCCTGTATGATTCCAGTCCTCTTAAATTTATTGAGCCATGTCTCAGCATACAATCTATTTCAGTGGATTCTTTGCACATTGACTTGTGAAGAATGTGTGTTCTGCTATTCGGTGGGTGCAGTGCTCTATAAATATCAGTTAGGCTAAGTTACTTGATGTTGCTCAAATTTTTATTCTTACTGATTTTTGTCTACTTGTTTTATTGACTACTAAGAGGGCCATGTTAAAACCTGTCACCATGACTTCCCATTGGTATATTTTTACCCTTCAGTTCTGTCAGTTTGTGCTTCAGGTATCTTGAAGTTCTGTATATTTGGGACTGTGATGTCTTCTCCCTGAATTGATCCCTTTATCATTAGGAGGGGTCTCTTCTTATCTCTGGTTCTTGTTTTAAGGACTACTTTGTTATTTATAAAGCCACTTATGATTGGTTCTTGCATGGTATAATATTTTCCATCTTTTAATACACACAGTTTGATCTTGATTTTTCATCTAGTCAGGTATTCTATAATAAATTATTGACATGATTGGTTTTAAGTCTACTATTTTGCTATTGGTTTTCTATTCTTCCCATATGTTTTCCTTTTGTTATTCTCTTCTGACTTCTTTTTGATTACATGACTGTGTTTGAGTATTCCATTTTACTTCCTGTTTTGGGCTTATTTTTTTAACCTTTTACATGGTTGCTCTAGGAATTACAATAGGCTTCCCAAACCTATTACAATCTACCATGTATTACTATTATGTCACTTATAATGTAATAAGTTTGCAATAGTATACTCCCACTTTCCCCATCCCATTATTTGTGCTATTACTGTCAATTTAACCTCTGTATTACAAACCCATAATGCATTGTTATTATTTTTCAACAATTATATTTTAAACACATTAAGAAATTAAAAGATATTATATATTTTACCCACATTGTAGACACAGTGTTTTGCTTTGCATATCTTTACACAGATCCTCGTTTCCATCTGGTATAATTTTCCATTAGCCCAAAGACTTCCTTTAATTGCAGTATAGGTCTGCTGCTGATTAATTCTCTTACTTTTACTTTCACTTTTATTTTTAAAATATATTTTTCTGAATATAACATTCTAGGTTGACAGGTAGTTTTATTTTATTTATTTGTAAAATTTTAATTTTAAAATTTTCTGGGTACATAGTGGTAGTTTTATTTTAGCATTTTAAAGGTGTTATTCAGTTGTATTCTGATCTGCACTATTTATGATGGGAAGTCAATAAACATTTCTATCCTTGTTCCCTGTAGGCAATGTACGCTTTTCTTTGGCTGCTTTTACGATTGTCTTTTTATCTTTGTTACTTTTACCTATTTGGCTGTGATATAGATAGGTGTGGTTTTCTTTGCAGTTTTACCATTTGGGTTTGTTGAACTTCTTGTTTGTGTTGATTTATATTTTTTATTAAATTTAAGTGAAAAATAATATTTATTTGAAGTAAATTATTTTTTTCAAAAATTTTTCTGCCCTCATGATTCTCTTCTACTTTTGGGAGTCCAAGTATATGTATATTGGCCTGTTTTTCCACATGTCACTGAGACTCTGTTCATTTCTTTTTCAACCTTTTTTGTTTCAATTATGATGCTTCCTATTTCGCCTGAAAGTGATCTTGAAGGGCCACTTTGTTCTGCAGTGTTTATTTGTAAGCTAATCCAATGAATTTTTTCTTTCTGTTACATTTTTCAGTTCTAGAATTTCCAGAGTGTTTTTAATTTTATAATTTCCATTTATTTACTGAGATTCCTATGTGTTCACTCATTAAGTCCATCTTTTCAAAAAGTTTTTAAACATGTAATAGCTGTTTTGAATTCTTTGTCTTCTAATTTTAACATCTCTATCATCTTCAGATCTGTTTCTATTGATTTTTCCACCCCTCCACCCCTGCCACCTTTTTTTTTCCTTTTTTTTTTGAGATGGAGTTTCACTCTTGTTGCCCAGGCTGGTGTGCAGTGGCGTGATCTCAGCTCACTGCAACCTCTGCCTACTGGGTTCGAGCAATTCTCCTGCCTTAGCCTCCCCAGTAGCTGGGATTACAGGCACCTGCCACGATGCCTGGCTAATTTTTGTATTTTTAGTAGAGATGGGGTTTCACCATGTTGGCCAAGCTGTTCTCAAACTCCAGAGCTCAGGTGTTTCACCTACCTTGGCCTCCCAAAGTATTGGGATTACAGGCGTGAGCCACTGTGCCCAGCCTTCCCCTTGTTATGGGTTACATTTTGCTGCTTCTTTATACATCTGTTTTTGTTGGATTATGTAACAGACATTGTTGAGAGACTGGATTTCATTGTCTTTTGCTCTCTCTCTGTCTCTCTCTTTTTTTTTTTTTTCGAGGCAGGTCTCCCTCTATCACCCAGGCTAGAGTGCAGTGGCACGATCCAGCTCACTGCAACCTGTGCCTCCCTGGCTCAATCAATCCTCCAACCTCAGCCTCCAAGTGGTTGGGACTACAGGCACATGCCATCATGCCTGGCTAATTTTTGTACTTTTGTAGAGATAGGGTTTTGCCATGTTGTCCAGGCTGGTCTGGAAATCCTGTGCTCAAGCCATCTGCTCACCTCAGCCTCCCAAAGTATTGGGATTACAGGCATGCTCCACCGCGCCTGGCCTCATTGTCTTTCTCTAAAGAGTTTTCTTTTGTTTTGTTTTGACAGGCTGTGAATTCATGGTTGTATTGGTTTGATACTTGTTGAGCTTTATGAATAAGATTTGCTAGGGTGACTCTAGATGAGCTCTTAACTATGGACTAGAGTCCCAGTTGAATTGACTGGGAGTGTTCAGCAAGATCTCTAAACTCTCTTCAAAATTTCTATGTTTTGTAGCACTCTGTGATTTCTGTAATCTTCATTTATGTTATATTGCCTGAACATGTGCAGCTTAGTATGTGCTCTGAGCATATTCAACTTAGTATTCTACCAAAAAACTAAAGAGATCCCTACACTAATTTCTGGAATTCCTTCTCGATGTGGCTTCCTCCTATGTGATACCCTGTCCTACAAATCAACCTGCCTCATTACCCATGAATTCCTATCTGTACCTCTTCAGCTCATCAAGACCTCAGAGTTCTGCTTGGGCACCACCTACTTACTTTGTGGCCTAGAAAGTAACTTTGAGCAGAAAGGTGGGGTGGCTGTGGCTATCACCTCATGTATTTTTCTTCTCTGAGGGATGACAGCCCTCTGGTGGGTCTTCTCAGATGGATGACAGTCTTATGCTTCTTGGGGTAACAGTATTCTGCTGGTGGTAATGGTAGCATTACTTTAATGGCAAAACCCACCATTGCTTTTGCACCAACATAATACATATTTTGCTAGTTTGAGAGTTGTTTACAGCAGAAAGACTAGTCTGGTACCAAGTACTTCATCATGATTAAAAGCAAAAGTCTCACTTATTTTTTCATTGAATGTAATCTATTATTTAAAGTGGAGTTAACTAATTCCATCTCCTGTTTTCCCTTACCCTCCTTAAAATAAGTCAAAAGCTTATGTGAGCATCCAAAATATCAAGGGCTAAGATCATGAAATATATGTAATTAATACTACTTCACTGATAAATTCTACTATGAAGGTATAAGTTGGTATTGAAGTTTGAATTATGAATTTGGCATGATAATTCCTAAAACTCTTTAAAGGAAGAATTTAGAAAAGGCAAGCTAACAGCTCTCTATAGATTTAATATTGAAAGTTTTTTTTTTCCATTTGGAAGCATTGATTTCTTCCCTTCTTGGGTTTTTATGTGATGCACTGATTGACGTGGCTGCCTTAAGATGGCAAGTCTGTTGCATTTCATTTTTTATCATCTCCAGACATCTTGATTCAGGCCTCAGAGTCACTGATTGATTGCAGTGCTGTCTTGAGCATTGTAATGGGTTGTTTTGTTCTAAAAAGTAACCACTGTGGGTTACTTTTTAGTGAAAGAGAAGAGTTTATTATTTTGTAGATCCTGTTTTAAATGGCTAATTTCATAACCATTCATTCAGATTTCTATAATTTGTGACTTATGATTCCTAGGCAAGTGCTAGCAGAAGTCAATCTGTCTTAGGAAGCTCCTTCTTTTTAGCAGAAACAATGAGTTTTAAGGATGCAAAGGACTCCTCTCCCCAATTTTCCCAGGGCAACCCTGATGTGCAGAGGGATTCAGGGTTTCATATGTCATAGAATGTGGCTCTGAAGAGTGAAGCACATTGTTTCGCTTCCCATTAGTGCACCAACTGAATATAGCAAGAGCTGAGCTTGATGTCCTGAGCTCAGATTACAGAAACAGGACAGCTTGTATGTATCTCCACTTTTGCTCTCTATTTCTACTTTATCCAAAGATGAATCTCCTTTGTCCAGGACTGAGGACTATTTCCTCAGCCTCTTACTAGTCCTTCATTTAAGATGGTATTTCTTAGGCCCAATATATAGAGCGTTTCATGCAATATCAGTTTTTTTTCTCTGGTAGAAAGAACTTGGAAGAAACTTGGATATGTGGACAGTATGTAGGAGTTATATTTTAATAAACTATTAAAATATTTCCTAAAATCATTGATTTTGTCAAACTTGGTTAGGTTTGCTGTTTTTTTTTCTGTACTTCTTGAGAGTAATAAAGCTATATTTGTTTAGATAATAGTTCCCAATCCTTTCTTCCTAGTTAGTCTAATTGAATTAATGACATTTTCATATATTTTAATTTTGGGACTCAAAATGGGCATTTTTCTCTTTCTCAGTTTTTAATGCTGTTCAGATCTGTTCAATAGTTTAGCAAAAAAATCGTATTATTCATTTAACTTTAAAAATGCTCTTAGATGCCTTTTAGACTCTGTTGATGCAATATGTTTATTTGCTGTGAGAATTTAATGTTTTCTAATACTATGCATGGGTAACTCACAAATATGAGTAGGTCAGGCCTTCATTTGTTTTACAGTGCCTTTAACTCCCTGTTCTGGGGCACCCTCTTTGGAATAGCTTGTATGGAAAACTGTGGAGTGGGTGAACTAAAGAATTCATCTAATTCTCCACACTTAGAAGTAAATGGTTTGTTAGACTCACTTATCCTATGGAGATCTCATGATGACCTGAGATCACAGGTGAGTTGAGATTTCTCTGAATCCTCCTGTATTCATACATTTCCCTGTCCTTCTACTGTGAAGACTTGTTAGGACACTTGCCTCAGACAAGATTTTCTAGTCTTTTAAAAAAATTCCCAAACTGGAATTGGTAGCAATCTTTAACTTCCTGCATGCAAAGACAGAGAGGAGATACTTTAATCATAAAACAATAATAACAAAATTTAGTAAGAGTCAGAATTTACAAAGGACTTTCTTTCTTTCTTTTTTTTTTTTCTGAGACGGAGTCTCGCTCTGTCACCCAGCCTGGAGTGCAGTGGCATGATCTCAAAGGACTTTCTAATGAAAGGCTCACAACAACCCTGGGAGCCAAGCAACATTATTATCATCATTATTATCATCATCATTATATGGAGGAAGGAATGGAGCTTTGCAACCGTATTATACAAGGATGTTAAGGAGTATAAAAATGAGAATAGCTTGAGAAGAGAGTAGAAAGATTCTGGAATTCTGAAAATCAAATTTTGTTTTAGATTGCACCATAGAACTAGAAGGGATCTGTGTAGGCTGGCTCCTGAGTCATGCACTGAGACATGGACTGGGGAAGCCAGACACTTACCAATCAATCATTGAGAGGCTGCCTGGTGTCAGAGCTGGGGCAGGGTCACCTGGGTAGCAGGGCACCTCCTAGGGCAGAGCTGACTCTCTATGTTCTCAAAAATCTGCATCCTCTGAACTGTTTCTCAGGACTTCTATCCAGACTGGATATGGTAAGACGGTCTGGCTTGTTGAGGGCACTGTCAGGGCAGGTAGCTAGCTCCCCAGGTGTGGCATGTCCTGCTTTAAAGTCACCTTTGCTTTAAGTCATTGGCTCTCTCAAGACCCTCATTAAAATGCAACCTTATGACATGTGAGGGAAAGGCACGTAGGCAGTAGGCTTTCTGGTCGCAGTAGCACAAATTAGTTAGTTCAGTTGGCTTGTTGTCACCTTGCAGACTGACTTCCAAAGTGATAGCTGACTGGGCTGGAACATTTAGATTGGGCAATGAAGAAAATGAAAGGCTATAGTACACAGGGCTGGTAAAGGTGGACCTAACTGGGGAACGATAATGGGCAGTCCTGGACCCTGGGCAGCTGGATGTGCCAGGTTGGGAGGACACCAGGCTTCACCTATTTATGCACAGGGCCACTTCTATCCAGATCTTTCAATGGGACTTCAGGGATTGTTTGTTCATTCATTCATTTGGTCATCAAACATCTGGAATTACTTTTTTTCTAGAAGTTTTACTGAACCTGTTATAGGTAGAGGTGACTAATTAATTAACCAACCCATAATGCATTATTGAGAACCAAATATAGACAAGGCGCAGTGCTAGACACCAAAAGAACACAAAGATGAAAGTGACATCGTCTTTGCCTTCAAATGGCCCACAGTCTAGTTCACAAATAAGTGAAATAAAAGGAAGGTAGACTAGGTGCTCATGGAAATATACAGAAAAACAGTGTTAAAAATCCAGAGAAGCTTTGAGCAGCTGGGGGAGAAATTAAAGAAAGATTCATAAAGGAGAAGCCATTGAACCTGTCTTAAAGTTTGAGAAGAATGTCACTCCCAAATTTTAATCTTTAGGCCACACCTCTCCCCTGAAGCCAGACTCAGATGTCCAACATCCTCGTGCAGATATTGAGTAGATATTTCATATCTGACATGTCTATAATTAGACTTTTTATTTTACTACCCTTGGTCAGGGTATTCTTCCACTTGGTCAGGGCTTTCGTCTTCTCCTAAATCACCCCTTTCATTTTTTGCCAAAGCCACACTTTATGCATTCAGTAGGTTATTGCTGTGAGATCTAGATTTTTGATGTGTTAATGATACTGATAAATAGCTAATAGGGACTCAACAGCATTTAAATAAAAGATCTGATGGAAGATGATGTTTTACATTTGTAAGATAATATACCTAGAGTCTCTTATTTGTGCCCAAGATTGCACACATCCCTGTATTGTATAGGGAGTCATACATTCATAAGATTTGTGTCACACTTAACCATTTTACCAAGTGTGCTCTCACTGTATACTTCCATTTCACTTGTCAACAAGAATGTTGCCACAGGTGTCTTTATTTTTCTCATTCCCTGCATGAGGAAGCATAAGGAGAATGAGTGGGTTACCTGTGACTTGACAACTGGTATAAGGAAGAGCCCATACTCACAGCCTGGCCCCAAAGCCTATTGAGCAGCTTGGAGCTTCTAGGCAATCAGTGATTCAGTTTGATTGCTAAGGAGGGAACAGCAGTGGATTATGCTGGAAAGGAAGTTTGAGACTCCATTGTGGTGGGCCTCGAATGCCACTCAAAAGTTAGATTTTTTTGTTTTCTTTTGTTTTGTTTTGAGATAGAGTCTCACTCTATCACCCAGGCTGGAGTGCAGTGGTCTGATCTCAGATCATTGCAATCTCTGCCTCCCAGTTTCAAAAGATTTTCCTGCCTTAGCCTCCCAAGTAGCTAGAACTACAGGTGTGCGCCACCACACCTGGCTAATTTTTGTGTTTTTAGTACAGACAGGGTTTCCCCATGTTGGCCAGGCTGGTCCAAAAGTTAGATCTTGATCTTCTCAAACTAGGGTCTCCTGACTAAGACCTACTCCTTTCTGGGGGTGTGCTAGGCAGTCCACTAGGGCACAGTGAAACATTAAGATTTCTGTTTAGATTTGTAAACCTCCTCCTTTCTAAATATATTTTTGTTAATGTTTTATAATATGTTAATATATTTGCAGAGTGAGACATGGATATATATACATAGACATATATTCACTCACACATATATATCTCAAAATGGTTTTTATTGATAATAGTGCAATGATGCTTTTCGAGCAAGGCGGTATCATGAGGACAGCAAATGTTTAGGGAAATTAATTGTGTGTAACATAGCTGGGGACATGAAGAGAGCCCTTGTTCCCAAGGTATTGTGAACATACCAGCGAGTCTGTTTTGGATGGGGGAGCTGAAGTTAGAAAATATGAGTGAAAATACCCTAAAAATATAAAATAAACAAGAAAGCATACTAAAAAAATGCAAACAGAATTCATATTTAAAACTTCTCAACAGCTGATTCTAGGTACTTGGAAATCAAGGACTCCGTTAAAGGCTGAGAGGGGAAGCCTAAAAAGTAAGATGAGGAATTTGGAACGGATGCTGAGGAAACCCTTTTCAGATCTGCCTGAGCAGATTTTGAATTGTTTATGTATTTGGCATTCCTACTGTCTATTCTAGAATCATTAAAGCCCTAAATGTGGAAAAATACAAACACTGTAGAAAGCAGAGCTGTGCTTTGAAACACTAGAGTGAGTTTTTAAGGCATCTTTACCTTTTTATACAGGATAGCATTTATCATTTTGTGGTCCAGCGCTGATAAAACTTTCACAGAAAGGCGCGGGGGAAGGAAATGGCCGTGTGAAGAAACTGACTACCCAAGCATTAATAAGTAGGAAGTTCCATTTGTTCTCAACCTCCTCAAGCTTCAACATTTTTTATGCCCAGAAGTGAAGACGACGTTTTCTTGTTTTTTCAAACTGAGCTGAACCTGTGTTTCAGGAGCTCTGGCTTTATACGCTTTTATTTTACACGGAACAAAGTGGCAAACTTTCTAATTTAGTTAAAATTCCTGTAACTTAAGAAGCAGTTAAAAAGGATCTTGGTGCAGAACAGTCTGTTTGCCAGAGTGAGGACTCCACTGGCGTGACAACTATTTTTAGGGAGAACGCTGGCAGGCAGCATTCTAATGAAAGGGACAACAGAAGTACTCTAAATGCCTTCCCTCTTTGTCCAACCTAGACTGGTGAGAGGGCTGGTTTTACAATCGCATTTTCCCTAGTTCAAAGATGTCATGTATCTGCGCATATTTCATGTGTTTAAAAAGCTGCTAAGTTCCATGGAGGGGTAAAAATAACCATTTTAAAATCCATGGCTTAATAGTCATTGTTGGTTGGTCAGGATTGATCGGTTCTTGGCTCAGGGAAAGTTGGATTGAGAGACATCAAATATTAAGTAGGAGTTTAATTAAAGAAAGCATTGAGTAAACCTGTGTCACTGTAAATAAGTAAAATTCAAACTTTTCCTGGGGGAAATAATGCATTTATTGTTAACGAATGTCTTTGTTGAAGGCAAGAGATTTTTTTTGTTGTCATTAGAACAAAGGATTCTACTTAAACAACAGAAGGGTAAACAGGACATTCCTCATTGCTGCCTCTGGCTTTGGGTTTCTTGTGGGTTGGCTTCTTGTAAGAATTCTGGCGGGAGTGGGAAAGGGCAGAGGGAGCCCTGAGCTGGGTGGAGGTCAGGAGACTTGGGTCTGGCTAATCGCTGTCAAGAACTGATTCTTCAGCGTGACCTTGAGCAAAACCTTCTGCTCTTGGGTCTTGATTTCTTCTCCTGTCATATGGCATGGTGCTTCCCGAGGCTCCCTCTAGCTCTAAGTGTGTGACTCTGTATCTGTAGTTTTCTAGGTTTCTTCTCTTTTCACTAGACAACACGAGAGTAACTTTTCTTTCATCTGGCAACAGAGCCCTCCTCTGGCCTGGTCCTGTACTCTACTTATGAAACTTTGGCTATCCACACTGTCGACCTCATCTTGATTTCATTTGTTTAAACATAAGATGAGTCAATTAGTAGTAGTAGAAGTGTTTAAAAAAGATAACCATATGTAGCTGAGGATGAGGTATGGACCTATGAAATGCAGTGTGGTGACTGGTAGAACAGGCACTGGAGGAAGCACCAGAGAAAGGGCCACTTATTCTGTCTGGGGTGGGTGTGGTTGCATGTCTTTAAAGAGGCTTCCAGGTCAACTGAGAGGCAGTATGGCGTTAGAACCCAGCCTGCCTGTGTTCTGTTCTTGGTTCTGTCACTCACTGGCTGTGTGATTTAGGGCAAGTTTCTGCATTTCTTTGTAACTCAGTTTTCTCACTTGTAAAATAGGGATAAGGTTAGTAATTACTTCATAGGATTGTTGTAACGATTAAGTGAATGAATGTATGTAATATATATAGAACACAGCCAGACAGTTAGTAAGTATTCCTTGAATGTAAGATTTTTTTTTTTTTTTTTTGAGACAGAGTCTCACTGTGATGCCCAGGCTGGAGTGCAGCAGCGTGAACTCAGCTTACTGCAGCCTCTGCCTCCTGGGTTCACGCAATTCTCCTGCCTCAGCCTCTTGAATAGCTGGAACTACAGGCACCTGCCACCATGCCCAGCTAATTTTTCTATTTTTGGTGGAGACGGGGTTTCCTCATGTTGGCCAGGCTGGGCTCGAACTCCTGGGCCCCAGTAATCCACCTGCCTCAGCCTCCCAAAGTGCTGAGATTACAGGCATGAGCCACTGTGCGGCCTGAATGTCAGGTATGATGTGATTGTGCGATTAATGCCTGGCTCCTCCACCAGCATGTGAGCCCCAAGGAAACAGGGAACATCATAGTTCCTAGTGCTTATCAAAGTCTGCCGTATGATAAGTACCCAATAAATAATTGCCAAATCCATGAATTTGCTATTTGGGATCTCCTATTGGACATTAGCCAGTATTCCCCTTTTTTCATGACAATACACCCCATTCACTGATCTCACAAGGCTGCCTGTCCCTACTCGTTGATGAAACGAGCACAATAAAATCTATCGAAATTAATTCTGATACAGTTAGCAAATGTCTCATACAACTATATTCTTAGGTCCTTGCAAACGATGGGTGTCTTTGTCTTATCAGCCTGTAGGCTCTGGCCTGCTAATAAGGACAAAAGGAGAAGCTAGAAATAAATGAATAAGAAGACCCGCTGTTCCCACAGCTCAACTTTCTCAAGGCTTGGCTGATAGGAAGGCAGATGATGTCCTTGAGCAACTCCACAACCTATATAAGGCTGTCTAAGATAAAGGGATTGTCCCTGCTTTGACAAATGGGACTGACCTTCCAGTCCGGGTAAAACATTCGGGTTTCAACAAAGTCTGTATTAGGTTGGAGATGATATATGACTGGAAGTATGTAAATCCACAGGCAGGTGTTAACTGGCTGCCTGGTTATGCAATTAACCCACAGTTGTCAGGCACATCCAAGAAAGAAGGGAAGTTGTATTTGCCATCTCATCTGGCTTTTTAGTTAAGTGGCTGTATTAAGAAACACTTCTGAAAAAGAAAGATTCATTAGTCGTAGATTCTAAGAGTCTCAGTCTGAATTAAGGCTCTGTAATTTAGCCTCAAACAACACTTGTCTAAACATAAGATGAGTCAATTAGCAGAACTGGAGGGATATCAAGCTTTCTTTGTATGTTTTCATTGGTGCTACCCCCAGCAGTCAAGGAAGATAACTGCAGAAACATCTTTACTCTATCAGGCCAGAAGTGAAGTGGCAACCGAGGAATGAGGATTTCACATTTAATTTGAGTCAAAGTAGGAAAAGACATCTTATATTATTTGGTTCTCTGTCCCCAGTTTTAGATAGCAGCGTGCCTTCCCATCCATTATCTCTTTGTCTGATCCAACATGTCAGTTTGGCTCTCCTTCTCTGAAGCGAATCAAAATTCCTGTACTTTTCCAAACTTGCTGTTCAATGTCACTGTATCTTCAGATACTTGAAGTTTTGAACTACTAATTGAAATTTTGATTGAATTTGTTGAAGTGAGGACCTGGGAGGGCATGATAATTATCTTCAAATAGTTGAAGGTCTGTCATGGGAAAGATAAAAACATTGTTCTGTAAGGGTGTAGAACAAGGGACAGATGCTGCAGAGGGAGTTTTTAATTCATTATAAAGATGGATTGTTTATCAATCAAGGATGAGGAAAAAATGAAATGGATTATCCTAGGAGATAGTCGGTTTCCCATGGCAGGGCAATCCCTGGATTTGCTAAGAATTACCGATTCGATAGCTATGAATGATGATCTCCAATCCAGTATCTGCCTCTCCTCTCATTCCAGTCACTTGGAGGAATGATATTCGTGGCTCCCTTATGGCCTAGCAGGGCCATGTGACCCAGAAGTTCTGGCTGTTAGGTCTAGCCCTATTTAATAGCCTGTGTGAGACTTCAGGAGTTCTCCTCCCCGGCCATTGACATTATGGAAACACAGGGATAGATGGAGCTTCTATTAGCCAGACTCCCTGGGGGGATAACAATGAGCAGAGACCCTTGCCACTCTGCACTGGACCCATGGCAGGAGAGAGAAATGAGCTTTGTTGTTTAAAGCCACCACAGCATAACCTAACTCAACATGAACACAGATTTTGCTCAGTTTTTCTTGGGCAGTTTTAAGTTCAGCAAGGCAGACCCCGCTCCAGCCTCAGGGTTGAATTGTGATTGGTCACAGCCAATCATGGCACTTTGATCCCCCTTTTCCAGAGAATAACCTGCTCAGGGCTGGCCATGTGACCCAGCTCTGGCTGATGAGACTTAAGGGTGGTCTTGGGTACGGAAGCCTTTGAAACAGATTTTCCTCCCTGATAAAATGAGGGAAAAGAGCGAGGAGGAGAATTATTTTTTTTCCTGCTTTTGATTGTTTGATGTGAGTGAGATAATGATACCTGAGGAGAGAAAGACAGACATATAGTCTATTTCACACAGAGTGACATGCTTGTGGAATGCATTATCCTTGCAGATAGCACAGATTGAGTTGTATAAAGTGGAGTTTCCGCTTTCTAAGTCCATGTCTAGCCAATTTCACTTGTATGTAGAAACAAATACAGGCTCCTCAAACTTGTGTTCAAAACCTGTTCCTCTTCTTAAGGTCCCTGTCTCAGCTGAAGGAACCATAGACCTCCCTGTTGCCAGATCAGAGAAGCCTGGGACTGCATGTTCACTCATAGCTCTTCCTCATCGAGTCTCCAGTATTTCCCATCTGCCCACTCCTCTCCTCCAGCATTGTCTCTACCTTAGCTCAAGCCTTCAGCACCTCTGCAAATGACTACTTACCTAACTAGTGGGCCTCAATCCTAGCTCCTTTCCAACTTAGGTCCATATCATGGCCAGAAGGACCTTTCTAAAACAAATTGATCATATCGGCCTCCTGTTTAAAATGTCTTCTTAATGTTCCCTGGGTAAAGTTCCAAAATCTTGGCCGAGTTTATAGGACTTTTCATGGCTTAGCCCTAGCTACATCTTCAGTCTTGGTTTTGGCCACTCCCACATATCCTCTTTGCTGCATTCCTATTTTTTTTTTTTTTTTTTTTTGAGATGGAGTCTTGCTGTGTCAACCAGGCTTGAGTGCAGTGGCACGGTTTTGGTTCACTGCAACCTCCGCCTCCTGGGTTCAAGTGATTCTCCTGCCACAGCATCTCGAATAGCTGTGATCACAGGTGCCCGCCACCATGCCCAGCTAATTTTTGTATTTTTAGTAGAGACAGGATTTCACCATGTTGACCAGGCTGGTCTCGAACTCCTGACCTCAGGTGATCTGCCCGCCTCAGCATCCCAAAGTGCTGGGATTACAGGCATGAGTCACCGCACCCGGCCTTTGCTGCATTCTTAACTGCATCACCCACAGGCCACAGAATGCTGCATGCTCTCTTCCTTCCCTGCCCCATGAACATACCAGCCTCCTTGCTTGGAACAATCCTCCCTTTTTTCCTCTCTCCCTTGCCTAGGTAATTCCTCATCCTTCTTAATATTTCAGTTACTGTCTTCTTATGGGGGCCTTCCCTCACTTCCCCAGTGCTGGTGGGGCTGATCCTTTGTGCAAGCACCACATTCTATTTCTACCACTCCCTTAGCATTTTTCACCACTGAGTATTAATTTCCTACTAATACTCTATGTCTTCTAGCAGACTGCAGCCCTTTGAGGGTGCCATCTTTGGAAAAGCACCTGGCATGTTTTAGACCGTCCGTGAAGCATTGTATGTGCTGTCATTATACAGCTTGCCTCTTTACTAGGCAGAAGTAGTCCATGCATGCAGGTTTTCAGAACACCGCTGTGGGGATTGATGGCAGGAGACAGGGATGATGGTAAGAGAGACAACTTGGGCTAGACAAGGCTCTGGGGCTGGAAGTGTAAACCAGGCAAACAGCCTGTGCATTGAGGAGCCAGGAGTCAGAAGAAGAGCAGGAATAGAAGCTCAAGAGGCATGATCTGGGCCCGGGAAGTCATCCAGCTGGAAAGATTCTGGGCAAAGGCCCTAGGAAGACAGAACACCCAGCTTGAGGTGACAAAGGCCTCAAACAAGGGCTGTCTCTGAGCACAGAGCCACAGGAAGCTTGCTTTCTTTAAGTCAGAGGGAACTTAGCTGACCTGAGAGAGATGCAAGGTGGAGCAAAAACAGAAACCTGTGTTAAATTAGAGAAAGCTGGCTTTGTAACCACACATGCAGCTGGGAATCTCCTGCCTGTATAGAATATGTACTCCAGGACTCTTTACTTTGCGGTAGATGAGACCTTGTGTTCTAAGTAGGCAGACAGTGGGAGGCAGAGCTTGGCTCACAACACAGGAGGAGCAGAGCTGTGGACCCGGGCTTGGCCATGGTCTGAGAGGAGCTGCACTAATAATCATCAGCAAGCATAGGATGCTCTGGTGCGAGATGTCCCTGGCTTCTCTCACAGATGAACAAAAATGGTTCAAGTTGGTAACGGATCTGTGAAGATCCACAGATCTGAGAGAAAAGATATTGAAGCAGGAGAATCAAAACTGGGCTTTGCTGGCAAAGAAATTTGTTAAGTTATAAGTGTAAACCAAAAAACCAGAAAGGATACTTTGTGCTGGGGAAGGGCCTCTAAAATCTCACATGGGAACTTCATGTGAACATCTAAGCTGTCCTTAGAACTTACTGAGAATCCCTATGTGATAGTGCAGGCTTATTTGCTGGTCTTTTCTAAGCATTAAGAGGGTCTGGAGAATCTATGTCTTTCTGCTGAATTCAGGCAAGTGACACCCAAATGATAAGTTAGAGTCTTCTAAGACTTATGAGGACAACAGAGAAACCCATCTCTTGGGTCCTCATTGCCTCAGTGGGGCAATGGTGGCCTTCACAATCAGGTTTCAAGTCTCTTCTATGACCAGGCCTTTCTCCTCTCCCCTCCAAATGCTGATCACACCAGGGTACCACGTGGGTCAATTACTTTATCTTTACTTTTATTTTATGGAATAAAACCTCCCCTGACTGACTCTACCCCATCCCCAGCCCCCTGTTGGTGCTCTCTGGGCATTCTTTCTTACCACTCTTATTTCTTTTCCATAATGATAAGTCATTCATCATAGCATCACGAAGATTAAGCAGAATATTATGGTGAGTGTGCCCAGATAGAGAGCATGTTCCGGAAATGTGTGTTCTATGTACAGGCAAGGAAGTCAGACTTTTGAACACAATCAAATTTAGAATTAAACTTGATCCTCTTGAGTCTTTCTGTCCCCAGGATAATTTCTTTACAAATATGTATCTGATCATTGTTTTCCCTTGTTTCTGTGTTTAAAAAGGTCCACTGTTTTGTTTTTCATGTAACACGTGGAGCTCGTGTTATTTTCTATTGTCCTCAAGAAGTGCATAAAATCTATCCTATTCCATTAAGATTTTATAACAAGTGAGGAGATTTTATAACAAATAATGGAAATATTTACTGACCAGTCATGAACAATGACGTGATACAGACTGAGAAGAGCCCATGAGTGTCTACACAGTCAACTTCAATTTGCCAGGCATTCATTGTATACCTATTGGGCCCAACGTTGCATCTATAGAAGAGTAATATTTTCTGGAGAAACAAGCAATATTCAAAAGATGTTAAAAGAGACTAAATTTGCAAAACAGAAATCATCACCTAAAATATCACTCAGATTAAAGGAGATCCAAGCAAGAACATCAGGGTGAAGGCCAAGGAGCAAGCCCAGGATGAGGGTAGAAAGGGATTGTTGAGCTAGATATAGTTTCTTCCATCAGTGGGCTGTGAAGATTCTAACCTTTCAATACCAGCACTAATGAAGGGGCATGGCCCCAGTAATAGGAAATACTGCATGCTCTGTACTGTGCTAAGAGAAACTTCCATGTTTTGTTTTCTATAATCCCTACAACACCACAATGGAGTAAGAACTGTTATTGTACCCATTTCATAGATGAAGGGAATTGAGGCAAAGAGAAGTTGAGTGACTTGCCCAGCTAGAAAGTGGCTGAAGTGGGATTTGAACCTGGGCAGTCTGGCTCTGCAGCCTGGTATGCGCTATTGTCTCCTAAGACACAGGATGAGAACAAAACCATGTACTCATTATTGACTTTGTAGTTCATTTTCTGTTTTTTCACCTCAAGCAGTTCTTCTCACTTGTAAATAAATAGATCTAGGGACACTTGTTGAAGGCTACGTGCCCATTTGCATTGTTTGAACATGCACTTGTCTGGAGTTTTGGGAGAGACCCTTAGAGGGTGGTTGGTGGAGATGGCAAGTTGGCCTGGGAATGAGCCAAGCATAATGGAACTGTCTGAGGTCAGTAGAATCCATGAGCCAGAACATAAGTCAGAGCCCAGTGAGACCTTGACACAGCACCTCTCCTTGGGGGTTCCTCTCCAACCCAGGCCTGTGCAGCTGGTGACTTTTGGGGCCGTGGGTTTAGTGATGTGTGCATGTGAAAAGGCTGGTGTTTCTTTACATTCTATTTAGAGGGACGGGGAAGGAAAGGATTGGAAATGGAAAAGAGCATGGTTCTCTAGTTGGGGCAGATCAGCCAAAAGAGAGGCCAGACTCTTCTCTGCTCATACCCCAGCACTCTCCCTCACATAGTCTTCCCAAGCCCCTTTGGAGCCTTGGCCTTGTTGGGAGTGCCCTCATGCTGCATTTTGGCCCACACTCTGTGCATTTTCCAAGGTCCACCTTAAGGCTGTGCTTCTCTTTGATGCTTTCCTGGTCCGTCACTGCTCTCTGCCTCTCCCTTCCCTGAAACCGTTAGCATGTGGTGGGAAACCCAGCGCTCCCTAAAGTACTTTTACCCCCTGTTGCACCCAAGTCTTCTGCTCTGTACCAGTATGGAACATACTGGAAGATGGAGACTGTCTCCTGACTTTAATCTGCTCTCCCAGCGCCCCCACTATACTGCCCCACTGTCTACTGTCTACTGGTGGATTTTGGTTGTAACCCACACATTTCAGCAGAGGGTGTGTAATCTGTGGATTTGGAAAAAAAGACGAAAGAGAAGCTTGAGAGAAAAAAAAAGTGGTTTGCTTTAAAAGAAGAGAGATGCTTCTCTAATAAAAGATAAAATGGCCAAATGGGGGTAGGCTTGTGCCCCTGAGATAAGAGGAAAGGTCATTTGTTTAAACAGTAAATGGCTAGAAATGCAGATCAGATTTATAGGGCTTCTACAAATCCACAAAAAATGCTTGCACACAGATGCATGCATAATAATCCTGAATTGGCTATGAAATTTATCTTCATGAGTAAAGAGAGGAGGGATTGTTGATGCTGTTATGATTTTTACTCCATCTTTCCAGAGAAGACAGGATTAATACCAGGAGAGATAAATCATGATCTGATTTTTGTATATATGCACAAAACAAACACAATGAATATTTGATTTTCTCCAACTTCTGCAGGGCTAAATCAATTTGAAGAGATAATGGTAGAGGATTAAGTTATTGAAATGTGTGTAACTATAAAGTTTTGAATACAGTTAACTCACAAGTTATTACAATTTCAGTATAACATCTGTTATCATTGAACTAACAGATGTGTTGTGTATTGTGAAACTAAGGGAAAATGGATATGCACACAGTTTCAAAAGAAACCAGGCTCATATTAAATTATTTGTGAAATATAACACTGTAAAAATTATCGCAAAGGGTAGACTAACTAAAGGGGTTTCCCCAAGATGAAGCTACAATGCAAATAATGTTATTCATAGAAAGTCGCCTTAAAACATAAGGCAAACGAAATGTTCTATGAATTCTTACAGTTTGTCGAATTGGAGAGAAAGGAAGTTATCGTACTTAAGAAAGTAGAAAAACGTAAAGACATAAAACAGAACATAGCAATCCATAAAAGTGGGCTTGGAATAAAGAATGATGATTTCTTAACTCTGCCATCTACACTCAGTAGTCTTTGCTTTTATTCCCTTACTATGGCAGCTTAACTATAAACTCTTTATGAATAGTGAATTATGTCCACCATTCTTTCACTGGTCATAGTTTCTGAACCCAGAGTTGGTACATGTGCTTTAACAAGAACACAAGGAAGCACAGAAATTAGGGGAGAGGCTTTCTGACATTGAGGCTTTCTCATAAAATACGGGAATGTATCAGTCACTTTTCCTGTGTTGCTCCACACAGTGCTGGCCTCAAAGCAGAGGCTCAGAAACTTTTTCTGCTTGCTGATGCATCTGAAATCCCTGTTAACTAGCTGGACTATTTCCCAGCCCTTCGCCAAGTGCCACCCTTGAGGCATCTCTGTGAGTTTTCTGATTACATTATTATGATTACATTATTGGTGATGTTCAGCTATTATTTTGTATAGAGTTATAAAATCTGTCACTGCATTTTTGTTTTCTTTCTCCACCTGTTCACAATTGTGCTTCTTTTTTTGAAAGGTTTGGGGGAAATGAATCCCACTATATTGTTATTTAGCAAGGATTATGGTCAGGAATGAATATACCAGAAATGTGAGGTTGGAGTTGGGGGGAGATCTAATTAAACTTGACTTTGTCTGGTTTTCAATTCTACTACCGTTGACAGCTTGCTCCTAGGAGAAAGAGGTCCCAGTTGGTCTCCACCACAAAAAGGTTTTTAATAAAATATTCAGGATAGCTGAGGACCTTTAGAATGGGTAATTTTATTCAACATACACTGTGATCTTCCTGCTGGTTGTGGGCTCTGGACCAATACCCAGGAGCTTGTCTTGGAGTGTACGACTATTATGCATTATGTTAGAGTATTCTGTGAAAAGTCAGTTTACTCGGAGTCAGATACACTATATTTTGACTTTGAGACTAAAATTGTCTCTGGGGCTTAGTTTGCTGCCATGATTAAATTTTTACTGTTCTGCAAATCCTAGATTTATTCTTAACTGTTTCGATGCTGCATTTTAAAAAGACTAATAATGAATGGTTAAAAGAGAAAGAAAAAAATTGAGGATTCAGGAAGGATTCTCTGATAAAGTGCAAACTTTCATTAAATAATGCCTGTAGTGAGTTTACCTGCCGTTGGCTTTGCCTCTGGTTTCGAGAGCCTGCCTAACCAGGCCTAGGACTTAATGAGGTGGCTCCCTTCAGTGTCTTAGACACTTAGCTCTCAAAAATCTCCATCTACAAACCATTTTTTCCCATCCGTTACAAAACGAGCAAGAGAAATTGAAGGCGTGGGTTGAAATCCCTGTTAATCAATTGGACTATTCCCCTTAGGTTGTAGTTGAAGAGCAAGTTTTCATTATCTCCAATAATTAGCATCATCTTTTTTGAAATTAGCTGAATGGACTGACACAATAATCTGTGGTAGATATGTCATGTGTCTTTCCATTATTAACTTTTTGAAAGGAGGGAAGAGTGAGGAGGGGAAGAAATGAACTATGGGATTTTTTTCTTATCTTGGTGGCATTTAACCTGAGCCTGTGGGGCAGTGGGTGTCTATTTTAGATGATCTGAAAGTATAACTTTGGAGACATAATCAAGAACTTGGGTGCTGTTTCTACAACTTACTTGGTGAGTGAAATTGGACAAGTTACTTACTTCTCTAAGGCCAAGCTTCTGCTTCTGTAAAGTGGAGATAATAATAATGCCTTTCTCACTTGGCATTATTGCAAAGATAAGGTTTATTATAAAAATAAGGTTATTGTAGAGATTCAGTGGGAGAGTGCACATAAAGCACTTAAGAAGTAACTAGTGTTTAGTAAATACCCAGTGCATTGTAACTACAATTATTGCAGCTTTGTTACTTTAGGCATTGTCATATTAAATGGGAATTCTTATTTATTCATCAGATACTGATGGATTCATTTAACCACTATGCTCAAGACTGCTGACTAGGCACTGAGAAACATATGCAGATGGACCCGCTGTCCTCGTAGAGGGATCAGAGGTTGTCAGAAATGATTGTGGTGCAGGTGGGGGGTGGCAAGCGCCATAGGAGATGACCATGGCAGTGTCCAGTGCAGTGGTGCTGATGGAACCAGGCCTCCATTAAGTGGTTGATGGCAGAGGAGGTGGTGTTCTTGTGGGACAGCTCTATGGAGTAATTTTGGGTGTGGTGACTGGCAGCAGAGCCACAGAGCCTAGCTTTCCTTTCAAGGGTGTTATGGCCTGAATGTATCTCTCCAAAATTAATATGTTGAAGCCCTAACCCCCAATATGATGATATTTGGAGGTGGGGCCTTTGGAAGGTAAATAGGTTCAGATGAAGTCATGGGGGGATAGGGCTGCCATAACAGGGTTAGTCCCCTTATAAGGAGAGGAAGTGAGACCAGAGTGCTCACTCTCTAACCCTAACACCCAGCCCCATTGTGAGAACACAGTGAGAAGGCAGCTGTTTGCAAGCCAGGAAGTGGGCCCTCACCAGAAAACAAATTGGCTGGCACCTTGACTTTGGACTTCCTAGCCTCTAGAGCTGAAGAAATAAATGTCTGTTGTTTAAGCTACTCTGTCTATAGTATTTTGTTATAGCAGTCTGAGCTGACCAAGACGAGGGCTTCTGTGAGCTTGCCATTATCCTTTTAACGAATTTCTTTCTGCTTCAATCAGCCAGAGTTCATTTGCTGCTTGCCAGTAAGAAGCTGACTGTCATGCCCCTCAGGGGCAGGATCTTCACACTCGGGCTGTGGCACAGCTTCCATCTCTGGTCCTCTCTGCCTACATCTTCTTTTCGTCCTGCTAGAACAGGCTAATTTCTTCATGGTTCTTTCATTCAACTTCCAGAGTTGGGGGATCTGATTGGCTTTGTTAATTACCGCTGGGCAGAGTGTGGTATCAGACCATCCCGAAGGACTCTACTCCACCTGGAAACTGGACCACCTTTGGTCTAACTAGGAGCAAAGATGTGCTCAAGGCAGAGCTTGGAGCATCTTCCCCTAGCACAGGGGCAAGAAGAAGGCCCTGGAAAGGGATAGTGAGCACGGTAGACACCACGATTGACTTTTCTAGTACAGTTTTCCCCAGATTATATAAAGCGAGGTACAAGCCAGCAAGATATAGCAGAGAAAATTCAGGCTGGGATGGAATAACTGGGAAAGGCTTATCAGAGAGAGGAGCCAACTCCACCTCTTCCTCAGAGGTCACCATGTCTCTAAAGGCTTCTCCTGACTGCATGCTTTTAGCTCTGTTCACATAGAATATTAGAAGAACCTTAAACATTCTTTTATTGCAAAATTCTCATGTTCTATTTATGTTATTCTTGTTTCTCTCTCTCTCTCTCTTCTTTTCTGTGAATTTTTAAGGTCCGGGACTAACTTATTCAAACAGAACTTTCTATAGAGCTGGATCTGTAAAAGTTCACATTAGGGTGTTAATGGTTGTTGTAGTAAACAAACTTCCAATTACAAGGACTCAGATGCGATGGGTGAAAATTTATTTCCTCCTTACATGAGACCCAGATGGGAGTTTCTGATTAATGGGTGGCCTTCCTCTAAGCAGGGATAAGGGATTAGGGACCTTCTATTACATGGCTTCACTGTCTTCAACATGTGGCTTCTGAGGTCTCTTTGCTTAGCTACATCAGACTAGAAGGAGGATTCCAAGTGCATGCAGAGTTTGATTAGGTGGGCCTGACAGTGGTTCTCGTCACTTCAATCCATGTTTTTTGGCTAGAAGGCAGTCACATGGCCATACCTAAATGCAAGGGAGGTTGGGAAATGTAGTCTCATCGAGGGCCCAGGAAGAAGAAATGGGTTTGGCATGCAGCTAACTAAGCTCTTGAATCTTGAGCTGGGCCATAGAGAAAAGGAAGGATCTGAATGGACGGAGAGCAGAGGATGATATCTCAGCAGCAGGCGGCGGGGCTAGAGTGTGGAGAACAAGAAGAGAGGCTGGCTATGAGGAGCTTGGCATGGATAACTCACCTGTTTCTCATCAGAGTTTCTGGTCTGTGATTTTGGTTTCTCAAACAAAGAAGGAGAGCTCTGGTCAAAGATGCTAGTTTGGAACCCAGAATGCCTGGTTCCAATCTCAGCTCACGTATGTATTGGCTGTGTTACCTTGCATAAACTCTCGTTTTCATTTTCCTCATCTATAAAATGGGGATAGAAATTGTATCTACCTCATGGGCATGTTGTAAGGATTAAGTGAATTAAAACCTATAAAAGATTTAGAAGTCTGCCTGGCATATAATATGAATTCAGTAAATGTTACTACTTTCACTCTTTCCATCTGTATGTGTGTGTATTTTTATGTGTGTGTGTGTGTGTGTGTGTGTTTGTGTATTAAGTACAGCACCATGAGCACAGGGAAATAGCAATATGAGGGTAAGGGTAAGAGAAGGGAAGGAGGTCAAGAAATTCAACTTCAGCTTTGCAGTTTGGTCACTAACTAATAGTGTTGCAACACTCACTCTTATTCATCTTAGTACTTTAGGCAGGCCATGCTTTCTTCTGATTGCCTTTGCTGTCTCACCAATTATCAATTGGTTCTCTAGTGACATTTGGTCTTACATTTTGTGTTTTGTGTTATGATATAAATCTTTTCCCTCTCCTACCTTTTGTCTGAAATTTGGCTCATTTGTATGAGGAATATAATGATGCTCATTAGTATTGGTAGGGCCCATCAGCTGTCGGCTTCCTTAGAGCAAAGCCCCACTCATGTGGGTCTTTATTTCAGTGGGTGTGATGTCCATTAATGCAAGGTCATTGCCAGTTCCTACACTTGTTTCCTCTTTCCTCCTGGTGGCCTTTCTGTCTCCTCCATTCTATTGCCGGTGGGCTGCCTTCCATGATCAAAGGCCACCCCCGACTCGCTCTCCACTCACTTGGGTTGCAATATCCCCAGGCCAGCAGCTGCCCCGACTGTGAGTCCAGTGGCCACCCACACCGGCAGCCAGGAGGGGTAGAGCAGCTGCGTCTGGATAAGGTGATGGGTAATAAGCACTGACATTTGATGAACTACCTCTCTGCATTCTTGCTTCGCAGAGAGGCTGGGTGGACTGGGTTTGCCAAGTCCTCAAATAAGAAAACACTGTGTTTCCACTCGACTTCACATTCGGAAGTAAACTCGCTGGGCAACTTCTTGCATGAGGCTCATGTAACTTTAATGCCTTGGCACTGTTTACTTGCCTGGCCGGTAATGGCCCCTTTGCTCGGCCTCCTGGAGGACAGGATTTGTTGCGTGCCTCCAGGGCGTGCCATCCCAGGTCAGCAGATGGCCTTCTGATTCCTATTTCCAGCCTGTCTTACCTGACCATTCCTTCACTGTATGAACAGCTGTTTCCTTCACTTCAGTGCTGCCCAACCAGATTGGTGATTTTTCTTCTGCCCTTTTATTTGCACAGAACATAAATCTTTCTCTCTTTCTGACCTGGCCTGCAGTTCCATCCACCTGTGCCTGCCTTGAGCAATATATAACTCTCGCCAGGTTCTGTTTACCTTGCTTGCTTCAGCCTATAAACCAAACTTTCTTCTTTCTTCCTCCCTCTCTTCTGGGCTGATTCAGCACTCTCTTAGCACCTGGCTGCCAGTTAACACTTAAACACACAAAAAAATACATTATTTTATGAGTCTGATCTGAACTGGAAACTTCCGACAGAATGAGATGCACTACAGAAGTCTCAGTTCCATTGGCCTCCTTTCTCTCCTTTGCTTGAGTCTGAGGAGACTTAATTTACACTGGGCCAGAAGCGACTGTGCTAATTGAAAATGAGTTAATTAAATAACTTGGTACTTAGGAAGGATTTCCAGCTGTCAAAGTATAGCCAGTCAATTGAATCAATTCAGTTAAATGTTTAACAATGATCACAAAAATTGGATATGAACTTAAAAAAGGAAAAGTAACCTATGTTCCTAAGAAGACCCTCTTGTGGATTTCAGGCCATTCCTAGTCAAATACTATTGACCTCTCCAACTGCTGCAATTGTTTCATGGGTGTTTTGCTTTATAATTTTATTTTGGTTTCCTGGACTGGAGGAGAATCCTTCTGTACGTTCTCTTTTTGTCCTCTTTTTATGGAGTGTGTAACATGCACTCAAAACAATGTTTCTCACTTCCAGTTGAAAATCAAGAAAGTGAAGTCCTCATGCAATAAAGTTTGTAGCAACAGGCTAGTTAGAAAGAAGGGACTCAGCTGTGCTTATAACAACCTTTGTAGTGAAATGAGTGAGATCCTAGGATGTTATGATCCATAATCTGCCAAACACACACACACACACACACACACACACATACACATACACATAACTGTTCATAGGTGATAACTGATTGAGAATGCTTAGCTCTTTCCATTTTTTTTTCTGAATGTTAAGCGTGTAAGTTTAACACGCTTTAATGATGGACTTCTTCCTCTCTCTCTTCCTAGTTGTTTTTTGAATAGCAGGTCAAGGTTTGGTGTGTAATCAAAACCTAAGTATCTAAATGAGAGCTTAATATATTAGGAGAGTCTGTGTGGCATATGGGATGTCTTCAAATTGACTTAGGCTGAGTCAACAGGGCAGTGAACATCCGGCTGGAAAATGGCAACACTCCAGCCATTTGGCGGGCCGCTTCACCCCACGGAATTGGCATGTTGAATCCTGTTTGGACTGATGCATCATCCCATTTCTCTCACAGAGAAGAATAAGTTGATGGTATTTGTTGGGTGGTTTTTATCGTTCAGTTTTTTTACAACCTGTTATAACTTTGAACCTCACATCAACCCTATGCGATAGGACAGATACAGTTTTCCCATCTTATATGCAGAAAAAGGAGATTCAAAGTGGTTTACTTGGTTATGGAACTAGTTAGTATCAGAACTAGAATTATATGCTTGACACCCTGATACCTTGTCTAGTGAAGCATTTTCATTTCACATCTACCTTGAAAGGTATACTCTTGAAAATTAAAAGAAAAGACACATAGGACAGCAAATTTAAGTTCACAAGCTCATTAGCCCCAGCAGCAAAGCTCAAATGATCAGGTATGATTTAGAGTGTAATTTTATGGTTTCTGTCTCTAATGATGAGCCTCTAGCACTACCAGATCCTGAAGTGCTGTCTGAGTCATCAAATCAACAGTTGATTCTAAGACCAAGCCACTGGTGATGAACATCTCTTTCTTGAACATGTGTAATTCATTTATGGTACTTATGTTACTTGTCAAGTAAACAGAACATTCAGTTATTCGGAACACTCATTCGACAGGTATGTTGTTGTTAGTGGGTAGGAGGATAAAACTTGGGAGATGACAGGGACAACAGAGCCATCTAATTGAGTCTTTTCATTTCACATATGAGGAAATCAAGGCCCAGAGAAGTGAAGTGACTCAATCAAGGTCTTAAGACTATATAACAGCAGACATGGTTTCTTGCCTTTCAGTCTAGTGCCTGTCCACCATGTCATGTCAAAGATGTGCACCTACTCACCTATCCTCAGAGTGGAGCAAGGAGGAAAAGAACCTTCCTAGGGGATCTTGGGTCCCTTTCATAGTGACTGCGTGTATAAAGAAAATCACATTTTATACCTAGTTTTTCTGCAAAAAGTTACACACACAAACACGGTTTGTTTAAAAGCATGGAATTTAGAAAAACAATCTATTATTAAAATATATATATATATTTTGAGATGGAGTTTCGCTTTGTCGCCCAGGCTGGAGTGCAATGGCATGATCTCTGCTCACTGCAACCTCTCCCTCCCAAGTTCAAGTGATTCTCCTGCCTCAGCCTCCTGAGTAGTTGGGATTACAGGCTTGTGCCACCACGCCCAGCTAATTTTGTATTTTTAGTAGAGGCGATGTTTCACCATGCTGGCCAGGCTGGTCTCAAACTCCTGACCTCGGGCGATCAGCCCGCCTCAGCCTCCCAAAGTGCTGGAATTACAGTCATGAGCCACCGTGCCCGGACTAAAAGATTTGAAGTAATAATAGATACAGTGATTTGTTTTCATCCTACTCTTCTATATTGAGGCTTGTTTCATAATTTGTAGATTCCCTAGGAAGTTAAGATCACTATACTATTTTCTTTGTTTGAGGCTTAAGATCCTGGAACTACAAATCTCACACACTTATAATAAATGTCTTAGAGATTGCCATGTTCAAGCACGTTGATTAGTTTTTCCCACTTAATTCTTTCAAGCACCCTATGAATCTGATACTATTAAGATCCCATTTTACAGATAAGGAGGCTGAGACTTAGAGAAGCTTGAAGTCACACCCTCTGTAAATGGTAGTTTTGAGTTAAGTCAATATGATCTGAACACCAGAACCTGCAATTTCAAACAGTGCTCTTCTGCCCCCAATCATATTTCAAAATTAGTTTTATGAAGTTCTTATGCTGCTTGATTTCTTCGATAAGCATGAAATGAACTGCAAATTTAAATAAAATAAATTGCTCAACATTTTCTGTTAAGAACTTTTGGAATTGGTTACCAGGTAGTGTCAAGACAGGCACCCTCCTGAGTTGGTGCAAGAGGGCTTGCCAGGATGCTGACCACCGCAAGCATCTTGTAGAAGGACTCCTGGGGCTGACATTTTTCCAGCAACTTCTGTACCTCTAAAGAAACTTCTAAGCACCCAGTCTGAATAAAAATCTCTTTTATAATTTGGACACTTGTTTTAGAAGATAATGAAGATATATACTTAACAAGATAACAAGCAGTGTGGAAATCATTATCATACTAGGTCTTAAAGGCCAATTTATGTTTTTATTTCTTTGTTTCTAAGTTAGGAATAGGGCATTAAATTACATATCTTTTTCTTGCTTATTCATTTTCTGGGTGTCATCAGACAAATATTTACCTGTTGATCACTGAAGCTTCAGTGTGAAGCACAATGGCCCAGGCAGGCTTCCAATCTCAGATGAGAGTCCTTGGAATAATTAGCTTTTGATTTTGAAGATACACCAACTTACTAAGAACCCACAGCAAGCTTAACCAATCTCAGAATGCCTCCTTTACAACTCCATTTTCCCTTGACTCACCACCAGCTCTTTCAATAAACATGAGCTTATGAGAGAAAGAAAAAGCCACATAAAATTTTCTACTTCTCATATTGTTTTCCTTTTTAAGTTGCAAACTCAAGCCTGATTGTACAGCACTCCAACCAAAAGACCCCCTCAGGCAAAAATCACATTATGAAAAGCTGTTTATAAGGTTTAAATTATCCATATTAACATATTTAAGATTCACCAGTGTGGTTTTTAGATGTCAGCTCCAATCCACAGTGAAGCTTCGGTACAGGGTTATAGTCGACCAGAGACTCTTATAGGAAGAAAATGTGGAGTGAAACCACAGGGCTGGAAAATCCCTGGAGGAGTTAACTAATCTATCCCCCTGCCTCTGGCAGGACCAAAAGCAAAACCCATTTAGGTTTAGGTACAGACCTATATTCCTATTTTGTTTGCAAAACCTGATTGGTTCATCTCTTTCCATTTTTTAAGTGAAAGCTGTAGGCAAAGTATGAGAGAAAAAAATTACTTAGTATATATAGACATGAATGTATACAGCCAGTCCTTGATCATTAAGTATTTATTGGAATTCTTCTATATTAAAAGGACAGCACTGAGCTCAGAAAGTTAACCCAGTTTAGGTAAAAACATGGTTTATGCTCACAGTACGATTTCACTAGGGAGATATGACATATACCAGAAACATTTATATCCCAATTCAAGCCAGCACTGGATTGTCTTGACATAAGTATTAGGAACCTAATGTGTACTAGCACAGACAGTTCTAATCACATTCACTCAGACTTCTAGTTCTTTATACTTTCATGTCCTGGGAATTCGTTCATAGGATTTCAAAATTACAAAAACTTTATTTTAAGGAGGTTGGTGACATCCAATTTTCGTATCTTGAATTCTTGCCCAGAAATGTTATCTGCTCCCTCTATGCCCATCCCACTGCTGGAAACTACTAGTGTCATCAACTGGACTGATGTAAGAAACCCAGCAAAGCAGGGCCAAAGTCTCCATGCAAGGCTATGTCTTATGGCATTCTCCTAGGCTATGGGGAGGTTTTTTAGCTAGGGAGAAATGGTTAATGGTCTGCTGCTCTTGTCTCTCCTCAAGTAGGGTCAATAGGCTCCTCCTACTTGGGTCAGAATGCATAGAATTAAACAGAATTAAACTAGGTAGAAAGGCAACCTTTCATTCATTCATGAACTCGGTCAGTGGGCTGTTATGGGCTAGACTCTGAGGCTATAAAAATGCACGACACTTGGTCCTCATTTGTGAAGGGCTCACAATAAACAAGTAACAATGTCGTGGCAAAGGGCAGTAATCGAGGCAGATACAGTGGGAGCCAGGAGGGAGAAGGATTAGATTAGCCATGAGGTCTGTAGATATTTCATAAAGTATGTGACATTTAAACTGAACTTTGGAGTATAGGGGATTTCATCAGATGGAGAAGGTGCAAGAATTATTCTAGGCGGAAGAAATGCTATGTACAAAGTACTGTCGTTGGGACACAGTGTGGTCAGAGAAGGACGAGGTAGAAAAGGACCTGTGGACGGGGCAAGGGGATGGGGTTAGAACAGCAGTGTGACGACCACATCATAAAGGCCTTTTTATAAAGTTTGGTTTGGGAATTTTGATCCAGAAAGAAGGATGGAGAGAAGGGATGGGAGTCACCTAAAACTCTTAAACAGGAAAGGACATGTCTGGGTTTATGTTTTAGGAAGATCACCCCAGCCCCCAGTGCCTGGAGAGAATACCGAGCTGAGGAAAGCCTGGAACAGGGAGACTGGCTTGGAGGCCACGGCAATAGTCCGGATGAGACAAGGTGGAGAGAGGAGATTGGAGACTGCTGGCATCATAGGAGATGACAGGATTTGCAGACCAGATCTTGTGGGCAAAGGAGAGAAAAAGCTGGGGGAAGGGTTTGTTACGCTTCTCTGGAGATCAATAGAACATGAAAAGAGGATCACATTAGAAAGGGGTGAGGTGTAAAGCCCAGGAATCTTTGAAATGAGTTTAACTGTAGACATGTTGTATTTGTGGGACAAGATTTTAGTGATGGTTAGCTCAGGTGAAAACATTAGACTGTAGAGCTGAGGAGTGACCCCTACGTGGGACAGGACAGTGAAACTCACCATAATGACCGAATGGATGTTCTAGTTCTGGGAAATGCTCCTGTTGCTGGGGCCGTTTCCCTGTTTGCATCCCAGAGATAGCTGTGAGAGCATTAGTTTCAGCCACACTGTGGTTTACACGTGTCAACATTTCTCCGATTTTTCTACCAAGATGCCCTTATACCGTGGGGGAGACTGGGGCAAGGAGAAATATTATTTCAAGTGCCTTTTTTGTCGGCAAAATGTATTTAATGTCTGGATTCTGCTACATGTTTGTTTTGATCTAAATAATGTTTTAAATTATTTACCATTTAAATTATGCATAGTAACCACTCCCCACCCAAACCTACGAATAGCCAGGGCTTTGGGCCCCCTTGGTATGTGACTGGCCATACTGCCTGGTGGGTGAAGCACAGAGCTAGTAGAGATCTCGCCATTACTATGACCACCGTTCTATTCAGAAAGACCCTCCTAGGCCCCATCTGTGCGCGTGTCAGATTGCGGTGGCCCAGAATTCCCTGGTCATTCCCTCAGGCACAGTGTGAGCACATTCTGACTTCATGAAAAGAAAAAGAAAAAAAAAAAAAAGAGATGATCCTTTTTCTTTTCATAAAAAACAAAGAGAACTAGATTATGTATTTGACCATTTTTAAATTACAAAGATAGAACACAATGGAAAAAACTGAATAATACACAAGTGTGTAAAATATCAGGTAGGTTTTTCCCTTATTCCGCTCCCTCCTCTCCTCCCCAGCTCCCACTTCAGGGCTTCCTATCTGAATCATTGCATGTGCTATATTGCCTCAAAATAAAATCCAGTAACCAGTAGCAGCAAAAGCCTCACCTGGGAGCTTTCTAGGAATGTAGCGTCTCAGGCCCCACCCAGACCAACTGAGTCAGAATCTGTGTTTTAGGACACTCCCCAGGAGATTGATATGCACTATCAAGTTTGAGGGGCAAACTCTTTGTGAAATTAGAAGGAAAAGTTGATTTCCCTTCTCTTCATCAGGAGTATCAGTTTCTTGAGTCCTCAAATGTTGCTGCTCTCTCTGGGCTTGTTGTACTTGCCCTGTCCTGGAGGGGCGGGGCTCATCTGTACCTGACTGTGGACCATCCTCTCTGCTCTACAACCGATCAATCCCCACCCAGACAAGTGGTCACCAGCCAGCCTGGCTGTTTGCAGGTCCCACCATTCATTTAGCACTCTCTGTCCTCAGATTTCCAGGAAAGCAAAACAAAATGTCAGGACAGAAGGAACAATCCACAAATTGTGCTTTCTTGGGCACCCCTCCAGCCATTCACACCCATTTGAATGGATTCCAGCTCTCCTGGTGTGTTGCTCTGAAGCTGCTAGGGAAGGAGGCCCACCAGCTTCTTGTGATAGATCACCTGGATCTCACTAAATGCTCATTCCTGGCATCACTGCTGCTGGGGAGCAGTTGGCTAGGTTGTTGGTGGAGGTCTTTTATCGGGGACTGGTGTGAGGAGACTAAAGCAGAGCTGCCTTAGAGATGATACTCACATTTTCTATAAAACTATGCATGCTGGAGGGCCAGGTGTGGTGGCTCACACCTGTAATCCTAGCACTTTGGGAGGCTAAGGCAAGTCTATCACTTGAGGTCAGGAGTTTGAGTCCAGCCTGGGCAACCCAATCTCTACAAAAGTGCAAAAACTAGCTGGGCGCACACCTGTAGTCCCAGCACTTTTGGAGGCCAAGGCACGTGGATCACTTGAGATCAGGAGTTCAAGACAAGCCTGGGTAACAGGGCTCTAAACAAACAAACAAACAAACAAACAAACAACCAAAAACAAGATATAGCTGGTCATGGCGGTCCACATCTGTAGTCCCGGCTACTTGGGAGGCTTATGTGGGAGGATTGCTTGAACCCAGGAGGTGGAGGTTATGGTGAGCCAAGACAGCACCACTACACTCCAGCCTGGGCAACAGAGTGAGACCCTGTCTAAAAAACAAAAACAAACAAACAAAAAAGCACACCAGAAGGTGCCTTGTGGTATAGGGAGTCTAGTTTGTATGCTGTTGGCATGGATCCAGGATACCTGGGTGATAAAGATTCAAGTTAGTCCTCAAGGCTTCTGACTCATAGTGGGAGGTTGTACTGGTCACATTGGTTATGGATCTTGGAGTCAGGCACACTAGTCCATCTTTCTCCTTTGTGTGGGGTAATGACCACCACAGAAGCTGAAATATTTTGGATGATCTAAAACAATTATTCAGGGTTAAGCCATGATTAGTTCCACCAGGGCTAGTTCCTCTGGAGTTGCAGAAAATTTAACTGAAGGGATCCGAGCGTAGCAAAGCATGTACAAAAATGACTGTCTTAGCTAGCTCAGACTGCTGTATAACAACAACCATAAACTGGGAGGGTTAAACAACAGGCATTTATTTCTCACAATTCTGAAGGCTAGAAGTTCAATATCAGAGTGCCAACATGGTTGGGTTCCAAGGGAGGCTTTTTCCTGCCTTGTAGACAGCTATCTTCTTGTATCCTCACATGGCAGAGTGAGAGATCATGTCTCTTGTGTCTCTTGTTATAAGGGCACTAACCCCATTCATGAGACATATACCCTCATGGCCACATTGCCTCTCAAAGGCCCCACCTCCAGATACCATCTCATTGGGGGTTGGGGCTTCAGCATACACTGCAGGGGGAGGAAGGAATACAAACATTCAGTCCGTAGCAAGTACTAAGAGGATGATGTATTTTAGACCCACTTATTTATTTACTAATTTGACGCATCAACTGAGGAGAGAACAGGCCAGTGTTTTAAAGCCATGCTTTATTGGATATACCCAAAACTCCCTTCCTTCACTGCCAAGATTTTGATACACTCATTATCTCACCCTTACCTCCACCATTTCTACTTAAAAATCAATATATTGTGTTTATCTCCATCAGTTAAGACAATTTTTTAGACTTTTATTTTCATGCTATGAAAGTAATGCTTGTGTTTTTCATTTTTCAACCATAAAAACATATGATTGAATATGTTTTCTTAAATTACATGTTGTCTCCATGTCCCACCAGGGGAGTTTGAGCCACTCCTTTATGGAAATGTGCTCCTGGAAGTGAATCACTATCCTAGGAATCTAGTGCAGGTGAAATTTTAAAAGTAATGATCTTGCAAAGATCATGCTGGAGAGCTCAGAAAAACAACAAGGCAGCTTCTTTCAATAGATAAAGAAGACAAGACAAAGGAGAGGTATAGATAATAGAGTTTGGGGTTATTCTTTTACCATTTCTCAAATTTGCTTTCCACCAAATCCCTCCATGGATGAAATATGAATCTGGGAAGGTGCTTGGCTATTTCAAAGTTATAATTTCAGCATGCTTGTGAATATTTGAAATTTCTTTCATAAGTAACCGATTTATTGTTCCCATTGAAAGTGAGTTTTAAAAGCCCTGGGAGATGCCCTTCAGAAAAGAAACTTCTACTGATGTGTAAATGATTGATGGTGGTCCTTCCTTAAAGTAGATTTTGAGGTGTGGAGAAGAAGAGAGCATGAGAGCTTTGTGTATCTGAGAAAAAATGTTTGCAAAAAACACAGAAAGAGCAGACACAGGACATGAAAGACAAGTGTGGCTAGTGTCACAGTTATTCTGTAGGAGTTTTAGTGTTTCAAGGTTATCTGACAGCTTATTTCCAAGTGCAGGTGGAGAGGGACAAACATGATGTTTCCACTCAGTATCCCAATAGCATCTGACACATAGTAGGTGCTCAATAAATGTGGACTGGATCAACACATTCTTAAAAATATTACTTAGTGTTCTTCTCTAATTCTTGCCACCTGTCACAAGTGAAATAATGCTTGGTGGGCAGATGGTTTGTAACATCCCAGAGGCTCAACTTGATGTTCAAAGTTCATCTGAACATCCTAAGAGAATTTTTGCAGAAAAATGATTTTCACAAGATATCTCTAAGGCACATAGAATAAATGTCAGAAGCCTGATCTTAGCTTTTGTACTACTACTCTTCTGAAATTCTCTAAGTCTCCGTTTTTCATCTGTCAAAAAGTAGAAATGAATATTTCATCAAGTTGTCATGAGGATTACATGAGACATGTAGGGCACAAGGCATAGGGCCTGGCACCTTGTAGGTGTTAAAAAAAATACCGTTATCCCAAGTCATTCACGCTATGAAAATAATGCTTGTGTTTTTCATTTTTCAACCATAGAAACATATTATTGAATATGTTTTCTTAAACTACATGTTGTCTCCACATCCCACCAGGGGAGTTTGAGCCACTCCTTAATGGAAATGTGCTCCTGGGAGAGAATCACTATCCTAGGAATTTAGTGCAGGTAAAATTGAGTGGGGATCGGAGTTCCCTGCCACTTTATATTCCTTTGGAGTAATGGCTTTTAGGCCTGTGGATTTGTTTATGAGTGATATATTTCAGAAACATACAGTGGTCCTTTATGGGGACATTGCTTCCTTCTCAAGGTAGGGTGAGAAGGTTGGCTTTTGATGAACCTACTTAGGAGTGTGACTCAAACCAAAGGTGTAACTCAGAGGTACTGGAATCTCCTTACCCTGCGAAGAGCCTGAGATTTAAGGCAAATATTATAATAGTGTTCGCAGAAGCAGTGGGCTCTCTTAGGGCTTGGCCTGGTGATCTTCAAGCTAAACACAAATATATCTCATTTTATCATGCTTTGCTTTATTGCACTTTGCAGATACTATTTTTTAGACATTGAAGCTTTCTGGCAACCCTGCATTGAGCAAGTCTATCGGTGCCATTTTTCCAATGGCATGTGCTCACTTTGTGTCTCTATGTCACATTTTGGTAATTCTTGCAATATTTCAGATTTTTTTTATTATTACATCTATTATGGTGATCTGGGATTAGTGATCTTTGACATTACTGTTGTAATTGTTTTGTGGCACCATAAACCATGCTCATATAGGTTGGCAAACTTAAAAAATATTGTTGGTATTCTGAGTGCTCCACCAGTCTACCATTCCCTCATCTCTCTCCCTCTCCTCAGGCCTCACTATTGCCTGAGACACAACAATATTGAAATTAGGCCAATTAATAACCCTACAGTGACCTCTTCTTAGTGTTCAAATGAAAGGAAGACTTGTGTGTCTCTCACTTTAAATTAAAAGCTAGAAATGAGTAAGCTTAGTGAGGAAGCATATCGAAAGCTGAGATAGGCCAAAAGCTAGGCCTCTTGCACAAAATAGTTAGCAAAGTTGTGCATGCAAAGAAAAATTTCTTGAAGGAAATTAACAGAGCCACTTCAATGAACATACTAACGCTAACAAAGTGAAGCAGCCTTATTGCTTATATGAAGAAAGTTTTGGTGGTTTGGATAGAAGATCAAACCAGCCCCAACATTTCCTTAAGCCAAAGCCTAATCCAGAGCACAGCCCAGCTCTTTTTAATTCCGAGAAGGCTGGGAGAGGTGAGGAAGCAGAAGAAATGTTTGAAGCTAGCATAGGTTGGTCCATGAGGTTTACGGAAATAAGTTGTCTCCTTAACATCAAAGTGCAAGATAGATCAGCAAGTGCTGATGGAGAAGCTACAGCAAGTTATCCAGAAGATCTAGCTAAGATAATTGAGGAAGGTGGCTACACTGAACAACAGATTTTCAATATAGGCAAAACAGCCTTTTTTGGAAGAAGATGCCATCTAGGACTTTTGTGGCTAGAGAGAAGAAGTCAATGCCTAGCTTCAAATCTTCAAAGGGCAGGCTGACTCTCTTGTTAGGGGCTAATGCAGCTGGTGACTTTAAGTTGAAGCCAATGCTCATTGGCCATTCGGAAAATCCTAGGGCTCTTAAGAATTATGTTACATCTACTCTGCCTGTGCTCTATAAATGAAACAACAAAGCCTGGATGACAGTACATCTGCTTCTAACATTAGTTGCTGAATATTTGAAGTCCACTGTTGAGACCTACCACTTAGAAGAAAATATTCCTTTAGAAATATTACTGCGTATTGACAATGCACTGAAACCCTAGAGCTTTGATGGAGATGCACAAGGATATTCATGGTTTTTTTTCATGCCTGCTAACGCCACATACATTTTGTAGCCCATGCATCATTGAAGCATTTTGACTTTCAAGTCTTATTACTTAAGAAATACTTTTTATAAGGCTATAGCTGCCATAGGTAGTAATTCCTCTGATGGATCTGCACAAAGTAAATTGAGAAACTTCTGGAAAGGATTCACCATTCTAGATGCCATTAAGAACATTTGTGATTCGTGGGAGGAGGTCAAATAACAATATTAGCAGAAGTTTGAAAGAAGTTGACTCCAATTTTCATGGATGACTTTGAGGGATTCAAGACTTCAGTGGAGAAAGTAACTTCAGATGTGGTAGCAATAGCAAGAGAACTAGATTAGAAATGGAGCTTGAAGATGTGACTGAATTTCTGCAACCATATGGTAAAATTTGAATAGATGGGGGAATTGTTTCCTATGGATAAGAAAAAAAGTAGAATCTATTTCTGGTGAAGATGTAGTGAACATTGTTGGAATGACAACAAAGGATTTAGAATGTTACATAAACGTAGTTGCTAGAGCAATGACAAGGTTTAAGAGGATGGACTTCAATTTTGGAAGAAGTTCTACTGTGGGTAAAATGCTATCAAACAACATCATATGCTAGTTGTGAAAAAAAACTTAATCGTTTTATTTTTAAAAATTGCCAGAGCCGCCACTTGGATCAGCCAGCAGCCATCAACATCTAGGCAAGCTCTTCCTCCAGCAAAAAGATTACAAGGCTTAGATGATTGTTAGCATTTTTTATTTTTAAATTATTTTATTTTATTTTATTTTATTTCTAAGACAGGATCTTACTTTGTCACCCTGGAATGCAGTGGCAAAATCACAGCTTACTGCGCCCTCAACCTCCCAGGCTCAACGGATCCTCCTACCTCTGCCTCCCAAGCAGGTGAGACTACAGATGTGCCTCACCACACCTGGCTAATATTTTTTTTTTTTTTTGTAGATGGGGTTTTGCTATCCTGATCAGGCTGGTCTTGAACTCCTGGGCTCAAGTGATTCGCCCACCTTGGCCTCTCAAAGTGCTGGAGTTACAGGCATGAGCCACTGTGCCCAGCCAATCATTAACATTTTTTTAGCAATAAAATATTATAAAATTAGTGTATGTGCAATTGTTTTTTAGACATAAGGCTATTTCATCCTTAATAGAATGCCTTATTTTAGTGTAAATATGACTTTTATATGCACTGGGAAAGAAAAATATTCATGTGACTTGCTTTATTGCAACATTTACTTTATCACAGCAGCCTGGAACTGAATCCACAATATCTCCAAGGTATGCCTGTATTCAAGTATCCAGAGCCTGGAACATGAGCTTATTAGCAGCAAGGGGCTGTGATCTTTTCTTTGTGACTGCACAGCTTCTAGTCCAGGCCTCCTGGGAGCTGATAGATATTTGCTGAGTGAATAAATGAATGCCCAAATGAAGGCTAACCAGGGACATGAGCTAGAATGGTGAAGACTTCAGACAGGAAACCAGCCCAGAGAGAGGGAGGCTGGTGATGGATGGGGACAATGCCAGAATGCTAAATAGAAGTAGTGCAAAAAGTCACACACCAGAGCAAAGGCCACACCCGGGCCAATTCCCACACAGGTTTTTTGTTGTTGGTGGTTGTAGTGCCCCCAAATTCTACATTCTAAAGGGAAGCTATAGATTTTCTTGGTGGCCCTTCAAACAGGCAGCTTGGTCCTGGCCTTAGAGCATCCCAGGAAACTATAGAGAGGTGGATTGACCAGAGGCCAAGTGTGGGTCGCCTTTGGTGCTAGGGTCTCTGACTCTGACTTGCATGACTGCATTGCATACTTCCTGTTTTGAGCAGAGACAGAAATCTTGAGGTCATTTGTGTGTGAGGCAGCTTTGGGCTCTTTTTTGCACAGTAGGCCAGAACTATTGCAAAATGCTTTTGATCATGTCATTAGTAGCAGTTCTTTTTTTTTTTTTTTTTTCTCTCTCTCTCTTTTACCTTCTTAATTGAGACCCACCATTTGACACTGGAAGATTACACTCAATGGGCATCATAGGCCCACAAAATAGGTACACTCAGACTCAAGCAACATTTATTTGTTTATCCTTAAAAAGCTTTTATTATGGAAACTATGAACCATCACATACTCATTTAATATCTTCAACAATTATCAGCTCCTACAAACTGCTTCCCCCTGAAGATAATTCAAACAAAATATAATTTCATAATCTAGAAGCTAAAAATTATTATCATCATCACTACTACCATTACCACTACCACCATCACCATTATCCTCAAAGCTTCTTTGAGAGTCTGGTAAGAATTATAGACTTCATCATCAGAAAAATGCATCTGCCTGCCTGTACCCCCAATCCTTTGTACCATTGAAGATTTTCAAAATTCTTGAGGTTTTGCTAAGGACTCATGTTAAGAAACCTTGCTCTGGACTGAAGTAATCAGTTCTGGTCTTAATTCTTGGACCTCCATCAGTGAAGAAGACTGTTGATTAAAGCAAGGACAATGTGATGTTCCTCAGCAGAGTGAAGAAACACAGGACCTCCAATCCTGATTCATTACTTTAGTGTGTTTCTGAGGAGTTACTTGCATTACTATGAAGCACAAATTATTATTTTCATTGAAGGTGGAAGTATCTCAAAGCCTTTAAAAGTAATACTTATGAATATGTAATAAAAAGTTAGTCTGGGTTTATTGAAGTAGCAGGTACTTTTAATGAATATTAATGAAGAAATATGAGACTAAAAACGATACTAGGTTATAATACTAATGCACTGAAATTGAGAAAGATAAATTTTAACAAAATGATTAAAGTAATTGATGCTAAAATAATTTTTATATGTTCCAAATTTTTTAAGGGACAAGAAATTACTTTGGAATTAAGCCAGCAAATGATGTGTTTAAATGCCAGCCTGGCTACCGTTGTGTCATTACTAACTTTCATTAAGTATTGAAAAATCTATATGGGGTGTATTTCGATTTCCTAATTTTGCTCGTTTTAAAAGAGAAAAGTTAAAAAGGGGAATCCATCACCAGCCTGGTATTTAAGCTCACAATCAAGATGACCAGCATAACATTTAAGATACAAGCTGCTGAAAATAATTGATCACCTTATGTGCAGACAATTTATTAACATATGGCAAAGATTATAGGCATAAATATGAGAATCAGCATAAAATCCTCTTGCTTAAAAGTACTAAACATTATCATTTAAAAAACAGTAGACATTATTAGGTAACCAAGCAGATATCTTCTCAGGTCTTGGGAATGATTTCCTTCCATTTCTGCCATCTACCTTCTCTTCTGCTAAACCCACCTTCAATTCCCTTTGCAGTGGTAGTCAGGCTTCCCCATTACCTAAGGGTTCTCCTTGACCATTTAGAAAGATAGTGATGGCAATCACTTAATTAACTACATCATTATCTCCTAAGTGGCTTCACCAGGGAGATCTGAGCTCACCTTTGGGATCTTTACCTATTTTTTAAATCACTCTATCATCTTCAGCCTAGTATATTTAATAGAATTAAGAGTAAGCATGCTAACTTCTGACTTGGTCTCTCTCTCTCTTTCTCTCTCATTCCACACACACACACACACACACACACACACACACACTCTTTTTCCCTCTGTGTGAGCTCAGACTTGCATTACCGAAATAATGTATATCCAGAATTTCTAGATAGTAGGAAAATTTTGAGCGTGTCTTTAGTTGGCCATCTTTCTAGAACTACAAGCTTGTCTTAGTTTGCCTCTATCTTTGCTTGGCCTTGTGTAGTGTTGGCTTCATCCTCAGATTCCACAATATAGTTTCTAGAAAGATCTAGGCTTCTCCCTTATGGTATCAGGAGGACACCAACAGTTCCAGGTGTTCACATCAACAAATTTAGAGTAAAAGTGATGGTCTCTTCTGGTAGTTTTACTGAAAAAGAGAATAATTTCACTTCCCTGGAAACTCCCTGGTCTCACTGGCTGACATTGGGCTGTATGCCCCTGAGCCAGTCACTGTGGCTGCGGATGGCATATGCTGAGTGGCTGAAGCCCTCAGGGAGCTCGCCCCCACACTCTTCAAGCCACGTGGGTGATAATGGGACAAAAAATAACAGTATTCTGTCCAGAAGGAGGGTAAATATGTGCTGGACCGCCAGTAGGAGATGCCCATTTTGCTTTCCTTTTTTTTGTGAGGCTGAGTTTCACTCTGTCACCCAGGCTGGAGTGCAGTGGCCTAATCTTGGCTCACTGCAACCTCCACCTTCCATGCTCAAGTGATCCTCCCACTTCAGCTTCCCAAGTAGCTGGGACTACAGGTGCATGCCACCACGCCTGGCAAATTTTTTTGTATTTTTTTTTATGGAGACAGGGTTTCATCCTGTTGCCCAGGCTGGTCTCGAACTCCTGAGCTCAAGCAATCCACCTGCCTCAGCCTCTGAAAGTGCTGGGATTACAGGTGTGAGCCACCATGCCCAGCCCATTTTACTTTCCTTTTCGCTTTTACCTGGCCACATGTTTACTGCGATGTGTCCAGGTTCTTGTTATGCCAAAATGTGGGGGTTTGCAATGGTGGGGTCATCAAATGGGGATCAGGAAAAAGATATGCAATATCTTCATCTGCAGGCAGAGAAGTTGTGTTATACTGTTATTTAGTTAAGTCTGTTATTAGGACTTAAAAGACCTACAAGTCTAAAAGTCAAGATAGAAAGCAGAGCGTTTGTAATACCTGTGGTTGATGGTACTAACGCTATCATAAATAATCATAATAACACAGCTGTATAGAAACTTACCATTTATAGAACACTTTTACACTCATTTACATTTAATGGTATATATAAGGCAGGTGTGAATTTCATTCCTAGTAGCAGAATCCCCACAAACATACCAAATAACCCAGTAACTTGTAGAAGTAACAGCTTGTGCTAAAATTAAAATGTTATTTTGGCATGTAAGTAAATATGTGCTTCAAATTATAACACATTAGCTACTCAAAGGTTTATGTAAAAAAGATATTTACGATAACAAAAATTGAAAACTCTATGAATATTGAACACTAATAGAATGTCTCAATAAATCATGATATCCACTCCCTTGCATTATTAGTAGATGATTTTAAAATCATGCCCTTAAAGAATGTCTAATGACAGGAAAAGTTCATTATATAAGTGATAAAAGCAATTTTAAAATCTGAATGAGCATATATATTCAGTGTGTTTCCAAAAACAAACACATATGAATGCAAAGTGTGCACAAGCCTAGGGTAATTCTGGGAATATTTGGGAATTGTTGTAGCTGGGTCCAGCCAATCAGAATGGACACCTCTGTTCTCCATTGGTGTGGCCATGCCAGTGTTTACTGACTCATTATCTATCCTCAAAAAACCACCAGTGAAAAGATTATGAGATTGATTTTTCTTTTCTTATTTTAATCTTTAAAAAATTTTTGTGTCTTTCTCTGTTTTCTAAATTCTGTACACTGAGAATGTGTTGTTTATAGTAAGAATTAATAGAAAAGGATATGATGCCTTAATATTCCTTTTAGTGAAAGTAATTTATAATTTCTTAGAATTATACAATGTTTTTTGCATTCTTTTCTGTTTCTGTAGCCCTTTCTCACCCTTCACTGAATTTGTCTGGACTAAAAGTCCATGCAATTTGCAAAGAATACCGGGAATGGGCCAAAAGATGTGCTTTTTGAACTGCCCAACGAAGCCAAACTAAATCAACACCATAAAAAAGAAAAGTCTACCATCTCTTAGTGCTTATTGGTGTGAAACCACAATGTAACCAGTTGTATTTTTAGTGGAGGAGTCTTACAGGCCAGCCTACCTATTGACTATAAAATTCTCTTCTCTGTCAACAGAGGAAAATAATTACAGTATTCATTTAACTTTTACTATGCACTGGGCTCTGTTCTAAGCCCTTCTCTGAGATTATTTCCTTTCATCCTCACAACCACCCCACCAAGTAGTTGCCATTATTGCCTTCATTTTATAGATGAGGCTTAGAAAGTTCAAGTAATTTGTGCAAGGTCACACAGCTAGCTGTAGCGGAGCTGAGATTTGATATGAGAGTCTGACTCCACAGCTTGTGCTCTTAATCAGTTCATTACCCTGACATCATTATTTCATTTGTGTGTGTAAGAGCCAGCATCGTTCTGAAAATAAGAGTGCAGACACGCTATACTTACACACACACACACACACAAAAGAACATACTGTAGTAGATGCTTAATAAATGATAGATAAGGATACTTATTGTTATTAAACCTGTTGGCATTTTAAAATCCTTCTAGTAGACAATGTAGCATAGGACATGGAGCCTCTCGTCTTCAGGGTCTTCTTGCTTTCTACACTATGCGGTGGTATCTATGGTCTTTAAGCCTCAGTTTTCTTTCCCACTGAATGGAGATAGGAAAGATAACTTTCAGCGCAGTGTGAATTAAACAGGTAAAACATATAAAGCCCATAGACTAAAGCCTGGTACAAAGTAAGAGCTCAATCCATATTAGTTGTTTCTAAGTGAAATAACTTAGAGATGGAAATATCTGCCCCTAGGAAGCTACAAAAAGAGGTTTATACCTGTTCATCAGTAAGGCTTCCATGACGTAGAAAGGGAAGGCACAGAATCACAAATCATAAAGGTCAGCATGGAGCATTTAGTTATTATCTTCACTTCTGTGTGCCTGATATTTATTTGCACTATATATTCCCTATTTTTCCCCCTTGAATAGCCTCCTCCTAAAAGACCCTGCTTTGCTCTGTAGTTTGGTTAAGACAGTCCCTAATCGATTTTACATATACTGCTCTTATGTTGTTTTAAGATTAGAGTGAATTTCAGCTGGCAAGGGTTTTCATGATTGCTTGTAAGTTCTATCCATTCATAATATGGCTGAAGTGAAGAGAAATGTAACCAGTAGTTTAAAGTTAACATGGTACGAGGCTAATGGGGCACTAATTGAGTAGTGAACGCCTAATTAGGAATCACGGAGGGCTTGAGCTGGCATGTGGCGAGTGAAGGTTCCCAGTGAATGCTGAGTTGTGGATTTTGGAAAAAGGACTAACTAAGCTTAGACGTGTCTACACTCTTCTTGCAGCCCAATGGGCCTTGTCATTCCAAATTTTCTTTGCAAGTGGCAGCTTCTGGGAAAGAAATTCTTATTTGTGGGCTTGAAAAGGTGGTAAGACAAAGTGCTCCCTCTCCTCCTCCACCCCCCACCAAGGATGAAGAGGACAAGCAATTGATTTCTGAGGCAGGCGATCTCTAAATGATTGTGTACTCCCTGATAATTTGGGGAGCTGCTAACATTTATGGAAATGGGAATATATTTAAATTCAAACATATAATTTCTAGCTATTTCCAACCTCCCATATGTGTATCGCCAAAAGTGAATTTTGAGAGCAGTAGTGGGAAAATACTGCCTGGGGATAAAGAAAAGTTACTGCAGGAGTCTGGTTTCTATATTAATTTATTTCACAATAAGAGCAAATTCCTTTCCCTAGGGGAGTATTTGACAGAGTAATTGCACTAGGGAACAGTCACTGTTTCATTTCGTTTTCTTTCTCTCTTTTAAACTTTCTTTGTGAAGCAGAGTGTCATAAATCTTCCTGAAAGAGCAGCTTAAGCAAGATATGTGGGCCGTGAGATACAGGTTTTATTTGTGTGTGTGTGTACAAGTATATGATGAATATATACACATTCACTCATTCATTGTTGGATTTCAGAATGACATTTTCAACAATTAAAAGTGAAAGTTAAAATTTTTGAGATTAGAGGTACTATGAAATGCATCTTTCCAGATTTAGAGAGGGTAAGAGAACACATGCCATCTACATATTACTGATCAGGAGCAAAAACCATAGACCTAAGCTTGACTTGCATTGCTTCTGACCCAAGTAGTAATGATTTTCTTATAAAGATTTGTAAACATTTCAGTTGTATCTATAATACAAATTTTAGTCAACAAACTCCTATACCTGTGATGGTTTTAATGGTCAATATCCAGTTATTAATTAAAAAAATGCTTAAAGGTAGACAGATCTGAGAGGCATGTCTTTCTGAGCTCTAGCGTTTGATTGAGAACTGGGCTCCAGTATCCTGTAAAACGCAGCAGCCTCCTGGTTCCAGACTCCTTCGCACCATCCCCAGGGTCTTAGTACTGTCACAGGCTCTTGTTAAGGTCTGGAAAACCTCTAATAAACTCAGCTGCACCAAGGTTTAGAGACTGAAGATGCTGTTCCTCCCAGGAGCATTTGTAGCTGCAAAGACAACACAAGCCAGAGGGACGGATTCCACTATTAGAAACATGGAGTTTCATGCGTGAGGAGGATGTATTTCAGGATGGGAGGTTTTCTGGCATACCTCAGTTATTATCATGAACAAAGCATGCACGTAATGCTCACATGCTGCATTCTGCAAGGAAAACGAATGTTTACAAAAATAAAAGCATTACAAAAAGTTTAAAAAGTAAGAGAGGTAATCAAAGGCACCAAAAAAATAAGAAGAGAAAAATAAATTGATTCTAAAGGGAGGAATAACAGTTCAAACAGACATTACATTATGATATTATTACCATTATTTTCATTACTACAAAGACAATATAACACCAAGAAAGTTAGGAAACTGACAAAAATAGTTTTCATACTCCTTTTCCCAGTAGGAAAATTACTCTTTTTTAAAAAATTATGTTCCAACAATCTCATTTTCTAGATTAAGAAACCGTTATTGAAAAAATTAACTCATGTGCTGATGATTACCCAGGTCAGACAGAACTCACCAAGACTGACAAACAGGACCTACTTTTAAGGAAGCGTTATAAATTATTTTGGAAAGTACCTTGCTGATTTTCAGGTGCCATCAACTCATGCCAGCCTGTGTCCAATAAAGACTCCATGATCGAAACATTGCATTGGATTGCATTCTCTCTGGCTTACAATAGGAATGAGAATCCTTTATGAGCATCTCCATAGCCCTAGAACAAATTATGAAAGGAAAACTGGGACAGATGCCAGCATTCCTAACTCAAAGCCCAGCTCATCCCCTTCTGCACTTTGCTACTTTTATTGATTGAATTGTTAAGTCTAGAATGGATGCTGTTCATAGTTTTCTCTGCATGATTTGTCCTTTTAGATAAGGGTGGTGCTTCTTTTCATGGGAAAATAAGTTTAGGTTGGGAACAAAAAGGAGCAGCTCTGTGGGGAAGTTAATATTATGACCTTTGATAGCAGACGAGACTATCAGAAGGTTGAGTGGGGAGACTGAGTCAGGCCCTGACTTAGGCCTTCACCCTTCCAAAGCCCATGCTGTCAAACACTATGTCAAGGCAGAAAATCCGTAGGAGGCATGGTATTGCTCCTCAATTCTGTGTCTTGCCAGACATTGCTAGTTGAGATACTGTTTTCTCTTGAGTCCAGATAGCCTCAGAATCTTTTCAACACATCACAGTTACTACCAACCAATGCAAACTGACTGTTTGTGTGAAACCTATTGGCCACCACAACTGCAAACCTCCCCTGAATTAGGCTTATATGGTGGGTAGAGCCCGGAACATCTGCCTGGATCACTTATGTGAGTTTGTGAGCAAATGCCTTAAACTTTCAGAGCACAATTCTCCATATTATAAAGGGGAAAAATCCTACCCCTTTCCAAGGCTGGTGTAAGGGACACATCAAATAAGAAGACACATTTAAGAGCACCTGGTAAACTGTTCAAATTGAAGGATAATAATAAAAATAATTAGTTTTACAGATGAGAAAAATTGGTTTTGCTTACACGATTCACTCCTTTAGGTATTTACTACTTTTAACCCTTTTAAAAATAAGATTTAATATGCTCTTATATTAATTATCTCATTTAAAGCCTAGACACACAGAAGCAGGGATAGTTGCTAGAATTGTGGCATGAAGTTCCGCTAATGATTTTGTTTTCAGTTGCTCCCTTTCTACATAATAATATTGTTACCTTTCCTGGATACATGAGGGTTTCTTTAATTACTGTGAAGTAGGTCCCTTTTTGTTTCTTGGGTAGTATAGCTTCATCTCTCTTTCCATGCTCATAGCATGGGGAAATTGAGGAGCAGGACTATTTACAAAAGCATGAGTAAGGTGAAAGACCACCACCAAAGGAAGTGCCCTACCCTAGGGCTAAAATCAGTGGGGGAACTGTTACCTCTTGGGCTTGCAGAGGGACAGGAGAGGGCGGTCACTACAACCCGGAGAGGATGGCCATTCAGAACCCTGGCCTTTGGCAGAGGAATAACTGCAGCTGGTGCCACCCTTTGACCCAGTAGAAAGGGAACCCAGAGCTTAGAAGGCACAGGAGGTGTTGGTGGGATCCTTGTGCTCTGTCTCTTGGGCACAGAGAGGTGGGCTAGGGAGAGACTAGGGTACACAGAGGACACCCGGAGCAGTAGGCATTCAGAGGGGAGAGCAGAGTGGTGCTTAGAGGAATTAGATTTATTAGGGGCTATGGCAAGATGTAAAGAGTAGAGGAGAAAGAGGACCCTGTGACCCCAATGTCTTGACCATCCAGTTGGGAAGCATGTGGCCTTATATTGTGGAGAGATGCCAGACTGAATCACTCTTCTGGAGGCAACGTGGAGACCCAACATGAAGATCTGAAACCAACCATACATTCTCCTAGGCTCTCCAAGCTCCATCTCTGAAGAGGGTGGGATTACCAGAAAGGTAATATCTGCACTAAACTTCCTTAGTTCCTGATGGAAACATCCTCCCAGGGCAGTGATAGAATCCTCTGTCCTCCATGTTTTACCAAGGATTGAGCTTTTTGAGAAGTCACTCAAAGAATATTTCTTTGCTTAAGTTTCTTCTAGAGATAATGATGATGATTGTGTTGTTCAGAGAGCCTGCCATGAAGTTCTCGAAAATCAGCATTTCTCATAGATGATCACTAAACCATCTTCATCAAAACTACCAGGAATGTGTGTTGAAAACAATGATTTCTAGGTTCCAGGCAGGACCTACTGTGTCAGAATCTGCAGAGGGATCCCAGTCATTTGTTTAACGTAGGCCTTCCAGGTCATTCTTGGGCACCCTAAGTTTTGAGGGCCACAGCTTTAGAGTTTTGCGCCAGAGAGAACAGTGTTGTTGAGGCCTAAGCGATTGTGATTACCTCATGTGATCATGAACTCTCTGGCAGCATGGTTCAAGCATCTCTCCCCTTTTGCTACTTAAGCTAATTCTTTTACCCCTGTATTAATCACTTACATGTATGTTTAAGCCACCTCAAACATTTTCATTAGTTGACCACGTGTGTATCATTAAAGTTCAGCTATTATAAAATAATAGTTTTTTTCTCCTGCTGACCCATAGACACTTGTTTCAGACCCTGCTCTTAATATAAAAATTTTACTTTAACTTTTGATTTAACTTTCTTATAAAGTTACTTTTAAACTCACACCTTTGATTTAAAAGCTCACATTCTGACTTATCTATTTACTTAGTACAGTTTGACTGCATGCCTAGAATCCCAGCACCCACAACCACCTGCACTTATATTTAAAAACGGGTCTTATTTCTTGAGTATCTCCCTTGGGGTCGGCAGGGGGTCCAGCTATGAGTACAGAAGGTGAGGGTCATTGGGAAGGGTTCCCAGAGATGCTGTGTAAGGCTGCCATGGACGGCTTTATGCCAAACATATTTCCCAGGGGCTTTTGGAAAGTAAAGATGCAGTGAGGATATTCATCTGTTTTTAGTGTCTGACATACTTGATTTCAGTCCTGGCTTTGTCAGTTACTTCTGTGTAGATAACTATGAACATATTTCTTAAGCTCCTGAGCTTTATATGGTTTTAGAGATTTCATTGGAGGAAATAGCAGTAGATTGGATTAATTGAAAATGCTATCACCCCACAGCATTAGTGGTAGATTGGATTAATTGAAAATGAGGAATGAAGCCAGGATGACACTGAGGATGTGTTTTGGAGGTCAGAAAAGGGGACTGTTCCCAGGAGCACCCTCGGGGAGCTGTAACATGTTTGGGGGCTGACCGCAACCAAATTAATTAGGTAGATCCCACTTTGAGCATCCCATGAGCTCTTTTCAGATTGGCATCCTATTTCTCTGTGCAGGTGCCCATTGACCTGTCTCAGTGGTTAGCAAACTATGGCCAGTGGACCAAATCTAGCCTGCATGCCCAATTTTTGCAAATAAAGTTTTATTGGAGCACAGTCACATTCATTCATTCATTCATTCACACGTTGTCCATGGCTGTGTTGATGCTGCAACAGCAGAGTTATGTAGTTGTGACAAAGACCCAAGTGGCCCACAGAGCCTAAAATATTTACTGTCAGGTCCTCTAGAGAAAATGTTTACTGACCCTTGTTCCGGGACAACAAAGCTTTTTTGGTCCCACCTATCCCTTTCCCCAGGGCCCTAGGAGGAGATTGGCTGATCTGCTGCATGCTCCTGATGAAGTTGTTCCTGGTGTCAGCCCTCCCCGGTAGGGTTCTCTTATCAGCATTAGCCTTTAAAGCCTGGTCCTAAGAAGGAAGCGATGTTGAAAGTGATGATAGAATCAGTGGGGGTGCGTTTGGGATTGTGGAGATTTTGTCTTCACCGAAGTCATACTACATTGACAACACACAGAGAATGAACGTATCTTTACTATCGGTGGAACTAAAAACAGCTTTTACTTACAGATCTCCTTCCTTGTCATTAGGAGCAGCATCCTGATGTTAGAAGAGAGGCAGAGATTAAAGTGAAGATAGAGGATAATCGGGGAGATGTGGGGCTACAGCTTAACCCCCTTTGGGCCTGTTGGGTATCTCCTCACTGTCCTGAGTGTTTAACCACCTTGAGGGTGTGGGTGAGTCCTTAAGGCTAATGAAAATTCAGTAATGAAAGGTGAGTCCTGCTGCTTCTTAGGCTAAATGCTAGCCAGATGTGCTGGGCTGCCTTGGACACACCTTCTATTCCATCCCTACCTTCCACCCCACTTCCACCCCACCCTCTGGTGATTGTAGAGACCCAGTGACAGACAGTTTTGGTGTAAAGTTGTGGGGCTGACTCCCCCCACCATCCGAGTCTCTTCAGTCTGGGCAAGGACACCTCCCAGTCCTTTAACCCTCCCACCCATCCCCACCCCCGCAGAAGCTGCTTCCCCTTGGCTCGCTTTTCATACACTTCCACTCCTTTGGATGCCTCTTTCCTTCTGCCAGGGCTGCCATCTCCCTTCGAACCTAGATCTCATGTCTCCTTGCTGTGAATCTTTCCTTGGCTTCCCCAGACAGAATCCCTTCTCTTTCTGCGACCCCAGAATATTTTTCCTACTTTGTTGTAGCTTCACTCAGATGGTGTATTTGCATTTTTATCTCTTGCTTCCCTGGAAAGTGGGCAAGGACTACATCGTTGTCATTTTTGCATCCCCAGTTCCCAGCACAGTATCTGGCAAGCAAGAGAGCACCAGTAAATGCAAAGTAATAAAGCAGCAAGTTTATGAGCATGAGTTAGAATCTGTGGGACTCTGGACAAGTGGCTTAACCTCTTTAAGCCTCACTTCTTCACTGTCATGTGGGAATAATAACAGTTCCCAGCCATAGGATTGTTATGAGGATTAAATGAACTGATTAGGTAAGGGGCATAGCACAGTGCGTGCTACACAGTGAAGACTCAATAAATGTTAGCTAATGCAAGTACTAATAATACCCTCCACTATTTAATTATCTGATATAGTTGACAATAGTACTGATAACAATTTGATGACTGAATGACTTGATGGACGAATGTCTATTTCATTCTCTTTTATTCCCTTGATGGGGCCATGATAAAGACAGTGGTTTGCTACCTAAATGAAAGCATTGTCCTGGGCAGTGAAAGGACCTGATTTCTTCAAAAGTATCTCCTTTTCTGGAAGGCCTTCCCTCCACTTGGGCAAAGTTTAGAATCTCTGAACTTTCCTTTTCTTCAATCAGGTCAGGCACTCCTGTGCAGGGAGGAACCGACACCAAAGGCCAAGGAATGGGCTCCAACACCCCAACTCATTAATATCGTCAGCATCCTAACAAATGGGAGGCCGGAGAGCCAGACCGAGTGGCCACTTGGTCACATGGCGGGGGTCTGCCCTGGGGCCCTGCGCACATTGAGCGGACGGGCACAAGTGCCATCTATATTTCTCTGCACAGCCCCGGCCCCCACCTCCCATGTCAGCCTGCTGAGCGGGCTTGGCCCAGGTTCTTGTGCTTCACAGAGAAGATTTATTCCTCAAGACTGACCTACATGGACGTATGTATCTGAATTCACAAAAGCTTGAGTTTGATGGCAAGCAACGAAAGGTCAGAAGAAAAACAGGCAAGGCATTTAAATCAAAATGATGAAACTGGGTAATTTCATTAGCAACAGTTGTATTTACTGGAAGTCACAGATGGTGCAGTTTAGCTCATAGCCAAGTTTTTAGGACAAAATAAGAATGAAGAAAGAAATATTTCAAGGGAGAGGTGGTTAAAAATTAAATAGGCACCAGATGGCTCAAGATTGTCCTTCCTATAAATTTGGTGAAGGAAGGCATGCTGAATCCAAAGGCTTTCTGAATGGGTTTAGAGTTTGAAAAGGAACTTTAGGAATATATAAGGCCTTTAAAAGAAAGCAATATTAAGTTTGGAATGATATTGAGTGGAGGTGACAGTATTATATAAACCCTATTACATTTTATTTACTTATTATTTATTTATTTAGCATTTATTAGGAACCTCCTGTGGGCTGGATCCTATTTCTAATGTCTGTTAATGATACTAAGGAAGGTTATAGTTTCCTGGAATATTGGAAAGCTCCTTGCTTAGGCTAAGAGGGGGAAAATGTGGATTTGAAATACATTTAGCCATGAAGACACACTTGTTTTTCCTCTGGTACATTTGGTGAGAAATGCTTCAATAATTTCCCATCTTGTAGAGATTAAAATCTAAGCTCTGTACCATGCCCCGAGCCCATCGTGCGCTGGCATTGTCTACTTCTTTAGACGAGGAGTTCGTGAAGTAGTAAGCTGGCGTGCATCAGATCGGGAGAGACCTGCATTTCAACAAGCAACCTAGTTGTTGCTATTGCAAGCTAAGGATTGAGAACTACTGTTCTAGACTCTTCTTTTACCTATCCTCATGGTATCTTCTCTTCAACGTGCTGGGAGCTAGTTGTCACTCTCTGAACTTCTAAGTCTGTTACTCTTACATCTTTGTAATGATATTCCCTGGCATGTTTTTGCAAGTTTGTCCTCATGTTCACCCTCCACATCTGAGTTTAAGAAGCATCTCCCGCTGGGCACGGTGGCTCACGTCTGTAATCCCGGCATGTTGGGAGGCTGAGACAGGTGGATTATCTGAGGTCAGGAGTTTGAGACCAGCCTGGCCAATATGGTGAAACCCTGTCTTTACTAAAAGTACAAAAATTAGCTGGGTGGGATGGCAGGCACCTGTAGTCCCAGCTACTCAGGAGGCTGAGGCACGAGAATCACTTGAACCTGAGAGGCGGAGGTTGCAGTGAGCCAAGATCTCACCACTGCAATCCAGCCTGGGTGGCAGAGTGAGACTCTGTTTCAAAAAACAAAACAAAGCAAAAAAAAAAAAAAAACAAAAAGCAAAAAAAAGGAAGCATCTCCTCTGAGCCAGGTGTAGTAGCACACACCTGTAATCCCAGCTACTGGGGAGGCTGAGGCACGAGAATCGCTTGAACCCAGAAGGTGGAGTCTGCAGTGAGCCAAGATCACGCCACTGCACTCCAGCCTGGGCGACACAGCAAGACTCTGTCTCAAAAACAAAACAAGAAACAAGCAAGCAAACAAACAAACAAACAAAAACCCCTACATTTTAAAGGAAATTGACCTGTTCTAACAAAACTTCCACTAGTTCAGGGTGATCACCAGCAATTTAAATGTCTGCAGTAACCAAACTCATTACTCTTCCGAGGAAGCTCTACACCTTAAAACGATGGAATTTCTTCAACAGAGGATGCTGAGAATGTATACATTTTAAGATTTTATATTCTTTGCTCATTTATTTGCTTTTTTAATCCATTGGAAAAAAATTTCTATTCCTAAATAATTTCAAATTAAGTCACATCAGGCCGGGCGCTGTGGCTCATGCCTATAATCCCAGCACTTTGGGAGGCTGAGGCGGGCAGATCGCTTGAGGCCAAGAGTTCAAGACCAGCCTGGGCAACATGGCAAAACCCTGTCTCTACTAAAAATACAAAAATAAGCCCAGCATGGTAGTGCATGCCTTTAATCCTAGCTACTCAGGAGGCTCGGGCACTAGAATCGCTTGTAACCAGGAGGTAGAGGTTGCAGTGAACTGAGATCGTGCCATTGCACTCCAGCCTGGGCAAAAGAGTGAGACTCTGTCTTAAACAAACAAACAAAAAGACAAATTAAGTAACCTCACATATAAGTGCTTTTGAATGTCAGGGTTCCAAGATCCAATACCCAGTAATGTATAGTGCAAAGCCATCTCCTTATCTTTGGGTCGCTACCACATTTTCTCCACAATTTAAGTTCTGTGTCACTTTACAGTCTCCAACACTATTCCATCTTAATTCTTGGTAATTTCATTATAAATATACATGATGCTCCCAATACATTTTTTAAAGTGAATTAAATAATCTTTATTTTTCTAGGCCCTCTCAATTCCCTGATCTTGTCTTGCTGATGATTCTATCCTACCCTAATTCACCTGCTCACTTTCAAGGTCAAAGCCTAGACCTTGTCATTACTAATAACTGCAGTGCCGCCAGCAATCACAATTTTAAACATCTCCTGACCACTCCTTCTCTCTTTCTAGCTCACATGCTTTTCTACACCAGCTCCAATAGCCGTTCTTCACCTATTAGCCATGAATCCACCAACATTATGTCTCTCTCGAAATTTCCAGAAGCCTTCTATTTTTTCCTTACCATTTCACTTCCTTTGCACACCTCCACCTTCCTAGTTTCTCTCCTGGTTCTTCATTCTGGCTTGCTTAGCCACAAGGCTGATGATATCCAACTCATTATCTACTCCAAGGCTATGCCTGTGCAGCTGGAGAAAACATAAGACCAAATTGAGGTCTTCACCAGAGCCCTCACTGCTGTTTTTTCTCTCTTTCTTGGAGACAACTGTTTCTACTCTCTCCTTGTCTCCTGAAACCCTCAGATATCTTCCTTACACTTTCAGATAGACCTTGCCTTCTACATCGCTAAAGAAAACAATTTCACAAGGAGGAAATCAGTAAAGAACTTCCAGAGACCCGTCACCATCTCTCCCCTCTTCCACCCTGTGCCTGGCCTGATAATATGGACAAAAAGTCAGTGGTGCTGTTTCTCCACATGGGCCCTACCTCTTGAGAGGGGGGTCACTCCAGCTGTCTTCTCCTTTCCCTGTTGGAGGAGCAGCTGCGTCCCTCTCCACTGGCCTTTCCCCACAGCATACGGATCTGTCTGCATTAAAACTCTGACCCTACTTTTTCCTTTAACTGCTGCCACCCCTCCCCTCATGAGCGTCTCTCTCCCCAAGAGCACAGTCTCTGGTTGCTGCCCGATGTAACTGTTGAACCCTATCATCTTTGGTGATCTCAGGATTGAATATTAGGTGATTAGTACAGTGGCATATTGTCTTTTTACTTGTTCTTCAAACAACATTATATTTCAGTGAAGTTATGGGTAATCATGATTTTCTTCCCTTTACTTATTTGTTCTTTCTAAATTTTCTATGATGAATATGCAATACTTTGGTTAAAATGAGAAACAATAAAATTATATAAAAAGAAACACCATATTTTATGAATACTTTACAATCAATTGCATTTTTATAGCAAAAAATTGGCAGTGGGTTGGAGTGGAATGGGCATTGGGATTGGGGCCAGTTCTACTCCTGACTTGCTCTTCAGAAGACACTTAAATTCTCTGAATTTCAGATGCCTCAGCTGTGAAGGGGAGAAACTGCCATTTTCCCGGCTTTCCTTTCAACAATATTGTGAAGGTCTTAAAAAAAAAAAAAAAAAAAAAAGGATGTCAATATGCTTGGGGGCTACATGGATGTAAGCCCCTGTTACTCCTGGCCCAGACATGTGTGAGCTACATGGGTAACATCTTTGTTTTACTAATGAGGAAATGAGCACCCTGAGATGGGACAGGTTTCAACATCACATTCAAGGAGAACAGTAATAATATCAGCTTTTCATGCTTCTTGGCCAGGTTCTTCGCTGTGTCCCAATTTCTTCATCTAACCCACTCCCAAAATATCTAGTGAGAAGGATTCTTCTTCCTTCCACCGAAGGTGATTGTCGGGCTGGCTGACAAGAGGTGGGTACATGAAGGCATCTTGGCCAACCAGATGCTATGCTGATATTGGCTGAAGGTTGTTGAAAGCATTTGGGTTTTAAATATCTGTTAGAAAGAATACTCCTTAGCCATGTGAGATCCTCAAGAAGACTGACCTAATAGTTTGGCTGTGTGCTAAAGTTGCAATCTGGAATCTATGACACCAAGGCCTGCTTGAGTGTGGGAGTTCTGACTCGTGTATGCAGAACCTGAAGTGCTTGTGTTAATTGTTTTTCTCCTAGCCCTTTCTTTGTTTTCTCAATTTTCTTCCTTTGACTTGGTTTAGTTTCTAGTAAGTAGGAAGGGGACACCCCACTGATACTGCAGAGGGAATAGATTTAGCGCATCCCTAGGCTTGACCCATTTTTCATATTAATCACATGCTGGGTGAAGTGCTTTCTTCCCCTTCTTTTGTCCTTTGGTTCAGCCCTTGAACTCTTAGTCCAAGATCTGATCAAAGAAGCCCCGTATTCACTGAGTTGAGTAAATTTCAAGGCATTAAACTGACAAGCAAATTCCTTCACTGCCCAGCCCTCCATGGTTTGCCTGATGGTTTGGTCCCTTCCTCCTAGGAGGGTGCTTATCTCTTGCTTTCTACCAATCAGCATTCCCAGCCTTCACAAGGAAGGGAAAAGCATTTCCTGAATGTCTACTTTGTGCCAGGGATATTCATATACATTGCTTCATTTAATCATCAAGACCCGTAGAAAGCACATATTAGCCCAGGTCATTGAAACCCTTTGACCTTGCTGTATAGAGATGTAGAAGAACTGAAGCTCAGAAAGCTAAGAAGCCACCACGCTGGGATTCAAAGCCAGCTCTACTTCCAGAGCAGAGCTCTTTCCAGCACCTCCAGCAGTTTTTACAAGGCTTTTCTTCTCTAAAGTTTTCCTTGACTACCCTTCTCTCTCTACCCATTAAAATGAATGCAATGGTTTGCTAGCACACTTCCTTGACCCTCATCCTTCCCTACTGAAGAGCACAGATATTTTCAGGATCGTCCTTGAGTGTGCTGGGATGCTGACTAAACCCATCCAGACAGGGACACCTGAAGCTGCTTCCTGCTGAACAAGGGGTTTCCTGGGGGAGGAGAAGGTCTCTACCACCAGGCTTAGAAATGACATGTTGGTTTTCTTGACAATTGGATTGTTAGAGTTTTCAGAGAAAAGAGTCTGAATCCAGAGAAGCACAATTTAAATGTAAATGAATGTTTACATGGGTATTTGGAGGGACTCTGGGGTTGGAATACTGATGTGGTGGTGCTTGATAGCACCCAGGGAGCTGACTTTGGAGGTGCAGGGGTGGAGAATTGCCCCTCCTCCTGTTCTTATCTTGATGGAAAGAAATGGATCTGCTCTGGCTTAAGGGCCGCTCCCAGCCTGTTCATGTCTTCTTGTCAATCAGTTGGTGAAAATTCAACAGTGGAAAAGTACTTATTGAGTTATAGAAGGAGTTGTAGAAATGGCCCCTGCCTCTTGATAGTTAGAGCCCAACCAGACTGCCCTTAGAGAATCTCTTACTGTCCAATGTGATTGTCTTTTCTGCCTCTGACCTTTAAGCTGCAATTTGTACTCTACTCTAGAGGGCTGTTATTCTTCCTCTGCTTAGACCTCAGGGAGCCCAGGACTCAAGGCTTGAGTTTTTGTTCTTGGCCCTACCTTCCTATCCCCGAGATAGCTTGTCTGTCCCCCACTGGATTCAGTGGTTCCTCTTTACTGTTCATTCTTCCCCATACTTGGACTTCTGGCTCCAGCATTCTCCTGCCCAAGTGCTCACATCCTATTCTCGAGGACAGCCTTGTCTCCTTGCAGGTTGAGAGCATGTTTAATCCTGCTGTGTACCCCCTAGGGCAGAGCTGGTAGTAGATGTTCAAAAACTACTGTTTTTTGAAATTCACACACACAGAAATTCACTTTCACAAAATTCACAAGATTAAAAATTCACAAAATCCACATAATTAAAATCCATATACATACACACAAAATTTACTTTCAACAAACATGTAATGAACATGGATGAGCATAAGGAATGGTTTTAAGATTAATACATTAAAACTGATAATATGTTGTCTTAGTCCATTTGTGCTGCTGTAACACAATAGAATAGACTGGATAATTTATTTAAAAAATAGAATGTATTTTTCACAGTTCTGGAGGCTGAGAAGTCCAAGATCAGGGAGCCAGCAGGTTTGGTGTCTGGAGAGGGCCCGCACTCTGCTTCTAAGATGGTGCCTTGTTACTGTATCCTTCAGAAGGGATGAATGCTGTGCCCTCGCGTGACAAAAGGAATGTAAGGACAAAAATGGCAAATGTGATAGAAAGCTTTTTTTTGTTTTGTTTTTGAGACAGAGTCTGGAGTACAGTGGCATGATCCTGGCTCACTGCAACCTCTGCCTCCCGGGTTCAAGCAATTCTCTTGCCTCAGCCTCCCAAGTAGCTGGGATTATAGGTATGCGCCACCACACCCAGCTAATTTTGTATTTTTAGTAGAGACTGGGTTTCACCATGTTGGTGAGGCCGGTCTCAAACTCCTGACCTCAGGTGATCCACCCACCTCAGCCTCCCAAAGTGCTGGGATTACGGGCATGAGCCACTGTGCTTGGCCAGAAAGCCTCTTTTATAAAGGTCTTAATCCCATTCATGAGACAGGAACCCTCATGACCTAATCACCTTCTAAAGGCCCCACCTCTTAATACTTCTGATGTTCCTCAACTTATAATGGCGTTATGTCCTGATAAACCCATTGTAAGTTGAAAATATTAAGTCAAAAATACATTTAGTACGTGTAACCTATCAAACATGTATAGTTTAGCCTAGCCTACCTTACATGTGCTCAAAACACTTACATTAGCCTATAGGTGGCAAAATCATCAACACAAGGCTTATTTTATAATAAAGTGTTGACTATCTCATGTCATTTATTGATACTGTACTAAAAGTAAAAAACAGAATGGTTGTATGGTTACTTTAAGTACAGTTTCTACTGAATGCATATCACTTTTACATTATGGTAAAGTTGAAACATTGTCAGCTGGGCCCTGTATTACAATGAAATATTACACCATATTTTAATATTACCATGTTCTTATTCAACATGAATTTTGGAGGGGACATGAACATTCAAACCACAGCGCCTGTGGAATCACAAGCTCCCTCCTCCTCCCTGCTCCCCGCCAGGCTAAAGGACATATGAAGACAACAGAAGATTTTTCTTCTTAGGTGGGGAGTAAGTTATGATTAAAAATACAGTTTGTTCTCCATTCAATTAATCCAATTTAAAACTATTTATTGAGTCTCTACTATGTGCCAGGCAGGCTGTGAGCTAGGTGTTAAGATGTGACTATAACCTCTTTAGCGGATTCATCTGGAAGGATAGACAAACAGGTTTAAAATGTTTATATGGGCCAGGTGAGGTGGCTCACACCTGTCATCCCAGCACTTTGGGAGGCCAAGGAGTACAGATCACCTGAGGTCAGGAGTTTGCAACCAGCCTGGCCAACATAGTGAAACCCTATCTCTACTAAAAATACAAAAAGTTAGCCGGGCATGGTGGCACGCACCTGTAGTCCCAGCTACTAGGGAGGCTGAAGCCAGGGAATTGCTTGAACCTGGGAGGCAGAAGTTGCAGTGAGCTGAGATCGCACCACTGCACTCCAGCCTGGGTGACAGAGTGAGACTCTGACTAGAAAATATAACAACAACAACAATAATAATAATAATAATAATAATAATAATAATAATAATAATAAAAGGTTTATAGTGTAACGTGACAAGGAGTTAACTCCACATAGGAGATGAGGGCTGCTGGGAGTCAGGGAAGACTACCAGAAATGTATTCTAGAAGAAGGGACCATCTGAGCTTTGTTGTAAAGGCTAAATAGAGATTTGCTAGGCAAGACTGAGAAAGGAGTATGTCAGGCACAGAAAGTTGTGTTCGCAAAGGCTGGGAATGGACAAAGGCAGCTGTGTTGGAGGCCTGGGAGTGGTTACCTACCAGCAGGGCAGTATTAAAGTGCAGGGAGAATGGAAAAGACATGGGGGCTAAGGGAGGACACAGACCCAGAGGGACCCCTGCAGCCCATCTTAAGATCTTGTTTTTTATCCTGCAGCCATATGGAACAAGTGGAGGGCTAACCCAGAGGGTTAGGGATGGCCCTGAGCGGCTATAAAAAGATAGACAAGCACAGGGCAGGGCTGCAGGCTGGCAGACCACTTATGAGCCTGTTGAAACAGTCCAAGAGAGAGATAATGAAGGGGTAGAGACGAGAGAGATTTGACAGATGTATTTTTGCTGTAAAGAAAGAGAAAGAGAAAGAAAGTGAGATACCAGTCCTGTATAATTCATCCTTATTCTTCCAACCCTGTATTGCAAGGAACAGTGTTTGATGCACTGTGGGCTCTTAATAACTATGGAAATGTATGAATAACTCCTTTTTTTTTCTTTTTTTTTTTTTTTAGTCTCACTGTGTTGCCCAGGCTGGAGCGCAATGACACAATTACTCAATGCACCCTCTGCCTCCTGGGTTCAAGTGATTCCCCTGCCTCAAGCTCCTGCCACGAAGTGCAGCAAATTTTTTGTATATTTTTTTTTTCAGTAGAGATGGGGTTTCCCCATGTTGGCCAGGCTGGACTTGAACTCCTGACCTCAGGTGATCCACCCACCTCGGCCTCCCAAAGTGCTGGGATTACAGGTGTGAGCCACTGTGATTGGCCAACTCTAAGTATTATATATAATTCCTACAATTTATTAAAAGAAAAAACAGAGCTGGGTCTTTACATAGCAAGATATTAGTCACCTGGAGACTAGAAGAATTAGCACCAGGCACAGTTAGATTAGCTAAGACACAACTGGATTATTGGTAGTAGAATGCATAACCTTGGATAATGCACTTCAATTATCCAGGATTTGGGTGGAGAAGATACACTTCTCACAGCAGTGTTGTGAGGATCAAGAGAGAAAATATGTGTCCAAATATTTTACAACATATAAGGGCTATAAAAAGCTACAGTTCATTAAGGTGTTGCTCTGGATGGTGTGTTGAGCTCTGATCAACAGGGCTGATCTTGAGAAGTCAACCAGATGGGCAACAAAGCTTTCTCTGTGTCCAGAACTGGCAGGTCCCTATGGGGAACCTAGAGCTATAGCAGCTGCAATTCCTGAAATGTTGCCCTCCCTGCTCTCTACTCTGGTGCTTCCTTTCCTGTGTTTGCTTTTCTTTCTGCACTTGCCTTTGGCTGCCCCTGCCCTGTGGTCACTTCATGGGCAGCACCCAGGATGATGTCACCCTTCTTCTGTTCCAACAGTAACCACCCCCAACTGCTACCACCCAAGATAAGCAGGTGTGGCTCTGGGCCCCTCAGCAGCAGGCCAGTGGAGAGGTGAGACTAGCAGTGTGTGGCCTGGGACAGGAGTAGATAAAAGGCAGCCATGGTAAGTGTTCTCTCCCACAAAAGCATGCTGAGGTGGAAAGGCATGTATGAGTCAAAGTGTGTGTGTGTGTGTGTGTGTGTGTGTGTGTGTATGTGTTGGGGGCGGGGGCGCAATAGTAAAAAACTGTGCTATCACAGCAGAGCAAATACAACCAGCTAAGGTTTAGATGGTACTTGGATTTACAAAGTGCTTCCACTTCTGTTCCATCACAGGTGGTCCTTACAATATCTGGGTAAGGAGGAGCTGTTATTCCTATATTCCTATTTATCTAAAGAAGAAACTGAGGCTTACAAGAGCTCATCCAAGCTCCTCTAACCAGTGGCTGGGAGACTGAAAGCCCAGATCAAGCTTTCAGACTCTATTCTTTCACCGTCTTTGGTGGAGGGACAAGAGGAGGTGCCAGTGCGCCTAGGAAGCTGCATTCTATGAAGGAACCATTTGAAAAGTTAACATTTTCAGTTAATACAATAAGTAAATGCTTATTGTAAAAATTTTAACAGCACAGAAAAGTCTAAAGGAAAAGTACAAATCACTCAGAATCTCACCATTCAGACAAATACTGTGAATTTACCATTATTTCCTTCCATTGTTTCTTCTGTGCTTATGTTCTGTATAGCTGAGATTGCATTTTATATGTAATTATGTATCCTACGTTTCCACTTAACATTATATTATAAACATTCTTCTCTATGATAAAAGAAAAACTTCAGCCGAATTAAATTTAAAAGAGTTTAATTGAGCAATGAATGATTCGTGAATTGGGCAGCCCCCAGAATCACAGCAGATTCAGAGACTCCAGGGGTGTCTCGTGGTCAGAACAAATTTATACACAAAAAAAGTAAAGTGACATACAGAAATTAGAAATGAGGTACAGAAAGAGTGAGATTGGTTACAGCACTGCGTTTGCCTTATTTGAACAGTTTGAACATTCACTAGTCTTTGAGTGGTTGAAGTATAGCCATTGGGAGTGGCCAATACTCAGTCATTGTTACAGGTGCATATTACTAAGTTAGGTTGTCAATTTTGTCAGACTATTAGGCTAAGTTACAGTTCATCCAGAAGGGCTCAAATATAGAAGTACAGAGTCCTTCTCAGGCCATATTTAGTTTGCTTTAACATTGATTATTAAAAGCTCTTGACCGGGTGTGGGTGGTTCATGCCTGTAATCCCAACACTTTGGGATGCCAAGGCAAGTGGATCACTTGAGGCCAGGAGTTCCAGACCAGCCTCAGCAACATGGAGAAACCCTGTCTCTACTAAAAATACCAAAATTAGCAGAGTGTGGTAGTGTGTGCCTGTAATTCTAACTACTCTGGAGGCTGAGGCATGAAAATCATTTGAACCCAAGAGGCAGAGGTTGCAGTGAGCTGAGATTGAGCCACTGCGTTCCAGTCTGGTGACAGAGCAAGACCCTATCTCAAAACAAACAAACAAAAAACCCTCTTGTTTATAACTGTAATTTTTACTGATTGTATAATATTCCTTTATGTGAGCATACTGAAATTGATGTAAGTGTTCTCTATTTATCGATCAGTTAGTTTAGGGAGGAATTTCGTATTACTTTGTTCTTCAGGTTCCACAGACACCAAAGCAGCATCCCAGCTGGCTCCTTGCTTCAAAAATTCAACTCTTTCCATAGATTCTCAGTCTTGTAGGTTGAAACAACTTATCTCTAAATAATCTAACCATTTATTGATTTAAGACAAAACAAGCATCAGTGAAAACAGGGGCTGAGGTGGACAGGGAGGAGGTGATACATAAGTCGCTACCTTTGAAGAGCTTGCAGTATTATGAAGCTTAGATGACTAAAGCCTATGAAACAAGCAAGTTAAGGCAGATGCTCATTGCTGGGCTGTGATCCTTACTGCCAGAAAGCTCATGGAATGGGTTTGCGGGGGCAGAGCCATGGTGATGAAAATAGACAGCTCTCTTACCTGTCTTACGCTTCCTTTCATAAGCAGATCTCTCTCACAGGTTTGTTCCTCAGGAGTGAGTCGTGGTCAGCGACCCACTTGGTGGACGGGGCCTGGAAACTTCTGTTAAGCTTTGTGTTTATATGTTGCATAGCCTGAGTATGACTCTCAACTACAACATCTAACACTTGTAGAGTGTTTTCTGTATCCCAAGCACTCTGTGAAGTACTGCATGAGATTCTTCTTATCTCCCTCACACAGGGAGGCAATGTAGCATAATGGTCAAAGACCCAAAACCAAAACTGCTTTCTGACTGTGTGACTTTAGACAGAGTATTTTCATTTCTCCATCTGTTGAAAGGAGAGACAAAAATGTCTACCTTAGTGCATTGTTGAGAGGGCTAGATAAGACAGGTGGAGCATTTAGCTTGGTAACTGACACAGAGCAAGCATGTACCAAAGGTGAGCTCTTATTACTTAAGCTCCCCAAAACATTTCCCAGGAGGTCCTATTTTTATTTCCGTTTCATGGAGGCTGAAATTGAGGCACATAAAAGTGAGGTGCCTTGCCCACACAGACACAGACAGAGTAGGCCTCTAGAGACTGCACTCTGAATTCTATGCTGTACTGTCCAGAAGGAATTTTCCATCAAGGCACAGGGCCCTCCAAGGAGAAGCAGGGAACACTAACTTTTGTATGTGGTCAGGTCTCGGAAGATGAATGCAGAGCCTGAAAAGGAAAGAGAAGACTAGAGATGTTTGTTTGCCGGGGTCCCAGGCAATAATAAAAGAATTCTCATGGCTGCCAGAAGCCAGGGAAGCCAGCTGTAGTCTTTTGGTCTTTAGAAAGGGAGAAGGATGGGAAACTTAAAATATTTTGGCTGCATCAAAGTGCCCTATGGGATGCTGGCTGATTTACCGATGATGCAATATGTGCAAGTGATTCAAATTTGGTGAAAGAAAATGCTGTTCCTGAACTGGTATCCTGGGGAAGGCCCTGACTAGGGGCACTGGCCTGGGCAGAAAGAGTCAGAGAAAACTTGGTTTTGTTTTAATCTTTCACTTTTTTCTCCAGCCAAGTCGAAGCTTATTGTACCCCTCCCCGATTTCATTCTCCTCCTTTCCTCTCCACTAAAGTATATTTGGTGTGGTGTGGTGTGTGTGTATGTGTGTGTGTGTGTGTGTGTGCGCGTGCATTTATAGAATATGTAGCTACCTATTGTTTTACACAAATATACCAACTTCAGTGTTCTTTTTTTTTCTCATTTTTGTGTTTTTGCAGTCTATGTTGATACACATGGCTCTAGTTCATGTAATTTTTTAAAAAAATTTTCACTTCCATAGGTTTTTAGGGAATAGGTGGTATTTGGTTACATGAATAAATTCTTTAGCGGTGATTTGTGAGAGTTTGATGCACCCATCACCCAAGCAGTATACACTGAACCCAAGTTGTAGTCTTTTATTCCTCACCCCGTTCCCACCCTTTCCCTGAGTCCTCAAAGTCCATTGTGTCATTCTTATGCCTTTGTATCCTCATAGCTTAGCTCCTACTTATGAGTGAGAACATACGATGTTTGATTTTCCATTCCTGAGTTACTTCACTTAGAATAATAGTCTCCAATTCCATCTAGGTTGCTGTAAATGCTATTAATTCGTTCCTTTTTATGGCTGAGTAGTAGTTCATTCATTTTAACTGCTGTATAGTAGTCCATAATGAGAACATTCTATAATGTGTCCATTTCCTTACCAATGGAAATTTCCATTTTGTAAATATTGGCTATTTCAAATAATATTGCAGTGAACATTTTTGTACTATTCTTCTTATAAAGACGTGAGAATTTCTGGTTTTGGTATCAAAGTTATCCTATCTTTTATAACAAGGTTATCATATAAAATGAACAGGATAATTTTTCATTTTTCCCGAATTTCTTGAAACTGGTTAGTGTAGGATGAGATGCTCTGAGTTTTCTTTTCTTTTTAGGGTTTGATAAAATAACTTGTGAAGTCATTTGGATTTGGTTTGCCTTTCTTTTTCAGGAGGATGAGAGTGTGATGAGATTGGAAGATATTTGACTAGGAATGAAATTGTTGAACTAAAAAATAGTCACATTTTTAATTACGAAATTTCTCTTCAAAGTGATTGTATCAATTTATGCACCTACCAGCACTGTATGAGAACTGTTTCCTCATATTCTCTTCCACATTTGGTATTATTTAGCTTACCTGATGACACCTTATACCTGATGATACCCTATAGTTTAAAATTTGCATTGCTTGTTCATATATTTTGACTAATTTTTCTAATGGTATATTTGTCTTTTTTCTTAATGATTATAGGAATTTTATCCTGCATTCAAATCCATATCACAGCAAATATCTTCTTCCAGTTTGTTACTTGTGTGTTTGGCTGTGTATTGTAATTTAGAAATTTTAATCTCTATGTAGTCAAGTTTATCAGTTTGTTTCTTTATTATTTTTGCTTTTTTGAGGTCTTAAGATATTAGTCTTTAACTTCCTAAACATATTATTTTACATTATATTATGATAATTATAAAAGTTTGGGATTTTTTTACATATAGGCATTTAATTTTTCTGGAGTTTTTTTGTGTACAGTATGAGCTGGGTATTCAATTTTATCTCTTTCTATATGGAAAACTAAACATTGACTAGCAATTCAGTTTACTTAATGGTGACTGGTTTATTCAGATGTTCTTACGTTTTCTTGGGTAAATTTTGCATGCGTACGTATATCTATGTGTGTTTGTGTATACACACCTATTTCTGTTTTTATCTATATACTTGTATATAATTTTTCATGTTATCTAAGTTTTTGAATTTATAAGAATTCACTTTTTTGTAGTATTCTTTTATGTATGTGTAGTTCATCCCTTTTTCTTTCTAATTGGGCATCCTTGCTTGAGATTTTCCTTTTCTATTAGTAATGTAACTAGCAGCTTTTAATTTTGCAGATCATTAATATTTTTTCCATTACTTTTACTCTTATTTATTTTCTATTTTCTTTGAATTTAATGTTTTCTTTTTCTTCTTGAACACTTAACTCATTTATTTTCAATATTTAATTTAACACATGGATTTAAGACTATAAATTTCTCTATAATTCTTGTCTTCATTGACTCCCATAAATTTGATATATAGTGCTTTCATTGTTATGCAGTTTGAAATATTTTATAACCTCCATTGTGATCTTTTTTCTCTAATTCATTGGCGGCCGGGTGTGGTGGCTCACGCCTGTAATCCCAGCACTTAGGGAGGCCAAGGCTGGTGGGTCACTTGAGGTCAGGAGTTCGAGACCAGCCTGGACAACATAACGAAACCCCCATCTCTATTAAAAATGCAAAAATTAGCCGGGCTTAGTGGTACACGCTTGTAATCCCAGCTACTCTGGAGGCTGAGACAGGAGAATCGCTTGAACCCGGGAGGTGGAGGTTGCAGTGAGCTGAGTTTGTGCCACTGCATTCCAGCCTGGGTGACAGAGCAAGAATGTCTCAAATAAACAAACAAACAACTCATTGGTTACCTAGATGTGTGATTTTTGCTTTCCAAATTTATGATTTTTTATTCAATTTTATTTTAATTATTTTGTTGTTGATTTGTGAATTCTTTTTAACGTAGAGTCTATGCAATTTCTAAAACAACCTTTATGACCTAGTAGGTGCTCAACTTATGTGTGTGTGAAAAGAATATATATTCTGCACTTGGGTTCTATGTGTCATTGTTAGATCAAGATTGACATTAGTGCTGTTCAAATCTATTCCTTTGCTAATTTTTTTGTCTGCTTGATTGCTGATACGGTTTGGATCTGTGTCCCTGCCCAAATCTCATGTCAAATTGTAATCCCCAATGTTGGAGGTGGGGCCTGGTGGGAGATGACTGGATCATGGGGGTGGTTTCTTATGAGTGGTACTCACTCATAAGAAGTACCTCACTTGGTACTGTCCTCATGATAGCGAGTAAGTCGTCATGAGATCTGGTTATTTAAAAGTGTGTAGCACTTCCCTTGTCTCTCTTGCTCGTTCTCCCACCATGTGAGATGCCTCACTCCCCCTTTGCCTTCCACCATGATTGGAAGCTTCCTGAGGTCTCTTCAGAAGCAGAGGCCGCTATACTTCCTGTACGGCCTGCAGAACTTTAAGCCAATTAAACCTCTTTTATCTATATATTACCCAGTCTCAGGTATATTTTTATAGCAATGTGAGAACGGACTAATACAATTGCTTACTAATAAATGTGTGAAAAAATTCCTGCTATCTGTGTTGATTTGTCAAGTTAATGTAATTCTGTCATTTTTCGCTTTACCTAAGCAGATACTGTTGGGCACACACAATTCATGACTGGTATATCTCCTGGGTGGTTTTTCCCTTTTATCATCATGGTGTTCCCCCTTTGTGGTAGAGAGAGTTAGTACTCTACATTCTTGCTCTTAGGTTGGGCCATGTGACCTGTTCTGGAGAATGAGTTGTGAGGAAAAGTGTGCTTCTTCAAAACTGTGAGGAAAAGTGTGGCTCTGCAGTGCCTCATTCATTTCTCTCCTCCCCTGCCATGGTGATCTGGGAGGCCTTACATTTCAAATGACATAGCTAAAATATGTAACCAGGCCTCCTAACTTATACTGACCATATGTAAGTGAGAAATGAATCTTTTTATATTAACCCACCGGGATATCAGAGGTTTGTTAGTCATAAAAGCTAGCGTTAATTATTTTGAAATATATTCCTTTATGATATATATGTATATCACATATATATTTTAATGCCTTTTTGTTCAAATTTTACTTATCAATTCCTTCATATTCAACCTTGCTTTAAATGTGCAGTTCGAGACCAGCCTGGCCAACATGGTGAAACCCTGTCTCTACTAAAAATACAAAAAAGAATAGCCAGGCATGGTGGCAGCTGCCTGTCATCCCAGCTACTCGGGAGGCTGAGGCAGGAGAATGGCTGGAACCTAGGAGGTGGAGGCTGCAGTGAGCTGAGATCCCGCCATTGCATTCCAGCCTGGGTGACAGAGTGAGACTCCCTCTCAAAAAACAAATAAACAAAACAGAATATTGCTGGATTCAAAAATTCATCTAGGTGTCTCTGTTTTTTAATAATGAATTTAATTTGTTGTGATTACTGATGTATTTGGTCTTATTTCTGCTATTTCATTTTGTGTTTTGTATTTAACAAGCTTTTTCTTTGCTTCTTCCCACCCCAACACCCACCCTGCTTCCTGTTTTCTGTTGGATTGCTTTCATTTTCTCTATTTTCTTCGTTTTTATTTTCTGGTGGTATTCCTGAAATTTTAATATGCGATCTTTTAAATGTACTTTTTATTTCTTAATTTTCATTTTGTAATAATTTTATACTTACAAAAGGTTGCAAAAATAGTACAGAGAATTCCAACGTATCCTTCTTCATCTGCAGATAGTAACGTCTCACATAATCACAGTAAAATCATCAACACGAAGACATTAACATTGATATAATACTATTAACTAATTTATAGGCCTTATTTGCATTTTTCCAATTGTCCCCCTAGTGTCCTTTACCTGGACCAGGGTTTAATCCAGTATCATTTATTGCAGTTAGTTGTTTTATCTCTTTAGTCTCCTCTAATCTGGGACAGTTTCTTGCTTTTTCCTTATCTTTCATGATCTTGACATTCTGAAGAATACTAGCCAAATACATCTCGTAGAATGATCTTCACTTTGGATTCATCCGATGTTTCGTTGTGATTAAATTCAAGTTATGCATTTTGGGCATGAATACCGCAAACACTATGGGTTCTTAGTACTACACGATACCAATTTCTCATTACTGGTGATGTTAACTTTGGTCACTTGGTTATGGTGATGTCTGTCAGGTTTTTCCACTGTAATGTTACCATTTCTCCTTTCCAATTGAGATATATCTTGTAGGAAGATGCCTTGAAACAGGAAAGCATCCTAATTTTCATCTTCATACTCTTATCTGTCACTGTTAGCATCCATTGATGATTCTTGCCTGCAACACTTATGACAGTGTTTGCAAAATGGTAATGTTTCTATCACCATCGCTTCTTTTGTTTTTATTAACTAAAGTATACTATAAGGAAGAGTTTTTCCTTTTTTGCATTTCCTTATTCAACTTTTTTATTCTTATTACGTACTCACTTGTTTTTTCTATGGGCCATAATCCATTATAATCATGATTTATGTTACTGCTTAAAATGTTTCAGATTTGGCCATTGGGAACATTTTCAAGTTGGCTGCTGTGGATATGCCCCCATCAGTTTTTGAGCGTTTCTTTACTTTTTGTCAACATGAGATGTTTCAGGCTCACCTTGTACTGTTCCTGCTCTAGCCCTAAAGTCTGCCATTTCTCTCAGGAGTTCTGGTTCCTATTAGTGGAGACCAAATTTTAAAACAAGATATGGTTGCTAGGTTTGCATTGCTTCTAGATTCTCTTAGTAGACAAAACTAGGACACTGTTCCATGTCAGTTCATAGAGATCTTCTTCTTTCTTCCTATGGCTGCACAGAATTCCATAGTGTGAATGTACCAGAGTTCATTCAATTACTCTTCTGTGTGTGGGTATTTAAATGTTTCCAGGATTTTGCAATTACAAAGAATGTGGCAATGAATAACCTCATGCATGTGTACTTTTGTATTGATGGAGGTGTATCTTCAGGGTAAATTCTTAAGAGTAGAATTACTACATTAAAAGGTAAGTGCACGTGTAATCTATCAGATATTGTGAACTCCAAAAGGATTGTAGTGATTTCCATTTTCACACCAGTATTTGAGAGCAATTGTTTTCTTTTTCACCACCGTTTTGTCAGTAGAAGTAGTCTTTTTGATTTTCACTAATCTGATAAGAAATGGATTGTCATTTTAATTTGCATTTCTCTACTTATGAGTGAGTTTAATATCTTTTTTATGTTTGAGGGTCATATTTATGTCTTTCTTTTGGTACATTGTCTGTTCATCTTTTTCACATTTTTGTATTGCAGTTTTGGTACCTTGTCCCTCAATTTTTAAAAGTTCTTTATATGTTAGTGATATTAGCCCTGTCCGTAGTATCTGCTGAAAGTATTTTCTCTGTCAGTTGTCTTTTAACTTTGCTTATGTTTTGTCTTTCCCATAAATAGTTAAAACTTTAATAATAAATGTTTGTTTATTCTTATTTAAAAATTCTATAGAAACATTTATCCATCTATTCTTTTGTTACCTCTGGATTTTGAGTCATAATTAGAATACTTTTTAATGTATACCATATATATGGGTGACTTTCTGTTTAACCTAAGCATGGGAAAAGTGACCATATATAAACATATATATATATATATATATATTAGTACTTGTATGGTTCTATTTTAAAATTTATATTTATTTGGAACTTGTTTTTTATTTATTTTATGAAACATTTTTATTTCTTGAATGAGGCATGGATCTTGTTTTGTTTCATTCCAAATGGCTATCCAGTTTTCTAAGCATCATGTATTCAAAAGTCTATCTTTAAAGGAAGAAACAAAACAAAAAATAAAAAATAAAGAAACCCAAAAAGCAAAAGTCCATCTTTGACCCAGTTACTTTAGATGTCATATTTTTAATACACTAATATTCCATGTGTACTTGGATCCATTCCTGAGCTTTCTATTATATTTGGCTGGTCTATTTGTCTATGCATGAGCAAATACCATACTGCTTTAATTATATGGGTTTTACATTATAGTTTAATGTCTGTCTGACAGAGTTAGTACCCCCTTATTGTTTTCATTTTTCTGTTGTTTTTGTTGTTGTTGTTAATTTTTTGAGACTGAATCTCGTTCTGTTGCCCAGGTTGGAGTGCAGTGGCGCGATCTTGGCTCACTGCAACCTCCACCTCCTGGGTTCAAGTGATTCTCCTGCCTCCAGCCTCCTGAGTAGCTGGGACTACAGGTGCATGCCACCACACCTGGCTAATTTTTGTAATTTTAGTCGAGACGGGGTTTCACCATATTGATCAGGCCGGTCTCAAACTCCTGACCTCATGCAATCCACCCTGCCTCGGCCTCCTAAAGTGCTGGGATTACAGGCATGAACCACCACGCCTGGCCTCTGTTGATGTTTTTTAAAGTGCTTTCCTGGCTATTCTTACGTATTTTCCCCATATGAATTTTAGTATCAACTGGTGTAACTCACTAAAATGCTTGTTGGAATTTTCTTGAGTTAACATTAAATTTATAAATTAACAAGGAGAACTGATAATTTTTGTGATGTTGAGTCATCTTACTTAAGAATGGATTCTTTCTATTTGTTTAAGTTTACTTTTGTGTCTTCCAAAAGGTTTAAAGTTTTGTTTATAGAGATTTTGCCCATTTCTTGCTGGGTTTTTTCCTATATATTTAATCTTTTGCTATTGTAAATTTCTTAACCATTATTTTCTATAACTGGTTATTATGTATGTGAAGGCTATTGATTTCTGTATGAGCACACATTTTTTGATTTAGCAAAACTCTAACCCTCATTCATTACCTTCACTCTCTTCCAGAACAATATAAGAACTTAAGCTTTGATCTCTGCACTGACACTATTCATTTTATTTTTCTCCAGTGTTTAAGTTCCTCTTTGATTTCTTCCCATAAGAGATGAGGGTCTCACTATGTTGCCCAGGTTGGACTTGAATTCCTGGGCTCAAGGGATCCTCACTTCAACCTCCTCAGTAGCTGGGATTGCAGATGCTCACCACTGCTCCTGGCTTTTTCCCACTCTTGTCGTTGTTATTATGATTAGTACTCAATGCTTATTTAGATGTTTCCAAAAGAAATCTAAGTAAGAAAAATCTCATTTGGATATTTTAGAAATATTCAAAAGATATTTGCCAATATCTTTGCCTAGTGTTACTTTTGAAGCCTTTTTATCATTTGAGGTTCACTGTCTTTCTTCTTGAAATACACTTTTAGCAGATCTTTCAAAAAGAATTTGTGTAGTAAACTCTCTCTTTTTCTGAAAACACCATTGTTTTGTGCTCACTCTTGAATGTTGTTTTAGTTAGATAACATACTCTATTGTCTGGAATCCTTTGTTGTGGCAGAAAGTCTTAGCCTAATGTTACTGCTTGTTAATTTCTCTGTTTCTGAATGGCTTTGTTTATAATACTCTATTGTTTTATTGCTATGTGTGTAGAGGTGGGTTTCTTTTAATTTATTTGTCTAAGAATTTTTATGTTCCTGCCATATGAGGACTTCTTTCTTAAATTCTGGAAAATTCTTAAGTATTATCTCTTTGAATATTAACTCTTTTCTATTTTTTCTTTTCCTGTGTTCTGGAATTCCTAATGTACATTTGGACATTATATCTTCCACGTATTTAACCCTTTTTCATATTTTCTCTTTGTGTTGCATTCTGAGCAGTTTCCTTATATCTATTCTTATAATTCACTTAATTTCTCAATGGTTTTGTCTAGTTTTCTGTTCAACTCACCCATTGGATTTTTTTCACTGACTGTATATTTTTATTTCTAGATTTGAAATTTGATTCTTTTAAATCTTTTCTTTTTCTTGCTGCCTTATTTTTACCATGTAATTTTCATTCCTGCTGTTAACTTTCAAACCGGGGCAGATCAAGGTTTTGAAGAATCTGAAGCCTATACACTTTGGAAGTCCCCTCTTTAAGAAAAGTAATAAATCAACCACATACAAAATTAGGTAAAATAGTGAATATTTATTTAGAACAAGGAAAGAAATCACAACAAATTATGGATTCAGAAAGCTGACAAATACCACAAACATTATACAAAATCCAGAAAAATAACAATATACTTTAATAATTAACTGCCTGACACATCTCTGTAGTTGACATCTTCTTCATATGACAAGTTTATAGTATTTTCTAAAGAGAAAATAGAAAGGTAGTTCAGTCTTTTCTATACCATATTTGATCAAAATGTAATTTTTATTTTTTGTGGTTTGGAAAAGTTAGTTTCATTTTCATACATAGTTATTGGCAATATCATAAATTTCTAGAATGGTTGTAAAATTTGGAAAAAGCTCTATCAAGTTTTTTCTATATATAAGCTGTATGAATTGGAACTTTGGGGGGTTCCTGAAGCGTGGAGACCCTCAAGTTGGTGATTACTTGCCCTAAAGATCATCTATCTGCCTTTGATCCCAAACCTACTGGCTGCTGCGTGCAGTTCTGTCTCATGTGGGAGTAGCAAGGATTTTGGCATGTTCTCAGCCTCATGGCTTGTGAGGCAAGCACAAAGGAACAGCCAGTTACCATGCTGCAGTTGTTGCCCAGTATCTTTCTGGGAGCATGTATGGGGTCTGCCTGCCAGGCTGCACACCTGCTCCAGCTTGCTCATCACATGGCCCATGGAGCAGCAATTTCCCTTATATGAGGTGGTTACACACCTGTTTTCTTTAGTCAGGCAAGCAAATACATTCGTGGCATGAGCCAAATTTCTCCTTCAAAGACATGCTTAGAGCACCTATTGCAGGTGACAAGCAGCAACTGCACCTCTGGGGCCAGGATGGGCCCCTGTGGCTGGCAGGGGTAATCTCTCCCCACACCTGTGTGCTTCATACTCAAGCCAAAAGGACATAAAACACATATTAACTACAATCGCTGCTTTGAGGTTGCTTCCTGCCATTTTGGAAGCAGTGTGCCATGGTGGAGGATGTTCTTGTACATGTTTGATGAGTAAGTGGTACATCCTGTCCTTTTAGTCAGGAGGCATAGTTGTGTAGAATTGCAGTGTTGAAAAGACCCTAAATGTCATCCAGTTGAGCCACCCAGGGGACCAGTGTTATTTGGATGGCTGTCTCTGCCTGTCTGCCTTCTGTCTGCTGCATCACAGGAGACAGCTGATGCTGACATCGCAGATTGTGTCTTCCCTGGAATCCCTAGATATCTTAGGGAGAGCAGCAGAGCAGCATTGATGACATAGGCTCCCAGCTACAGCCAACCCCTGCTATGCTAACTGAGAAGAAAAGGAAAAGATCCTGGTTTTATCTAGTGGTTCTTAAAGCTTGATTTGTGTTCAACTTCCTGATTTGATTTTAAATTCCATTCCTTTTCTTTGGTTCTTATTGACAAATGTTGTGTCTGTAGAAAGATTTTATTTTCCCTTTTTTTCATTTCTGTTTCTGTATAGAACTAAGGCTTACTTAGTAGAATCTTAAAAAGTACTCTACTAAAAGTTACTAAAAATTTAGTGTCTTGGACTGAAATTGTTAGTTTATGAAAAGTTGGAGTCAGGACTTTTCTCCTTACAAATAAAGACCTTCTCCGTGTCCCTAGTACATGCCAACTGATTCCCACTCGAGGGGCTTTGCCCTCACTGTTCTATTTGAAGACTTTTGGTCAGTTATGACTATTAGAAATGTCTAAATTTTTTAGAATTAGGGTTAAGGTTAGGGCAAAATCTGTTCCCCATTGTCTTTTCCTTCTTGGCTGATGTTTTTCCGGTAATGCCAATTGCACGGACTCCTGGGCACCCCTTTTAGAGAGAAGAGATAGACATGTATTATTGAAACCTATTTCATCTCCCCAGTGCCTGGAATGTGTGATGTAATTTTACAGTAGGTAAGCTTCCTTCACTTGTTTTTCTGGCATTAATTTTGGACTTTGACCTTCACCGGGAAACGCTAGGCCAGAATTCAACAATTTTAAAAAATTGGTTAAATGCTCTTTGTAAACATCATGTAAATGGCCATATACATAGACTGTATGTCCCAGAGTTTACTTAACCTTCTCCTACTTTGGAATGTTTAGATTTAAATGATTTTCTGTAATTTTTACAGATCCATAAAATAGGAAACTCACTCATACATAATCAAGAGGTGACTGCATTTGCTAGACTTAGTGCAGACCATAAAATATCCCCTGGAATTAAGGCAATTGAAAGCTACAGTCCAAAAAGAGCTTGTTCATGTTTTAGTTTCAAAATCCTAGCCAAGGAACTAGGTAAACAGTTATCAAAAACACAAATGGTATTCAGGGAAAGAAATCTGTAATATAGTTTAAGTATGCATTAAATCTTTTATTAAAATATCTTGGCTTATTAAATGCCATATTTAAGGTCGCTTTCCGAATAGTTTTAATAATGCTTATACTGCAGTGTAGTTTGTGCACCCATTAAAAGAGAGAAATATGTTTACATGGTGTAGTCATAAAACCTATAAACTGCCATTTTGTAAGTGGCTAAGATGTGAATTGCCACAGAAACCCAGACCTGCAGCAGCTGCAAGTACAGGAAATAAGTTTCTAAATGCTGACACCGGTCATGAAACTGATATTTTATTTAGATGTCCTTGCAGCACAGAGCTCTTGGAAATCATGTTTATAGTCTTCGTGCAATAGAAATACAAGCAATGGCGTATATTTTGGCAGGTGGTGCCCGATTTAGTTGTAATAATTCACAACACTGCTTCAGGGCTTCCATGTTGCTCCAGGCAAAAACCTGTATTATAAATTATAGCACACAAAGCTGAATTTGACCTACCAGTTGATGCATAATAAACTGACTTAATTCTGAATATTAACTACACATTGTGGCCTAAAGGTTTTATGCTCTCTAAATGTAGCAATACATTATACAAAAATCTTCCTCTTGGGTGAAGCCTAAATATAAATAAATCCCCAACCTTAATACTATGCCGAAAGACCGGTTACTATAGATACCAGAGGAATATATTAATTTTAAATATTATTGCCGAATAAAATAACTTTAGAATATCACTAAGTACCTGCACTAATTATAGAAACTTTCAGGAGAAGTTTCGGTACTTTAATAAACCATTTTCCATTTGTCACATTTCTTGAGTGGTAAACTGAAAGATATCACCTTGTCTCTTCAGTGATCAGCATGGGTAAAATGATTTTTAAGAATTCACCTCTCTAGTCTCAAGCACAAGAGTTAGCCCATATATATATATGTGTGTGTGTGTGTATACACATATATATGTATTATATATATATACACTTATATATACTTATATATATATATATATATATACACAATACATATATATGTGTATATATATACATATATATATACTTAGCAAATATTGGTCAGTGAATGAATGGAAAGGAATGTTTTGAAAGTGATCAAAATAGTCTTGGGTTTGAGGAAGGTAGATTCCTGGATTTAGGTATTTTGCTCTACCAATGAGTTTCTGTGTGATACTGAGCAAATCACTTAGCTTCTCTGAGCCTCTTTACTTGCTGGTAAAAGAGAAATTAAAAAAAAAATCCATCCCTATTTCACAGGATTTGAGGTTTGTGCATAGTTGAGACCAACATTTGTGAAGTATTTTGAAAAGTATTACTATCTCTAGCAAAGATGTTTTCTACAGGTGAGAAACAATCAACCCTAGCCAAAGGGTGGACTCTTTTTGCCATGTTTGTAACATGGGGCCCCATTTCTTTCTGGCCACAGTTGACTCTTTCTGGGATAGATAGATCTTCTCTTTTAAGAATTTGAACTGACAGACTCAGAGCCTGGGAGTTGGTTCATAATTGTCCCTGAACCAAGAAGTATCATGTCCTTCTTTGGGCCTGATTCTATTTTATTTCCTGCCCCCAGTTTCTGTGAGCTCTCCCTATATCTCAGTAATAAACCCCCCTTTCTTTGAGTTATATTAAGTGGGATTTAATTTCTGGCAACAGAACCATCCTGAGACAATTTTATGCACATCCCTTCTGCATTCATTTCTTGAGAACCTACTATAAATCAGACTCAGGAACTTTTGATTTTAAATTGTGAGGATAAAACAAAATTCAATATGATATGAGTCAAAAATGCTAATACACATAAAAATATGAGTTGTGGCTTAAATGAAATAGCAGGAAGAAATAATATCTGCACCAGGAGGAGGGGTAGAGTAGGAGAGTCCTAATAGAAGAGAGTTTCTTATATACACCCCCCTCTTTAATTTATACTGCCTCTATTGTGCTGAAAGCCCTGATTATGTCTTGTGTGGACTATTAACAGCTTCCTAACTACTGTCCTTGTCCTCAGTCTGCCCTCAATACTACTACCAGAGTTATCAGGTGGCATCAACCATATAATATGACAACACTCTTAAAATCAGCCTTGAAAATACCCTCACATCCATGGGCTAAAGTCTGAACTCATGCCTTGGAAAACTGACCATTCTTTGTCCCAGAATTCCTTTCTATGGTCAGGTCTCATTCCTTCTCCACATACTCCAGGATCCAACAATCTGGAACCTTGTCCTTGTCCTTGACTATGTTTTGTCCTTGCCTCTGTGCCTTGGCTTACACCGTCCTCTTGTCTTTACCTGGAAATCCACTGTTGTACCTTACAGCTGAAGTGCTACCTCTTCTGAGCCTTACCATGATCCTTCTCACTAGCAGAAATAATAATTAATTTTTCGAAGTCTATCCATGCCTACACAGTGCACTATACATACCAGCACAATGTCTTATGGTTAATTGTTTATGTGTCTATCTTCCTTCTTCTTAGGAGGCAACTTGAAGGCAGGAGAGGTATTACTCATCTTTTCATTCAGTGACCCAATAGAAAAAGCTCATGGAAGGGGCTCAGCAAATGATTGTTTAATCAGATTGGGATGAAATTTGAATTGGACTTTGTACAATGGTTACAATTTCAGAAGGTAGTTGTGGGACAGAGAGGCCTTAAGAACCAGAGAACAAAAACCTGAGCCGCGGGCAGGAGCATTCAGAGCAGATTCAGGGGAGGGCATGTTGTCAGTTAGGCTGGAAAAAAAGAGAAGAGATAATGAAGATGAATAAAGAAGATAATGTTGCAAAGATTGGTTAGGACCCTGTTGTGGCAGATTTTAATTTTAAAAATGTGAGCTTAATTTTGTAGGCACCAGGGAGCCATGCCTAAGTCCTTGAGCATATTGGAGATGTGATCAGAACTGCATTTGAAGGAGATTAACCTGGCAAGGTGTGAGGGTGTACTGGGCTGGAGGTCCTGCAGGACTCTCATGCTCCAAGGGAGAAGGCCAGGCATGGTCCCCCACTGTGTCCATCTAGTTAACTATTTCTTTATATTTTTCCATTCTTTTTTTAGACAAATTACAACAGACTTATTCACCATGCCAGTCTCATTTTCTTCATTTTGGTTTTGGGAGTCAGAGCATTTGATAGACAAGAACAAGGGCGTATCATCCCCATCCAGATGTCACCCTGACTTTCATTTTTAGCAATGCTGGAGAGATGGAAATGGTTTGATATGGAGACACACTTGACCTGTTCTATTTTTGCCATGCTTTCAGGCGGCTTCACAAGAACACTGGGTTCCTGCATCAACAAGGGAATTGGAAGGTTTCACATTGCCTCAGTGGCTTTGGTTTCCCTTCTGACTCCCCAAACTTGGCAAAATTCAGAAAGCATGACCTCCAGGTTTCAGCTGCTTTTATTACAAATATTACTTCTTACCTGGAGCCTTTGTTAATTCTTTACCAGCCCCCAAGGCCGAAGCAACCCCACCTCTATGGTATTTACATTTTCTACCTGAAATTATGATTATCTATAAAATGAGCTTATGTGTCCACAAGCCTGAAATCTCCCTGAGGGCAGGACCAGGTCTTGTATATTCTTAAAACCTTAGCACTCCTTACTCCCTATTCTGTTTCATCTATGTCCATGGTCCTTGAAAGTAGCAGGTACTAATACCTTACATTTGAATAACACTTAATAGTTTGCATAAACTCTCTGTACATCAGGAAAGGAAGGCTTTCTCATTCCCGGTTCTGTTTTGCAGATGAGACCATCAAGACTCAGAGTATTTGAACATTTGCATAAAATGACAAAGCAGAGATCAAGATTCATGTTTTTTTTCCCTTCCAGGTTCATAAATACTCTTTCTACTACACTCTCCCGCTTCATGCTGGCTGATGAATGAGTGAATGTGAGTTTTAGTTAGGATTTTATTTTGGAATTACATAATATTTTAGTGAGGAAAGAACCTGTTGAGATGTCATCACATTCTCTGTAGCATCCTGGGGAGGCACATATGACAAGCAGTGGAGTGCACGGCAGTGTGGAGATTTCCTGGATCCCACTGAAATATTTAAAATTCAGCCATTAATCATAACAGCTGTATTCTTGCTTCAAGTGATGAGCCACTAACGATTTCAACATTCCGAGTTTTAGAAATTCCCATTAATTGTCCTTAAAAAAAGGGCAGGAATGAATAAACTTGACTTCATTTGTGAGGAAAGAATCAGTTCCTCTAACTCTCTTAGTTGCTCTTGGTCTCCCATTTTTTTCCCTTCAAAATCATTTGATCTAAAGTGCAACTATTTTCTGAACTTGTTTCTCCGCGTCTGAATTGTAAAGGCTGAATGTTCTAAGTGGCTGTTGGTCTCCAGAATCAACAGGAAGGAATGGGCCCTTTGATAACCGGTGCTTCTGGGAGCAGTCCCTGCTAGCCAGCTTAGCTTCAAAACAGAGCAATGCTAGAAGAGACAAGGACTGGAGGCTGAGAAAGGTAAACACTCATCAATATGTAGAGTGATAAACTTCTTTAACATTGAGAAGACAGTATAGCTTTAAGATAATGTATGAGTATATATGTATGTATACATAGATGTACATGTCCATATCTGTGGGTTCCACATCTGCAGATTCAACCAAATAAAAAGAAATGTAAAATTTTTGAGAAAAATGATAAAAATAACAATATAATAATAAAACATAATACAAATAGAAATTATACAGTATAACAACTATTTACCTGCCATTTACATTGTATTAGGTGCTAGAAGTAATCTAGAGATGATTTAGAGTATATGGGAGGATAAGTATAGGTTATATGCAAATACTATTCTATTTTATATGAGGGACTTGGGAATTCATGGGTTTTGGTATCTGTGAAGGGTCTTAGAACCAGTCCTCTGAGGATACCAATGGACAACCGTGTGTGTGTGTGTGTTCATGCATGTAGTATATATGTGTGTCTATGTCTACATCCTCTATATCATTGCTTTATACAAAAGCTCTCAGATTTTCCATAGTTCCCTCGCTCATTGGTTCACAGAATTTGGTATGAATGTGTAGACAAGTTTGTATTCTAGTTCGGAGTTTTTCAAAATGGGTTATTTCTCGTCTTAATCTGCTATGTAATGTAATCATTCAGTTTTAACAAGTCAGTAATAATTTCAGAAAGACTGAGCCATTCCATGTAGACAGCATTCAATTGCTCTTAAGTGAGGAGTTTAATTTTCTTTCTTTCAAGTATATTTTAAATTATTTGTGTTTAGATGTTTCATATGAACCTGTGTATTCATTTGCTAGGGCTGCTTTAACAAAGTACTGAAAACTGAGAATTGACTGGCTTAAACATTAGAAATGTATTGTCTCACAGTTTTAGAGGCTAGAAGTTCGAGATCAAGGTGTTGGAAGGGCCATCTTCCCTCTGAAGTTTCTAGGGACAGATCCATTCCAGTCTTTTCTCCCACCTTCTAGTAGTTCCATGGCTTGTAGCAGCATAACTCCAGTTTTTACCTGGTAATCTCTCTGTGTGCATGTCTACATCCAAATTTTCTCTTTTTATAAGGACGCCAGTAAAATTGGATTAGGGGTCTGTATGAGTCTGTTTTCACGCAGCTGATAAAGGCACACCTGAAACGGGGAAGCAAAAGAGGTTTAATTGGACTTACAATTCCTCATGGCTGGGGAGGCCTCAGAATCATGGCAGGAGGCAAAAGGCACTTCTTACATGGCAGTGGCAGGAGAAAATGAGGAAGAAGCAAAAGTGGAAACCCCTGATAAACCCATCAGATCTTATGAGACTTATTCACTATCATAAGAATAGCATGGGAAAGACTGGCCCCCAAGATTCAATTACCTCACCTTGGGTGTCTCCCACAACACGTGGGAATTCTGGGACATACAATTCAAGCTGAGATTTAGATGGGTACACAGCCAAATCATATTATTCTGCCCCTGGCCCCTCCAAATCTCATGTCCTCACATTTCAAAACCAATCATGCCATCCCAACAGTCAGTCTCCCAAAGTCTTAACTCTTTTCAGCATTAACGCAAAAGTCCACAGTCCAAAGTCTGATCTGAGACAAGGCAAGTTTCTTCTGCCTATGAGCCTGTAAAATCAAAAGCAGGCTAGTTACTTCCTAGTTACAATGGGGGTATTGGGTAAATACAGCCAATCCAAATGGGAGAAATTGGCCAAAACAAAGGGGTGACAGGCCCCATGCATGTCTGAAATCCAGCGGGGCAGTCAAATTTTAAAGCTTCAAAATGATCTTTGACTCCAGGTCTCACATCCAGGTCACGCTGATGCAAGAGGTGGGTTCCCATGGTCTTGGGCAGGGTCCACCCTGCTCCAGTATGGCCTCTTCTTAACTAACCATATCTGTAATGACTCAATTTCCAAATAAGGTCACATTCTGAGGTTTTGAGAGTTAATACTTCAACATGTAGATTTTGAGGGGGATGGGGAGGACAATTTAACCCATAATGGTATGCCTTCTGACACCCCTAAATTCATTTCCTTCTCACATGCAAAATACAGTAATCTCATTCCAGCATCAAGTCTAAGTCCAAAATCTCATTCACATACTATCTAAATTAGGTCTGGGTGGTACTCACCACATGATTCATCCCTGGGGCAAAATTCCTCCGTATCTTTGAACCTGTGATACAAGTTATTTGCTTCCAAAATACAATGGTGGGACAAGTATAGGATAGATATTCCATTCCAAAAGGGAGAAATCAGAAGAAAAAATAAGGGTTATGGTTCTAAGTGAGCCTGAAACCTAGCAGGGTAAATTCCATTTGATTTTAAGGCTTGAGGATTATCCTCTTTGGTTGAATGTTCCATCCTCTAGGCCTGCCAGGGCGGCGACCTCACCCCCTCCACCCTAGGTAACAGTTCTGCCATTTAGAATGGAGGAGGTGGCTTCTCCTTCTGGAACCAAGGAGGTGGCCCCATCCTTGGGGTCATTCTTCCTTCTTCTTGAAAGATAACACATATCTGTAACCAGACATCTCTATAAACCCATTTGCTGCCTTTAGAAGCCCAGAAGTCTGGCATCTTTCCTTCATTTTTTCCTGTCTCTGTCCCCTTCCATCCAAGTTGGCAACATTTTTGTTGAGATGGTTGATTGGCTCCACCTAGTTTCTATAGCAAACACCTGTTCAGCCACACCCGTGGTGCTTTCTCCAGAACATACTTTTTAAATTTTTTGTAATATATATAAGTTGATAATTTTCCTGATCTTCAAATTCTGGTTTCTTTTTGCTTAGCAGCTCCTATTTCAATTTATCTTTCTCCTCTCACATTTTACTATAAGTAGCAAGGAGAAACCAGGCCACACCTTCAATATTTTGCTTATAAATCTCCTCAGCTAAATAGCCAAGTTTATGACTTACAAATTCTACCTTCCACAAACAGTAGAACACAATTCAGCCATGTTCTCTGCCACCTTAAAACTAAAATTGCCCTTCTTAATTACAACTGCAATGACCCTATTTCCAAATAGGGTAACATTCTGATGTACTGGGGGTTAAGATTTCAACATATGAATTTTTGGAGAACACAATTCAACCCATAACAACCTGCTAAATTTTCACTGTTCTAGAAGGACCTAACAACCGTCTGTCTCAAGATCCACATTATGTTTTTGACTTGGGTGTACTCAATGACAAAACAGCCATCAGAGACGTCAGCAAGTAACCCAGTTAAGTTCTGTGGAGCTGATTTCATGGTTGTATGAGTTTCCAGGGCAAGGTCTCAGCCCTGCGTCCTGGTCTAGCTTAGTTGGGAAGCATTAAATAATAATAGTCACCATATATTAAGTTCCCATGATATGCGAGGGGCTATACCAGAGTCCTCATAGATATATTATGGAATCTTTAGAATAACATTGTGGGGCACTATTTATGATTTCCATTCTAAACATTAGAAAACCAAGGTACAGAAAGTTTAAGAGACTTGTACATGGTCATAGAGAGTACAGAGAGATCCATGCCTTGAAGTATCTCAGAAAATTACTGGGGTGGTTGAGTCAGTCTGGAATCATCTGCAGACCTGGTATGTCATCTGCCTTGGGGAGTTCATCAGTACAACCTTATTCACTTTGAGCCTTTAGAGCTAGATACCCAAGAATCTTCCCATTTAAAAACAGTTTTTAGTTCTGGTTGGTTTTTCAGCTCATCATCACATCCACAGATCAAATTGGTGGTCTGATGATCTGGTTGGTATCCAAGTCCCTGCCTTGTTCATTTTAGCCTCTTCAAGGGATCCTGCTCTTGAAAGCCTGGCTACTGAAATGATTCTGTGCCTATTTGGAAGAATCTGTTTGTAGTGGAAATTGCTAGCAGACATGGGACTCTGCCTATTTAAGCAGTCTCCCCGTAGACCAAGTTCAGCTCAAATCACACCCTCAAATTTTCAGGTCCTCTTGGACATTATGATTGCCACTGCTTGTGCATCCCTTAGGTTCAGTGGGCTTGGCAAGTGAGGGATAATTACTATTTTGGATAATTAGTTAATTAAATATTTTGAGCATGTGTCATTTTAACAGTAATCAATTCCATGGTCATGATTTCTTCCCTCCTAGAGCATTACAATCTCTGCCCAGGCCCAATTAACTCCCCTGTGCCTGAAGTCTTATCATTGAGATCCTGGTGTGCTTCACAGCCATGGCTGCGTGAGTTAGACAGAATATATATGCAGGACAAAAGCCCAGAGAACCCTTGAGGTGAATTTGGAGTTCATCTGTTCGCTAAGAAATTTCAGGTTATAGCCACACTATGTTACTTTAATTCTCACTCATTTCAGTATCCTTGCTTCATTAGGTAATAAAGGGTAGAGGTACAGCTCATATTTTGTCTGTGGCAGAGGCCAAAATCCGGAGATACCCATGGGAATATGTGTCATGTTTGTGAATATCATCCACCTGTGCTGTGTTTGATAATAGCCCATCTATTAGGTCAACTACAAAAGATCATGGCAAACCCTAGTCAAATATCCTGACTTCCCTGACTGGTCCACAGTGGATCTCTTATTTCACACATTCTTCTAAACATGCTTTGATTCTATTAATAAATGGCCTGTACCACCTCAAGGGCTAGTAAGTCCCATAAGTTTCCTACCTGCTGTGTAAAGTTACATTTCCTTTCAATTTTTCCCAAATGGCTTCCTTCCAATTTGGAGGCTGCTCCCTAGTCCCCATGTGTAGGGTTAGCTGAACAAGGCCGTGTACAACTTCTCACTCCTCTTAATCATTATCTGCAGAGACTTTGATTGGATTGTTTCTGAGTCCTGATCTTTTCAGAGTGAGGAAGCTGTGTCATTTAATACCTTTTCTAACACAACAGAGGCTGCCTACTCTTGATCATCTGGCTTTCCTTCACAATGGGTCTGCTGTGGTTGTTAAAGCTCTAGAAGTGTGGCACCCAGGACAGCAGGGGTCCTCCCAGGCAGGACCCCCCACCTGCACTCCTTGCCAGCAATAATGAAATCTCTTGGCCCCATCTTCCTCAGTTCTTATTCCCCCGAAGATTCCTTTAGCCAGAAGAGTGTCCCTCTTAGAATTCTAAAGCAGCTAACATCCCACAAAAGGGGAAGCAAATTTCCTCTGGGGTCACGTCATTTGCTGTCATTCCAAGCGTCTGATTATAGATTCTGAAGTTCTGAAAGCCCCCAAAGAGTGGAATCACCTGCCGAGAAGCTGCATGGCTAGCCAGGGAGAGTCTCTTGATGCACGCTTTATTTCAAGCATGAGGACCTGGTTTATTAGAAGCACTAGGGGAAAAACCCACACCTGAGACTTCTCACATGCTTGTGAAATTCAGATATGAGAAGAAACATTGTTGGGATCAATCAGAATCTGCTGGCCACCTGGCTGGAGGGAGATGGCCGAGGAGGCAAATGGTGAAGACTTTGAATATTCTGCCTTGAATAAAGTGCCCTGGCTCCCTGGGGTTTGGACAAGGATGAATGAAACCTGCTTTGGCTTGTTCTGACATCCAGTCCCTGGAGCGAATGGCATCTGCAGCGGGAGGCAGGGGATTCAGTTCTTCCTTTTTAACAGGAGCCTTTGTGGTGCCTGGTTTAGAATCTCTCAACCCTGCCATTCCGGCTCCCTTTAAAGGGTGGCTTGTCAACACTGAATGTTGGGTGAGCCTTGAAAAGGTAGGCTTGTTCTTGGCAAAATTCTGATTTAAAATTAAGTTTTCCTCCATACTTACAACTGAAGGTCAATTCAAAGACTTGACTTCACTAAGGGTGGGCCAATGAGAAAGAAAATTAAAAATCTGCTGACCCCAACTTTTAGGGAACATTACCCAAAGTGACACTATTTTATGTTCAACCACTTGTAGGTAGAGAAACCCAAATAGAGAGGTAAGGAAGACAGGGGTAGAGAGGAAAGTCGATGAAAGTGCTAACACCAGCATGGCTTTCAGGTCAGGTAAATCCAATTACTTCTAGCTAGCTGTGTGATCTTGGGCAAGTTAATTAATCTCTCAGGGATAATGATACCTATTGCACAAGGTTGGTATGAGAAATAAATGTAGTATTTACACAAGGTGCAACACATTGTAGGTATACAATAAATGTTCTTTTTTCATTTTCAGAGACACTATCATAGATTCTTCTACAAAGAAAATGCTTGCCAAAATGTAATTACTATTACATGCCCCCCCAAAAAAAATTAAACAGAGAGATAATGTGTGATTATCTCTTTGTTTTACTTTTTGGGGGGCATGCTATGGAATGAAGATGTTTGAACCAACAGCAACATGTTCATGAGGAAGTTAAGTTGTGACTATAGAAGGCAGACAAATGGGCAGTCCTTATGTCCTTTCTCAGGAGAGCCTCCACAAAAACTGGGCAGGATGTCATTTAAGGATACATGCCAGATCTGTGACAGAGGTCCTCTGTGAGGACAGGTTGAGGAAAAGGTGTTTCACTTCACGGGTGTTAATAATGGGACAAGTGTTAGAACAGCATATATTGGTTGCATATAATTTGCTACTAATATAGAAGGTGATTACATTTATTTTAAAAATTTTGGCAAATGAAAACATGCCCTAGAGAAAATAGCAAGAGAGGAAAACATGGATAGAAGTTGCAGAATTCAGAGGCCTTGATTACTTAAGAGGAGAGGGGTCCACTTTAAGAAAAAGAATACAAAATTAGGCCTAAAAATATTTATTTAGGATGAGAGAAGAAATCGTAACAACTTACACATTTAAAAGCTGGGAAATACTACAGACATCACAAACTTTGGGGAAATTGTTCATTATTTTAATCAATAAATCAACTGATAAACCTCTTTCCTTTATATTTTTTTGGTTTCATATTCTTCGATTACTTTTTCCTGTGATAGTGATCTTACAATATTGCAGAGAAAGCAGAAGGATAATTTGCTCTTTATCATAGTTGATTGAATATTATTTTCATTATTTGTGATTTAGAATAGTTTCATTCAACTTCACAACTCATCACATAAATTTTTAAAGGACCAGCCCAAAATGGCAGCATAGAGCAAGCTGGCTTCGCTCTCCTTCACAGAAAACTCAAAACAAATATACAGCTTTGGGATTTTCACCAGCAACAACCCAGACTCACTATAAGAATGAGATAGTTCCTGGGGCCCCAGAGAAATAAAAAACTTTGAGCAAACAATAGGATAATTGGACTTCCACAACTTCAACATTCCTCCCCAACATTCTACTCAGCACCAAGCATGTGGAAAATCTCCCCCCAACTCCTGGTTTCTACACCGGAAAAAGTGGGATTGAGGTGGTCAACCAGCTTCTTCACCATCTTGGGTGTACTTGCAGGAGGTCTGTCTTGCCCTTACCCCACAAACATCGTGATTGTCTGAAGGGAGAAAGAACTGTCCCCGAGGACAGCCAGAGACAAAGGGAGAAGGTGGGATGACTATCCCCAGCCCTGGAAACTCTGCTGTGTAACTTGGCCAAATGAGATGCCTCATCAGAGTGGCTGCTTAGCAGCACCATGCCATAGGAGGTACATTCTGCAGGTCCCCTGGGCACGAACCCCTAAGCCAGCCTTCCACACTGCTGAGATAATGCCTGTGGGACCTCCCCAATTCAGGACAGGAAGTGCTCTAATCATTTACTGGAGCCAAGGCGAACCTGGGTTTAAGGCACCACCTAGAGCCAAAAAGGAGGCGGTGACTTAGCGGTAAAGATTCACTATGTGGGCCGGGCGCGGTGGCTCACGCCTGTAATCCCAGCACTTTGGGAGGCCGAGGCGGGCGGATCACGAGGTCAGGAGATCGAGACCATCCCGGCTAACATGGTGAAACCCCGTCTCTACTAAAAATACAAAAAATTAGCCGGGCGTAGTGGCGGGCGCCTGTAGTCCCAGCTACTTGGGAGGCTGAGGCAGGAGAATGGCGTGAACCCGGGAGGCGGAGCTTGCAGTGAGCCGAGATCCCGCCACTGCACTCCAGCCTGGGCGACAGAGCGAGACTCCGTCTCAAAAAAAAAAAAAAAAAAAGATTCACTATGTGAATATATCCAATAAAAATCCAACAAGGTGGATAGGGAAAACTGGAATACATAACTGATCCTTCAATGCAAAGACATAGATGCATACCCTTAAGAAAAAACAGCAGAGAACCCTGACCTCCCCAAAAGGACAAAACAAAAATCCAGTGACTTGGTCCTAATGAGACGATGATTTGTGAGCTCTCTCACCATGAATTCATGTAAATTGTTATGATTTTCATCAAGTTTGGGAAAACATCAATCAAGCTTCTTTCCTGTGTGAACTATAGGATTTCAGGGCATTTCACTTTTTTGGTTCATGGACTAACTCTCGATACTCCTTGAATTGATGATATTAGGACTGTTCCTGGAAGTGCCCATGGCCAGTGATCATTTAATTATGCTTGGGAGTGACCACATTCCACTTAAAAACACTTCACTAAACTCAGACGTGTTTCCATAACTCAGCTTCCCAGAAGCTACATCCTCCAAGTGCCCAAGATTCCTCCAGTAGCCTTTAACTCTGAGGGGGAAAGATCATGGCAGGTAAATTGGATTGGGAAGCAATAGCAGTAAACCAACTGAAGTCGAACTATCTTTTGCAAATTTTATAAAAATTTTATAATCTTAAATTTTATTGGCATCATGGATAATCTGCCTCTGTCCCTTTGTCTCTAGGATTGCCCATCTTGTACCTGGTAGAAGGTCAGTTGGGTGAATCAGGGTTACTCCAAGCCCTTCTTTACATTCTAGCCCCTCTAATGCTTTCCCTTCTCCTCACTCTATCCAGTTTCTGCTCAGCCTTTGAGGCCCAGCTCATGTACATGTCTTCCACCATGACCACCTGGTCCTGTATTGTTCACATTGATTTCTCCCCTGCCACTGTCATATTTCCAGTTGAGACAGGGAAACCTGGAGGCAGGGACACCTAACACAAATAATTCTTGACAAATGGACTTGAAAATCCATCTGTTTCCTATGGTTAACTAATTACTGACTGTCCTCTTGACCTGGGCCACTCACTAGAACCAGATGTTCTCTAAGTTATTTTAAGGATTATTTCATAAATGTAATTTTGACTCTTTTTTCCCAAAGATAAAGGAAAGCCTGCTGGGCTATTGCTCTGTGCCTACTGATTATACAGGAGAGAAAAGCCTCTCATAGATGACTGACTTCTAAAGCAGATGTGCCAAGTTCCTTGGGCTAAAAACTCTTTAGTTGGAAATGATCAGGGCATTTTTAATATGAGTTTTCAGAATGTGTACTTTGAGCAACGCTAATTATGATCAGTGTGATGGTGACTTGGTTTAAGGGTTTCAGGGATTTCAAGTGCTAATAAAACTGCCCAGAGGAACATGAACTCACCTGATATAGCAGAACTAATGAAGGACTCGGCGCACAAAGTGTCCCTTGTCAGAGCGGAAGTATTTGTGTGTGGCCTCATCCAACGAGGCATTTGACAAGGACAGAAATAGAAAACCGTTTGTGGCCACCTGGCAGAGATTTTCCTGGTGTCTTGGTTTGTTATTCCTACTATTGTACTTCATTCTTTCCTAAAAATCTTTTTTTCCCCTCTTTGCCTTTTCAGTTGGCTTCAGCACCTTTGTGAGTTTTCATCAGCACATTTCATTCTTTACGGAACAATGAAAATATAAGAGAGGGATAAATGAGGGAATGAGTCTGTTAGTAATTGTGATGGGAAGTTGGGGGAATTGCGTTGGCTTCCCTGTTGTTCGTCTAAATCACGTTGTTCATTTTCCTTGACACATGCACGAGGGAGATGAGGGCTCCTGTATTTAAATGAAGAACGATGAGCATCCAGGCTCCTCTCTGAGTTAGGATGAAAATTATTATTCATTGAGTACCTACTATGGGTTGGGCTAGGTGTTTAGCACTGAGGACAAAAGGAAAAGACAAATTTGTTGTCCGGGGTGCTTAGAATCTCTCGAGCCTGTAGTTTGCCATCCTTACAGCACAATGGCTGCAATCCTTAACTGCACAGCTTCTGGGTGCCAGGAATGGTGAGAGATCCAGAGAGGTCAGGCAGCCTCTGCCCACCAGGCATAAGGTGGCAATGCCAGAGCGTAGTCAGGCCCGAAGTCCCTGGGAAGACAGCAGGAAATCAGTGTGGGCTGGTAGCGGAGAGAAAGGACAGAAGAGAAACCTGGTATTCCGTTTATCCTGTTTAGCTCACAGCAGCCCTAAGAGGGGGATAGTATCCTAATTAAAATATGAGAAGTTCTGCCTCAGAGAGGTCGATGATTCTTCTCAGTGTCACACAGCTGTCTGCAGAGCTTCTTGAAAGCCAGGAGTGTCTTATGCATCTGTGTATCTTCAAAATGTCCTGGTACAGAGGTAATGCCCCATCAGTCCTTGGGAATTAAAGAAGTGATGAAGTGCTGAAAGCAGGTTTCAAACTCAGCCCTAAGCAGGTTTCAAACTCAGCCCTGTCTGAATCCAAGGTCTGTGGTCTTCCCTCTGTTCCACGGTGGGTTCCACTGACAGAACCAGAGGCAGAATTGGAGGATATGGCATTGCCACATTCTGCCTGGCCTGCCCTCTTTGGGCAAAGGCTGCCTGATCTCTCTAAATCTCTCACTATTCCTGGCACACGGAAGCTGGGCAGTTAAGGATTGCAGCCACTTGGCTGTAAGGATGGCAAACTTCAGGCTAGAGAGATTCTAAGCTCTGTAAGGACAATGGATTTGTCTCATCTTGAGTAAACAACTTAAACAGATTGAAATCCATTTTTAAGCCTCTTGAGGTTCAATGATAGTGGGGATTTCCTGTGTCTCCAAGGAAAAAAAAAGACACAGGATTGACACCAAGGAGTGAGTTCAGGGCTCAAGAGGAGACTCTAGCACCATGGGGAGTGGAGAAGGAGCTGAGATGGCTACACAGAGAGAACAGGGAAGGAGAAAGTTGCGGGTCTGGGGCAAGTGATCTTCTTAGCGTTGTTTGGATGATTCAGATTGGGTGGTGCCTTGGAGATCATTCAGCATGCCACCTCGTTTTGCAAGTGAGCAAACAGAACTGAGAGGTTAAGTAATTACTCGAGGTACAGGGCAGTCAGTGGCTGAGCTGATGCTAGAACCCTGGTTCATGGGCCCCTATACCTCCCTTTTTTATGATTTCTTCATAGTTACCCATGAACAAATATTTAATGTGTCTACTGTCACTGGTGTGCATCTTTGTATTTGTCTTCTTTAAATAGAGAGTGAGGGCACCTAGACAAGCATTAAAACCCAAGAAAGGGCCGTGTTTTGTTTTGCACCATTTCTGTAGTGCAAATTATATGGTCATTGGTCTCTAAAAAGATGAGACATGGAGATCTAGTCACATAGTGTCCAGTATTTAGCATGACTCTCCATTTGATTTTACATAAATACTGCAAGGATCTGAGGGAATGATGCAATAAAAAATATCCTGTGTACAAATTTGATAAGCTCTTAACAATATGGTGCCTGACAGCCTCTCACTTAAAGAGAAGAATCCCGTCAATCAGCATGAAGCATGCTAAAACCTCTGCTTCTGTGAAGTTCTTTATGCCTGCAAAGCAGCTTTCTTCTCTCCAACTCTTAACTGTCTTTAATATAATATGCCAACTGTAGCAATTGGAAGCATAATGAACAGTAAGTTGCTTTCTTACTCTCAAGAGCTTGTTATTCCCCTGACACTAGCAAGACTCTGGCTTCTGAGTGTTGCATTTGCACTTTTTCCATTCTCCATCCTCCACTCTCTACCCAACTTGGAGTGCAGGGCAGAAGCAAACATCCATGAATCAGGCCTTTGCCCTGAGCTGGGCATAGTGTCAGATAATTTCTTATTTACTTAATCCTCACAATAGTCCTGGAAGAGTGGTAGGTGAGAGGTGTAATAGTGTCCCCATGGTAGAGATCAGGAAACTGAATGTTATGGAGTGAATTATGTTGCCCCCCAAATTCATAGGTTGAAGCCCTAACCCTCCGTGTGACAGTATTTGAAAATAGGCCTTTAAAGAGGTAATTAAGGTTAAATGAGATCATAGTGGGTGGGGCCCTAATTCCATAGAACTGGCCTCCTTACAAGAAAAGGGAGAGATTGCAGGAGCACAGGTGTGAAGAGAGAAAAGGACTTGTGAGGACACAGCAAGAAGACAGCCATCTGCAAGCCAAGGAGAGAGGTCTTGGGAGAAACCAAACCTGCCAACACCTTGATCTTGGACTTCCAGCCTCCAGAACAGTGAGTAAATAAATGTCTGTTGTTTAAGCCACCTAGTTTTTGATATTTTGTTTATGGCAACCTGAGCACACGAATACACTGAGGCTCAGGGAATTTAAATCAATAGCACAGAAATGGCTATTCTCCCACTGAGAACCTGGAGAAGCCCTCTGAGGCAGAAACATGGGCTCAGGGGACTTGGGTTTGCATCCAGGCTGTGTCACTAATGAGCTGTGTGACATAGGAGAGTTACTGCATGTCTCTAGGCTCATTTCCTCATCTCTTACAAAAAAAGAAAAAAAAAGTGAAATAATTGACCTTTAGTATCCTTTTCAACCCTTGAAATTCTGTGTCTATCAACATTTTCTTCTAGGCCTCAATTCCTCATCTATAAAAAGGAATAATAATACCTACCCTAAATAGCCTGAAGAATGTAAAGAGAATCTAATGAGTTACAGGACTAAGGAAGGACTACGTATAAGATAGGTGTAGGACATGATCTGCCCGGGCCCAAGTCCCAGCTGGGCCGCTTTCTAGCTGAGGTTCCTTGGACAAGTACATGTACTGTTTCGAAGCTTCTCTTAACTCACCTGCAAAATGGGCCAAATAATACTCCCTACCTTAAGGAGTTGCTACAAAGAACAAATTAGATGCTCTGTGGACCATGCTTAACAGAGAGCAGAGCCCATCCCATTCTCTATAGTGTCAGTGATTTTTATTGTTATTATAGCCCCAGAATGGTGGGCTTGTCTTCAGTGAGCCCTGTTAGAGTTAGCAAGGTCGGGCTTCGGTTCCAATTCCAGTGCTTACTTGCCTGTGAGCATGGGCAAGTTGCTTAGCCTCTGGGATTTTTGAGGTTCTAAGAATTCTGAGTGTTAGGTTAGTGCCTACTGTACCGATGATAAATTGAGATAAAGCACGGAATGTGCTTTGTCAATTATAAGGCTGTATATAAATGTGAGGAATTACTGTTATGAGCAAGGATCATTTCCTCCGTTTTCTGCCAATACCGTATATGTACTGCCAAGAGCCTTGCTTAGAGATGCTTGAAAAATGGAGAGTGTGGAAGGAATGGAAGGCAAATGCTTACTGTAGTTATAGTAGCACACAGAGGTGTCATATTAAACAGAATTAATGATAAACTTGGAGAGGGTGGCATGGAACATGTTCCAAAGTATCCCCCTCCCCCATCATTGCTAGAGAGTGTCTCAAGGCAGGAAAGTGTTTACAGGACAAACACCGGCAGAGTGCTTCTAGCCAGTCCAGATAAAGCTGGGATACCTTTGTTAGATAAACACAGCGCCCAATGGCTGCCAGAAAGGTCACTGGTGAGAAAGGGGAAGGTGATCTGTTTTTTTCCTATCTGGCATATGAAAGCCAGACTTTTTGAGGTTAGGCCTATGGTTACTGGTTGTGGCCTATCTGGAACATCAAAGGGTCAGGTGCATGGTAGGATGAGGCCTATAAGGACCCTGATGGCCAGTGGAGAAGGTGGGGTCAGAGCCTTCTAGGACCAGAGGCTCCTGCCCAACATAGCTCTCCAACATAGATGGGGTCCACCTGCCCACTCCTCCTTCCTCTTCATGGATGTAGGGGTTATGGTAATGTGTTGGATGGGGGTTGGAACCAATAATGTGGGGCTTGGGATGTTGCAGAGATTTTGGCTATCGGCATTCTTTTCTAAGCTTTTCTGTCTCTGAATGAGATTGGTTCAGGATATTTGCTGACTCTCATTGCATGAGGAACACTGTGAGACCAATAAAATGTCCTAAGACTGCTATTCAATAGTTTCTATCTTAATTTCTATTAACTGTCTTTGAAGTGTTTTGAAATAAACTCTTTCACATACACATTTTCACAAATTATTTCTTACCTATACTTTGTGCAATGTACTGTAATATTTTCTATTCTATTTGATTTTATTTAAAAAATGTTGATCAAGACCCATTAAATTAAAGTCATGATGTACAACAAGTTTGCAACCCTCAGCTTGGAACCACAGGAATGCTCTATGGTCATCCAGAGGTACCGCAATGTCCTGTGAACAGTCACTGAGCTGTACCTTTGTGATGTGTGCACCTTCTGAAACAGGATGACAATGTAGAAAGACCATAGGCTTTGGTGTTAGACCTGAGGGCCAATGCTATCCTTTCCTGACTTACGCCCGTTTTTCCTTACAATGCCTACTTTACAGAGGAGTTGTAAGGACAGGGTGATCATGTGTATGTGAAAATGCCTGACATAGTCTGGCCCAAAGTAGGACTTCAATAAATATTAACTCCCTTCTTATTTCTAACCAGTTGAGAGTCAGAGTCCCTGACAATACTTGCAGTTTTTTAGAACATCTGTCCTTGCTATGTCCGCCTGTTAGGTTCAGAGAGCCTTTGAAGGAAAACAAAAGAGTTGCTTCTCCGCACTGATTGCTTTGAGGGGCTTCTTTAGGGTTGAATTTCAATAATCTTAAAGTTGCTAGGGGAGCTTAAATATCGTTTGCTCTCAAAGAATTCAGTGGCTAGGGATCTTACTATATAGAAAGACGATTTTTTTTTTTTTTTTTTTTGCCTTGGTTAGATGTCTTTTTTGGTTAAGAGGCTGCTCTGCAAACACATCAAGAAGAGATAGTATCTGAACCCAGGACAAGAGAAAACTTACCAACAGCTGAGTCAATAAAAGCATTGTAGCACCTGGTGAGCAGTTAGGTAAAATGCATCTGAGCCCTCCTTGTCTGATTTCAGATTTTTCTGTCCCATGTTTGACTTCCCATGACACATCCTTGCTCACCACCTGTACTCAGTATAACTTAGTTATCACTCCCTGCCTGTGTCCTAGACACATCATAGAAGGGTCCAGGCTGGACTGTTTTGGAAGAAAGAGTAGTCTGTTTTGTGCTCCTTGTCATTTTGTAACTCACCAGCACTTGCTCCATTCACTTTGTGGCCAGTGCTCTGAGACCCTCGTCCTCTCAAGGTTCTCTGCTGCCACTTCCAGCTAACCACAGGAGATGAAAAGCAAAAGCAACACTGTCCTCCCCACCACTCATTATCCCAGGTATGGACACAGGCTTCCCCACCACATCCCAGGACTCTTGTGTTTAACACAGTTGAGTACTTGAGGACCAGGGAGCACTAGGGGGATGGGAACTGAAGACTTGTTCAGATACTCGCTCCCGAAGACCATCAGTGACATGCACCATCCTATGTGATGGGAAGGGCCAATGCCTTAATTCATTTGCAGCAGAACCCTCCCTTTCATTTTCTCTCTTACTTCAACTCTGCCTCCCCACACATCTGCCTCCTCTGGCACTTCCTCTTCCTGATATCCCAGGGAACCCCCCACTCAGTTTATGATGCAATAGCTTCTCCCTCCAAATGACCTGCTTTATCATGCAGATCAGTTCAGTTCTTTGTTTCAGTCCCTTTCCTTCTTTGCAAAAAACCCACAGCAGACTCATAACTTCAAAAATTGTCTTCACTCCTGAGATAAATTTTTTCACTCCTAGAATTTGGAAATACTGGGTTTTGTTTTGGTTTTGTTATTATGCTTAGGATGATTATTAGTTGATGCCCTTTGGGTGGGCTATCTATACCAACCTCCACACCCACCTCTGAAGTTATCTCCTGGGTCTCAGATGGTTTCTGATGCCAAATCTCGTTTGTCTATTCCCAACTGGTGAGCCCCTGGAGTGGATAGAAACTACAGAGGGATAGACTTTGTTCTACATAAGAAAGGACTGAGTCATGGTCATAGTTAGGGTGAGAGAGGATGTCTGAGCAAAACTGTCGCATCCAGAGGCTGGTTTCCATGAAGCAGGACTGATAATAAAATATAATCTTATCCTAAGTGGCATCCCTCTGGCACTAGGTAATAACAATACTTGGATCTCCTGTCAGGAAATATCCAAAAGGCAGAGATGTCTGGCATTTGTGGAGGACATTAGATGCATTAATATGTTATTAGGAAATGATAGGAGCAAATATTCCAACCAGGGACTTGGCTCTGATCAGTGGGGCTGTTGGTGCATTAGGAGAGAAATTACCTCTTCACTTGAGATGCACAGCGTGTGTTCAGACCTGTAAGTATGGTTTTGGAGTCACAAATGGAGATGTGCTGAAGTTGACAGAGGTGACAGCTCCTCACATATGGAAAACTGAATAATAACAACAATTCCATTTGTGAAGACGGGCTGGAAATTACATTTTCAATTTTGATGCAAGGCAGGGGCTGAGATGAACAGCTTCAAATTGGAGTTTGCCTGGGCTATTTTGCTTTTTAAGTGACAAAGGAAATAATGGTTGATGAAGTTGCCTTTAGGGGATCTGGGAAAGATTCTTTCTACTATTAAGAATATGAGATTTCACATGGAAGCTATTAATTACTACTAGCCATTTGATAAATGCAGCATTCACTGATCTAACTCTGTCAAACGCTGTGTTGCCCACACTGCTCCGAACGGCATAGTTGTAAATACAGATTGCTGATATTCATAGAGGAGTATCTGCTTATAAAAGGCTTAAGTTGGCTTCTGTTTTTGTTCTTGTTTTTCAATGGATAGTGTGATGGGACTATGAATGTAAATAAATATATTGTTTACGTTACTTCAAAAAATGAATATTAAGTCAAACTGGTTTTAAAGGAGGGAAAAACAGAATCTTGAGTCCTAATCTCAAAAAGGATAAAATATTTACACGATTACTTTGTCTTGAAACTAAAGTTACTTCTTTTAATTTCAGCCAATTATAAGAGTCTCTAAGAGCTTGGGCTCTTGAACCAGAGGCAAATGAACATGAGCCCCTGTTCTAGCTTGGTTTCCAGTTCTTGTGTAGACAGCTTGTTAACATGGCTATTGGCTTCCACTCCTAAATCAACCCCAGATTAAACCTTACAACAGCAGTTTTCTACCTTTTACCTTAGAATCACCTAAAGAGTTTTTAAAAAAAACACTGAGGCTGAGTTCTGCTCTAAGTTTGGAGAAGCAGGCATCTAACAAGCCAATTCTCCCATAAACAAAATCTATAAATCCTAGACAAAATCTCAAAAACAATTCCTTGAAGTCTTTCAAGACTGAAATCAGATAAGTGGATTTTGGAGACGTGCTGAATCTCGAAACAAGCAACTTCCACAGAGTAAGTTCCATGGCTCTGTGGCAGCTAAAACTCTAAAACAAACCCCTCTGAAGATTTGGACAGAGGAATCAGTTGAAGGAGCTCAGATCAACCAGGGTGGCCAGAGTATGAGGGGGAAACCCTGAAAAGAAAAGAACTAAAAAAGAGAAGCTCCAAATTCTGTGTTCAAACTCAGTCCTAGTTTCTGGCTGAGTTTCATGAATTCATGGGACAAATTGGAAGCGTAATACGGCTAAAGCTTAAAGAACTAAACTGAAGTCCTAATGCTCTCTCCCCACCTGAGGTGTGATAGTTTGTAGTCTAAGTTGAATCAAATTAGTAGTCTACTAAAACAAAAATGCCAACACTCTTTGGATAAATATAACATAATCCAGAGTATTTACAATTTAATATTTACAACATCTAGGATGTTGCTCAACATATTAAGAGCCAGGAAACTATGACCTGGTCTCATGGGAAGAAACAATGAACAGATGCTAATCTCTACATAATAGTTTGCAAGGGCTGCCTTAACAAACAATTACAAGCTAAGTACCTTAAAACAACAGAAATTTATTCTCTCACAATTTTGGAGGTCAGAAGCCTGAAATCAACATGTCAGCAGGGTTGCTTCCTTCTGGAAGCTCTGAAGGAAACTCCTTTCCTTGCCTTTCTCCTCACTTCTGGTGGTTTCCAGCAATCCCTGGCATTTCTTGGCATGGGGCTGCATGAATCCAATCTCTGTCTCCATCTTCACATGACCTTCCTCTCTGCATCTCCATGTATCTAATCCTCCTGTCTTTCTCTTATAAGGACCCATAGTATTTTAGATATAAAGTTTTGTATCCAGACATATTATTATTTAAATATGAAAACATAAAAGTATTTTCAGCCTACAGGGCTGTGAATGGGGCTTAAACACAAAGATCCATATTGAAAAAAATTTGGAAGGAAGTATTCAAATCAGTAGAGAAACAAATCCTGCAGATATGGCAAGAGATATATAAAATAAGAATGATCAAGTATTTCAGCAAAATTGGGTATTTTTTGACTGTAAAGAAAAGCTAAGCAAAAGGAAAAGAGAAAGCATATGCTTAATAATTCATTACTAAAATTCTATGTAGTATCACTGAGAGGGAAGTCTGGAATATGAGAATGTGGGTGGGTAGAGACCAAGTGATATAAGAACAGGATAAAGTTCTTATTTTGTTAGAGGAGTGTTATAGGTATCAATTTTTTTTAAAAAAAAGGCAATAAAGAAGACTAATAAAAAACCAAAGAATTTAGTAAATTGAAAGTAGAAACTAAAGTTATAGCAACAAATCCTTGTATACTCATTATAAATATAAATCATCTAACTAAATTCCCAAGTTAGAAGACAGAGATTACTAGATTAGGTTTAAAAATATAGTTTTATGTGTTTTATGAGACTAAAACAGAATGAAATAGAAAATTTTAAAATAAAAGAATGGGAAAAGATATATTGGGTAAATATTAGCCAAAAGAAAACCAGTGTAAAAGAAAAAGTAGGTTTTAAAACAAGAAAGCAACATCAGCGTTAGAAAGGGTAATATACAATGATAAAAAACGTTTGATCCATCAAGAAAAGGATGTGACAATTCTAAACGCATATGCAATTAATAAAATAGCCTTAAAATATATAAAGCAAAAGTTGATAAAGCCATAGGGATAAACTGATAAATCTCCCACCATGTTGGGAGATTTCGACTGATTCTTTTGTTTACAGATAGGTCCAACAGGCAAAAAAATTAGCAAAGGTGCCAATAGTTTGAATAACAAAATTAACAGGTAGAATCTAATAAAGATGTGTGGAAGTCTGTAGCCACAAATTAAAGAAAATACATGTTATATTTATTATAATATTTATTAAGTATTTAAGGAGTTTAAACCGGGTAGCAATTTCGAATGTGTTAGTTATTTTCGCATGTTACTTACAAAACTATACATGTTTTTATTGTCTCACTCCTTAGTTTTCTGTTGCTATGTAACAAATTACCACAAATATAGTCACTTAAAACAACGCAAAGGTTTCTGTAGGTCAGAAGTGCAGCATGGTATGGCTGGATCCTCTGCTTAATGTCTCACCAAGCTAAAATCAAGGTCTCCTCAGGGGCTGTAGTTCTGGAGATAAGGGTCCTTTTCCAAGCTCACTGATGAGTGAATTTGGTTTTTGGCTGTTGTAGAAGTGAGATCCCCGTTTCCTTGCAGCTGGTCTCTGCTCTCTGCTCCTGGGGCTGCCCACATTCCTTCTCAGAGGGCCCCCTCCATCTTCAAGCCAGCAGTGGCTCATGTCATTCTTCTCACACTTCCAACCTGTCTGACTTCATCTTCTATCTTTGTCTGCGCCACTATGCAGAGAAAATTCTCTCCTTTTAAGAGCACATATGATTAAATTAAGCCCACCTGGGTAATCTCCCATTTTAAGGTCCATTGTGCCATATAGCATGTTAGAACTATGGGAATGATATGTCATTAAATTCACGGGTACCAGAGATTAGAGCATAAAATATTGGGAGCCATGTCTAGAAGTTTTGCCTGCTATAAATCCTCACTTATTTTTCTCCTTGAGTCCTGTTATTTTTATTGTGTGAAATTCCATGACATGGTACTTTTGTAGAAATTCATAAACTATACTATAAGAGCAATGACTGTATGTCATAATTCCCCATATGATCATCTCTTTAACCCAAAGGTATGAGACAGACATATAGGAGTTTTGAGACATGTAGGAGATTTTGTAAATCTATCATTTTGTAGTTGATATCTGCATTGGGGTCACAGAAATAGACTATAAAATGTTAATTCTTTAAAATTTATAAAAGCTTTCCTTGAAGTCCAGTACTTAGATAACTTTTCTGAAGGTTCCATTTGTTCTCAAAATAAATTTATGTTCTACATTTGGTATAAATGTCTATTAAATTGTGTTATTAAAGTTTTTTATATTTTATTTATCGTCTGTGTTATGTTTCTGAGAGAAGTATATTAAATTTTCAACTATAGATTTTGTTTCATATATTATCCCCATAATATTGTCACTTCAAGGCTATGTTTTATGTACATACATGTATATGGCAATTATATATTCTTTTGTTTTCATAAGCTTATGCAACTTGGTTAAGGGAAAATAAATCAATTACCAGCCGAGGTATTAGATGATCACTCTTCCATTGACAACTTCCAACACTTATTCACAGGTAAGATATATTAAAGATTATATTGGAAGATAGACTAACTGTGTTGTCTTCTAACAATTTAAATGGAAATTATAAGATGTTGAAGACTATTTTTGAATCAAGGTGTTCCACAACTTCTATTTTTCTAGAGACCAAGAACAGATTATTCTTTTATTGACAAGCATAACATATATCATGTTTTGTTTTGCTTATGCTATATATTCAGCACCAATTCTTTAGCCACCTCAGTTATGAGCAAAAAGTATATCATGTACATGAAGTCTCTATTGCTGCAGGGCTTAAACAAGATGGATGCTGCTACAGCAATGATGCTTCTCCCATGTGACACCTGAGTATTCATCTCCCTGCTGCTCAGAGGATCTCCTTAGCAGGTTAAAGCAGTGAGGAATGGTTTTAGCATCATTAACTAAGTTAGATTGAAGTATTGGACACATAATATACAAGTTTCCATATTGACAAATTCTGAATCTTAGCTACCTATTCTTTTGCAACAGCTTTACATTTTCTGAAAGCAGTTACTGTCCAAAGTTAGAAACAAGTCATTTTGGTTGAGCGTGTACTTGAGTAAAGAGATGTAAAAAAAATTAAAATGTAAAAGAAGAATTCATATAGGAGAGTTGCCAGATTAGAAAATTAAGAAGTGCCAGTTATTTAAAGTTTATCTCTCCTGTAATGCAGGCTTTTTTTTTTTTTTTTTTTTTTTTTTTTTTGAGACAGAGTTTCACTCTTGTTGCCCAGGCTGGAGTGCAATGGCACAATCTTGGCTCACTGCCACCTCTGCCTCCCGGGTTCAAGCGATTCTCATGAGAGCTCCCGAGTAGCTGAGATTACAGGCATGCACCACCACACCTGGCTAATTTTGTATTTTTAGTAGAGACAGGGTTTCTCCATGTTGGTCAGGGTGGTCTTGAACTCATGACCTCAAGTGATCCACCCACCTTGGCCTCCCAAAGTGCTGGGATTATAGTCATGAGCCACCGCGCCCGGCCTAATGCAGGCTATTCTAACATTAAAGTAGTATCATTGCATGTCATACTTCTGAAACTGCCCCCAAGATATTTTATTGATTTTTCTTTGTTTTTGATTTTCAGGCAATCTCTGATAGTAGAGGGTTATCTTCGTTTGGATCACATAGCACTGGAAAATAGTGGATAAAAGAACCTTTGAAATAGTTTAAGCAGACTACATTGATGTTAAAATATCAAGACAAATATTGCCGTTACTGTTAACATATGGATGATAAATTATTTTAAGTGCAATCTTAAGTGGTTTCAATGCAACCTTAGGTTGATTTATAAGAAAATAAATTTTCACAAAGTAAGCACTACTTGATATGGACTATTAGGTCCCATAATTGTGACTTGCCAATAACACTTATCATTCCTGACCAGATCTGCAGAGCATTGTGCTAGAGGGTCACGGGCCAAAGAGCTAAGTTTCAGTGCCATGTGTTGCCTTTATTTGATCTGGCTCTGTACCCTCTTGGTGTGGGCACAAGATTTGGACTAAAATACTTGATTTTGGCTGGTAGGAAGGCAGGAAGGGTGCCTTTTAACTAAATAAGCGGTAAGTTGGATAGGGAAGACAGGACCAGGGGCCAGTCATAGGATAAGCAGGAGAGGGCAGTGGAAGTTTGTGGGCAACAGAAACCCTCAGATGTAGAGATGCAAAGAGAATCAAAGCATCCCCACCGTTATAAGTTCTTTTGCTTCTGTGCCTTTTATTTGCGTAGGCTATTAGTTCTTGTTTCTTACTATAATTTCTAGCCTTAAATCCTAGGTTATATTTTGACTCAACCCTGTTTGTTGGGCATGAGGAAAATTAGAGACACATTCTGGGGTTTGGAGTGAATACACTGTCTGGTGGGGGAAGCCTCTGCATCATCTGCAAGTAATGGAAGCACTTGCCTGAAGTAGGGAAGAGTTGGACACCTTTGCAGGTCCAATGGTTCAGGGGAATCTAGGGATCAAAACATGTTACTGCACTAACCCAGTTGACCCCATCATGTCAGGGTCCCAGTCTTTCCCAATCGGGGCCCTAATTTTGCCTGTGTTGAGAACTTAACCTTCTCTGGATCTTAGTCCTGATCTTCAGTTTTCTTTCCATCCCCCAAGGAAGCCTTCTGGTTTTCACCCAGCTTTTAATTGATGATCACCATCACCATCTTTCTCTACAGTTTCAATTGTCCCCAGCAACAGCCCTTCAATTCCATTGTTTTTAAACTCCTATTTCCTCTATATTTCCTCAACAGCTGACTATTGCACTCCTTCCACCGGTATACCATCCCAGTTCACCACTTGTGAACATTTTAGCAGTTGTGCAGCAAACTTGTGCTAGGTGCAGTCTGTGCTCCTCCACCTGCCCTGATGGTGTCCTTGATCTGACTCCAAAATTCTATTTTAGTGTCTACTGTCCTGGACCTTTCTTGGTAGTACCTGTTGTAGGTTGAGATCCTCCAATAGCATGTTCTGAGACAGAGATGAGTGTGTAGGGATTTTATTAGAAAAAACTCTGAGGATCAGCCTCATCGGGGTAGGGTAGACAGCAGGATCAGTAGAAGGAGAATCTGGGCTGCAGTGCAGTTTTAACAGAGGCCCCAGCCAACCACACAAGAAAGAGCTGAGAGTCTGGGATGGCCTTTTGGCATTGTCCCCATTGGCCTTTTGGGACAGAGGATCTGGTTCCTTATACCTCTGCAATGACCAGATGTTGGGTACAGTTTGCCCTGGGAATGGGGTATGATCTTGAGCTCTTCAGCTGAGGACAATTTCTGGAGAGCACTGACAGCTGAAGGCACTGTGTGCAGCTAGCTGGGTGAAGGGTGATGTGGGCACATTTGTGCCTTCCAGGAAGATGCCAGCAACTCTTGCTAGTTATTACCTTGTTACCTGCTTTTCTATTTCCTAGAGTTGGTATGAAGATTAGAGAGAATGTGGAAAGTGCCTGGCACAGAGTTGGTGCTCAATGTATTATTATTAATAGTAGTATTAATATTAGTATGTATATCTTTATAGTACTTTGCCATGTATTTTTTGTAGTTGTAATCAGCTAAAATTAAGCATATATTTCATGTTGCCACATAATCCTTATAACCATGATTTTGATTGGTGCTTCAAATGTAATTCCAGTGGGTTGATCATAATTTACTATTTTTACTTTGTGTATAGTTTCATGTCTTTGCAGTTATAATACTGAATTGGACATCTTCATGCATCAGTATTTTTCCAGGCATCAGATTATTTTCTTAGGCTAGATTCCCAGAAGTGTCATTACTGAATTAAAAATATTTTGATAGCTTTTGATTAAGAGTGCTAAATTGCTTTACAAATATATTGTAATAATTTTATGGCCACTAGCAATATTAAGAATATCAATTTTCCTGAAGCTGTATCAATAATGGGTATTATCAGTTTTTTTATCAAAATCAGGTGAATAATTTCAATTTCTATTTCTTTAAGTGAATTGAATATTTTTATAAATATTTACTAATACTGTAGTATACTCTCTTTCATGAACTATCCTTTCATGCCCTTTATCTACATATTTATTGGGATATTTTTTTTTTTTTTTTTTTTTTTTTTTTTTTTTTTTGAGACGGAGTCTCGCTCTGTCGCCCAGGCCGGACTGCGGACTGCAGTGGCGCAATCTCGGCTCACTGCAAGCTCTGCTTCTATTGGGATATTATTAATGCTTTAAAATAATTTTGTGAGTTCTTTATATAATTATACTATTCATCCAATGCTTTATTCATCATGCTTTGTGAGCCTGTTATTTGCTTTATTCTACACTATGCTTTAGCTATATAACACTTTAGGTCTTCAGGTAGTTGTATTTGTTGATCTTTTACTTTGTAACACATTCTTCATTTTATAGCATAGTACCTCATATCATCTTAAGGATTCTCATAAATATTCACTTTTATTCTTTTAATTTTTCTGTTTTTTTTTTTAGTCAACTAATTCATTCAGAATTTATCTTACCTGTGATATGATATGAGAATATAAACAGTTAACCAGGTATGACAGCGCTGTTTTATTTGTAAAAGTTAGTTGAAAGGGGTGAGGTGGAGTTGGGCTGACAAGATAGAGAGGAATTTGGGAGATAAAGCCCAGCGCTGGGAAGGAGCAGAGTTGATAGAGGTGGATCAAGGAAGCCAGGTCAGAGTGTTCTGTTGAGTTTGGTTTCTGATGCATTAAACTATTCCGGTGAAAATGAAGCTAGATAACTCCGTGTTAAGGAAGGATGTGCAGCAGCGCTTGACTGACGGTGTGCAAGTTCCCACTTAGTAAGGTCATGCTAAGAAAATGTCCCCTTCCATGTGTCCAAAGTGTTCTGCTGCTCTGGGGCCCTTATGCAACCAGATTGGAAGCCAGCCCGTTGAGAAATCATTCCTTTTCCCTTGATTGGTAATCTTGTATTTTCTTCTAGTTTCTATTTATTCTATGCTTTGGTTAAGCTGTTTATTTTTGCATCAGTACCAGAATGTTTGAATTATTGACATTTTACTCTGTGTTCTGGTTTTGGGAAGGGCTTCTTTCATCCCATTTTATGTTTTTAATATAATTACATTTTCTTAAACTTGATTATTTTTCCAAATTAAATTTACCATAATTGGATCCAGTTTAAACAAACAAACAAACAAACAAATAAAACCCCTATTGGGATATTTATTGAAATTGCTTTAAAGCATAATATGTTAATTGGAAAGAATTGGCATCCTTAAAATATTTAGGCTTTTCATAAAGAAACATGCTGAGTCTTTCCATTAGTCAAGTTTTATTTTATATCTTTCAGTAAAACACTTGAGGCTTCTATCCCCACTTCTCCCAATCTAGGTCACACATTTCCCATTAAGATTCTATCTTAGTAGTTTGTATTTTTGGTTTTATTGGGAATGGTTTTTTCATCCTCTGTGAAATGTTCTATATCTTTATGTAGCAATTTTATTGATTTTAAAAATTAACTCAAATATTTTTTTCAATGGATTGTTATAAGTAGTAGTAATTTTCCTATTTCCTTTTAAATATATATAACTTTTTTTTCCATCTCCCTCTTATTACTGGCCAGCTATCTATGAACATATTTGTTTTGTGCCTGATTTTACTAGTACTATCTCTAATGGCATCAGCTTTAAGCATGATATTGCCTGTTGGTTTAAATCAAATGTTTATATGTTGAGTGACACATGCTTCTATTTTCACTACTTGAAGATGTTTTATAAATAGTGGGTAGTGAATTTTATCTGCTATATTTCTGTCTTTTTATGATAAGATTATATGGTTTTTCTTACTTGGCATATTGCTAAAATTATTGTTATTTCTGGTACTAATCTGTCCTTGTCTCCCAGCAATAATCCCTATTTGATTATAATAGTCAGGTCTTTAAGTTAGCTTTCAAATTTCATTTACTCTTATAGTTGAGATTTTTATGTCTGTATTTGTAAATGATATTGGTTTATAAGTTTTTATCCTGCATATTGCAGGTTTTGTGTCATTTTTATACTTGCTTGGAACTGTGTAGCTTCTCATTCTATGTTCATCAAATTTTATAGACATTTGTAATGGTCTTTTTTGTTTGTTCTTAAGGTTTTAAAAATCTCACCAATAAGAGAAACTTATGCCAGAGATGTGAGAGAGGCACAGCTGTCTGTTTAAACATGTTTACCTTTGCTTATTTCATATATATATATATATATATATATATATATATATATTTTTTTTTTTTTTTTTTATTTTTATTTTTTTTTTTTTTTGGAGACGGAGTCTCACCCTGTCGCCCAGGCTGGAGTGCAGTGGGACAGTCTCAGCTCACTACAACCTCTGTCTCCTGAGTTCAAGCGATTCTCCTGCCTCAGCCTCCTGAGTAGCTGGGATTACAGGCGCCCGTCACTACACTCAGCTAATTTTTTGTATTTTTAGTAGAGACAAGGTTTCACCATGTTGGCCAGGCTGGTCTCGAACTCCTGACCTTGTGATTCACCCGCCTCGGCCTCCCAAAGTGCTAGGATTACAGGCGTCAGCCACCGCACCTGGCCTATTTATTATAATCTTTAAGTTTTATATTAAATTAATTTGGTAGTTTTTTTCAGAATATTATTAATTTCTTTAATGTTTTTGTATATAACAATATTCTCATTCTTTTAACCTATATATTGTATGTCATAGATCCTTTCATTTTAAAAAGGTTTTTGGTTTTCTCCCTGATTTCATATGCCATAGATTTTATTTGTAATTTTAAAAAATATCCAGGAACTCGTTCTATTTATTTACAAGTCCAAACACAAAAGCTGCGTGCCCACAAATGATTAGGAAATGAGCAGTAGAATTATTAAATGAAATTAGTAATCTGATGCCAGTCTTCTCTTTCCTTTGTAGATAATCATTTTTCTTCAATCTGGAAAACTAAAGATTTCCTTTTTATCCTCAAAATGTATATTTCCCCTGGTTACGCTTAGGTCAAATTCTTCAACAATAATACTCTTTCAACTCAGTTGGCTCTTTTTAAAATAGAGTCAAATCTTTCTTGGAAACATTTTCTGCTATTCTTTTAAAGTCCTGTAGCTTCTGTTTAAAATGTAGCTTTTATTTTTTTCAAAGTTTTATGTGCACATTGTTTAAAGGGTCTAATAATTCTACAAAGCTTGCTATGAAACACATCCCTCTTCCCACCAGCCAATCCCACCCCCGCATAACTTTCTGCTTCTCAGAGGCTTTCTACTTTCATAACATTTAGTTCTTTCATGTCCATATTTTTCAATAACATGCTTTTTTTTTTATTACTTCTTGAGTCTTCAGTTTTTGGCATTTTCTGTTGCTTTCTCATTATTGAAGTTGTTTTAGCACTCCTCCTCCTCATTCCTTCCATACACATGCACACGCCCTGTTCCCCATTATCCTGATTTAATATATTAATGTTTTGAGTAGATCATTTTTATTATTTATCTTATGATGACAATGGGGTATTATTCAAAACATTGAACAAAATATTTATAGGCACCAACCAGACAGGATCCCCCAAGACTCTTACTATGCCAGTTATTAATCCTCTAGTTCCTCATTTATGAGAAGGACCTAGGGTTCCTTGGGAAGAATTTAGGATGAAAGGGGGCTCCGGGCAGCAGATTTTCACCAATCAGTAGTATTTTAATATACCAGTTTGTAGGTACCGAATATAAGCCAGTTTATGATTAGAAAGCTCTTCGCAACCAACCATCTAATATGGTTACTTTTCCTTTCTTGAGCTACGTCGTTTTGTTTTCTCTAGAGCCAATGTTTATCTTATTTATTCATTAGCTTACTTTTCTGTGGATATAACTGCAAGTCAATTCCAAAGTTTACACTGGTTTTCTACAGCTCCTTTCATTTTGGTATTAATCAGTGTAGGCTAAGCTAAGCTAAGCTATAATGAACAACGCTAGAGAACCAGAGGACTCTAATAACAGAGGCTTATTTCCTTCCCGCTTTACGAGTGCGCTGCGGGTTGGCAGGGTCTCTGCTCCTTATCTCTTTACTCCAGGGCCTAGGCAGATGAGCCTCTATCTTCAGGAGCGTGAGAAGTTGCTGACGCCCGCGGAAGGGGGACGTGGTCAGGCACTAGCTCTTACAGGATTCCTCTTGCACCATTAGCCAGAGTCAGTCACATTGCCATCTCTGATTTCAAGAGACAGAGAAACGTGCACTATAACTGTGAGCCCAGAGGAAGGAGAAATGAAATATCTGATGAATGATACTATGGGCTATCGCAGCTGTGTTCAGCAAATTAACTATTCTATTTTGTCTCCTTTCCTGGAATCTTCTGATCAGTTCCAAACTGGACTGGTTGCCCAAAGGCCTGCGACAAAGCTGTTGTCTTGGAGTCGGCAGCTAAGGGGGATTCCTTAGCTCTTTGTTTGTACGGAATCCGTTTCCTCAATTCCATTTCTTCTCTTAGTTGATTTTTTCCTGTGTTTTAATCAAGCACGTATTCTAGAAACTACCTGAGAAAGAATCTGTGGAAGTAAAATGTTTGAGACCTTTGCTGTGTGAAAATGTCTTTATTGTACTTATATATTTAACTGAAAGTTTGGCTGGGCATACAGTTATACATTGGAAAGGCATTGCTTCACTGTCTTCTCACTTGTGGTATTTGTGTTTAGAATGCTATTATCATTGCAATCTCTATTGCTATGGCTTTTTATCTTTCTTTTCAATACTTTACGAAACCACTGTTACTCAAATATTAGAATACCTGAACTAGTCTTCTGATTTTCTTACATTTTCCCTTTATTTTCTATCTCTTTGTCTTCTTGTTTTACTTTTTGTGAGATTTCCTCAACTTTATATTTCATCCTTTTCTTTACTGTCATTTCAATGGGGTTCTAGTATTGCTAAATGCGTGTTCAAATTTCTTTACTTAATAAAAAAAATCTGATTATTGCTAGTTTAGGTTTTCTTTCCCTGTCAAATTCTGGTGTAAAAGAATTAGATCTACTGAATCCATTTTCTTTGCTTCTTATATGTTCTCTTGAAATTTACATTTGTGCTTTTAGCTATAAAAGAATTTCACCAGCATGCCTTTTAAATGATTTCCTCTTTGTCTTTTTTTAGTAACTTTTTTGCTACTCACTACTTTTATTCAATTCTTTTTTAAAGATAGAATGATTTAAAACATTTTCCAATAACTCTTCTGTATTATGCAATAACTTTTCTGTATTTTCCATTGCTCCACTTGCTCTTGTTTTATTGAATACGCAAATATATATATTCAAGAAGAGTGATATATAATTTCCCGAATTCAGTCTATTTCAATTGGAACTATTTGCCTCAAAATTTTCAGCTTGGTTCACCTCTTTCAAACTGTTGGTCTTTTCACTTATCCCACAATTTTTTGTTATCTTATTTTATGAGTGGAAATTTTCATAACTGAAAGTCTCATTTTTATAGATCAATCAGGACTGAAAGCTGCTACAGATTTCATCAAGAATTACAGGAATTCTTGTAATTGTAGGAGTGTTTCTTAAGCTTATTCTCTTCGTCATTCATCAAAAGACAGTTGCTATTTGGCTACTTCAATTTTATTTTGGAGCAGTCTTTTTTTTTTTTTTTTTGAGCAGTCTTTTTTGATTCAACTAGAGTCATCTCCAATGTTATCCTATTGAGAACAGGAAGCAGTTATTTCCTAACATTGGTATTGTTTTGGAGTAAATCAATTTCAAAGAAAGAATTCTATTCTGATGCTGCAAGAATTCGTTCTTACTGTCTTTCACTGGGTCCTTTTCCTTTCCCTTTCCCTTTCCTTTCCTTTCCTCAGGGTCTTACTCTGTTACCCAGGCTGGAGTGCAGTGGCAAAAGCACAGTTCCCACTGCAGCTTCAACCTCCCAGATGCAAGCGATCCTCCCACCTCAGCCTCCTAAGTAGCTGGGACTACCAGCACATGCCACCATGCCCAGCTAATTTTTAAATATTTTTGTATAGATGGGGTCTCTCTATGTTGCCCAGGCTGGTCTCAAACTTCTGGGCTCAAGTGATACTCTCGCCTTGGCTTCCTGAAGTGCTGAGATTACAGATGTGAGCCATCATACCCAGCCTGACTATTTTCATAGACTTCATTTTCTTCTTTTCCTATTGGTTCATTCTCAAGCAAGGAGAAGTGTTGGCCCCGTAGTGGCAAGGAGTCAGGAAATGAGGTTCGCCATCAGCCACTTCATGTTCTGCCCAAGCACTGTGCATTCCTTTTCTCAGGTCAAACAGAGCAATTCCTGTCTTGTAGAAAGAATTGTATGCTCAGCTCCAGGTACTTCCAAACCTCCATGTCAGCACTGTCCAAGAAAACTTACTGAAATGATACTATATCATCACAATATTATATTTGCTCTGTCCAATAGAGTAGCCACATGTGGCTATTAAGCCCTTAATATGTGGCTAGTGTGATGGAGGATCTGAATTTTAGATTTAATTTAAATTAATTTGAATTTGAATAGCCGCATGTAGCTAGTAGCTACCATATTGGAGAACAGAGCTCTAGGCAACTCACAGCATTGAGATTGAGGAGAAAGTCCCCATTGCAGGAGTAATTCTTATTTCAGTTGGAAGGGAGATGTCAGCCAGAAGCCAATGGCCTTCTAAGATCCTGGGTCCACAGAAGCAGAAGGAAGCTTCCAGTGAGACTGAGAGGTCTTTTGGTTTAAGAAAATGTAGATTCAAAGGATATTTGAACTTCCTGCATAGAAAGTACACATGCTTCGGTATAGTGACCCAAATGCTCATTGGAGTTGGAGAAAGATACATGGGACTCCAAGAAGTTAGCTTGACAGTCACTGATTTTTAATCCGTGACCCACCACTTTATAAATTCCCACCAGCATCTGCATATGGTTGTTTCTTGCTTCTCGTTGTGGCTACACAAAAGTCTTCTTTTATAAGGCTTAACAGGTACTATAAGGAATCTCTGGGAAAAAGATTTCCTTGTACTTTTACTGCTTAGCCATCTTCCCGGAATTCTTCTGACTTTATTTTTAAATTTGGAGAAACAGAAGTTATCAGCCAGGCAGATAAATTGATTAGTTTGATCATCTAGGGAGTGAGAGCTTGTAAAAGGCATTTGTTTGAGGGCTCCGGTTAATCTTGACAGCACCTTGCCATCTGACACTCAATTTAATGTGAAATTCAGAGAGAAAATAGAAAAGGAATGGTGCAGGTGTCATCTGTTAGCACTTCGAAGACAAGGTCACTTCTATCCTGCCTGCTGGGACCCTCCCCATCCCATTCAGATTCTGCAGTCTCTGGTCACTTTACCCTGAAACTCAGCAAAACATCGTCCCACCAGGCTTCACCCTAATCAGATTCTTTTTAAGTGCAAAAGATTAGTTCCATGATTACATCCTCAAAACTCCATCCACTTGGCACTGTGGCCAGGTTCCCAAACAACCTACAGACTTACTGTCAGTGAGTTCTGTGAAACGGGTGGCACACCAGGATGGACTTATTTGCTTTCTGCTTTAAGTAGAAAAATTGGATTTAGAACGCTTTTCCTAATCTGGATCTCTGCAATATATAATAAACTCCTTACATCTGTCACCATCAGCATTCTCCTTGCAGTCTTTACCTTTTATGTTTCAAAGGGGAAAGACAGGAGTGCTCTTTCTTTCTCTTCCTATTCATGCACTGTCTTGGGACAGCTAGCCTTGAGAATTCGTGACATCTTCCTGGCCGGGGTGACGGGAGACCGGAACAAATTTAGGATTGTCCTCTATATCAGCCATGTTCTATCCCTATTAACTCTAAGAAGCAACTCTTGATGTAGAAGCTTCTAACTGTTTGGAAACTTTTCAGACAGAAAAATAAAAGTCAAGCCTCATAGTCTCTGAAGACATTCTTTATTGGGAACATGGATTACATCCTAGAGGCAATGTTTTCAAAGTAGGGACTGAAGTCCACTTGCACCAGAATCATCTCTTGTGCTAGTTAAAATGGGCATTCCCAGGCCTCACTCCAGGCCCCACTGAATCAGAATCTCAGGGCTCCATCTGCATTTTAAAACCTGCCCCGGTGATTTCTATGCATTGTGAGAAATACTCTGAAAGAAGTAATGTTATTAAAGAATTCATTCAGTGGTCACTCTTAGAGGCTGGGGAATTAGACAGCAGTCTTTTCATCAGCAGAGAAGTGTTCCAGTGCAGAGTGAGGTGTGAAACGTTAAGAATGAAAGAGGCAGCAGTTTTAAGTCTTGTGCCATTATTTGCTTGCTATGGGGCCGTACAAAATCAATTTAGCCTTCCTGACTTGGTTTCCTCATTTGCAAAGAAATTAATGCTTGCTTCACGGGCTTGATGAGGTATGAATAGAAATCACCTGGTACAAAGCGAGCACTTGATGAACATTTTCTATTATGATTTCTCAACAGATGCTATGTTTAAAGAGGTTTTATGTCTGAAATAACTTGATTTTATGAAGCAATAATATGTTTATTCAACAGAGACATATACATCTGCCAATTAGAGTTCCGATGAGCTTAAGTTCTTCCACTGATGTAATTCCTATCAGTTGCGAAGGATTTTGGTGTCTCAGACTGAACATTGACATTTGAGTTTTTTGAAATTTTCAAGTAGCTCCTATATCCTCATTACTACAAATCTTTGTCAGTTCCTACTGATACCTAAGACTAGTTGGCAGCTGCAAGATTTTAGGCTCATGGGTAGCTAACAGGAGCCAAATATCTCCATGTCTTGAGAGAACAATTCAAGAGGGCTGAATTCATAAGGCCACAGTTAGGTCACCAGGATCACTCTATGTTAGGGCTGTCGATTGAACATTACTCATCTTTTTCCCTGCAGAATTTTCTGGGGACTTGGGAGCTTATTTTGCCCTTCAGAAATATCTTTATTCATGTTTTACAGGTTAGTTTTGGGAGTAAGATTCACCTGGGGGATGGGAAGTCAGGGATCTGGCTCCTCTCTAAGGAGAAGTCTGAAGTACAAAAGGGCAGGTCCAGCTGGGGGCTCTAAGTGTTCTCCAGGTTTCTCAGAGGTGCCCGAGAAGTCTTAGGGGAAGGAAGCTAAGATCTGCCTTTCACAGCCCTTTTCAAGCACAGCCACTCTGCAGGTAATCTGTTTCATGTTTTAGTATCCATGTATGAATTTGTTTGAAAAAAGAGAGTCATTGTAAAACACTGAGCAACAGTCATTGAAAATTATCGATGTGGTCCAACCCATTAAAGTTTGAACTATGACTGAACAAACCGAATTTCCATCAGGGAGCTTAAATGCCTAGAGTAAGAACTCATGGTTGGATTAAGGCAATCACTGTGCTTGGCTAGCTGCCTGTCTATCTATCCATCTATTTGTCCATCCATATCTGTGAAATGGCATCATTTCTTACATTTTAAAGATGAGGAAACCAAGATGTAGAGAGGTTGTGTCTTGCCCAAGTTCACACAATTAGTAGCTGGCAGTAGTAGAAGCTGGGATTCCAGAAGAGATAGTCTGACTCCAGGACTCACACCTTTATCCTCTAGGAAAATCTAAGAACATTTTACCAGGAAGTAGTTTCAGAACTACACCTAAAATGATAAGAATTATTTTAAATAAGAGGTGGGAGAGGATTGTGGGGAAAACATTCCAGGCAGTGCCCAGTACAGACAAAGTACTGAAAGCCTATTAACATGATAAAAACGCAGTGTGGAGCCACATTTCGTAAAGGTTTTATAATTGCTATCTCAAAGAGTGAGACTTTAATTCCTAGTGCACACAGACTAGAACTTAGCTCTTAACTATTAAGCGAAGATGCGCTGGGAGACAGCATGAGGATTGGGGTCAGTGTCTGCCACCTCCCAGTTGTGCAACACCAGGCAAGCTACTTAATCCCTCTGTGCCTCAGTTTCCTCATCTCTAAGATGGGAGCGTAATAGCCACTTCACAATGATATTATGAGGATTCAATGGCGTAGTATACATAGAGGCATTAAGGGTAATACCTATCCTATGATAAGTAATAAATGGTTGCTAATTATTTGGATTAACTCTCAATCTAATAAGACAAGCTTATTTTTTGAGCACTGATACGTGTCGGGCATGGCACCAAACACTACATAGGCATTATTACTCTTTACAACAACAGCTCTATGAAGCAGCTGCTATTATCTCCCTGATTTGCAAAGGATGAAACTGAGGAGGAATACAGTATTGATTTTAGTGTCTGATTCCAGAGCTCTTAACTATTATGTGGCCCTGTCCCCTTTACAGGACACTGCGTGGGAATTTCAGCAAGTTTTGATGTAGACAGGAGGTTCACTGGAGAGAGAGATATTTGGAACAAATGGGCTTTATAACAACCTCTTGAAATTACACCAACGAGATGATAACCCAATTATTGGGTCTTATGCCTCTTGAAGGGTCTGTAGTCTCTTGTATAAGGTCTAGGGTTTTGCTTTTTGCATACTCTTAACTCTTTTACCAGCCATTCCATGAACGTATTTTATTTTTTTACATCTTTGTAAAAGGCTATATAAGTTAGCTTTCACAGTCTACCCTGATATCCCGTGACTTAAACCCTCAACCATTTATTTAGCTCATGATTCTGTAAATTGGCAGACCAGGCTGGGCTCAGCTTTGTGATTCTTCTTTTGATCCTGGCTGGGTTATGTATAAAGTCAGCTGCCAGATCTGCTGGGGCTTGTTGGTCTGATAGGATATTCAGTGGGGATGATTCATTTGGTCTTTCATTTTTCTAGGGTGCTAATCTGGGTTTATTCTTGTGGTGGGAGAACAGTTCCAAGAACTAGAAGAGAGAGAACAAACCCCAGTGTGCAAGTACTTTTAACGTTTCCACATTTTGAAAGTCTGCTGTTGTCTCCATGGCCAAAGCAAGTCACATGACCACTCTGAGAGTCAGTGTGGGAGGAGGCTGCTGAAGGGAGTAATGCAGGCACATGAAAAACTTGGATGCAATGCAGGAATAATCTACCACCTAGGCTTTAAAAAGTTAGCCACAGTGGCTCTGCAGAGCGGCTGCATAGTCACAGGTTTGGAAGGATGCTGGAGGAAAGCATCTTTTGTTAAGTTGCACTGGGTACTCAGCTTTTACTTGGGAGCAGTTAGACACCTCTTTGGTGTGACCGTGGTATCAGATGGTACCAGAAGGTGGCATGACACATCAGGGACCATACACTCTTAAGTTGTCCCCTTCCCACCCTCCATGTCCAGCCCTTCAATCTAAAGGAGGACTCACCAGAGACAGCATTCTAGTAGCTAGTGAGGGCTGAGCTGTGGAATGACTGATTGTACTATTATCTTTACCTTATTATTATTATTTTTTGTGCACACAGGCTGGCATGGCCTGAAGAAAAAGCTGATATATCCATTAGAATTTATGCAGCACTTAAGATATCTCAATAAAGTCATCTGCAACCCTCTCCAATCACTATCATTCTAAAGGACCACCTAAGTTGATCTTGCTTACCCTTGAAATAAGATTGTGGTGGTATCACCCTACAAACTCACTTGGGTAATAAATTTCAGGCTTACATTCAATTTAGTTACCATATTAATGGTTTCTGTAGTTTATTTTTTGCTCAACCGTATGTTATGTCCCATTTTATTTCATGAAGAAAGAAAATGCTGTAGGGTTTTTGAGGACCTTAGTATCTGGTATCCAGCCACACACACATAACGATACAACCCATTACTCAATGCTGGCCATTCTGGGAAACACAATAAAGAGTCTGGTGAAAATAATTTTTCAAAAGTACTTCTTGTCCTCCTGTGATTTCAATATAAATGTCGGTATTATAATAAAATCCACCAGAACAGGAAAAATTCCTTAGCTCTTTGTAAATATCTTAAGAAATAGTATGATAATACTTTCATACCCTGAAACTTGGGGCTGAAAACAAAAATGTAATGATCGGATTCCATGGGAATGAGATGATGGCATCCATCCAGGCTCAGCAGTGTTTACTGCTGCTACTGCTGTGTGTCATCAAATTCTGGATTTTGATTGCAGTTTTGATGCCACAGACCTTGCGTGGAAAGGCCCCTTTTGCATATGCAGTTTGCTTACAGTTTCCATAGATACCTTTAAGGAGAGTTTGAGGATTTCAGGATTCAGTGCCCTAGGGACATGTTGTTGTTGTTGTTAAACCATCAGCTGAGTTCATTCCAATAAGCATTAGTATAGTTCCTTCTGGGCTAGGTTCTGTAGCTGGTTCTGAGCCAGGCATATACACAGCCCTGACCTGTGGAAGCTTCAAATCTGGTAGAATTCAGTGACAGAGGCAGGCCTGTGGGATGAAATAACAACTTTGATAAAGATACCAAGAAGTACCCAGAAGAGAGGAATACATTGTAGAGTGGGGAGGCAGGAGAACAGAGAGGAGATGTTTAAGGGGTATTTTGAAAGATAAACATTAAAGGACATTCTGTTTGACTTGGTGAAAACTGAAGATTAGAAAGCTTGAGCGGACTACTAGGTCTGGAGAGACAGTGAACTAGTTTTTTAACTACCTAAATATGCTTGACAAAACAGCTAGACTATCTAAATATACTTAACAAAATGTTGATATATGATAATTTTAAAATAAAAGTTAAGCATACCAGAAAGCAAGAGAAACTCCCCATGGTTGAGAATGTAAGGGGAGTAGGAGTCCGGAGAGGTAAGTGATGGTCAAAGTTGCTGAGTACCAATAAATTCCAGGTTAATCAAGAGCTCTGGCTTCAGTAGCTGTGCCTATGTGTAAGGGAGGCAGATAAAAAGACCTCACTCGGGAGAGAAGCCAGTGGTGTAATCCTGTGGTAAAGCTGGGACCGATGAAGGACAACATTCTCAGGGAAAGAGTGAACTGGAAAAAAATGTATATGCCAAAGAGTCAGATGGCAAAGAACCTTGACTGATTTAAACTGGCTATTGAAGGGTGGAGAATGTGGCAATATACCAGCTTTAACATAGGTTCAAGGCCTGAATTCACAGTGTTTGCATGGTCTAAATAACCACAAGCGAAGAATTCAAATTTAAAGCAGACTCAGCAGGAGTGAACACAAATTTCTAAAGGAACTCAGATTCGATTCATTCATAAAGAATTTTCATAGGCTGAGTTCCAGTGAGCATGAGCTCAGAAATGGCAAAACATACAAGAAAATAAAGCATCATGAGTGAGAGTCAACAGAGACAGCCAGTAACAGCAAATAATTACCTTGAGTGTTTAACATGTTTAATACATTTAAAGAAATAAAATAGGAAAGCAAAAATATGAATAAGGAGTGAAAGGCTATCAAAAATGACCTGTCATACCTGAAGAAGTACTAAATAGAATGTCTAGAAATAAAAAAGTAATTGAAATAAAAAATTCAGTGAAATAATAGCCCTAAACTAAAAAAAAGCAAAAATTCATCAATAGCAGAAGGAGTAAATTGTGATATATTCATATAATGGAACGTTACAACACAATGAAAAGAGAAAAATATTGCTAATGCAACACCATGGATAAACATCATAGTCAAAATATGAAGCCAAACAAGCCAGATACAGAGCATATGTACTATATGAGTCCATGTATAGAAAGTTCAAAAACAAGCAAAGCTAATCTAGGTTGATTGTGGTCAGAATAGAGGTGACCTCATGTGGTAGGGTGCTGTTTGAGAAGTGGCTAGAGGGAGGGCCTCTGGGGTGCTGGAGATGTTCTACATCTTGATACAGATGGTGGCTACATGAGTGTGTACACCTGTAGTGTCATCAGGCTGTCCCTTTAAAGATTTGTACTTGTACATTATGTGAGTTGTATCTCAATACAAAAGCATAAAAACTTAAATGGCCCTATCTTCCAGTTCCTTTGACCCCCAAGACCAGAATAGACACAGCCAAAGAGAAAATTAGTGAACTGAAACTGAGAGAAATACACAAAATTCAGCACAGAATGGAAAAGACATGAAAATGACAGAGACGTTAAAAGACAAATGAGGCAAGGGTGAGGTCTAAGCAGAACTCTAAAAGATATAGAGAATAAACAACTTCTAAGAAAGACTCAGATCCTTTGATTCAGGATATCTAATAAACTCCATGCAGGATAAATAAAAGAAATCTACACCAAAATGCATCACAGCAAAACTACAGGCCAAGGAACCTAGAAACTGCCCAGGTGAAAATAGAGATTGCCTACATAGGATGGTCAGACCAAGGAAGTCTTCTCAACAGTAATGTTGCAAGCTGGTAGAGTATGATGATATCACCAATGCCTTTGAAAGAAAGTAACTCTCAACCTAAAATGATTAACTGAGTGAATGAGGGCAAAATAATAATAATTTAAACATTAGGCAAACAAAGCAAAACTAAAAAATACAGATTTTTACTACCAACAGACCGTCATTCAAGGAATTGCTAAAAATGTACTCTTAAAAGAAAAAAATGATTACAGGACTGAGGTACAAGAAGGAATGAACAGCAAAGGAATATTAAATAGCAAGGTGTATATACAACATGGGAAGTATTTGGTTCTCTCTCTCTCCACACACAACACCACACACACACACACACACACACACACACACACATAAAATAAAGAACTAGAGTGTTGTGCAGGCAGGCAGGAGGCTTATGCTAAAGCAGGGCATACTGACTACAGTTAGTTGAATTGAAATGGACTCCCCCTCCGTATAAGTCTATTTTATATCATGAGTTGGGAGTTTTGTTACATTCCATGGAATTTCTAGAATTGCCACTGGACATTGACCTTGTTAGATGAATTAGTTCTGCCATATCTAACAATTTTCAATGTTCCCTTCTTGGTAGTTGTTGAAAATAGCAAGCCCATAATAAGATAAAGACAGATTTTATTCTTATAATGCAAGTAAAGCCTAGAGATTAATTAAACAGATTTTATTCATTTACATAATTAGAAAATTGTTTGCAACATCAGTCCTAATAAACTTGGATTTGTTTCACAAATGGGATGATTGGTTCTGGGATAAATATATGTCCTTTGCAAATACTTTTGATATTGATGGAGGGCATGGCCTCTTAAGGAGCAAATGATACAAATGCCTGCCCTTTGAAGGGTGCTCGGTGCTGTATAAACATTCAGTATTACTCTCAGTCACGGCGAGGTGAGTACAGCACCCTGCAGCGGGTGGAAAGGGTGGCTGCTGGCTGCCTCAGCTGATAATTCAAGAAACCATTTTCTTGGCATTCAGCTATCATTGTTGTAATGACAGACTGGTGGTTTTAAACCTTGACCTCAATTTTCTAGTTCTTCCATGACCCCACAGCTCCCTTCCATCTTAAACATTCCTTCAGTGGCCTTTAATTCCTTAGTGAATATTTTAACCTAAATAAAATTTTCATCTTTTCCACCTTCAAGAGACAGCTCAGAGCTCACCTTCTCTGTAAATTCTGCCCTGAATTCCCTGGCAGGATTAACCATACTCTCCTGCCTGCTCCCCTGCCACTCATAGCTCTCTATGGCAATTATTTGTAAGTAGACAGAGAACACAGGAAAGGCAGAGACTTCGCGAATTTCTCATGTCTCCATCCCCAGTGATCAGTCCAATAAATGTGTGCTATACTGAAATGGAATTATTTCCATTTGAACAGAAACATGATTAATATGACATTGCATCCATAGGCTTATAGTGAAGATGCTTTGGCGAAGCATTGTTTCTAACGGCTTATGAATGTCTTCAAGCGCAGTTCCAATGATATTGTCTTGTGACATCTGCCCTCGTTAAGTAGTTGGAGCAAATATTCATACCTTCATCTGATAGATAAGAAGCCCAGGAAGAGAAAGCTTAAGTGGCTCACACAAGGCTCAGCAGTTTATGCAGGGTGTAAGTCAATGGATAGGGTGGTAGATGGGAAATAATAAGAAGTAAGGTTTGTACTCCTCAGAGAAACGACTTCATTAATTTTCTCTCCATTTACATCCAACTCCATCTTCTCCAGTTCTTTTCTTCATGGGATCAGAGGAGCAGCCTTTTGATAGAAGGAAGACATACCACTGAGACGCTGAATATGAACTGACCCTCACGTGGGAACCATTTTCCTGTAGAAGCAGCAACAATCATAATGCTCGCTTGAACTTGGCGCTTTTCTTCTCTTGAGCATAAAGTCTGAAGTTACCCGCTGATGCCTTCGGCACGGCAGTGGGCGGATGAACAGAGGAGAGGCTGGGGACTGCGAAGTGTGTTATTGTGGAGAAATTCTTGGGGCTGTCAGGGCCATGAATGGATCTGGTGAATAAGCCAACCGGGGCAGTTCAATAGGCAGGGTGATAAGGAGGAAGCTGTGACATTGTTTCTACAGAAGGAATTGCTGGAGATCTCTCAGGGGCTGTGTTGTGCTCAAGCCACTTGGCAGAAAGGCTCATGGGAGGACTACGCCAAACGCTTAGACGTAAACCAAAAACCTACTTCTTAGGGACCCCAGGAATGTCAAGAAATCTAACTTCAAAGAGGATTGGAAGCATTGATAAAAATCAATAGCTCTTTGACTTCGGGGTGTTGGTTTTCTTAGGTCTGTAATGCAACCCAGGTCTGTGGCAATCTCTATCGTGGCATAATGCAGTGTTTTGTGCAATAAAATAGCACTCATGAAAATTTAGGAGCCTTGAAGTGAGAGCTCTTCTTCCATGTATTTCTTTTGGCAGCTTAGAGGATAGATTTCCAGAACACAGACGTCATTGGCCTCACCCTTGTGCCATTTTCAACTTGCAGGGGGAGGGTGGGAAGAAAGACAAGAAGAAAACAGTGTGGCATGCTTGGAAAACTGTAGTTGTTCTGTGTTTCTGGGGTATGGAGGATGTGGGGAGCAGTAAGCAATGAAGCAGGAGAGATGATCATGGACCAGGTTGTGGGGACCTGATGGACCAGGCCAGGAAGTATGGACCAAAGCCAGGGGGACCGCCCCAGATGTAGGCTGGCTTTGAGGGGGTGCTGGAGTTCAAATCATGGTGTCCAAAGGTACATGGCATACTTGGGCTTGATTCAGACTGCACAGGTATCAGAGGGTCTGATCTGAGGGCAGTGTATGCCCATAGGAATTTCCTGGTGGTAGTGACATTTGATGCCATGTGCTGGGTGGCCTTTTCTGGGTGATCAGGACCCTACGCTGTTGCTACAGAAACAGGACTCGGGGTTTAGTCCTCTGCAGGAGAGGGCTGCCCAAGACAAGGCCTAATGCCAGGGTCCTAGGGAAATGGGCTAGGGCTCATGGAAGGAACAGCTCAGCTGCTGTGTACACTGGGCCAATCCAGAGTAGGGGAAGTTGACATAAGAAAACGGAGTCCAGACAGCAGAATAATTCCAGATCCCACCAGCCAGTGGAGGGGAGTCATCTAAAATACTCTCTGGCCTGCTCGGGCTAACACACACATTTAGTGGAACAGAAGTACATCCGGAGAGGCAGGGACTAGAGAAAGTAGAGACTGAAGTGAAGATTTCAAAGCAAGAGTAGCTCAAGTTCGAGTGAAGGAGGCCTCGCACGCTCCTTGGACACGCCACACTGTTGTCTTTGTGACCTTCACAGGTGTCCTCAGCCTGGAGCACTCGCTCTGCTCTGACTTCAGCCATGAGCTGTCGGCAGGCCAGTCCACAGGCTGAGAACCCAGTGTGAACGTGGGAAGAAGCCTGCCGTCCAGGCCGACCCGAGCCTGGAGCTTTCTCTCCAGAGGTCTGCTTGATCTGAGTGAAAGCTGGGACAGGCCGTCCTCTCAGAAGTATTTCCTCACTGCCTCGAAAATAACCCTCTGGATAGGACAGGCCTGATTGTGAAAGGAAATTCCAGCTCTACAGGGGACCAGTCCAGACCCCTGTCCTATTACCTAAATAATCACTTTGTGAGGCTTCCAAGAGCAGTATTTTCAGAATAGTTTATGAGAAATTTTCTGATAATCTGCTCAGTTTGCAGAAAGATTGTTTTGTTTTCATCTACCAAACACACATCACACACACACACACACACACACACACACACACACACACACACACACATTGTGGGACATTTACTGCTAATTTCAAAGAGCAGCTAATGGGTTTTTTCTTCTCCTAGTCATCTGGGATGCTGAACGATTTTAAATTGAATTGTTCCTGCAGTACTGTGAAGAAATGATTTAAATAAAACTCTCCTGCCCACTGAGGCTGTGCTTTGGGCCCTCAGCCACAGTCTGGGGTCCTGTCACAAATCCAGGGCCACCATGTTGTCACCTCCCTGACCCTGAAGTGCTTGACCTGATGGGTAGCACACGTTGAGGAGTCCCCAGGACACAAGTGACATCTGCATGTTGATTTCCCTCTGCTCTAACACCAGCCAGTGTGGGATGGTGCTGCAGAGGCTGGGTTGTGGGCTAAAGACAGCCACCGAGATCCCTAGAGAAGGTAGGTCCCTGCTGGCAGACAGGGCCCAGGTCTTTTTCTCTTGGTAACTCCAGGACTAGCAAGTGCCATGCCTGTAGTTGCTTTGAAAAGTGAGTTGCATCAATCTGCAGAATGAGGCGTAGCACCGTCTTGTCTTGGGAGTCAGGTGGGGGTCAAAGTTCAGGAACTCAGCTGAAATGAGGCTGCTGCGGGGTGGGGCACATGGAAGAACAGGAACCAAAGAAATGTCAGAGACCTGGTGTTGGATTAAGTGAACCCAGCCTCAGGATTAGGTGAACTTGTTGGAAGCGCTGGCTGCTTTTCCATCTCCGTCCCCGGGAGCTTTTCCATCTCCTTAAACTCTAGTAGAAGCTGCAGCTGTGAGAACTGCCAGTGGGCCTCAGGGGAACACAAGGCCTCTGGAGGGGCTTCACACCAGCTTCCCTCACCCCTCTTTCCTGCTGAGATCCCCATCTTCTCAACCATCCCCCATACAGTTTTCTAAGAAAGCCAGAGGAGGAAATTATCATGAAAAAGAGAATTGTAAGTATTCTTCTGGGTTCTGTATGATCCATAAAAAACTCTCAAAAGAATTGATTTTCTTATTTTCAGATAGGTAAACCAAAGCTTAGAGATAAGTCACCCAACTTGGGACACTTTGAACAGTAAAAAGGAGTGCTAAAAATACTTATACAGTATTTATCATCTGAAAAAAATTGGTTTTATTATATTTTTGAATGTACAAAATAATTATACTCAAAAACTCTTAAGAATAAAATTCTTTCTCAAAAAATCAACAGACATAAACCAGGTCTGGCAAGTGGCAGTTCTGCAGTTGCCCTGATGTAAGTGACTTTTCCAGGATCACACAGCTAGTAAGTGACAAAGCCAGGCTTCAAAGCCAACCTCATTTCATGATTTCATGCTGCTTCGTTTTGTAAGCGAAAGATTGTTGGAAGTCTCCTAAGTGTTCCAGAAGTTTCCTTCCAGCCTCAAGCATACCCCTCTTTCCACGCAGGAGGTGGACTTGTCTGCCGGGCCATTTCCTTCCCACCTAAGCTCCTGCCAGATGGCTCCCAGTTGCTGTGTTTGAGCCCAGGCTGACCACTTCCTAGGCAGTGGCGTTGGAGATGGGTGTGGCCTTGCCTCCAGGATCTCCTCACAGCTTGTGCTTCCTGACAGCTGTGGACACTTGGGCTGACTGCAGACCTCCCGCTACCCTGATTTCCAGCAAGTAGGTGTTACTGGGCCTGGATGTCTCCGTCTCGGGTCCTCTGTGTTTCTTGATCCTTCCCTGCTCCCTCGGGTTCTGGCTGCTGCTTCTGCCTTGACTACCCACCCTCAAGCATGACCCTGGGTCCCTGAGTATGGCTCCCTCCCTGCACAGCTTTGCTCACCCCTCCCTGACTCAGTCCAGAAATTCCTCTCTGTGGTCCCTCCACCCCGCCTCCACGCCCCTATTCACAATTTGACAGTCTTTGAGATTTAATCAACTAGTTCATTGAGCAATCCAGGTGTATACCCACCTGATTTGAAGTGATTTAGTTTAATGAAGATAATCATGTGGCCCAGGTTTTCTGGGGCAGCCCTAATTTCAACTATTCTCTCTCTTTGTCCTCACAAAAACTATCAGAGTGGTAAAAATCCTAGTATTTTGGCACAGAAACATCACGCTCATGGCACCCAGAAAACAAAAAAGAAGCATAAATCCCTAGTCAGGCAATATGTCCCACTTTTGGCTCAGGACATACAGGTCTCTGTTAAACCATTATTTTTTTTGCAACCTGGGTGAGCCTAAGAGAGAACAGCTTTTTTGTTTATTTTCTTGAATCATAATATTTCTCTAGTCCCTGTGTTTACTAAAGACACATCATGGTGGGACACATTTATTTACAAAATAAGTTTTAGTCTTATTATGCTGGCCTGGTTATTTGTATAACATGCAGCAACAATAATTATTTGCCACCTAGGCCCCTTTTAACAGGCGAACATAGCAGGGACAGACATTCTAAAAAACTGCAAGTATTGTCAGAGACTCTGACTCTCAACTGTTGTTAGATTCTAGGCTGTTGTTTCTGAGTTTTTATTATTTTCTGCAATTTGGACTAAATCCTGAATTCTTTCTGGGATACAAATTCCTAAACTAACACTTTCAAAATTTTCTTCTATTTTTCTGATTTGGACTCAATGAAATTAATACTACATTATTCCTTGTAATACAGGCAGGAAAAACATATCTGACTGTCACTGCCTTTCTCTTCTGTAGCTAAAAATGCTTTGAGTCTAACATCTGGATAAATTCTGTCCAATGTTAAAAGAAAAAAAAAGAGGCCGGGTGTGGTGGCTCACGCCTATAAGCCCAGCACTTTGGGAGGCCGAGGTGGGTGGATCACCTGAGGTCTGAAGTTCAAGACCAGCTGACCAACATGGTGAAACCCCATCTCTACTAAAAATACAAAAAAATTAGCCGGGCATGGTGGCACATGCTTGTAATCCCAGCTACTTGGGAGGCTGAAGTAGGAGAATCACTTGAACCCGGGAGGCAGAAGTGGTAGTGAGCTGAGATCGCACCGTTGCCCTCTGGCCTGGGCAAAAAGAGCAAAATTCCATCTCAAAAAAAGAAAAAAAGAAAAGAAAAAGAAAAAAAAAGAATTAGCCCTGCAAAGTCTAAATATCTTTTAATATATTCAGGGGTTTTTTTTTTCTTTATACATTAAATTGGGCATTCTTAACCTGGACTGCATAACTCACTAAGGTGGGGCTATGGGGCCAATGCATATGCCTTACATGTCCAGAAATTGCCTGAAATTAAAAGCATATTTTTTTTGTGCGTATGCATAGGTGCATTTTTTGAAGGAGGGGAAGGTTGCTCTAAGCCACAAAGTAGGTTTTGGTCTCTGTGAACTGCATGAATCACATCCAGAAAAAAACTCCCTGGCCAGCAGAATTCACTCTACAACTGCTCATTGAATGGGGGCTCTGGCACTCCCTTGGACCCCCTGGGGTTCTGCAGCCTGTCTGAGGCACCGTGGCTATGCTGCTTCATCAGCAAGACTTTGATTTTGCTTGGTCCTCTTGCTCTTGGGAGCTGCAGCTTCTCTGTGATGCCTCGTTCCCTCTGTGGCCTGCAAAGTCCTTGAAACCCACTGTGGCTGCTGCTGTAAATCCTGCTTTATCTATGGATGGCTGACATGACTTTCACAGTTACACAAATGGAGCAAGCAATGTGCATGCCAGGCAACCCAGGCTACTTGCATTTCAGCAGTCAGTTGACACCTGTTGGTGCCAGGCACTGTGCTAGGACCTAGGTGTAGGGAGGTGATAGAAGATAAAAAATGATGACAAGTCTGGTCCCGGTGGCTCATGCCTGTAATCCCAGCACTTTGGGAGGCTTAGGTGGGTGGATCACGAGGTCAAGAGACTGAGACCATCCTGACCAACACGGTAAAACCCCGTCTGTACTAAAAATACAAAAATTAGCTGGGCGTGGTGGCACGTGCCTGTAGTTCCAGCTACTTGGGAGGCTGAGGCAGGAGAATCGCTTGAACCCGGGAGTCGGAGGTTGCAGTCAGCCGAGATTGTGCCACTGCACTCCAGCCTGGTGACAGAGCGAGACTCCATCTCAAAAAAAAAAAAAAAAAAAAAAAGAAGGAAAAAAAAATGATGATAAGCAGCTCTTGCCTTTCAGAGGACTCAGACAAATGAGCAACTCATTATAAGTAGTAAAAGGGCAATGATATGGAATTGTGGTCCCTATCTTGTCAGAGCTGTCTAGTGACACTAACACTGTAGAAGGGTGAGCCTGCCCTGTGTTCTCGGTGTCATCATTTACTCATCTAACAAATATTGATGGCGTGCCCATCCCACGTCAGGCACTGCACTAGGTCCCAGGATCCATGGCTGAGCAAACACACAGAGTTCCTTCCTAGGGTGGAGAAAGACACAAATTAAGTCAAACCATATAAAATTATGACCGAGATGTGGGCCATAAGGTGGGGAGACATGGCGCTATAGCAAATATAGAGACTATGACAAGGGACGTTGGGTCTTGTCACAGAGATCTTGGAAGCTTCCCTGAGGAAATGATGCCTGAACTGAGATCTTAAGGAAGGAAAAATGTGAATTAATAGGATGAAGAGGGCAAGGACAATAAGGGAACTCCAGGCAGAAGGCACAGCGCGTAGGGAGGCCCAGTGTTAAGGGGTAACCTCGTTCCTGTTAGAAAATGAAAGAAAAGCCATGGAGGCCGGAATCCAGAGAGTGAGGAGCACTGCCTAGAACAAGGCTGCAGCCAGACTGTCAAGGGGTCAGTTTGGGTTTTGGTCTATATGTTGCTATTCAATGGCAAGCCCTCAGGATTTCTTTTAAGGTGGAGTCTTACTCTATCACCCAGTATGGAGTGCTGTGGCAAGATCATAGCTCACTGTAACCTTGAACTCCTGGGCCCACGCAATTCCCCCCAGCCTCAAGCTTCCAAGTAGCTGGGACTAGAAGTGTGTACCATCATGCTCTGCTAATTTTTATATTTTTTTTTATAGAGACAGGGTCTTGCTATGTTGCCCAGGCTGGTCTTGGACTCCTGGGCTCAAGCAGCCCTCCAACCTCAGCATCCTACAGTGCTGGGATTACAGGTGTGAGCCATTATGCACAGCCCCTTTGGGATGTTTTAAGCGGGAACATGATATGATATATGAGCAAACCATTTCAACTGGGGAGATCAAGGAAGTTTTCATGTGGTAGATGCTTTGGAGCTGACTTTTGCAAGATATGTAGGAGCTCAATTGTTAAAGAATAAGAAGGACCTTCATGGGAACCGCCGAAGATGGAAAACACAGAAGAACGAAGGCATGCACGGTGCCTGGGGAGTGGTAAGCTGCGGGTATGACAGAAGCTTCATGTCTTTGAAGGAATGACTGGAAAAGCTAAGGGAAGCCAAACCATGAAGAGCTGAACCACCACACTGGAGGGTCTAGGTTTTATCAAGTGGAAAGTCAGAGTTTTGGGGAAAGGGTATAGCATGATCTTATCTGCAACTTGAGTCCTGAGATTTCCACCAGAAGTGGCCCAGCCATTTCTAGCTTCTGGCATCCATATCCAGTTGTACAGCCGGGGATTTTAAACAAGGATTGCTGCATAACTTGTATTACTGAGAAAGAAACTATTGCTTGGTTCCCCTTTTGGCGTGGGAGTGTCTTTGGTCATCATTGTACGTTGGGGTTGGTTGCGTTGATTCCTATGAAACAGAAGAATTGCAACATCTTAATCCCACAAAGCAGTGGGATCTAGACGTTCTCCTCCTGCTCTGCCATTGATCATGGATGAGGCTGCACTACTGGGGGAGTCTCCCAAGCAAGCAAATGAAAGCTAAATTTATTATGCATTTGGAAAAGTGATAGCTGCATTGAATTCTCAAGTTTGAGATTTCTTGGTCTCTAAAACCCAGTAGGTAACTGAAACAATTCTAAATTTTCAAGTTCCCACTTCATGGAAAAATCTTAAACATCTTCCTAGGATAGCATTTTTATGGCATGGAGAATGTGCTTGAATGGTACCAAATGGTTGAACCTCTGCAGAAGAAAGTAGCCATTCTGCAAAGGGAACGGGAGGACCAGTTTGTTAAATATACATTGTAGCTTGGAACACTTAAGCCATGGAAATAAAGCAAAAATACATGCTGAGTGTTTCTTCCTAGGACACGCTCTGAAGGTGAAGATGTAAGAGGAAATCAGTATTGTTTTGAGATTCTTGAGATATTCTCTGTATATGTGACAGTAATTTTTTAAAAAATGTGTATGGTTTGAGAATTGAGGAAGATGTTCTCTCCTTGAAGTGCCTGAAGGAAGGGAAAACGTGAAAATGGGAAGTAGATTTTATTAAGTATCTGATTTGTACAGGGCATCCCACATACGGCATTTTACTCACTCCTATGACAGTCCTGCAAAGCAAGCTTTACTGAACCCATTTTATGGCTGAGGTGGAGGCAGGCAATTCATAAATGGCAGGTCTGAAATTTGGATTTAGGGTTGACTGTCTCCACATCCATGTTGTTGCATTATTCCACTTTTACAGATGAAGAACCAGAAACAGAGAATTTCATTGCTTAAATGATGGTGCCAGCTCTCAGGTCCAGGTTGTCTGACCTACTCACCGTATTGCCTCTGGGGAATAACGGAGTGAAACCCAAATAATCATAATAATACTAACTAATGTTTATTGAGCATGGTGCTAAACTCTGCACAGATTTTTATCTCATTTAACTGTCATAACCACCCTCTAAGGTAGGTGCTTGAATAATTCCCACTGTCTAGAAGAGGAAACTGAGGCTGGGAGCTGAAATAATTTAGCCATGCTCACATAGCCAGCACATGCTAAATCTGTGATTCAAACTTGGGCATTCTGTCTCTAAAACCTGTGAGCAAAGCTCCATTGCCACACAGCCTGGCTCTCAACAACCCACCCAGAGAAGCTCTTTGAAAGAGCTCTCCCTGCTCCCACTGAGATGATGCTTCTGTTTCTCACTAACACAGCTCCTGGGTCTAGTGTTTCCTTTTAGATCCGTTTTGTCCTGCATATAAAGATACTGTTTACGTATGTCGTCTCAGGCTGTGGGAAATGCCATCCCTGTGTTCCCCTTGACCAACTCCTAATTCAGAAGGTTTTGTTCTAAGCATCCTGTAAGAGTTCGAGTAAGCTTAATTTACATGGCCATAAGCCATAAAACACAGTTTCTTTTTGGATAGGTTTCATTTACTGACTTGCAGGATAGATGACTCATAAATAAATTGCTCCTTTTCCTTGTCGATTTCTGTCCCTATCTTTGGGAATGCATGGTTGCTTTAAATATCTGCAAAGAAAAGAAATTGGATTCTGTGTTAGTGGCACTGCTGGTTCTCTTTCTTTCTCTCTCTCTCTCTGGCACATTCTGAATATTTTACCCTTTTTCCCAGCATGGAAATCTTTATAGTCCTAATAGAATTATTTCTTGTATGGTTCTTTATGCAAAATGACATTATTAATATTAAAATGATAAATATTGTGACTCCTGAACTGATGTGTTTTGATCACACTTTAACTGTGGCAAAACACTTTTTTAAGATCCTTTCAAATGTTGTTATAACCTTATACTCACATGCCTACACAGATATGGGTCATATGTGCTGACATTTAAAAAGATGAAACCCAGCTAATTCTCCCACAATAGTCTTTGATATAAATTACAAGGGAACAACAAATTGTTTTGCCTCTGATGAATGTAGGGTAGGTATTTTTCAAAAGAAATGTTAATCTTTCCTTTTCAAGAGGAAAGTCTTAAAATGGATTTTTGGACCTTGGCTCACAAAGCTGAATTTTTATATTAACCTGGCCTTAACCATGCCAGACAGAGTCTGTCTCGGTCCTCAGGAGACAGAGCCATGCACAGTACTTGCTGCACCGTCGCAGTCTGATGAAATAAAATGAGCATAGGGCCAGGGATCAGGAGGCACAATTGCTGACACCAGCTTAGTTACTAAGAGATGCGCTGAATGACTGGGGCAAGTTCCTTCCCCCAGCGCCTCCGTTTCCCCCATCTGCACAATGAAGGACTGGAATTAGGTGGTTATTAAAGACTCTCTGGCACTAACATTTCATGATTCTATGGCTCTTGATAATGGCCATGTGTGAAGTCCACAGAGGCCTCCTTCTTAAATGCTTAATGTAGAATTAATACTTTATCACTTTTTCAATTACCAGCCTCTCTAGCTTTTCTTTGGAAGGAGCAAGAAAAAAATGAAGTACAAGAAACGGTAGGTCTTGTTATACCTGAAAATATTAATAATATAAAAATATCCCTTATACTGCATGTTGGTGAAAAACATAGGTATCTCTACAGAGCGAGGTCCTTTGCTATTTCTAACCTTTAACTCACAAGCGAAGTATTAATTGTCCCATTTTACAATGAAGAAACTGAATTTCAGAGATGTAAACTCACTTCCCCAAACTTGTGATGCCACTAGAGAGAAAAACCCTGGTGTACAGAGCTCTATACTTGAGCTTGGCTGCTGTCTCCACAGCCAGCCTGCCCTAATATCTGTGGGGATTAGGGCAAGAGAGTAAATGGACACCATTTATCTAAATATTTCTAAGTCAACCTTCATGTTTTCCCCATAGGAGCCTTCTTTACAAGGTGCACATATGTGCCATTGTCATACTCTACTCCTCAGAGTCCAGGTTGGTAGCGGCATTCCCTGCCCTCTCATCTAGCTCATGTGAGTTACTTGAGCTCTCCTTCATCGGCCTTTGGTGAGCTGGAAGACTGGGCATTTCATAGCTTCATGTAACCACAGCTGCTGACTAACGACCCACATGTCTTTAGCTCTTATATTAGTTTCCTGTGGCTGCCGCAACAAATGACCATCTACTGGGTGGCTTAAAACAATAGGAATTTATTCTCTCACAATTGTGGAGTTCAGAAGTGCAAAACCAAGATGTTGGCAGGGCTTCCTCCAAAGGCTCTAAGGGTGAATCCTTATTTGCCTCTTCCAGCTTCTGGTAGCTCCAGGAGTTGCTTGGCTTGGGGATGCATGTCTCCAGTCTCTGCCTCTGTCTTCATGTGGCCTTCTCACTGTATATCTGAGTGGCAAATCTCCCTCTGCCTTTCTTTTATAAGGATACCTGTCATTGGATTTAGAGCCTAAGTCTAGGAGGATCTCATCTCAAGATCCTAAACAAAGAGTCCAGCAAAGACTCTTTTTCCAGAGAAGGTCACATTTGTAGGTTCTGGCAAATAGGTTATGGACATATCTTTTGGGGACCACCATTTAACCCACTACAGTCCTGGATGCCACCAGCTGGGCTCAGCCAGGGCTAGGAAGATCACTGGATGTGCACAGGCATAGATGAAACCAAAAGAAACATGGGAAATAACTACAGCATGCAGAGAAGGAGCAGGACATGAACTTGGGGAAGGAAGGGAACATTTACTGGGGAGAGCTGCAGCAGTTGGCGCACCAGGGCCCAGGGCTGTGGCAGGAAAGCCTAAATACATTTCAACAGCCAAACTGCATTACGTTTCTACTCTGTGAGGTCCTATGGGAGAAGTCAAGACATTTGAGCCGGTGCTGAGGCCCATGGTTTGCAGATTGATGACAGGAATAGCAAAGAAGAAGGAACCCTTTTGTGATAGTAACTCAGGTGGTCCCAGGATGCAAACCAGGTTGGGACCTTGGTAACATCACAATGGTGAAGGCTGGCAGGAAGCCATGTTGCAGTGAGATGGTGGCTGAAGAAATGGTTTCAAATCCAAAAGACAGCTCAGCAAAGGATAGAGCAATGAACACTAAGCAAGGGAGGCCAAATATTAGATTAATCATTGATAAATGCTATCATTAGTAATATTAAAAGGTACCATTGACCAGGTGTTTACTGTGTATCAGGAGCTTCTGTGCTAAACATTTTTACTGAGATCAATTTATTTAATGCTCACAACAGCCTATGAGGTAGGCGTTATTTTTTAGGGAAAATTTGAGACTTGGAAACGTTCGAGAACTTACCTAAATCCCACAGCCACTGGGGGGCAGGGCTAGTATTCAAAATCTGGATTACATGAGTTTAGTGTTTCTTTGTTTAGTCCTTGACTGAGCAAATGGGTGGAGATCTGCCCATATCTGGCAGGGGCCAGCCAGTGCCTAGGAGTACAAGGGGATGCTGAGTCAGTCCCTGGGAGGAGAGAAATAAAAAACTAGGGCCTCCATCAAGCACACTGGAGTTCACAATGGAGCCTCAAGCTGGGGACTAGTCAAGGAAACCAGCCAGACCAGTTGGCGGGGACAGAGGCAGGAGGCTGGTCCTGCAGACTCAGCTATGGGCTAGCCCTGGAGATGGCAGGGGCTGTGTGTAGGGGCTTTCACACCCCAGAGCTTGCTCCTTGTTCATGGAATAATGGTGAAAGTAAGGCAGGCATTCTTGCAAAGGAAGCAGCTTGATGATTGGGTGCGAGGAGACTGTCTCTCTACTAGGAACTTCCTAAAGCAGGGTGTGGGCTATTTTGGTTCTTCCTGCTTCCAATTAAGATCAGCTCAGGAGCAGATTGGAGGCAAGGGAATGGGCTAGGGGGATGGGCCTCAGTGCCCCCAGCCCTGAGAAAGTAGAGAGGAAGTGAGGTGGCAGCTGACAGGCACAAGTCTATGTGCATGTGTGTGTCCATCAAGAGATGGAGGGAGACGGGGGACTTGACTCTTTTTTTTTTTTTTTTTTTTTTGATAACTCAGTTACGGGCAGGGGACTCTGATTGCAGTTTCTCATAAGTTTGCCTCTGGCTTTCACATCCTACCATCTCAGAGTCTTTGTCTTTCCTGTGTAAAAAGTTAAGGCCTGTACAAGTTCAGAGAATTTCTCAAAATGAACTTATTAACACATTAGTTGTATAAATAAGTATTTTAATTTTTGTGGTGCACATTAAAGTTGGGGGATAGGAGACTGTCAGAATTCTTAATCGTCATGAAATATGCTCTTAATAATGAATCTTATTAAATCTAAATGAAATGCCTGTATGAGGCCCTATTTTAGTATTTTCTGAACTCACTGCAGCTTTTTTATCTCAAACAGCAACCAGAGTCATTCTAAATCATCATCAAATTAACTATTTATGTTCCCTTTCACAAACGTTCCCTTTCTCCCCCTTCTGCCTCTCCACCAACCTCTGCACAAATCTCATGTTTTATGAAGAAATAATCAGCTCTTGCAGCTCAGCGGTGGGCATTCTTTGTGCGCTGGAAGGGAGATCCAGTCACGGGGCAGAGTGATCCCCTGAAGTTCCAGAAGTGCAGGGGAAGTATCTCCTCAGAGGCGGCTATTCCTGAATGAGAAGTCCTCGGCATCAGGGGGCAAGAGAGTATGCCCACTGGAGCGCAGCCTTTGCAGAGAGACATCTGATTGCTCCCTTAGTCAGCTTCTTTTGGCAGAAGGCCAGTGACAAGGTAACGCCTCATCTCCATTCCCTTCAGATGTGATTTGGAGGAAAGAAGCCGACCAGCTTTTCAAGACCTTTTCTGTTTTGCCTTTTGGAAGCATAGCGGAAATTTGCCAATGCAGAGATCTAAGTTGGCCAAAACCATGGTGGCAGATACAATGCAATGTCACTTCAAAGTCTGGAGAAGATCATGAAAGAGTTCCATCCACGATCTTCTAAGATGCAGGGAAGAAGAAAACTCAGAGATTCAGAGGTGACACCTTCTATGTATGGACAAATTCCCCCTCCCTTTACTTTGGGACAGTAAGTTGGATTTTTACCAGAAGAAAAGGAAAGAGAGAATGAAGTAGTGTGCTATGAGAGCATACAGAGCACAGGTTTCTTATCCTAAGATGACTATCATCTTGCCCTAGCCCCTGCAGGAGGCTGGCACCATCCTGGGAGCCCCGTGCCATGGATAGGGAAATGGAAGAGATCTGCCCAGCTTCATTCAGCCTTTGCCACCCTCCCTTCCCTCCATTCATCAGGACAGCCTGGGCCAGGAGCCTCCTTTTCTTCAGCCCTTCTGCCTTCTGTTGTTACTCTGTTCTCTTTCCAAGGGTGGAGCTGAAGCTGGACCTTTGGTCAGGGCCATCACTTTCAGATCCATTAGCGGCAAATGGTATAGGGGCCAGCTAGATATGAAAAAGCTTTACATTTTTCTATGGAAACATCATTTAGCAGTAAGCACAATGGACACCAAAGCTCACCTACTTGAAAAAGGGGATATTCTCCCAGGAGTAGGCAGAAGGAGGGAGTTAGAGAAAGTCTGAACACCACCATCCCTGTTGCATCCCACATGGGTAACTTAATTAAGGCCAGGGGTAGCGAAGCCACTTTTCCAAAGTGACATAGCTGTTAGCACAGAATCTAAACCATTTGGCATAGCTCCTGGTTCTGAACATGGTATCTCTATGACCTTATGGGAAACGATTTCCTCTTCTTCCTCCTCAGTCCAGCCTTTACTAATAGCTCCTCAATACATCTGGGCTCTGTTTTGGCATCTGAGCCACGGGGGGCATCTTGGGGTGTGGAAGGAGCTTCCACTGTGATGGCTGATCTGGGCTTGAATCCCACATCTGCCACTCACTAACGAGTGGCCTTGGTCAAATGAGATAATCTTTCTGGGTCTTAGTTTTCTTATCTTTAAAATGGAGGTAATAACATCTTCCTCATCAAATTAAATGAGAAAATGCATGTGAAATTCCTGACCCATGATAGGTGCTCAGTAAATGCTACTTCTTTCTTTCCTTCCACAAGAATGAATGTAATCAATTTACGAACAGGATTCTGGACTGTGTTTGGCATCATTTACATGCTGCCATTACACAAACAAAGATGTTTGAGCCTGGAGTTGGCACTACTTTGTTGTAAACTGAAGTTGTCATTAAACTGAAATGAACACAGTATGTCAAGTTCAGCTATTTTTACATCAGGGAGAAAAACGCATGTCACTTAAGGACATAGCACCCATCACAAGGAGCTGGGAAGGCACATTTGTGAACATTGACATGAGGCAAACCAGGGGCTTTTCGTAAGTTCAGCTGTGCCCTGTGAATGTGATGGTTTCTGTTCTCTGTCGTGGCTCAGATGGGCCGAAGCCCAAAACAACATGGTGGCATACCCTCTGCGGGCCTTGCAGGTGGCCAGTTGCCAGAATATACCTGAGTCCTGGTTCTTCTCAGTCTCACATCTGGGATCCTCACATCTGAGCAACCTCATAGACTAAGTTTCTCCTAATCATTCAGTCTTTCATCAGACATTTACAAATATCCGCTTTAATCCTAAGCCCAGGGGATACAACAATGATCATAGGGCACTGAATAACCAAAATGTTTACAAAGTAATATTGCACTTAAATGATAGAAAGTTACATTGAAATAGGTAAAATAACCAAGCAACAATCGAAAACAATTGCATGTCAGCAAATCAGGAAATGGCTTTCAAAAATGGCCATTTAGAAGGGAGAACTAGGTTTTGCTGCAATCACCTATGCAGCAATGGAAAAAGAATTGGATTGCAACTTGGGGTAGCTAGGTTTAAATCCCAACTTTTGGTTCTGGATAAGTACTTTGTTTGAGCCCCAGTTTCCTCCTGTGTAAAACTGGAACTATAAATACTTTCCTTATGGTATTTTCATTAAAAAGATTAAAGTCAGTAAGGTTCTTGGAAACACCTAGTACAGGGCCTGATACATAACAAGTGCTTGGTGAACGGAGGCTGAAACTGAATTTGGAGAGGCTGCAGAGAGGGTCAGAAGCTTCAAACAAATCTCACATCAGATAAGGTTCAGGCAGCATGACTTAGAGCAGATGGCTCTTCAATTATCCAAATTAAATTGGATGAAAAATTCACCCTGGAGATTTTTAGGTGAATTTCAATCCTGTGTCTCCTTTTCAGTATTTTAGCTCCTTCACTTGCCCACCCACTGTGTAGAGTTGTTTTTCCTTTAATTTACTCAACATTTGCCTCTTTCAAACTCCAAGGGGAACTCTTTTGTTCTTGTGGGCCTAAACTCTTTATTGACAAAGGAATTAGGAAGTCTGTGGGCCAGGGAAGTGAATCTACTTTGAAGCTTCATAATTAGTATCTGCCTCAAATAGCTTCTTCTAGTGCCTATTTAAAACAGAAACCAACTTATCCTCAACTCCCTTGATTTCCCTCCTGCCCTTTGCCCCTTCTGTAAAACAATGGTTATTTACTTTAATTGATACCAGAAAGTCACAGAATCATAGGATTAAAATAGGCTGGGAAAATGACAGTAAGTGATGGTCAGGACCCGGCAGGGTCTGGTGTCCTGGGACTCCTTGTCTCGTGCTCTCCTTCCTCACTCAGTCTCTGCTCCATGTTCAGGTGCCCACTTAGTCTTACCCCCACCCCACCCTCCCCAGCCCCTCCCTGTCTTGGACACATGCCCCATTCACTTACAGCCGATACGAGGAGCCCATCTAAAATATATTCTGCAAAAATAGGATCAGTGCATCTCCATTTCCCCTGAGTGAACTTACCAAAACCTATGATTGTTTTATTGCCTTCTTCTCATTGCCATTGATACTGTCATTCTTAAAAAAACCTTCTGCAATTACATAGCAAAGTTTGCTTTTCAAGGCACTTTTATATACATTATTCCAGTTGATCCCCAGAAAACCTTCTGCAGTAGGTGTGGTATGATTATCTGCGTTTTACAGATGTGATAAAAGCACAGACTTCCCTCAGCTCACACAGCAAGGCCAAGATGGAGCACCCACATCTCTCATGGCTGGCCAGGACTCTGCACTACACCTCTCTCTAGGCACCAGAGATGTTTAGGGAAACTCAAACACCAGCTCTTGCCATCGTTTTCTGAAATTCCTCTTTAGCTAATTCCACCACCCCCATACACACTTGCAGGCCTCTTTCTTCCAGGAATGATTATGCAGAAAATGGGAACAGACAGTGATAGATGGACTTTTCCATTTTCTGCTAACGTGGCTATCAAGTCAGAGCCCATTTTAATGAATGTCCATTAAGGTCAAATTTGGAAAGCAGGTATTAAGAGTCATTGCCGCTAATTACACCCTGAGAGCTCTATTTGTATTTTCAAATTGGATAAAAAGGTTAGTAAAATGGAACGTTACAGCACAGGCTGACTCCCGGCTTGCTCTCCAAGTTTTCGGAAATGATCGGCTGCCCAGACTTGCTAAGAAATAATGTTCTGTCTTATTCTTGCCTCGTGCCTCACAGGTGAGCCAGCGCCATGAGGAGTGGCTGCCTCTTGAATCCTGTCAGTCTCCGGCAGATCCGATTACATCTGGGACCCTTAAGAGTACTTGAAGCAAACGGCGCTGGTCTATTTTAATCCTGCTCCTTCTAGAAACTAGAAACTGTAAGGAGAGTCTTCCTGCTGACAGGTGGCTCCATAAAAGTCGTCCATCTGCTGCTAATTATGGCAGAAAGAAAATTCACAGAGCCGAGTTTTCAGTTTATTTGCTAAAGATCTCCAAAGGTGTAACTGTCTTCCCAGATCACAAGGCCATTCACAGCGTTACATCTATAGCGCTTGTTAATTATTTAAATAATTTACAACTCGGGGTGGCAGCGAGCATTTAACAGAAGTCTGGCTGGGTGAGGATGGGTTTGATGGTTGATCATGGCAGAGGAGGAGAATCTGTTTTCACAGCTCACAGAATCTAGACTTGTGGGGTTTTGTTGTTCTCCTTACCATTCTTTCCAAGGGAAACTCAAAAAAGGGTCAGAATTTGGAATATTTTGGACTTGATTGCTTTGATTCCCAAACTTCAGTTCATCTCCCTCTCCTCTTCATGGTTTCATCTATAAAATGGGTACAATCTCTCAACTGTTTAACTCAGAAGGCTTTTGTGATCTTGGAATAGGATAATTTATTAAAAAGTGTCATGTATAGCATAATATATAAAGAATTTTAGACCCATGAAATAGATAGAAATGAGTAAATCTGATAGGTCAGATGATAAAATAATTTAATAATAAAAGACAGATATTTTTCCCTTCCCTGTAGTTTTCTTTTCCTTCTCCCATCTAGATACCAGTAGAATTTAAAAGTTGCTTCCTTATTTTTGTTCTTATAGAATTATATGTATATATATTTCTCTTTTTCTGCAACAATAGTCTTACATTATAGTTTAGTCATGGGTTTATGGATCCATCTCCCTCTGCTAGACTGGGAATGACTTGAGGATGGGAACAATATCTTATTCATAGTTATGTTCCCAGTACCTAGCAGGGCCTGAAACATCGCAGATGTTCAATATATGTTAAATTGAAGAGCCTTGACATTAAGCAAATGAAACAAAGGTGATTTTACTTTATGATGAAGTTATATTCAATATTAACCTTAATTAGTGGCACTAAATCTGTCAAATTCAATCATTTTTGACATATTTGATGATTTTTCTGCCGGTGCTAGAAATACTATAAAATCCATTTTAAAAGACGTATAGCTCCAAGTTGGGTGTGATAAACTGGAACCCTCCTGATCTGTTCTCTAGGTTCTGTCCTTGGGCATTACACAGAACCTTACATAAGACTCTGGTTTTCAGGTATAAAATGAAGGTAGGATGGGGTTACACAGAACCTGATGTAAGACTCTTGTTTTCAGGTATAAAATGAAGGTAGGATGGGGTTAACCACATGACTTAAGTTACATCAAATACTCTGATGGCTATAACGTGGAAGTCAGAAATTGGTCCCTAGTTGAATGATTTGCAGAGAATATACCAAAAATACAGAAATCAAATGAAGTCATTGCACATGAAAATGGTAGAACAGTGAGGCAATGGTGAGGTCAAAGGCTAGGGTCCATGTCATGAGGCAAAAGCAGTGCTAGGTCACCCCTGACTCCATCTGGCCCATTTTTTGACATTATATTTGGATGTCCTTTTACCTAGATTATATTGTTGGAATATAATTCATATGGTTTTCTATATATTCAAGTTCTCATAGAAGGGAGGTTAGGAAAATAAGTTTTGATAAAAATGACATAAAACAGCCCAAAACAATGAAGAAGTCTAAAAAAGTGGCTAGAAAAGAATTGGCTGGGATAGTGAAAAGATTTTTATTGCAAAATGTCCTATTAGATAAATCTGGTTGCATTTGCTGTTGATTTTATTTTTAAAATGTTTCATTCTGCCACTGTTCTTTGCAGACTTTCTACTTCTGGTTTTTCAATGTTGCTCTATTCTTTGAAATGTTACATGCATATGGAAGCTGCAAAGTGGGCACTAGATTGGAATAGGCCTCTCAAACCCTGCCATTGTTTGAATCTCAGTTTTGAACTAATTGCCTAACTGACTTTGCCTTGAATACCTCCTGTTCTGGTCTTACCAGCTTCTTACTTGTGACCCAATCCCTTGAAGCTGAGCTTCACTTGGTCTCATTTCTCTGTGCATTTCTTGGTTGCTTTCCTTGATCTCTCCCTCTAAATAGATCTATTTTCTAGATCTCTCTCAGCAAGCTGTCAAGCCTGCTGGGTAACCTCTTCTGGCCTGGCTTGGCCTTTGAAAGCATCACTTCTCTCCTGGTCCTTCTGGCCCCTTGAATATGACTTAGCAAGAAACTAGGTGGATAAGCCTCATGTTATGGGAACTTTTAGTTACAACCAGACTTCAGTGAGTCTTCCTCCAATCTCTCTCACTTTTCACAATTTTTCCATTCTCCATTGTACTGTTGCATAAGTTCCCATGGCAGGATTTTCCAAAATCTGGTTGTGCTCAAAGCCTTATATATTTGATTGAAAGAAACATTGCCATAGCTCTTTCTTCCTCCTTTTCCTATAGCTAATTGTAAGACTTGAGGAAAATGAAAAGGGGCTCCTACTTGGGAAAGAGCTGGAGAATTTTTGACTCATAATCTGTATAACATGAACTAATGTATATTATACATTGTTGTATGATATTCCTTATTGACATTGTCTCTCTAAATATATGGCTGATTCCTTAGAAGGTAAATACTTCTCTCTTGTCTCTCTCTCTCAAGTTTAACACCATGCCTGCACATACTGTAGGATTATTAAGTATTTTTTTCTTTAAAAATTTTTTTTTAAATTTCAATAGCTTTTGGGGTACAAGTGGTTTTTGGTTACATGGATGAATTGTATAGTGGTGAAGTCTGAGATTTTAGTGTACCCATCACCCAAGTAGTATACATAGTATCCAATGTATAGTTTTTTGATCACTTACCACCTCCCTTCTGAGTCCCCAAAGTCCATTATGTCACTTGTATGTGTTTGCATACTCATAGCTTAGCTCCCACTTATAAGTGACAATATGTGGTATTTGGTTTTCCATTCCTGAGTTACTTCACTTAGAATAATGGCCTCCAGCTCCATCCAAGTTGCTGCAAAATACATTATTTCATTCTGTTTTACAGCTGAGTAGTTTTCCATGGTGTATATTTAACACATTTTCTTTATTCACTCATTGGTTGATGGGCACTAGGTTGGTTCCATATCTTTGCACTTGTAAACTGTGCTGCAATAAACACATGTGTGCAGGTGTCTTTTTGATATAATGGCTTCTTTTCCTTTGGGTAGATACCCAGTAGTGGGATTGCTGGATTGAATGGTAGATCTACTTTCAGTTCTTATGCAGTGCACAAGTGCTCCCTCTTCACCACATCCACCTTCACGTCTATTGTTTTTTGACTTTTTAATAATGTCCCTTTTTGCAGGAATAAGGTGGTATCTCATTGTGGTTTTAATTTGCATTTCCCTGATGATTAGTGATATTGAGCATTTTGTCATATGTTTGTTGGCCATTTGTAAATCTTCTTTTAAGAAATGTCTATCCATGTCATTTGTCCACTTTTGATGGGATTTTTTTTTCTTGCTGATTTGTTTAAGTTACTCGTATATTCTGGATGTCAGTGTAAGATCATTAAGTGTTAACTATAAAAGTCACCATAGTGTGTCCACTAACTCACACTTGAGTGTTATTGTTACCGCCAAATGGCTGCCGAGAATCATATATTCTTATCTCTTCATTTCGTAAAGATGAGATACCTTTGTAAATCAAGGCCAGTGAGGTTATACTTTTGTTTTTCAAGAAGAATTATTAGTGAGAGTATGCCAATAACCCTAATATGGTATAATGATGTCCTATGTCATCCTGAATAAATAAACAATTATTTGGGGGTGATTTTGTACTTTAGCAAAGGTTTTTTCTGTGATTAAGTGAAGTATATATGCAAAATATTTTTGGCAATTATATTCTCAACACTCCAGTGTGTGGCTTGATGTTTTGAGAAAATACCTTCATTGTTACTACTCTGTGGAGCTTTTGCCAAGGTACATTTTGCTTTGCTAGTGTAGAAATGGCCTTTCTGTGGCCACTAACGATTTCTTGGCAATCCTGAATCAAAATGTCCTTGCCAGAACCTAATTTAGGGAATTGCATCTTTTTCCCACTAATTAACTCCATTGTTTCAATTAGGAAAGAACTATTCCTTCCAGCCCAGAACACTGTCTCTGAACAGCAAGATGGCTTTGAAACGCTTTCACAACGAAGGTAAGGATTTGTTGTACTAAGCTCACCCAGCATCTCTTGGGGCCACATTTTCAAGATGGCTGACCCTGTTTTTTGAGGGTCAGTAAGTTGGAATCAGAGGGTTATATAGAGTTGGAAGTTATATCAAAAGAATGCAGGGGAAGCTAAAATGATTCTTATTGTTCCCATTCTATGGATGAAGTCTCCCTGAAGTCAAGTATCCAGGCTCATCACAGTTAGAAAGTGGAAGAATCAAGATTAGAGCATAGGTCTCGTCTCTCCTTGGATAGGCAGACTAGTTCTGACTGGCTCAAGTGAATGTCACATCATTGAAATTGATCTCCTTAGAAGTGTAGTAACTAGCTGAGTTAATCAGTCATAAATTCTAAGAGCCATATCAGCCACTTGACTCTCATGGTACATGGCTGAAGTGATACTTTTCACCTAGAGTAGAGAGCATAGTCAGCAGTCTCTGATCTTTGGCTAGGAAATCTAAAATTACTTCCTCTCCATTAATGCAAATTATTATAATTAACATCAGTGATGTATTTAATTGCTATTTGTAAAAACTACTTTCTATCTGCATTAAGGTTTGAAAAATAGCTATAAATATTTTGGTGGCTTGTGACAGTAAATTAATTGCAGTACTGACTTAAGAATGATTTAAAACCTTGTTAATCTATTGGCTCATTTTTCCAAGTGACTTTGCCCCTTTAGCCAGAAAAAGAGAAGTTACCAAAGATACCTTTGCCTTTGACAGATGTTTCTTATTTGTTATCCCTGTATTGGATATTTTAATGTTCAGAGAGAATGGTAGAATGTAAAAGATGCTTATTTGGCCTTTCAGAAGAGGCTCTAAGAGCTGATGGGAGGAGGAATAATATTAACTTACCCTTTCCTATTCTCATAAGAGTTCTTCTCTCATGTCACCCATGGAGTGTTAACTGAGTATAAGACACGGGATCCAGGGTCAGACACATGTTCCTTTCAGCTCAAAATATGCCCTAACAGCAGCTTCAAGATTGTCAATGCTAACATCAAGAGGATAGGAACAGAAATCAAACAACCTCTCATACATCTTTAGTCTATATTATCCAGCTCTTAATTTACAGGGTATCATCTCAGCTAGTATGTCATTTTGAATCAATAAGTTCCCTGTTTTGATTCCTAGCTGTGTGAAGAAATATTGCCCTTTATTTATTTGCTCTGAATCTACACTTATAAAAACTCCATGTACTGTTCTTTATCCTGATGTCACTGGTTTAATTAGGCAAGAATGGGAACTATGCAAAGGCACCTGGCTGACGGTCCAGCCAGCGCTGAAGGTAGTCATCATGAGAACACCATGTCCAGGGTATTGTTTTCTATTGTTCCAAAATTGCTGGTCTTTGGCGCACTGAGAATTGAAGCAAATGTTCCCCTCCCAATATTGTATTTTGTCACCGGCATCCAACTAGCATTACTAATACTCAAATCCTCATTCTTACTCAGTATTTCCTTCCTAATGATGTCTAGTATTTGGCTGATTTTTTTTGTAGCTGTTCATTGACAAATTTTTTTTGTAATAATGATTTCAAAGTCCATAATTTGCCATATTTTTCTTATATATTAGGAGAAGATCTTCCTATTTAAGATTTATAGATTAAGCACTGTTTAAAAGATTGGACTATAATGTAAGAACCTTGTATTAGTCAGTTCTCACACTGCTGTGAAGAAATATCCAAGACTGGGTAATTTATAACAGAAAGAGGTTTAATTGACTCACAGTTCCACATTGCTAGGGAAGCCTCAGGAAACTTACAATCATGGTGGAAGGCAAAGGAGAAGCAGACACCTTCTTCACAGGGCAGCAGGATGGAGTGAGTGCAAGCAGGGGAAATGCCAGATGCTGATAAAGCCATCAGATCTTGTGAGACTCACTCATTATCACAAGAATAGTATGGGGGAGACTGCCTCCATGATCCAATTACTTCCACCTGGTCCCACCCTTGACATGTGGGGATTATTACGATTCAAGGTGAGATTTGGGTAGGGACACAGCAAAACCATATCAAACCTTGAGGGCAAGGAATAGTTGACTTCATAATTTTATACCTAATGGTACCTAAAATAGTACCTAAAATATGGTAGATACATGACCCAAATTCTCTAAATTAAAAGAAATGACTATGGCCGTTTGTGGTTATCAACATATTATCTAATGGTGAGATCAATTTTGGATGGAGAGATTCAACTCCGGAAAAGATGCTGACACATAGTAGTGAAAGATGATGTCATTTGTAACTTCAGTGGGTGGTTCCTTATTTCATTCATTTAATAAATATTGATTGAATCCCTATTATGTTCTAGGCATTGAGCTAAGTTGAAGGAAACTAGAATGTAGTTTGAAATTCCTTTGGGATCAATCAATTACATTTTTAAAATGAATTTTAATTATTATGTCTCAACAGAGGTATAATTTACACAGAATAAAGTATATAAATGTAAAATGTACAGCTAAAGTTTTTACATTTATGTCCCCATATAACTACTACCAGATCAAGTTATATGATATTTTCATCACCCCAGAAAGTTCCTCCATGGGCTTTTCTGTTAATTACCTCTTCTATGTAAATAAGCATATTCTAATTTATACCAGCATATATTAGTTTTCTGTTCATCAATTTTTATAAAAGAAATCATACAGCATATGCTTTTTTGTATGTTTGCTTTATTTTACCGAATATACTCTTTTAGAGATTAATCCATGTTGCATGTGTAAGTAGTTTTTTTTAAAGTTAGTAGTTATATTTCCAGAATTATATTATTTAAAATGGTATTAAGAGGACTCTAGGAAATGGCAGTGTCAAGGCAATAGTTTTTAAATCTCTGGAAACACCCATTAAAAAAAGTCAGAGTAGGATAACAAAGCCAAAACACCATGTACGGTATCCACAACAAAACCAAGTGAAAAGATGTCCCTACAAATGCCAAGCATTGAGCCATACTAACCAGACTACTATAGTAAGGAGGAGGCAGAGGGGTAAAAGAGGTACTTCTGATGTACTGACTAACAATCCCAAACTGACAACAGACAGTCACTTGAAAGCTCAGCAAGCCAATCTAAGGAGAGCAGTCAAATCTGGGTGGGAGCTTAGCCGACTAGAATTCCCGGGTAAGACTGATGTAGCCAGAGATGTCTGGGACCTCTGTACTCTTGATACTAATCATCCAAATCTCCCTTCAAGATGATTTCACCAGGAAGGAGAAACTTCTGTGAGCAGAATCCAAATTAGTTAGGTTAGGGAAAATAGGGGCAAAGAAAGGAGAAGGAGGGAAAAAGGAAAATGAGCAGAGCCAGTGGATCTCAGGAAGTATGAGAGTATATGTTTTCAAAAACGCTTGAGAACAACAGAAAAGAGAGCTCTACAGAATATAGCATGAAATCTATCCTGGTTCATCTTTCCTTTCTAGCAAAGAAAAACCTGTTTCACTTAAAATGAGCAACAGAAAATGATTGCAGGCAAATCCCACATAAAGTCACTATAAGGGGGAAAAAAAAAAACCAGGACCAACACAATATTCATATAGACAATCAAAGAAATCAGAAGATTATGTTTACAAAATAGATGAAAATTATAAACTAATATTTCAGAAGAGATGAAAAATAATATGAAATAATGCAAATAGAGTAAAAGAAGCTATGAAGGAACACAAATAAGCTTAGAGAAACTCAGAAATGGTATGACTGAAGAAAAGATAAGAAAAAGAAAAGCTTTGAAAAAGGACCTGTCTAAGCTTAGAAAATAATGAAAATTAAAACATTATTTCAGAAATAAAGTCTAAATGAGAAGGAACACAAGCATGAATAAGCAACACACAAAATTCCTTAGATAAATAGGAGATTGAAGAGAGTGACACAACTTTAAATCAGAAAGGAATTCAAAAGAGATGAAACAGATTAGACAGTGATACAGAAGCTAGACAGGGAAGATCCAATGCATGCATAATAGGAGTTTTCAAAGAAGAAAACAAAGATATGGAAAAGAATTAATATTAAAAACTATAATTCAATCAAGCTTTCCTGAAATAAAAGTAAACAAAAAATATGCACTGAAAAAGGGCATGCTATTTCTGAGAAAATCAATTCACAGTGGCCAAACTGGCTTAAAAATTAAAGAAAAGACTTCTTTATGAGCACCCAGACATTGATACTGGCATTCACAAGAGAGGGGAAAAAAATCAAAAAATCAGTTTGTCATCAATCTTTTCAAAAACAGTGCTTTAACCTGAAGACAATAAAGAAACATATTTAGAATACTCAAGGACATAAATGATAAGCAATGGAATTTATACCCGGCCAAACTGATCTTCAAGTATAAAGGTTGTGGCAGAGTATTACATACATGCAAAAACTCAGGGAGCGGTGTTCTCCTGAGTTTTTCCTCAGGAATTTACCAAAGGGCTGAAGAAACATGGACGTAAAGACTGATGTCTAACAGCAGCATTCAGAATGTGTACAGATAAAATTATATTTTAACATACTTCTGTAATGGGACCACCGTCATGGCACACACTGACATTTCAGTCAATGATAGACTGCATGTACGATGGTGGCCCTATAAGATAATAATACCATATTTGTTTCCTTAGGAATGTTTAGATACACAAATACTTAACATTGTGTTACAATTGTCTGCAGTATTCACTATAGTAACATGCTGTACAGACTTGTAGCCTAGGAGCAATGGGCTATAGCATATAGCCTAGATATAGGCTATACCATCTAGGTTTGTTTAGGTACATTTTATGGTTTTCCCACAAGGAAGAAATAACCTAACAACACATTTCTCACAATGTATGCCTGTCATTTAGTGATGCATGACTGTATTTATTCTGAGAACAAAAGGCTTGGTGCAAATGAACCTTTGAAGCAAGTCTGAATTATAAGAATAAGATAGTCAAGGATAAAATAACAGTGTTCAAGTAGTTCAGGTGCTTCAGTATCAGAAACAAATTTATTATGGATGAATCTTCCTTAGGAAAACCACTGGTTGTGTAAGATGAAGTTCTGTGTATGACGGTGGAAGAATAGCCATAGGCCAGTATCCATGAACTGTTGCCTGCACGTAGCTTTTGTAAGGATCCAGGCACAAAACACCTGCAAAGAATTCACAGACAATCCATACCAACACAAGCTATACCCAGGCTATACCTTCGGCAAACAGTCACCTTACACAAAGTTTTCCTCAGGTTAACTATTTCCAAAAGTGGATATTAGCCTGTTCTGGAAAATAAAGTTAGTCATTCTGTATAACCCTGACAAGAAAGGAGACCCACAGCCAGTGGTGTTATTACATTGTTTTGGGTACAAGGTGATACACTGAAGGCACTGTCTATAGAACTGTGAGGGATTTCTGAGCTTGAAGCTTGTTTCACGTGGTCCTCCTATGAATGTCTACCTGTAATCTGAATACCTGAAGCATCCACATTACATCTGGATTTGCGTTACCTGACTTTGGTTACAAAGAGCCATCCTCTTCCATTGCAGCAATACTTCCAATTTGTTAAGCACATGTGACTCAGCCACACCATGGAACTCACTAGGATTGAAGGTCTGCCTCAAGCAACTTATTCCAGTTCTCTGGCTACGTTTGCTGTATGCCCTATACATCTTATTTCTACAGGAATGGCAGTTTGGGGCATTTGAAAAAGTTGAAGTTCCCTGTTGCATGTCCTTGGTCCCCAAATCCAAGGATTGTAATTGTCCCCAGACTGTATTGCTTGCAGAAAGATAGGACACAGTATTTGAAACCAATGGGCTAAATTTTGCTAAATAACATCTTGTTTTATTTATTCACAAATAAAAATAATTTTGAGATACTCTATAAATAATTTTATTGGAAACAACGTTCCTTTTGGAATTGAACTGAAATAACCATGTCAGAAGCCAACAAGCAGATGGTAAACTTTCTGTTTCTGCTGACTTGGGCAGATTTTCTTTAAAGCTGAAGAGGGGTTCCATGCCCTAAAATCTCAATGCCTTCTTGTACCTTTCAACTGTATCAGATTTGGATCATTCGCTGAAGACCCACATTTATTTGTAGCCTACATAATCTCAGCGTTATCACACTATTTAATTACAGTACATGATTGACACCAGGAATGCTGAAATATAAACCTGAAATTGTAGAAAAGTGTTAAATTCTAGTGTTAACCCAGCATATTTCCTGTTTCAAGGTTTTGGGAGCCTGCAAGGTATTTTTTTTTTCTGAATAATTCTAGAACCATGTTTTGCTTATTGAAGACACTAAAGGTCTGTCAGGTCAATATATTTGTGGCTTCAGTTTTTGTAGTTCCTGGCAGACCTGAGGTAGTTCCTGACTTCTTCTATGATTTCTATGTTATCTTTTTTTCTTGTGTTATCTTTTCCTCTCAGAGGTACTGCCCCTTCTCAAACCTCTACTTCCATGATTCAACAGCATTTACTAAACAGTCATTCTACACAGGCATTTTGTTAGACACATTCCCTTTTCCAAGTTAAGTCTATATACATATACAGTGACTGACTGTATATGGTAGGAATATTTGTCCTTTCTTTTTCAAAAGATAAGAAAAACTCAAGTTTATTAAAGGAGTAACACGCTTAAGGCCACAGAAAGTAAATTGCAAATTTAGAATTTGAATATTAAGGCTTTGGAACCAAAACATCTGGTCATGAATCCTAAAAGGAACATTTGCTAGCAAATTACTTACCTGAGTTTCCTATTTATTACAAGTGAACATAATTTCTACTTTATAGGGTTGTAAGAACCAAAGATAATATACATAAAATGCCTGGCACAGTGCCTGAGACATAACAAATGCTCAATAGTGGTGGTGATTGTTAATTTATAACACTCACATTTTTGTTTTAAATGCTTTTCATTCAATGTAACTTAGAGACAAGTGTTTAGGCCCTGGAGATAGAGGTTTGGACATGAATCCCATCTCCACCACTTACTAATCATTTAATTTCTCATTTAATTTCATTATCTGAAAAATGGGAATAATAATAGTGGCTACTTTATAGAGTTGTTGTGAGGATTAAATAAAATAGTGCCAATTAAATTTTTTAAAGTGCTACTTCCCAGTAGGCACTTAATAAATACTAGCTATTACTATCCTACCTCAGTGCCAACCTGTTCTCAGAAAAGGATCAGGCAAATTCCTGTACCCTAAGAACTAAGTTATTGAGAAGTCTTGCTATAACATTCCTCTCAGATAAGTTATTTGGCTCAAAGTTTTAACATCTACTGGTGAATTTTTCGGAATCAACAGCACAAGCTGGGAAAACTCTGCATCTGTTCGATATGTGTCCCAAATGTCAAATTTCAAATTTTGTGAAAAAATCCACCTCAGAGACACAATTTGGTACTGAATCCTTTAGTTTAGGTCTGGTCCACGGAATGATAGGCTCTCAGATGGGAAAGATCTTAGCAGTTTTCTGGTCTGGTCTTCTCACCATCAATTCCAGGTAAGCTGTTACACCCTCTCTGTGCAAATTGATTCACAGCTAGGGAACAAGCTTAGGTCCACTCCTCCCCTGTACTCTTCTCCACTGTTGAAAGGACTTCTTCCTCTTATCCTGCACTCCTGATTGACCTATTGTCGGGGCAATGCTGTAATGCTCTGTGCCATATATCTTGTGCTCATGTTTAAGTTCAATCTTTAACTTTTCCAGAATCTATGGCCTCTTAAATAGAATATAAGCTCCCTGAGGACATGGCTTATGAATTAAATTACTTTGAACTAATTATTAATAACAAATCCTGTGTTCTGTGCTGTGCTATGGGGGGTACAAAGAAGTTGGTAATAAATAAATAAGTTGATAATAAATAAATAGGCCAGGTGTGGTGGCTCACACCTATAATCCCAGCACTTTGGGAAGCCAAGGTGGGAGGATCGCTTGAGCTCAGGAGTTTGAGACCAGCCTGGGCGTCAGGTGAAACATGGTGAAACCCTGTCTATAGCAAAAATACAAAAATTAACCAAGCATGGTGGCACATGTCTGTGGTCTCAGCTACTCAGGAGGCTGAGGTAGGAGGATCTCTTGAGCCTGGGAGGCAGAGTTTGCAGTGAGCTGAGATGGCACCAGTGCACTCCAGCCTGGGTGACAGAATGAGACTCTGTCTCAAAAATAAGTAGATATATAAATAAATAGTTGTAAAATAAGATTTTTAGCCCCCAATCAACAACAGCAAATCCATTTCACCTCTCCTATCAGTGCTGACCCTACTCTAAAGTGGTTTGTATTCAGAAAAATGGCAGTATGTGGTATACATACCACGTACCATTCTAGAAAGGAAAGGAGAAGTGGGCATTGTCCCAGTCCTTGAAAGATAGGTAGAATTTTAATAGAAAGACCCATGAGTGACAATGGCAGTTCACATGCTTTGAGAAAAGGCATTAAGTATTCACAGTAGTGCAGAATATTACACCTTCACTATGGTAGCTGTGCCATCAAAGACAGTTGAATTCAATGCCTATAGGAAGAGACTTCCCTCCAGGCTCAAATTCCAAGACAAGTCCCATGAGAGGGTGGCATCATTAAAACACCAATTTTTTTTAGATTGGCTCAGCTGGGTGTCATCTGGCTGGGGTGCCAGGATTCAAGTGATCTGATCAGGTTATATAAGGAATTGGTCAAGTAGCTGAATATTAGAGGGAGGTCTCCAAGGGGACTTCAGTTTTTTTTAGGGAGTTATGGAAGATGACAGCCATCATCAGCATTAAGCACTCCTTCTTACTTTTGCAGAAAGGTGCCTGGATCCCCCTGGGAAAAGTGCTGTCTCCAGTTGTTCACAGTATATGCTATTATATAATTGTGTGGATTATTTCCCACTTACATGTGTCTGGGTTTCTATAGTAAGGGCATAGTCATGTTGGTGTTGATTGGGCAATATAGCCAAGTGGTTAAAAGCATGATCCCTGCATATGAACAATGGCTCTATGACCACTAGCAAGTTACTTAATCCTGCCAACCCTCATTTTCCCCATCGGTAAAATTGGAATGACAGTCATGCTGATTTTCTAGGGCTTATGTGAGAATCAAGTAAAATAAACCACTTAAATATACCAGTCACTGTTTTAACCACTTTGCTTTTTTTCTTTTCTTTTCTTTTCTTTTTTTATGATGGTGTCTCATTCTGTCACCCAGGCTGGAGTGCAGTGGTGCAATCTCAGCTCACTGCAACCTCTGCCTTCCAGGTTCAAGCAATTCTCTGCCTCAGCCTCCTGAGTAGCTGGGATTACAGGCACTCGCCACCATGCCTGGCTAATTTTTGTATTTTTAGTAGAGACGGGGTTTCACCATCTTGGCTAGGCTAGTCTTGAACTCCTGACCTTGTGATCCACCTGCCTTGGCCTCCCAAAGTGCTGGGATTACAGGCGTGAGCCACTGCGCCCAGCCACCACTTCACGTTTATTAAGTCACTTAAGTAACTTGACAATCGTAAAAGGAGTTACTATTATTTTTTCAATTTCAACATGTGAGGAACTAAAGCAGCAATCAAGTGATTTCCCTGTTATTATTATTCTAGACACATTAATGCAGTATTTTCTCTGAGGGAGAATTTCTTCCTGTGGAGCCACAGGATTCTTCTAAAAAAAAGTTTGGCAGCTTCCAAGCCTCTCAACGTGAGAGCTTTCAATGTTTGAGATGATGTGGGGTAGGGGTAGAAGGTTCCTCATGAACCCAGCCAGGCTGACAAGAGGCTTAGGTAAGGTCAGTTTCAGCTTCTACACTATTCTGTGGACCTGCACATTCTTTGTTTTTTGTCTTTTTGGTTTTTTTTGAGACGGAGTCTTGCTCTGTCGCCCAGGCTGGAGTGCAGTGGCACAATCTCGGCTCACTGCCACCACCACCTTCCAGGTTCAAGCGATTCTCCCACCTCAGCCTCCCAAGTAGCTGGGATTATAGGTGCTTGCCACCACGCCCAGCTAATTTTCGTGTTTTTAGTAGAGACGGGGTTTTGCCATGTTGGCCAGGCTGGTCTCAAACTCCTGACCTCAGGTGGTCCGCCTGCCTCGGCCTCCCAAAGTGCTGGGATTACAGGCATGAGCCACCGCGCCTGGCCGACCTGCACATTCTTTGTGTCCTAGGACTTATCATATTTTAGGAATCTATGTGACTCAATTATTGGAAAGAAATTGTGTGATCATAATCTCATGAGGTTTTATTTTTTAGGATTTGCTTTCTTTTTGAAAAGACATACGTTTTAGAAAATCACATATTTATCAACTTCTAAGTGAATTTGCTGACCCATGATAATGTTAGGCCAGTAGTCTTTATACAAAATCTCAAATACTTTCTCATGCCTGACACAAACCTAGCAATGCGCCAGGATTTGGGACTGAAGAAAACCAAAACGACCTGCCTCGTTGTTGAGTTGTGCTTTTAATTTTTGTGAAGTGACTTTCCTCATCACTTCACAAAGCCTAACTTATTCCTCAGGATGACAATCAGGACATGACAGAACCAAGAAGGAAGGAAGCTAAGGACTCATGCCAATGTGTGTCACTGAATAAGCTTGCGCCTCATGTCTGCAGAGCATGGGTCTCCCCAGACCACCTTCTCCTCCATTTGGACAGATCTTGACATTCTGTATTCAGCCCTCATCTCAAATTTACCATGTACAAAGAAACATCTGGAGAATTTGTAAAACATAGACTCCTGGGCTACAGAGATTCTGATTCAGTAGGTTTAGCACAAGGCCCAAGAATTTGCACATTTAACATGCCCCCTCGAACCTTCCTTAAGAATTGCTCAACTCTGCAAGGAGCAAGCTCATTCTCACCACTGTCTGTTTGTCTTTACTTTCCCCCCACTGATACACCTTCATCATTCCTCTTCACCCATCTCAATTCTATCCATTCTTGAAAATCTTGTACCAACTCTGCCTCTGCCATAAGCCTTCCGCAGCTACTCTGATCTCTCTCTCTCCCTTTCTGTCTCTCCACCTTAAAAAGAAATTAAACCTTTTGGATCATTCTCAATCACATGATCTCAGACTCAGCCATTCTCTGGTTTGTGGAAGGGGAGGGAGTGTGATATTGGACGGATGATTGATTTGCCCAGATCTTGAGGAATGGGCACGTATCTGTTTCCCATCTCCAGTCGAAGTCAAGCTGACACCAGATGCCACTGGGGGTTTCAGTTATTCCCCATCATAGCCACAGCTTGCCCAAACTGCAGGAAACTGGGCAGGAACGGCCCCCCGCATCCTAGACCTTAGACCCACAAAGTCTGCTTGGTTGAAAAAGCGCTCCCCTTCCTGTCCCAACGTGTAGAGTTCTAAAAGTCAGAGTGGGCTGTGAGAAGCCCTACTTAACCTGTACAGGCCGCTCGTCTCGGCACCGTTTCCCGAGCCCTTGGTTATTTTTACTCTCTCTGAGCTTCTTCCCATTCTTCAGGTGCTGGACGAGGTGGTGTTCATTTGGCTTTGCTTCTGACACAAGATAAACGAGCTTGGGGCCTTCGGCGATTCACTCTGGCTGCCAGGGGGTTCCAAAATAGCAAACTATTTTTCATAACAGCAACGTGATATGAAGGGAGATGCAGCAGGTGCACTCCGCTTTCCCCTCGCCGTCTGGGGCATGTGGTGGAGGGAGAGGATTCATTAAGTTTGCACTTGTGTCCAGGAAAAAGAAGGGACCTGCTCTCGCAGTGGCCATTCCCCTTTGGCTGGGTCAAGGTCTCACTTCCTGAAGGCGAATCTCGTCCTTGGGCAAGGTGGAAGTGCAGTAAAACAGCAGTCCGGGCGCCCCCATAGAGTTCAATGCCTTTTTCTTTTTCCTCATAGAAAGATAAGGTTAGAAATGTGACTATCTGCTGAGTATTTTTTTTCTAACACTACCTTGTATGTTAAACAAAAGAGCAAGATTTCTTAAAAGTTTCAAATATTTGACACTATAGTTCATTAAATGTAGGGTCATTTCAGAAAGTTCAAAGAGGAAACTTCTCTTTTATTTTCTCTTTTTCCAAAGATGTAGAAGTGAAAGATCAAACTGTCGTTGCCTCTTTGAGTTCCTCCCTCATTCTCTTGGCTCATTAGAAAAAAAAAACTTTTCATGGCACTATTCACTATTAAAAGGTTGTCCCCAGCCCTGCATCTTCTAGTCCCCCCATCCTCCATCATGAATTATGTACATGTTTTTAGAATGAAAATTATAACAAAGCAAGGTGGATTTTAATTTATATTTACATGTATTGTGAGTTTCCTTTTGATGTTTCTCCCCTATCAACTTACTAGATCTTCTTGGCCAGAGATGAATTAAAAGTGAAATTAAAGTATATGTGATGATGATGATGATGATGATGATGTTCATGATATGGGCTTCTCGAAGTTGGGGTGAGGCTTAGGAGACAAATATTTTGTAAAAATGTTCAGAGTCAAGGTCAGAGTGAGAGAGCAAGTATTATGTAAAAGCTACATGTTAGTGAGTTGTAATTCAGTGCATAAGACACCGGAATCTGTCTTATCATACATCTTAATTTAAACATTTCTTTTCCCAGGGGACCACAGAGTACATAGTGCATGAATAAATAAATGCCATGACTTATTTTGGAGTCCCCAGTCATAATATAATTATATGCATTGCAAATTTTCATATGCTACTTTTAGTTTCTAGGGTTTCTTAAAACAATTATTAAACTGCATTGCAGGAAGAGATCTACCTCGATTCAGCTATGAAAATGGAATCGGAGAAGCTAGTCACATTAGACAGCAGAATCCTTCCACTGTGAGCTTGATCACATCAGAGAAATGGTGATTACAGTTTACATGGAGTTATACTAATTACTGGCCTGGCTCAACGAGCCTAGAAAAACCAGATATAGACAGAGTTGTGACTCTCTCTTATTGTCTTGTCTTGCTGGGTTTTAGAGACCATTCCTCTTCTCAAATCATTGGTAGCTCCTAATCCCACCAGAGGAAAATAATACATTTTTTCCTCCTTAAGAACAGCTTTTTCTTTCTGTGGGTCACCAAGATCCATTTGCTAAATAACTCTTGAAGTCTAAAAAATTGTCTCTGAGTAGTCAGAAGAGGTGAATTCAACCTTGCGAAGTTATCTAAAATCATCATCCTCCTTAAGCCTTTTCTCTTTATGCAGTGTATAAGTCCTACCCACATGGGGTAATTTGTCGTCTTCTGCTCTCTCTCTAGCTTTGATTTCCACATTTCATTCAATTTCTCTTTATTAAGAAAATATAAGAGAGATGCAGGATAGTGGAGCAGTTAAATGCACTGGCTTGCAACCACACAGACCTGGGTTTGAGTCCTATATTTTCTACTGCCTACGTATTTACCAGCTGTGTGACCCTTGGTAAGTTACTTAACCTCTCTGTGCTGCAGCTTTCGCATGTAAAAAGGTGATAGTAATAATTCTTATCTTAGTGGGTTGTTGTGAGGACTGCAGGAGATACTGCATATAAAGAGTCCAGCAGAGTGCCCATGTGATTCTAATAAATATTATCAATTATCATATCAAAAGCATCTCACTACAGTACATCTACTCAGCTTGTAATTCTCAGTCCAATCAAATTAAGAAATCTGGAAAACAATCGATCTTTGCACTAACATGATTTGGGTGCTGAATTATTCTCTTTCATTTTCTCATGTTAAGGAAAATCCATAATTTTCTGAACAGACGTACCCTTCTCTCCCATATCCTCCAGTCTCATGTACACTAAATTTGCTGCGTTTGTGGTGGCTGTACTCTCTTAAGACCAGATGAAAAGGAATTGAGCAGCAAAGCAGGGTTTGTGGTTGTTTTTTGTTTGTTTGTTTTGTTTTTTGCCTATCCAAATACAGTGACTTATTTTCTCTCTCTAAGTATTTTGGGTCCTAGGTGAAGGCTCAAGCTCTGGGCACATGAGGTCCCCAGGAGACTGGTGATGATCAATCATCATTGACATTCTTTCCACTTAAACCAGGAGCTCAGAACTTTAAACACATTGTAAAGAGTCTACATTGGTCCAATTAGGCTTCAGCTCTAAAGTAACCTGATAGTGCTGTATGGGAGAGATAACTGTGGCTAATAGGCCTGAGTGTGCAAGATAGGGGCCAGCCTCCTAAGGCAAAGTGTGGGAGAGGCAGACTCATGAATGAAGGTCGTGGACAAGGATGGCACTCCAGCGACTGTGGCCAGCAGGTGGGGCCACAGCCCATCTCCACCAGCCAGGTGCATCTCCCTGGATGCTTTCTGGCTGCTTTCTTTGATTTTCATTTTTATTTTAGAACTTGATTTCTCCTCCCTCCTTTTTTTATTGTTGCTACGAAATTTATTTTATGTTGCCATGAAGATTTTTTTCCTTTTCTTTCTTCATTCCCGTTCAATTCACTCCACACATATTTGAGTGTCTACTATGCACCAGGCACTGATTCAGGTACTGCCACTATAGGATTGACTAAGACTCATGGGGTCTCTGTGTTTTGGGTGCTGACATTTAGAGATGTAAGACAGTGCTTCCCAAACATCAGTGTGTGTTAAAACCACCTGGGGTCTGTGAAAATGCAGATTCCAATTCAGGAAGTCTGAGGAGGAGCTACAGACCATCGCTCTTAGGTCTAAGAAATAAGCTCCTCAGTAATGCAGGTGCTGCTGGCCCAAGCCCCATCCTTCACATAACAAGAACGTGAGGAAATGCTGTTCCCTTTCCTCCTCTAAATGACTGGCTGAGTGTCCTCATTTGTGTTAGCAGAGTTTAACAACATCACAGACTTGATCTTTCCTATGAGACCATCAGCTTTGTTCTGTGACCCTGACCTAGGCCACCTTTCACCCAAACATCTGAGGGGTACAGGGGAAATGAGTGGGAGGATATAGATAAATGACTGGCTGCCCCGCCCCCCAGCTTTCCGTCCTGGCCAAATCCTGTGTCATACTGTGAGTGGGACCACTGAGGACTCATTGTATGCACAGGACAGCTCCTGACTCCTAGATAGATGGTAATAGTACTTTAAACACACAGAATGATATAGCTCCTCTCTGGTAACTGGGGTGCCATTTACTAATTTGCTGCTCTTACATGACTAATTTAACTCTAGTTGCTACTCAGTCATCAGGGAGTCACTTATTCACAAAGCAGAATCAGGCTAAATAAATATTAGGAAGCTGGGAAAAGAGGCAGATGAAAGTAGAGAGTGAGAGTTAGCTTTTAATGCAGGCTAGAAACTTGCTGGGGTTTAAGGCAGATCCTCATTTAGTGCATAAATGCAGATTCTTCGTCTGTTTTTAAGTCCCGCTGACCCTAAATGAATAGAATCCTGTAGCAGACAGCAGCGACCTTCTCTTCTAATAAGAATCACATTCCAACAGAATGTACGTTTCCAATTACTATGCAAAAACAATGGCAGAATTACTTAAAAATGTACAGCCCCCTAAGGGCTCTGTATGCTGTAGTCCATGTGAATCTATCATTTGCATGCAACTATTGTGGGGAACAACCGAATCCTCCATCACAGGCTATTTAATCAAGTGAGAAGCCCCTAAATTTCTTTGCAAAGATTCACAAATTCTGGAGCTAAATATGCAATTGGTAATGTATTCTGGCTGTCTGCACGCAGGCTTCCTTGTTTCATTCTGAATGGCATGGTGTTTGCGTTGACATTTAGATGATGGGTCATCTTGGATTTCTCCTGTTCACAGCTGGAACCTTAGTGGCATCTCCCATTAGTAATCACTGTGCTTTTTTCCCCCTAGTGACTGACCGTTTACAAACTAAGAAGAGGAAAAATTGTATATTTGGGTACTGACTATAGAAAGAAAATAAACTAACAGCACAGTTGGAAAGGTGCCTAGGGTTACTTTCTGTGGATAACTGAAGATCCAGTGGAAGTAAAGGACTCAGATCATGTGTTTCCCCCACCCTTACCCACCAGCTTCAGTGGCCAACTTGTTATTGGAGAGTTAAGTGAAAATAGTCTGTAAGGACAGACTCCAGGATTAACCACAGCCACTAATGCAATAAGATTTGGGGCAGGTGGAAAGATTTGTCCCTACAAGTATCTACTTTTCTGACCTATAATGTATGTGGAATTCTCCCTTGATTTTACCTATTTGTGCCTTTGAAGTCACCTGTTGAGATTCAAGAGTGTTTTTTGGGTAGGGCTCCCATCAGAAAGCCCTGGAAGTCACAAATGCTTTGGCATCACTTATTTATCAGCTTCAGCATTCTGAAGCAAGGCCCCGAGGGACCAGTGGGCCTAAAGGGTGGGGGAAGCAGGCCAGAGGCAATGCTTTAACACATGGAAGCCCCAAGCAATGAAAATACAGTGGTCCCTGCCCTCAGTATGCAATGCAAAATAAAGAGCATCCTATACTAGACAATAAGTGTAAGCAAAAAAAGAGTTTTGTGGGGGTTTTGGGAGGTAAGAAGAAAACACGAAATCTACTGTCATATAATTTTAAATGTAGAGTGTATTATTGCTAACTATAAGGACAATGTTGTAATGTTGCAGAGCAGATCCCTAGAACTTTTGCTTCTTGCATAACTGAAACTCTATACCCATTGAACAGCAATTCCCCATTTCCTCCTCCCCTATCACCAGGCCACCACCATTCTACTTTCTGTTGCTGTGAGTTTGATACCTGTAAATGAAATCAGACGGTATTTGTCCTTCTGTGACTGGTTTATTTCACTTAGCATAATGTCCTCAAGGTTCATCCACGTTGTAGCATATGACAAAATCTCCTTTTTTATGGCTGAATAATATTCTGTGGTATGTATATACCACATTTTCTTTACCTATTCATTCTTCCGTGGGCATTTGGTTGTTTCCACCTCTTGGTTATTGTGAATAATGCTGCAATCCATGGGAGTACAAATATCTCTTTGAGATCCTGATTGCATATGGTAGTAGTTCTATTTTTATTTTTTTTTTAGGACACTTCAGCTGTTTTCCATAGCAGCTGCACCATTTTGCATTCCCACCAACAATACATAAGCATTCCAATTTCTCTACATCCTTGCCAACACTTATTTTCTGTTTTGTTTTTTGTTTTTTGATTGTGGCCATCATAACAGGTGTGAGGTGAGATCTCATTGTGCTTTTCATTTGCATTTCCCTGATAATTAATGATACTGAACAGCTTTCCACATACCTGTTGGCCATTTGTATGTCTTCTTTGGAGAAATGTCCATTCAAGTCCTTTGCCCATTTTTTAATCAAGATGTCTGCTTCTTGTTTGCTTTGCTTTTGGGTTGTAGGAGTTTCTTACATATTTTGGATATTAACCCCTTATCAGATATATGGTTTTAAAATATCTTCCATTCTATAGATTGTCTCATTGTTCTGTTGATTGTTCCCTTTGCTGTGCAGCAAGAAGCTTTTAATTTGCTGTAGTACCATTGTTCTATTTTTGCTTTTGTTGCCTGTACTTTTGATGTCACATCCAAGAAATGTTTTCTTCTAGGAGCTTTATTGTTTCAGGTCTTATGTTCAAGTTCTTCATCAATTTTGGTCTGATTTCTGAGAATGGTATAAAGTAAGGGTCCAATTTTATTCTTCTGTTGATGGATATCCAGTTTTAGCCACACCATTTGTTTAACAGACTGTTTTTTCTGCATTGTATATTCTTGGCACTGTTGTGAAGGTCAGTTGATTGTATATACGTGGCTTTACTTCTGGGCTCTCTATTCTGTTCCATTGTGCTGTATGTCTGTCTTATTGCCAGTACCATACTGTTTTGATTACTCTAGCTTTGTAATATGTTTTGAAATCAGGAGTTATGAGACCTCCAGGTTTGTTGTTCTTTTTGAAGATTGTTTTGGCTATTCCAGGTCCTTTGTGGATATCAATATAAATTTTAGGATTTTTTTTTCTATTTCTGTTAAAAATGCTATTGGATTTTGATAGAAATTGCGTTTGATCTGTAGATTACTTTGGGTAGTATGACCATTTTAACAGTACTAAGTTTTCTAATATATGAGCACAAGATGTCTTTCCATTTGTTTGTGCCTTTTAATATTTCTTTTAGCAAGGTTTCATAATTTTCAGCATATAAGAATTTCATCTTATTGGTTGAGTTTATTTCCTAAGTATTTTATTCTTTTTGATTCTTTTGTAAATGGGATTGTTTTCTTAACTTTCTTTGTGGATTGCTCACTGTTAGTGTTTAGAAAAGTAACTGATTTTTGTGTATTTTGTATCCTGACTTTGGTATGCTTATTGAGTTTGTTGATTAGTCCTATCAGATTTTTGTGTGTGGAATCTTTAGGGTTTTTTACATATGAGATCGTGTCATCTTCTAAAACAGATCATTTTACTTCTTCCTTTCCAATTTAGATGCCTTTTTGTTGTTGTTTTTGTACCTAATTGCTCTGGATAGGAACCTCCAGTACTATGTTGAATTGAAGTGGCAAAAGTAGGCATCCTTACATTCTTTCTGATCTTAGAGCAGAGGCTTTCAGGTTTTTACCAGTGAATATGATGTTAGCTGTGAACGTTTCATATACAGCCTTTATTATATTGAGGTAATTTCCTTCTATTCCTAGTTTGTTGACTGTTTTTGTGTCATGAAAGGGTGTTAAATTTTGTCAAATGCTTTTTCTCCTCTGTTGATGTGATGTAATTTTTATTCTTTCTTCTGTTAATGTGGTGTATAATATGCATTGATTTCTATATATATGTTAAACCATCTTGGCATCCCAGAAATAAATCCCACTTGGTTGTGCTATATGATTCTTTTAATGTGTTGTTGAATTTGGTTTGCTAGTATTTTGTTGAGGATTTTTGCAAATATGTTTATCAGGGATATTAGCCTGCAATTTTCTTTTCTTATAGAGTCTTTTTCTATCTTTTAATATGAAGTTAATACTGGCTTCATAAAATGAATTTGGAAACGTTCTTTTCTCTCCACATTTTTGGAAGAGTTTGAAAAGGATTGGCATTAATTCTTCTTTAAATGTTTGATAGAATTCATCACCAAAGCTATCAGGTCCTGACCTTTTCATTGGATGTTTCCAATTACTGATTCAATTTCCTTACTCATTATTGGTTTGCTCAGATTTTATATTTCTTCACAATTCAGTCTGGGTAGGTTGTATGTTTCTAGGAATTGATAAATTTCTTTCAGGTTATCCAATTTTTTCATGTATAATTGTTGATAGTAATTTCTTATAATTCTTTTAATTTCTGTGGTATCAGTTGTAATATCTCCTCTTTCATTTCTGATTTTGAGTGTTATTTATTTTCTTCTTAGTTAATATAGCCAAAGATTTTTATTTCCTTGATCTCTTAAAAAACAAGTCTTAGTTTTGTTGCTTTTCCTATTCTATGTTTTATTTCTGCTGTAATCTTAATTATTTCTTTCCTTATCTTAATTTAGGGATTAGTTTGTTCTTTTTTTTCTATGTCCTTGAGGTGTACAGTTAGTTTGTTTATTGGAGATCTTTCTTCCTTTTAAGTGTAGGTGTTCACCATAGACTGAATATTTATGGCTCCTTCAAATTCACACATTGATGCCTAATCCCCAATGTGATTGTATTTGAAGGTGGGAACTTTGGGAGATAATTAGGTCATGAAGGTGGAACTCACGTGGATGGGATTAGTGCCCTTATAAAAAAGGACCCAAAGAGTGGAAGGACCCAGAGATCTTTCCACTATGTGGGGTTACAGCAAAAAGACAGCTGTCTATGAACCAGGAGGCAGCCGACTCTCACTAGAATCTGCCTCTGACTTGATTTTGGACAGTCCAACCTTCAAAACTGTGGGTAATAAGTTTCTGTTATTTATAAGCCACCCAGTTAATGGCATTTTATTGTAGCAGCCCAAACAGATGAAGAAAGTGTTTATTGCTGTAAACTTTCCTCTTAACACTACTTTTGCTGTATTGTATACATTTTGGTATGTTTTGTTTTCATTTTCATTTGTTTCAAAATATTTTCTAATTTCCCTTTTGATTTCTTCTTTGGCCTATTAGTTGTTCAAGAGTATGTTATTTAATTTCCACATATCTCCACATTTTCTAGTTTTCCTCCTGCCATTAATTTCTAGTTTAATTCCATTGTGATCAGAAAATATACTTGGTATAATTTCAGTCTTCTTAAATTTGTTAAGACTTGTTTTATGACCTGACATGTGGTCTTTCCTGGAGAATGTTCCATGTGCACTTAAGAATGTTTATTCGGTGTTCTGTATATGCCTATTGGATCTGCAAACATTATATTTTCGTAGGCTCATGTGTTACCGTTTAGCATCTGTATGTTTCCATTTGTAGGACTCTCTAACATTTCTTGTAAGGCAGGTCTAGTGATGACAGACTCCTTCAGATTTTATGTATCTGGGAATATCTTCATTTCTCCCTCATTTTTGAAGGATAGTTTTGCCAGACAGAATACTTTTGGTTAGCAGTTTATTCTTTTGGAACTTTGAATATATCATTCCACTCCCTACCATTGTGTAAAGTTTTGCTGAGAAATCTTCCGATAATTTCATGGTGTCTTTATATATGAATACTCACATTATTCTTGCTGCTTTCGAAATTCAATCTTTATCTTTGACTTTTGACAGTTTGACTAATGTGTTTTGAGTGAATGTCTTTGGTTTCATCCTAGGTCAATATCTCTTGGGGTTCTTGAATCTGTATGTCCATTTCTTTCCCCAGATTTGGAAAGTTCTTGGCCATTATTTCTTCAAAGAAGTTCTCTACACTTTTTTCTCCCTCTTCTCCCTCTGAGACTCCCATATTGCACACATTGGTCCACTTGATGGTGTCACATAAGTCCCTTAGGTTTCCTTTATCTGTTTTCATTATTATTTCTTTTTGTTTTTCTCATCATATAATTTCCAATGACCTATCTTTGAGATTACTTATTCTTTTCTGTTTTGCTTGGTCAAGTCAGCCATTGAAACCCTCTAGTGAATTTTTCAGTTTAGTTATTGCATTCTTTATTTCCAAAATTTTTGTTTGTTTTTAAAAATATTTTCTATCTCCTTATTGATATTCTCATTTGTTCATGAATAGTGTTCTTGAGCTCATACAGCATTTTCATAAGGGTAATTTCAAATCCTTTTTCGGGTATCTTATATACCTATGTTTCTTTATGATGTTTCTGGAGACTTATTTTGTGCCAGTCTTTGGGTCATGTTTTCCTTTTTCTTAATATATCTCATAACTTTATGTGGGATTTGCACATTTGAAAATACTGCCATCTCTCCCAGTTTTGATGTATATGTTTTGTGTAGGAGAAGACCTTCACTGATCATCTTGGCTAGAGTTTCTGAGGGCCTCTGGATCTTTTGTTGGGGGTGGGGCTGGGGCTGTGTGACTTCTCTGGGCCTTTGCAGGCAATTTCTCAGAGAGGCTTGCCAGTTTCTTTTTCAGGGGTTCATAATCTTCTGCTTCCTCTGGTACCTTTCTGTGGTACTGCAAGTTCTGTGGTTGTAAAGTAACAAACAAAGAACAAACTCTCCTTTGTTCTCAGTAGCCACCAAGCATCCAAACTATGTGGTTCCATGAGGATTTTGAGGGAAGTGAAACAGAAACCATTCCCTTGGGCAGTCCTCCAAAAAACTGCAATGTTGCATGCATAGTTGTTTTCTCTTTCCCTGAAGAGGGAGAAGTCACAAGCAGGGATTTTATTTCCCAGCACTAAGCTATGCCAACTAGGGGGAGAGGATGACATGGATAAAGTGAAATTGCTCTTATTACCCATTTCAATGTGGCTTTCTTCATCTTTGTGCTCTGCTGGGGCACTGTGACTTCTTAACTGAAGTTAACTGGAATTCTCATTAATGTATTTTAGTCTATATATTATTGTTTTATTAGGGTCTCTATGGAGGAACAAAGGCTGGGACTTTCTATTCCACCATCTGCTGATGTCACTTTTCTTGAACTCAGTTTTGACTTTTTTCCATTACAATATAATATTTCCATAGCATTTTATATCACTGTCCCTGCTTCATGAATGTTCTAAAAACATATGCTTGGCCTGCCTATGGAAAAACCCAGTTCTGGGAGCCAGAAAAATCCAGGAAGAGCCAAGACATGGAATGGAAAGGTGGCTGAGGCATGGGAGTGGAAGGAGAGTGGATAAAGTAGTAAAGTGTTTCCTCTTTGAAATGTGCCTACTTGGCAATTTTGATAAGAGTAGCCTGTGTAGTTTTTCTTTCAGGGATGAAAAGAAGCTAACCTCCCTTTTCTCTTTAATCCTTCAAATTATTTTCTATTCTTTTTCCTGTTATGTAACTTCACAACTCAGCTCTGAGGTTGACCCAACAGCAGCAGTTGTCACTCCACTAATGGATTGTGATAGTCCTTTGGGCCAATTTGGCTGAAGATGGCATCCCCTTCCACCTTCTCTGAGGTGGAAGTAAAAAGAAGTGGGAAGATGTGAACCAGGAATGATCACTGTCTACTTTACCATCCTGCCACAGAAATGGCTGAGGGTGGCTCACTTTTCTCACTGTGTTGGATGGACTTTGCTTGTTTTAATAAACAAAACATGCCCCATTTTCTAAAAATAAGATGGAATAGTGAGAATGTTGATAGTAATAATTTACATCTGTGAGATATTGTTATACAAATTAGCTCATTTGCAACTCAAAGGAGTTCTCTGAGGTAAGTCTAGTTATTGCGGGCACCATCTTCATTTCATAAATTTGAAATCTGGGGTCCATAAAGGCTAAGTAAATTGCCGAAGGTTACACAACTAGAAAATTGCAGAATGGACCCAAACTCAAGCATTCTGATATTTTCAACTATACCCCTCCATGGGCCCACTAATATGCCCATGTTTGAGAAACAGAAGGAGCTTCAAAGGTAGAACTGCTCATCTTTCTTGGAACTGTCAGACACAAACACAGATTATCTGCTACCATGGTAGGGCAAGACACTGAAGCCCGGCAAAGACGAACTGGGGAGATATGTGCAGTGAACTTGGGAGAGGAGCCAGAATGGCTTTGGTGGAAATTGAAAAGAAGTTAATAATGAGAAGAATTTGTAATTTTCTTTTAGACTATTATATACAGGTAACAAGATGGCAGCCTGTTCAGACAAGCTATTTTGAGAGGTTGGCTTGTAGTCCAGATCTTACAGAATGCTGGTTACTCATTTATCTCTAACATGATTAGGCTCATAGATCTTCCTGCAGAGAGGAAACTACAAATGACAGCTGATGCCCAGAACCTTAGACACTGTTCTAAACAGTTTACAAATATTAGCTCAGTGAATCATCATGACATCTCTCTGAGGTAGGTATTATTATTGTTGTTGTTGTTTTCAGATGAAGAAACTGATGCAAAAAGAGGTTAAGACTTACAGAGATATAAGATTTCTGTTTCTCATGCAAAAATTCTCTAGAACTTTGCTTAAATCTTTCAGGTAGCACATGCATTGAAGTACATGTTTCTACACAGCCACCATTGTTATTGGCAGCTTACTGTGTAGAAGGCTGCATGGTAAATGCTTTATACAAAAATCCCATGAGAGTTATACCTTTTTTGACAGATTGAAACCCGAGGATTAGGGAAGCTAAGTAGATGACAGAGGGTCATGATGTACATAAGTGGCTGAGCTCAGACTAGAACCCAGGGCTGTTGGTTTCTAAAATCCATGCTCAATTACAGCAATATATGTTCCTTAATCCCTAGATGGGTTAAAACTACTAAGAGATGTTCTACCAATCCAGGAGCATATCTTTCATCCTAAGTGCCGTAAATGGAGTTCAGTCGCCTCTGAAGGAGCCTAGGTGATGTCCTAATTTCTTCTCTCATAGCAGAAGTTTTGGCAGTTACAGAAAAGGGGAATTGTGGCTTTGAGAAGGCAAGCACTATGATTTTCAATGAACATAAATTCAAGTTATCAATAATTAATGGTCAATGATGATAAACTTTTATCCTATTACATATTTTAGCATTATGAAAAAAAGGATTGGCTGTACCTGCCCTCAAGAAACTTGTCATCTTATTACATTGAAAAGTATTTACATATTTGATAGTATATATTAAGCACAGAAATTAATACAAGCAGGTTTTGACCACCTAAAATTTTAGCATTCTCAGTACCAAAAATTTGTGGGCCAGAAAAGATCAAGAAGCCTGAGTTTTCCTTTTCTGGGCAGTCTCCATCACCTTCCACGTCTCTCTATTCCCTCACCCATATGAGACTTGTTAGTCTTCAGCATTGAGACCATAGTCCCTTGAGCCCTCCCTGTTCTCCTACACCATCACCGCTCTTCTGGATCCTCTTCCCTTCCTTTCTGGCCAAAACCCCATGGCCATCTGTGCCTTCTTTTTCTAGTAGAATTCCTTGCTCCCTACCCCTTTTCAGTACCAATAATGTCCACCTGTCCTCTTGACAGCTTCCAATCTGAGTATCCTCTATTGCCTGCTTTCTTATCTCCCATGTCTGGAAAAAGTTATGAAAGCAGTGGTAATGTGGTCCACTAAATATTGGTGGTCTACATTGCCACAGCTGGCCTCTGGATCCATAAATTTATTGTCAGCCACCTGCTGGATTCTCCATAGTGACTGAATCAGCCCTTCTTCAGGCTTCCCAGACTCGTCTTTCTATTTTCAGTCCCTGTAATCTCAGCAGATTGAGACCCATCACTTTTACTACTGAAGTCTATGAAACTCAACAGCTCTCAACCTACCCCTTTCTAACCATAGAATAGTTCAATATTTTCACTCGCCATCCTGATTTCATTCCTAAGTCTGAAGAAGAAATAACTTCATTCTTGCAGAATTTAAACTCTTGAAAATAAGGAAGTTTCAATGGCTAGTACGAGGTATGTTTTTATGGGAGGTAGTTCTACTGTATGTTATTTCTTTCTCTTTTTGCAGCCTCTTCTGGTTTTCCTCCTTCAGACTAAAATATACTTAGTCCTACTTTTCCTTCACACAAAGCAAACAAAAAACTCTACATGTCTCCTGTCCTCTAACCCTCCAAATGGCTTTGTTAAGAGCCAGACTCTTAACAAAAAAGGCAAAACACATTTCCTTACCAATTTCTAACTCCTCAGTCTATTGCATTTGGCTTCCACTCCTGTTATTCTGTAGAATCTCTGCTCAATGGCTTCTCAATGTTAAAATTTTTGGCCTTGTCTCATTCTTCATCCTGCTTGAACACTGATGGGTGTTTCTTCAGAAAGCAAACCTCTTAGAGAGCGGATTCTTCTGAGTCAGCCTGGCACTTAGGGTCCATGCTCTGGCCCCACCCTGCCTTTCCAGCCACTCCTACTAACATTCTTTTATTCCCAGCTTTTCACCCAATGTACTGGACTTTAAGTGGACCCAGTACTTGCCTACTTCTGCTCCCTTCTACAACTGAACCTTCAATTTGGAATTTACTGCTTCCTACTTTATCTCCGTCTGTCAAAATCTTATCCATCCTTCAGTGCCCAAGTCAAACATCACCTGTTCCAGATAGCTGTTTATGATTTTCCTGGTTAGATTTCCTTGATCTTCTACTCTCCCTTCAGTAGCATTGTGTTCATATCTCTGTTGTGAGCCTTTGTACATTCTGCCTTTAGCTATTTTTCTTTCTCTCCAAGTTAATAACTCTGAGTACTCAAGGCTAACAGAGGTGTCATTGATGAGGATAGCCCCTAGAATATAGCAGATGCTCAATAAAATCTTGATGCATAAATTGTCAATGGTCAGAAAAGGAGAAATAAGCACTGGCAGACACAGCCAGGTCAGTCTCATAGAGGAGATGCCCTGAAGCATTATGTAGTCTTTTGGTGTTACAGAAATTTTGGTTGACCTCATTTCACCCTGGTTACAAGTAACTCATAAAATCTACCATATGTTGAGTGTTTGTGCTTACTGTGCTGCAGGCATTGGACAAGTGCTTTTGATGCATCATTCCACTCATTCTCATAACCTTTTCAGGGGAGTACTGTGATTATCCCTCTCATTTAGATTAAAGCGTCATTTATAAAATGAGCCTGCGAGTGCTCATGTAATTTATTAGAGGTCACGCAGCTGAAACTGCACTGAGCTGGGACATGCACTCAAAGTTGAAAGGTTGAAACCAAACCAAAGTTGAAACGAAGGGTTGGTTGGGGCTAAAGCCTAATCTCTTAATAACCACATTGTACTGTTTCCACACTAAGCAATTTTTCAGATTTAAGAAGTTTCATAAAATCTACATTGAGTATCAATCACTGGAATCTGAAACTTGAGCTTAGATTCCAGTCCGTGACTATTCTTGATTTGTGGTTTTATGTTCCTCTATGGGCTATGGAGATACCTGTCATTCTTGCCATACCCTTGGCTTTCTCTCTATTACCTTAAGAAAGAAAGCTGATGTTTTCATAAAGTCATATAGAATTTCATATTCTTCTTAAAAAGCTGTTGATCTCACCTTCAAAATTCATCCATGTTCTCCTTGGTCATGGGGAAGTCATATGTTGTGTTATTGACCTGGCCTAGGAAATAGCTTTGTTCCTTTCCTTGGAGGGGATAAATCCACATGTGATAGATTATATGCCTTCAGAAATAATTACCTTACAGAGCACTATAATCTCCAATGTATAAGTTCATTGATAGGAGAAAAAATTCCGCCTTCTCAAGGTTATTTTATTTCTTACTGTATTGTGGGGTGAACGCTATTGCCCATTTCTCAATGGTGGGTTGGACTTGACTAGATTATAGAACAGAAAGTTTCTGAACAAACAGTGATAGTAGCTGACTTAATATTGCCTGCCATTTAGTAATTACTTAGTAGTTTCTAAGTGTAAAATGGCAAGAGTTACCATAAGTTGCACAATGTATTTAATATCTTGAGACATTATATCCATGGCCAGGCATTAAACCCAACTTTCTTCAAACCGATATGGAAAGAGAAAGGGGTGAAGTATAATAAAAATGTCTTTCTGTCTTGCCTTTAAAGACTTAACACATTAAGGGTTTTCCATAAGTCCACAATACTCAAACATGGTAAAATCTCTTTTAGGATTCATTATATCATCTCAGTCTTCATTTATTGGCAAGTTTTACTTAAAAGTATGTGTGCCCTTGATATTTCCTAATCAAGAAATAAATTTTGGTGATTTTAATCTAGCAATCTAATTTCCTATTGTTACCAGCAGTAACACCTCTTATCACATAAATATTGAGTGAATTCAGGGGAAAATTAGTGAAACATTCTAAAATCCTTGGAAGTTGCTCAAAACAGAGATGTATGTATTATCACTTGTAGAACTAAAACTATCTAGATACCATTTTGACACTAGTGACCAGAAGTTTCTAGGAGAAGCTCTTTGAGGTATATACATTCCTTCCTCCCTCCTTTACTTAAACAATTATCAGGTATCTTTTAAGAAACTACGTAATTTCAGGATTGGGCTAGATTACTTAGATTGGCTGGAAAGGCAGGTGAGACCAGCTGTGAACTTCAATAAATTTACAACTTTGTCCTGGACATAAGGTATAAACACAGCTAATGTGTGTTACGAATCTAACCAAGCCATGATTGACAAATATGGTCTAAACAAAGAGTAAGTAAACTAAAACCCATGGTCCAAATCCGGCCTGCTCTTGTTTGTATGAATATAGTCTTATTGGAACACAGCCACCTCATTTGTTTACTTATTGTCTATGGTTGCTTTTGCACTACACCACAGAGTTGAGTAGTTGCAGCAAAAACCACACGGCTTACAAAGCCTAAAATATTTACTATTGTGCCCTTTACAAAAAAGGCATGCTGACCTCTGGTCTAGACTTCACTGATGAAGGCAGCCTAAAGTTAAAGGTAAAAATGACAATTGCTGGTGACTTCCACATGGCTTTACATTAGGGTGTCAAGGAGACTGGATTTCCATCTTACTGCTATCACTTACTAGATGCAAGCCTTCGAGCAAATTTGACTTAGTTTATTTTAGCTTTGAAACACATGGCAATTAAAAAAAAAAACATGTAAGTATGTGTTTTGAGAGAACTCAATGAGAGTATTTGCTACACCAAAATAGGAATCAACATTTGTGACTATAACCATCAACAAACTATATGTCGTGGACAGGTCATATGAGCAGGGGATGAGGCTGAGGGCAGAAGTTACAATTGTTTAGAAAGCTATAGTAGATATTTGGGGATTTTAGTGTAAAAACAGCTTATGAGTGAACTAGTTAACTGGTAATCTTTTTCTCTTTCTCCTTCCTTCCTTCCTTCCTTCCTTCCTTCCTTCCTTCCTTCCTTCCTTCCTTCCTTCCTTCCTTCCTTCCTCCCTTTCATGGAGTCTGGCTCTGTCACCCAGGCTGGAGTACAGTGGTGCAATCTCAGCTCAATGAAACCTTGGCCTCCTGGGTTCGAGCGATTCTCCCTGCCTCAGCCTCTGGAGTAGCTGAGATTACAGGCGCCTGCCACCATGCCTGGCTAATTTTTGTATTTTTAGTAAAGACAGGGTTTTGCCAAGTTGGTCAGGCTGCTCTCGAACTCCTAAACTCAGGTGATCCGCCCACCTCAGCCTCCCAAAGTGTTGGGATTACAGGCGTGAGCCACTGGGCCTGGCAGAGAATCTTTTTCATGCAGAAAAATATTTCACACATATTCTAACAATTAAATATCAGTAGTTAAAAAAATCAGTAGGTAAGACAAATTCAGGAGGGAAAAGTTATTGTTCTGATAAAAACTAAATTATACCCACTATCCCTTTGAAGAAGGAAATTCCCTCTAATTTCATATTCCCCTCCTCCTTTGATTTGAAGATTCTGTTAAAAACGTTTCTAACAGCTATAGTGTATGACCCTAGAAACACATCATTTATCTAGGGAATAACATTCATTTTAATATCATTTCACCCAGGAAGCAAGTCTTAAACCCATATTTTCTGATCCACTTAGTTGATAATATTCTTCCAAAAAAATTTCTGGCTGGCAAAAGAAAGATAATTTAATTTAAAGAGATTAGATATATTGCTTGAAATGCAAGTCCCCCAGAATTTGACAGCAGAACAAGACCAGCGAACAGAAAACTCATCTTGCTGCCTTGCTAATACTGGCATCAGGGAATTTATAAGTTGGGCCGTCAGTATTTGCTCCATGGAGTAATGTCAATGTCATTGATTCTTAAAAGCTGACATTCATTAAAAGTACCCAATGTGGATATGTAGAAGGATTTTTGACAAATCAGCCAAGTGTCACCATTCTGTAAAGGATTATAGAATGATGCTTTGCGGCTTTGAGCTCTTTCTTTAAACTGAATGGATCTTGTCTTCATATAGCATGTGAAAGATTGGGTTTCATTGCCATTCCAAATGGGCTGATTTTGCTTTTTTCTTTTCCCATCAAAAGTTGGGGGAACTTGGGAAACAGGGGAGGGATAACTTTTACTATTTATTTACTATGAGCCAGGTGTGTAAGTTCATTCCATCTATCCATTTATCAAAATATTACATACATGTGTATCTACCTGTGCATGTAGATACACATGTATGTAATATTTTGAGTGTGATTGTTATATGAGTTAGGTGTTATAATTTATCCCCATTTTACAGATAAAGAAACTGAGGCTGAAAGAGGTCCAGTCATTTGCCCAAGTAGTAGAACATCAGTGAAGAGGAAGTCTATAAACACTTGGTAGAAGATTTGTCAGTGACAGAACAGTGTCATACACTATTAAATTGGTCAAGCTGCTCTTCCCACTTCCACCTTGGAAGGAGAATGAGAAATCCATTCATGCCTGTTGGCTCTTCCAACTTCATCCTCTCCTCAAAAGCCTTGGGCGGAAATACCATAGCAGTATTTATTATTTTGAAAGCAAGCACACGCCTGCCCCTGCCCCCAGTTGTGTTGTTAGATTGGAAACAGTGCCGCCTGTGGCTCTCTGTACCCTCCCCTCTCATTACAGCTCATCCTTGGAACACAATCATTTTCTGTGTTATCCAAAGGTGTCATTACAGGGTGCCTGCTATATAGTTAGTGCAGTGTCAGCATATTCGGTGTGGAACTCCCCCCACTCCTACCCCCGATCCTCCTAACCTGGAGGACATAACTAGGCCGTAAGAATTCCTTTGGGGCTACTCTACTGGGTAGAGACATAGTTATGTCTGGGGGAACTGTTTCTAGTGACTTATTGTCTATAGCTTTAGGTCAAATTTGAATAAATTCTCCCTTCAATTCCAGAGAAACAATAAACCCACAATTTGTGATGGAAAAGTCAAGTGGATTTGTGTAAAGGCTTTGAGGAGGTCAAGAAGAAGACAGGCCATAAAATGAAAAACTAGAATTAAAACTGTTTTATTTAAATTGGAATTTTTAAAATATCAGCCTGATACTAAAGATTAAATAAAATCAGCCTAAGTACCTTAGCTACAAACAGTCATCAAGTGCCAACTGCATGCTGGGAGCTCCTGGGAGATGCAGATGCTGAGAATCCTCGAAGGGCTCCAAAGTCCTCTGGAAAGGTCGATTTACCAAGGGTGTTGGACACAAGTGCAGAACCCATTGGCACGCCCCCTGTGCAATACACAGCCTCAGGAAAGTTGTAGATTAAAGAAATACTCAGGACAGGGGTGGGATTCCTTGGAGAGAACTTCCTAGAGGGCAGCATTTCTCTGGGGGAATGCTGAAGGTTGAGATAACTGTGAAGGACAGTGAAGGTATCTTCAGGTTCTCTGAGCTCCTTGGCTACAAGAACTTTGTGTTAGTCACCTGGGGTACCTTCTATACCTCAAAAATAGATTGTCTTAATACATGTTTGTGAACTTCATGTGGATTGAATTGAGCCAAGCCCCAAGGATGGCATCTAGTAAATTATCAGCAGAATTCTGCAAGGAAGGAAAGGGGTTGTGGTAGGGGTAGGGAGAGATGGAAGATATGGAGTTTGTGTGTGTGTGTGTAGGGTAGGGTATATTAAAGGCAGTGGTTCATAAGGTGACATGAGGCTCATTAAGTAGATGGAACCACTTGAGGGAAGTGCCATAAAGAGCCCCAGGGAACTCACATGCTAGTTGGGGGCTCAGGATGAGCAGGGTCCCATGAGGGTTCCTAACTCTGTGGATTGGAGTCCTTCAGACGAGGTTGTGCTCCTTGTGAATCAAGGCAGGTGGCGGTGGGGTGTCTGTGAAGAAGAAAGGGCTTGGGGCAGTTGACTAAGAAAATTGCTATATGACCAAGGAAATATCATCTTAAAAGAGGGATCATTTTTCCAGCTGCTATGTGTGTTCAACGAGGCAGATGCTAACCGAAATAGCAAGAGTTACTAATAATAGCTAATATTGACTGAGCATGTATAGGTCAGGTGCTGTGCCCAGCACTTTACATGGATTAACTAAATGATCATGCTAAAAATATTTGTGAGGTGCCTACTGTGTGTATCAGGCATCATTTAAAATACTGGATATTCACCAGTGAACAAAAACCATAAAACTTCTACCCTTACAGAGCTCTTAAAGTTATACTTCATAATAGACCAATAAGACAGGCAATATTGGGAGCAACAATAGGTAATAGGTACAATAGAATAATAAGATAGGTAATAAAGGGAGCAACTGAGATGCAGTACAGAGCGATTAAGTAATTTGTCCCAGATTACATGAGTAATCATCAGTACATTGCTTTGTGAATATAGTCAACACCAAGTCCCTGTTATATAAATGAGACTGGGGTCAGTCCTAAGAATTATCGAAATGGCTTAAGTATACTGCATGCTCTGAATGAGCTTCCAGTTGAGTGGCGATGATGAGCATGCAGACAGTAATGGTAGGTTAATGTGGCATATACAAGGTGTGAAGGGAGTCAAGAGCAACTAGCTTTTCCAGTGGGGTAGGGAAAACTTCCTTGAAGGGCTACAAGACGAGTAGGAACTTACTGGGTAGAAAAGTAAGTTGGAAGTCAAGAGGACATTTTAGACAGGGAAAGGTAGCTTGCTCAAAATGCATACAGGAGGAGAGGTAGGGAGGATGCTAGCCTTTGCCGATTATGTTATCTTGTACTGGCACTTCACATATTTTTAAATTAAATATTACATGCATAGAAAGAATATTATTTCCATTATATATGCAACAATTAATATGACTGTATACCTAACTGCATAGCTTAATGAATAAAACATTGCTATTAAAAATTAGTCTTTCAAGTAAGTTAGGAGAGATTGAGTCATTTGTCCAAAGTCATCGAGTTAGGGAATGGTAGAGCCAGGCTTGTTGCTTGGCCTGTTTGGTCTTAAAACTGTTGTATTGGAGTCGGCACAATTTCTTCTTTCAGGTGGGTGGAATACTTAGACAGTGGTGGGAGTTGCTGCATAGAAGTTTTCAGGGTACTAGTGAAAAGGAAAGAAGGAGAGGAGTCTATTCCCACTGGTATCCTCTGATTGGACAGAAAGACACCAAACGTGAGAGAAAACAGTTTCTTCAATTATTGATAAATCTCCAGAGAAGAAGACATAACAGGGTGCTGGACCTGGGGAAAAAAAGTACCTGTGGGCCAGATGCATTTCTGCTTTCACCAGGATGGTCAGAGTGGGCCTCTGGAAAAGAGACTTTGATCTAATTCCTGGATGATAATAAGGCACTCGTGATGCAAAGTCCTGCGGGAACGTGCTTCAGGCAGAGCAAACAGCCAATGCAAAGGCCCCGAGGGGGGTTTATTTTATTTTCTTCTAAGGTGGGTGTAGTTGAGACTTTCAGAAGACCAAATACTTTGACCATAAGACTTTGGCCCCAGGCACGTTCACCTTTCTACATGTGCTTAAATTACGTGTGCGGCAAAAATACGAGTATTGCCCAAATGAAACACTGCATTAGTGTTAAAATTAGTACTCAGTGAAAGCCAAATATCACATCATTGAATAAACTTCTAGGAGTTAAGAATAAGTCTGATACATTATTTTAAAATAAATCATTGTGACAATTTTATTATTAAAATTTTAGTAGTGGTTGTCATTATAGTGCAGGAACTTTCGGCACTACATAGAAACTCACTTTAAACTGACGTATTTAATAATATTACTAGACTTATGTTCACAACAGCACATAATTCAGGAAAAAGGTTTTTAGTAGCATTTTCTGGGAGGAACTTTGTTTTAAGGACACAGATTAATCAATCTCAAAAACTTTTCATCTTTAAATATTGAAAATTTAATATACTTAGTAGTATATGGTATAGCCTCATTTTAACAAGCTTTTTTGTTGAGAAGTTTAGCTTTCTTGAGGGTTGGGGAAGAGGGAGACTGTAAGTGTTGTCTTCCTAAAATTGTCTCGTCCAGTCAGTCGTTTCGAAGTTTGGTAAGAATAAAATGTGTTTGAATTCCTCATTTGTGTCTAATAATTTCCTCTTTTCTTTATATTATTTTTATTTTTCATTTTGCCTGGATCAAAGATAATTTACTATGAATGTTATTGTACATGAGTGTGCAGTTTTTCCTCCTCATGAAATTTTGATATGGAGAATTTGGCATTCTGCTTTTAATTTATCCTCACAAGATATGAAGAATTCCCTTATAAATAAGACTTTTTCTTAGAAGAATTTTGGCCTAAATTGAATTAAATAATGACAATTTTAATACACTCCTTAAAGGTTTTATTTTATATGTAATGGATGCTAATACACCAGACAATTCTACAAGGACTAGAATTATGATACAATTGAATAATATTCTGCCTTGTATTGTTATTTAAATTTCTATATTTAAATAATTCTTTGGCTCAAAAAGGATGTAAGTTAACTTGCTATTTTTATTTGAAAATAGCAAGAAAATCTAATGACACACCTCATTTATATCACTGACAATATTATAGTGTAACAATTAGAAGTAATGGTTATTGGTCGTATGATCATTGGTCATGAACAATACCAGGGAAGCCAGAAATGACTTTAAAGTGAGCATTTGGTGATTCAGTCCTTTGAAGGCTGAAGCTGAAGCTGAAGCTGAAATCAGAATTACGGCCAATTCTCCAGGCACGTTGGCTCAAGCCTGTAATCCCAGCACTTCAGGAGGCTGAGGTGAGTGGATTACCTGAAGTCAGGAGTTCGAGAGCAGCCTGGCCAACATGGTGAAACCTCATCTCTACTAAAAAGACAAAAATTAGCTGGGTGTGGTGGTGTGCGCCTGTAGTCCCAACTGCTTGGGAGGCTGAGGCACGAGAATCGCTTGAACCCAGGAGACGGAGGTTGCAGTGAGCCAAGATCATGCCACTGTACTCCAGCCTGGGCGACAGTGAGACCCTGTCTCAAAAACAAAAAAAAAATTATAGCCAATTTCAAGATGGAAGACTGGCCTCCAATGAACTCCTTTCCTCATTTAGTGTAGGTTCTCATCTTTTTTCTCTTGCTTGGTAAAACATTTTATTGAACTATAACATATAATGAAAAGTACTCAAATCATAAGTATTCAGTTTGATTAATTTTCACAAGATAAATGTTCCCAAGTAACTTGCACCCAGATCAACAACAACAAAAAAACAATAGTAGCATCTCTGAAGCACCTTTCATGCCCCTACCGGGAACCACCATCATCAGGGGACACAATTACCCTGACCCCTAACACCAGAGACGCACTGCCTATTTTGAACTTATGTAAATGGAATCATCCGTATGTACTCTTTTCATGTCTGCCTTTAGCTGAACATCATGATTGTGAGATCCATCTCATATGGAGTTGTAGATCATTGATTATTATTGCTGTATAGTATTCCCTTGTGTAAACGTGTTAAGATTTATTTATCCATTTTGCTGTTGATGGACACTGAGAAATTTCTTAGGCCCTTAATTTTTATCAAAGACTTATTTTAAAAAGAAAGAAAAGGCACACAAATGCTGCTTCTGTACTTCTTATAAAACTTATCATTGAAGACCTTGTCCGTTACACTATTTAATGGCCTCTAAGTCATCCTGCTATGATTTTTAGAATTTAGTGCCAGAGAAAAGCTTCAACTCTCTTGAGGAATTAATATGCTTCCTCTTTTCTTTTAATACATGTGCTTATTATATCCCACCTTGTCCCAGAAAGAACTAGCCAGCTTAATTAAATAAAGAAAACCTTGCAAAATTAAAAATTCAACATGGATAAAAACAGTGAGGCAAAGTGAGAACTCCTGTAGCCTCATCCAGTGACTTTAGCACTGAAGCTTATTCAAGCATTGGTACAAGGAAGGTCTGTACTCTTTCTTACTTGGGACCCAGATTCCCAAGAGTCCCTGTAAGTTTCACATCAGCTGATTCTAAAAGGAAAATTAGATCAATTCTACCAAACTGTGTCCAAACTATCAGGGCAAGCTAGCTCCTCCTAAGAAGGGCATCTCCCTATTCCTGGTATCAGAGACACATTTCTCTCAAGCATTCTCCAGCAGAGGACCACTTGAATACCTGTAGGTAGATATGGTGATGAGTTTAATTGACTAGTTTTTTTGACCACCCCTCATCCCAGGATGATGGCATCACCTCAGGGAACAATTCAGTAAAACCATTTAAACACTTCAGAGAAGGGGCGGGGAGACCTTGAGAAAGAAGTTATCCAACACCATCTTGAGATATACTTTCCATTGACCTGACTTGGTCCAGTGGTAGGGTTTGTGCATCTGGATAAAGAGAAACTAAAAATCTTTTGGATTACTCCCCACAAATACTGCTTCCTTCCATAAACTTGATAGACACAGAGTAATAAAAAGCTTAAGATCATACTCCTTATCGAATATCAAGGGTATAGCTAGTGTATGTTGCCAGTTAAAGATGATGCCACTTGCTGTAACAGCCAACTCCAAAGGAGGTGGAATTAATATCCTTTTAAGAGAACTGACTATCCCAAACAGAAGATTGTCCACCTGTTCTTTGGCTGGGCCAAGATATTCCATAAAAAATAATTGAGTCTATTCTCTCTAATGCTTATACAAATGGCTCACCAGAGTTACAGAGTTTTGCTCTGCACAGCATGTCCTGAATGGCTGTAACCTGAACATTTTAAGGCCGGGGTAGCCAAATGCCCAAACTGGCCATTTAACACCAAACTCTTCTTTGATGCCTGGTTGGACAGTTACATAATGTCATATTTCCTTTCCCGCTCCAGCTGGCAAGAAAGTAAGACAAATTTTAAAGCTTAATCACAGCAGCAATGCTTATCTTTACATTTAAAGTAACAAGTACAAAGTACAAAATTCAGATGATGGATACACCAAAAGCCCAGATTTCACCACTACACAAAATATCCATGTAACAAAATTGTACTCCTACCCCTTAAATTTATACCAGTACAAAATTAAAATATTTACTGCTTCTACTTTGCTTGACTTGGGCTTCCTCCTCTCTGTTCCTATTTTATATACTAATTGTAGATAAACCTTATTTTGGGGAAGGTCTCAAAGCTTTTCAGGAAAAAAGACATGGTCTAAACAAATTTCAAGAGAACAAAGTATAATGTGTGAGGAAAGTGATCAAAAATTGGCAAATGTCTAATACTTGTCTCCAGTTCTTCTGCCCTGGGAATAAAGACCTGTCTGTACAAAGGCTTCCTGACAGCCGAAGGAACAAAATGCTCTCCTGAAAGAAAAAAGCGAGAGTTGCACCGTCTTCCCCCCACCCCTTCTCTGCAACGAAACAATGCCTCCCAAAGGAGCTGGCAGCTGGCCCTTGGCAGGTGGTAGAAACAGCATTGCAGCTTGCACGAAAGGAGAAAACCCAAACTTTCAGCTTTGGGGAGCAGTGCGATTATTCTGCCTGCTACCTCTTAAAAGAGAACGGACCGCCACGTCATCCAGCCAAACTGAGCCACTGAATGCCACAGACTTCTTCTCCCCTTCAGCAGTTCCCATTTTTGTTCCTGTTGCCTCAAGGCTGATGGCGGCAGGGGCGAGGGGAGGCTGACAGTACTGATACACAGCTCCTGACCTTGTCCCCTTGGCTTCTTGTTCATTCTAAGTGTGTTTACTCACCTTTTGTCGATGTGCCTGCAGTGACTGCTGATGTGCCAGGAGGGCACAGGCAGAACAACCAGGAAAGGGAGGAAAATGGAAGGTCAAGGTCTAAAAAAAAAAAAAAAAAAAAAAAAAACTGGTGATGGGCATCCTCCACATAGAGGGCCTGGGGAGGAACTGGGTTAAACTAGACTTGGATTGATTATGGGGTTGCTGTTTTTTTGATGTTTATTTTTGACTCTTTGGTAGGAAATGAATAAATAGAACAGTTTTGATGGAACAAGACCGTATTTTACCCTTTTCTCCTGTTCTCTCATCTACCCAGCTACCTCCCTACCTGAAGATGGCAAAATCAGTGATGACATGAAGGTCACAACTGTATATTTATACAGGTCATTACTATAGTAACATATTCCTATAGTTCTTTCATTATTATAATGCATGTATTGATTACCTCCTATACGGAAACGTGAAACAAGCATGGTATTTGCAGCCAGAAAGACCTAGATCTGCCATCTACTAGCTTGGAAACTTTGAACAATTTCCTTGACCTCCCTGAGCCTCAATAAATGCAGGTGAAGAATAGAGATGATAATGTGTACCTCATAGGGCTTCTGTAATAATTAAATGGAGCTAACCTATGCAGGTTACCTGGTAGAATACATAATCGACTTTCAGTAAGTGAATACTATTATCATCAGGATAATGGCCATGAGAGATGCATTCATTTTAGAAAGAATGGCATCTTTCATTGGAAAGTTTGTGGCCTGGTGACACTAAATATATGATAATATTCTTCAGATTTCAAAATGTTTAATTGTCTTTTCTGGAACCATAATGGTGATCAGGGTCACTGAAGTTGTGACTGAATCATTGGATTAAAAAGCCCAAGATTTCAAGAGGCTGTTCACCCTTGTCAACTGCAGGGACAGATAAGCACCAGGAATCCTTAGGAGAGAAGAAAGATGGTTGCTTTCTAGGTCTGCTATTGTGGTATAGTAGAAAAGTAAGAGAGAGGGCTAAACAGCTCCCGTCTTAGCACTTTGCTAAGCTCTGTGACAAATCACAGAAAATAATAAAACTGTTACTGTTTATTCACCTATTCAGTGCCAGGCACACAAGCACATATACAATCTCATTTAATCTTAGAACAATTCCATATGGTAGGAATTTCTATCACTACACAAATAACCCCATCTGCAGTGGATAAAAATATCCTCACAGAGCTCCGGGAAAGGTCAAATGAGATGCTAGATACCAAGGTATTATTATTGATATCACGTAAATTATTCCATGATTTACATGGAATGCTCACTGGTCACTTGGAAATTGTCTGCACTTTCCTTTTTATGGAACCGTTACTGTTACTTAGTCTTATCGCTTGAATAACTTGGACACTGTTTCTCGCAATTGCCAACATAGTCTGAACCCATTTCAATTCCATAAGGACTTAACACCCACTATGTTGAAGGCATTGAAATGGGGTTGCAGCAGGAGTTCCCTGTCATGGGATTTATGTTCTTTGGTGGGTACTAGAGAAGATAGCACAGAATACTGAGTATGAATATGGGGCAAGAGAAACATAAGCAGTTCTAATGGATTTTGGAGGAAACAATATGCATCTCTAGTCTGGGGTATCTGGGAGGGAGGAGAGGGATCGGGCATCACGGAAGTCTTCCTAAGGAGGTGGTATTTGGGGATGGACCTTGAAAAATGAGCATGAGGTTTTAAATGAATTTTTTTTACCCAATTATTAAATCAATACACACACATTATTGAAAACACATAAAAACAAAAAAGTAAAAAGAAATTCACCACATGCCAATCAAGGATATTACTGTTACACTTTGGGGTACATTCTTACAGTAGTTTTCTCTGTACTGAAGTATATTACATAAGTACATATATATTCATAAGTATAATTAGGTAAATATATAACACACAATTTTTTTATCCTTTTTCTTGAAATTTTAAGTATTTTCTGTTTGTAAAGACTTTTCATAAATATGATTTTAATAATTACATCATAATGTCCCAAAGAATGAATATGCCAAAAATATACCTAACAAATGCCCATGTTTTAAAATACTCTGATATACCATTTATAGCTATTGTAAATGATCCAGTGATATGTTTAGCAGAAACAATAAGGCTAAATGCCAATTATCTGGTCTGGGACATTGACAAGTAGGTTGAAAGCATCAAAAAATTGTTGATGACTAGCATTTCCTTTCTTCAATTCTTTCTGCCTATTAAACTTCATAAATCGTTTCACTCTCATTTTCGTCATCTTCCAGTGAATTTCAGTTGCTCACGACGTAAAATCCCAATTCCTTTCCCATCCTATAGGCTCTCCAAACCCAACCCAACTATAAATAAGTTGTTTCCCACCACTGCCTTCCTCTGCAAAGATGCGGCCCATCCTTCCACTGTCTTACTGTCTTTCCCTATTTTGAGCTCCTTGACCTTATTAAGACCCTCTGTCCCTTGATCTTTCCCTTTTCTCTGAATCTGTCAGTTTCCTCTCAGCCTCACTTCCTTCCCTCTCTGGTTTAAGCCTCGTCAGAGTGGATTTTCTGTGATGCTATAGCTTAAGTGTCAAGGGTCCTCACTTTCACAGGCACCTTAGAAGGTGCTGTGCCTGATTTTGCATTTGTAATTTCATATTTTTTTTTCTTAAACAGGAGACTCAAATTGTATAAACTTCAGGCCCCACAAAACCTGAATCCTATGGTGGGCACTGCATCACTGAGGCTTCCCCATCTCTGAGTAATTTTATTTTATTTGCTACAAAGTTTTTCATGTTCTACATTCTAGAATTTAACATATGGAGTTATAATTGTTTGTTTGATCATAAGTTCCTTGAGGGTAGGAACTATGTCTTATTTACATTTATGCCCATAATTAATGCACATTTGTGGAATCCTTTGCTAACTTTTGCTATCTTGCATCAAGCTTCTCCTTTCCAATATTACTACTACTACTACTACTACTACTACTACTACTACTACTACTACTACTACTACTACTAACTGTAAAGGTTTTAGAAAGCATACTGTGTCAGATTATATTTTCCAAAAATGGCTACAGTATTATTTCCAGTGCTACATGTTCTTCTATATCCTTGACACTCCCCTTTCAGAGATGAAGTCAATTTCCTCTCCTGGTGAATCTGCATAGGCTCTAACCAATGCAGTATGGGGAAGTGATATTATGTGCCTTCTAAGGCTAGGTCATAAAATAGGATGCAGCTACTCTGAATGTTTCCCTTTGGAGTCCAGCCATCAATTGTGAGGAAGTATAGAGCCATGTAGAGAGGACACATGGAGGTGGTCCAGCTGACAGCTCCAGCTAGGGTCCAGCCAGCATCAGCCACCAGACACGGGAGTGAGGGAGCCTTCTCATGATTCCAGCCCCTAGGCCTTAAGCTGCCCCAGTTGATGTCAAGTGGAAGAGAGACAGCTGTCCCTACTAAGCCCTGCCCAAATTGCAGCTAGAGAGCAAAATCAATGTTGTTTTAAGCGACTAAATTCTGAGGTCATTTGTTTCACAGCAATGAATAACCAGGCTGTGTGCTGAAGGCATGACATGTATTATCTTCCTAAGGAAACTGAGACCCAGAAAACGCAAATAACTTGTCCAAGCTCACCCCCTCTCCACCTAGTCAATTTTGCCTCCATTCAGGCCATATCTCCTCTACCATGTCTTTCGGCTTGTTTCAATGCACAGAAATCCCCCTTCTTTAACTCTAATAGCCAGTAGTCAATGTTCTTGACACCTATATCTCTTCCCAACAGCCCTGTGATGTAGATGTATCACTTTTCTTGTTATACAAATGAAGAAACAGACAAACAAAGAGATTGGAAACTTGTTTAAGGAAACAGTAAGTGGCAGACATCTGTCTTCACATCTCATTATTTAAATTTAAACTATTCCTTCCCTTCATTGGCTTCCTAAAGTCCTTATTAGGATCACTTATTTAGACTTATTTAATGCAACGTATGTCTTTTTTGATGATCTGTTTTGCACACTGGATTGTACACTCTTGGGCAATGTCATACATTTCTTTGAGATCCTTCTTAGCACTCTGCACAATGCTGGGCACAAAATGGGCACTCACCAATTGAGTAAATGTAAAAAGTTACATTCAGCATCCACACAAAGTAGTTTTACAGTTACATGAAGAAAAAACAAAAAACATAGAAACACAGAAGTAAACCTTGCAACTAAATTAGTAAGGGCTTTAGGCAAGTCTTAGTGATTTTCTTTTTTTGTACCTAAAAATATATTTTCTTCTCCTTTAAAAAATGTTTAAGTCTATCACAAGCGTAAATATTTGGTTGTATCTTTTTTAGAGTAGTTTATTTTTTTGGAAAAAATCTGGCTTTCTCGTCAGCCTAGTGTTTTTATAGCGTTAGAATCTTTTTTTTGTTTTGCTTTGCTTTTTTTTTTTTTTTTTTTTAGCAGATGAGATATTCAAATAAAGGCCTCTTATTGATCTCACTTGTTGCTGCAGGCTCCAGCTTCAAATTGAAACTTGATCAATATGGCTTTGAGGCAGTCTGGAACATTAAATAAGACCTTGTTAGACTGAAACTTTTTATTTTGCTTTACTTAATTTGGAGGGGCGGGAACAGTAAAGGTGGGGGAGAGATGGGTGCACACCTCAGTCTGTTGCTGGAAGTGAGTCTTGATTTAATTTCCTATAGTATCCTCTGTGCAGTAATCCTAGCTGAGTGGTGATAAGTTGGGTGGCACCATTATAACTATTGCATATACTCACAGTCTTGTTTTCCCACGTCTAGGTTATATGGTTTTATTGTTTGTTTGTTTGTTTTTCTCTGAGACAGAGTCTTGCTCTGTCACCCAGGCTGGAGTACAGTGGCGCGATCTCGGCTCACTGCAACCTCTGCCTCCCGGGTTCAAGCGATTCTCTTGCCTCAACCTCCTGAATAGCTGGGATTACCGGTGCATGCCACCATGCCTCGCTAATTTTTGTATTTTTAGGAGAGACGGGGGCTTCACCATGTTGATCAGGCTGGTCTTGAACTCCTGACCTCGTGATCTGCCCGCCTCGGCCTCCCAAAGTGCTGGGATTACAGGTGTGAGCCACCACACCCAGCAGGTTATATTTTTTAAACACCCTCTTCAAAGCTGTTGAGAAATGTAGAAGAAAGGAATGACATTTTAAGGGCCCCATCCAAGAACTAACAAGATGGGTCTTTATTTAATTCACCATCAATGCCCATTTACTGAGCACCTACTATGAGCCAGGCAAGGGGATACCAAAATGGAAAACACAGTGTCACTAATCTCAAAGAGCTTATAGCTTTGACTACCATTTCAAGGCAATATTCTCTGTGAAAGATATGAGGCTGAAAAGAGCTGTCAAAATGTAATCCCATCTGACATGACTGTTCTCATAGCAACGTTACCTTATCGTTCTGTTGAATATGGGTCTTATAGCATTTTGAATTAATAACTAGTTTCTCAATATAAACTGCTTAATGTGGGAGATCCTTACTGTCCGCATGTCCTATAAGCTTAATGCTAATTTTGAGGCATAATGTTGGCAACTGGTGTTTAAAAAAAGGGGTAGGGGATAAAAATATCATTATAGAGATGGGAGAGCAAAGACTCCTCATTGTATAGAGGAGGAAATGGAGACCCTGGCAATGAATCATTTAACTCTACTAGGGTCCATAGATCATGTAAACACATTCACTTATCCAACATTTATAAATGAGGGTGATTTCCTTGGCAGGCACAGTGGCATTGGGAATACATTGATAAATAAAATACAGCTGCTGCCTTCAAGGAACTTAAATTAGAAATTACATCAATGTATAAAGAAGAAAATAACAATAGCTTATTATTCTACTGTCTTCTGAGTTCAAGCCTATTTTAACTTTATTAATTATAGAACTATAGAGTAAACTTTTGGCTCTGTCAAGCTGTAAGCTTTAACTTCAACTTTGAGAATAGCACTGCTCCTCTTTCCTATTGGTCTGCTTTTGCCAAGTATGTTTTCTATTGCCCTTTAATTGTACCTTTTTTATGAACAGCAGAATTTGTGAGTTTATCCTAATTTGCAGTTATTCATCTTCTAGCAGAAGTTTATTCCATCCACATTTATTTTCTCTAGCTATGCTTGTCTTCTGTCACCTTGTTTTAACTTTCTGCTTTTTATGCTTTATGTCATTTGACAGATGGACTTTGGGTTTTTTTCTCCTTTTTTAATTTAAGTGGTTGTGATGATGTAAAGTCTGTTTTCTTTCGATTAGTACTTACCTTTACATTGTTCCAGAATGTATTTGAACTAATTTCTGTCTCTAATTAAAAATGTCAAGAATGAAATGTAAAAATACATCGTATTTTATACAAACTTAAGCGGATGAAAATTAATCTCTGATTTTTCTTTGAAAACACTTACATTTAGTTTACCCCAGTGGTTCTCCACTAGGGGCCATTTTGCCCTCCACCCCACAGGGGACATTTGGCAATGTCTTGAGACGTTTTTGGTCGCCACAACTGAGGAGAGGAAGTGCTGCTGCATCGCGTGGGTAGAGGGCAGGGATACTGCTAAACACCCTGCAATACTCAGGATAGCTCCCTACAATAAGGAATTGTCTGGCACAATGTTCCAGTAGTGCCACGGTTGAGAAACCCTGGTTTACACTTTTGCCTGGTTACATGTGCTAGGTAAATTGACCACCACAGATATTTTTTCCCCTATTTTCAAAATTGAAAACAGAAAGAAAAGGAATTGCATGTATATGTTATCACTCTTCTTGTTCTCTCTTACATATCTTAATTAAATCAGTGAGCCCCTCTGATGAAATATCTATTATTTATCGACTTTTGCCCCTACCCCTCTCAGGCATGCTGTAGTGGAGTCGAGACATTATACAAGGTTGGCACATATAAGGGCACTATTCCCATCACACATTGAGGCTAATTCAAATGAAAGCACAGATGGCATCAGGAGATTCCCAGTCTCTCCCCTGAGTCCCAGCACTTCCCTGCTTCCCCGCATCTCTAATTCAGATGGACTCTGAACCTCACCTGGGGGTCAACCCTAACTTCTGAGGGATGTGTGCATGCACACGCCCGGGTTGTTGCTCAGAGGATGTTGGGGCTCTGAGAATCTCCCTAGGCAGAGCTGTTCAGGCTGTGCAATAATACACTGACTTATTTTTCATGGAAGGACAGAGTAAATATAATACGGAAGTTTACAGGTGGGTTATTATTTTCATTTGACATATTTTTTCAATAACTGTTATTAGTAATCATTATTTAATTAACTGTGTTTTAGTACAGCAATTCTCAACCATAGCTACACATTAGAATCACCTGGGGAACTGCTTAAAAATACTTTTGGGGGCCTACTCTAACCAATTAAATCAGTATATCTGGGAGTAGTAACAGGGCCATGGTACTCTTACAAGCTTCCAGTGTGCAGCCACATTTGAGAACCCATTGGTTTAGTGGTTGCATCACTCACCACCGAATCTTTTGCATCAAAGTTCACCTATTTTTTTAATAAATTATTTTTAAAATCCTGGTAAAATACATATAACATAAAGTTCACCATCTTAACCTTTTTCAAATGTACACTTCAGAGGCATTAGGTACATTCACATTATCGTGCAACCAGCACCACCATCCCTATCGCATTCATCTTGTAAAACTGGAACCTCTCTACCCATGAAACGCTAGCTCCCCATTTCCCCTGCCCCAGCCCCAGCCCCTGGCGGCCACCATTCAACTTTTTGTTACTATGAATTTGACTACTCTAGGTACCTCATATAAGTGGTATATATAAAATACGCCACTGAAATTTTCTTTAGCCTTAAATAGGAAGGAAATTCTGTTACATGCTACAATGTGTATGAACCTTGATGACAGTGTGCTAAGTGAAATATGCCAGTAACAAAAGTACAAAGCGTCTCCACTCTTAACTTCTCATTTTTCATTTTCCCTTGTTAATTCTCTTCTTATTCTGATAGTACCTGAAGTTAGTATCATTGCTTGTCTTTGCACATGAGTGAGAATTTGGTGATTGTGCTCAGGTTACTGTTTATTACTATTTATGGTCAGCACTGTCTAGACATCGCTCCTTTATCTTTGTGTGTTTGTGTATTAACCTGATTTTCTTTTCCTTCCTGTATTCTTCTGTGATATTTTCTTTGTCCTTAAAATTCAGCAATGTACAGGGCTGGGTCTGAAAGTTGATCTGTTTTAACTGGGTCTATCTAAACACCAGTGAGTTCTTTTTACATTGAGGCACAAATTTTCCTTCATCTCAGGAACATTTTCTTCTATTTTTTTTTTAGTTTTGCTCCTCTCCTGTTTGCTTGGAATTCTTCTGAAATGGTTATTCTACGTATATTGTAGAGGTTCCCAAGCTTGTTTACACGTTAGATTCACCTGGGGAATCTTTTAAACCTTCATAAGCCAGGGTCACACCCAGTCTAATTAAATCAGACGAGCACAGGCTTTGGGAGTGTTTAAGGCTCCTCAGCTGATTCCAATATGCAGGAAAATTTGGAAACCACAGATGTATTACCTGCCCTGGATCTGTTGTTCATTTCGTCTTCTCTTCATCGTTTTCAGGTGTGCTCCACTGGGCACCACAACATACGGTTCAGACGTTTAAAGCCTGTCTCAGCCCAATTTCCTCTCCATTTGCTCCCTGGGTAAGGTAAGCGTATAGCTATCTCTTTGTATTTCTTCAGCAGTCCAAGTCCTAATTTACGACAGTTTATTGTTTGGATTTGTTTCTCATTTCTATTAATACGTTCTTCAGTTTTTCCATTTCTTACCATGGAGCCATTACTTAGACTCTGGATTTCCTTTTGTCTTATGAAACAGTAGTTCTTAAACTTGGTTACACATTGGAATCACCTGAATTTCACTCGCAGCAATTCAGATTTAATTATTATTCTGGGGTCCAGAATGCATAAAAGATACTTAATGCTTCCCAGGCCATGTTAATATGCAGCCAAGATTAAGAACCACGGCCTTAATCTATTGTGTGCATGTGTGTGTGTGTGTGTGTGTGTGTGTGTGTGTGTGTGAGATGATGATTCCAGTGGTCTTCCAACTTTAGTGTACATCAGAATCACCTGGAGAGCTTCTTCAAACAAAATGTGGGTTCCCCCCTCTTCGGAGTTTCTGACTTAGAGGGTCTGAGGTAAGGCTCTGTAATTTGCATTTCTAACAGCTTCACAGGTGCTGCTGTTGCTAATCTGGAGACCCTACTTTAGGAACCACTCGACTAGGATATAGTTGGGCCAGAATCAGAGTCCCTTTAATAATGCACTTCGCTTCTTATATGGCTTAGCTCTGTGTCCCCACCCATATCTTATCTTGAGTTGTAATTCCCACGTGTCGGGGAGGGGCCTGGTGGGCAGTGATTGAGCCCTGGGGGCAGAGTTCCCCCTTGCTGTTCTCCTGATGGTGAGTTCGTTCTCATGAGATCTGGTTGTTTGAAAGTGTGTGGCACTTCCCCCCTTGCTCACTCTCTCCTGCTCCACCGTGGTAAGACGTGCTTCCTTCCCCTTCCGCCATGATTGTAAGTTTCCTGAGGCCTTCCAGCCATGATTCCTGTGAAGCCTGCAGAACTGTGAGTCAATCACACTTCTTTTCTTTATAAGTTAAAACTCTTTTCTTTTTATTTCTTCTGAAAAAATGGGATGCATGTGCAGAACGTGCAGGTTTGTTACATAGGTACATGTGTGCCATGGTGGTTTGCTGCACCTATTGACCTGTCCTCTAAGTTCCCTCCCCTCACCCCCAACCCCCAACAGGCCCTGGTGTGTGTCGTGCCCCTCTCTGTGTCCATGTGTTCTCAATTAAACCTCTTTTCTTTATAAAGTCTCAGGTAGTTCTTCACAGCAGTGTGAAAATGGGCTAATATACCTTCCCACCCATGATATATTGGATTCATTAAAATGTGGCACTTATTACATATTTTATATGCGTTAATATAATTAGAGGTATTGATACTAAACGTCGGAAGAACTCAGATCACTCTGGGTCTTCTGGAGTGCTGTTTGGCAAGTACTTCATAAGGCAAGGTATGAAAAAAAAAAATAGAGTATCAAGTGTCAAATGGAATGTGTCGGCCCCCATCACTGTTTCCATATACCTTGAGGTTTCTAACATCTTAAACCTTCTGCAAGTCAGCAGGGTCTTTGTCTTTTGGGATGCCGGGGTTTCCTTCTGTGATAACACCATTTACTGCCTTGATTGCAGTTTCTAATTTAGCAATGATATTTCCACTTTAATGCAGTTTTTCCTTCTCTCTTTATGACTACCTGTTCTAGTTTTATAAACACAATTACCTGTTGAAATACATTGAGAACATAGTTAGAAAGTTGCTGGATTTTTTTCTTTAAGTAATTTTCATAGGAAGGTACTGGCTCTGATTTCTCAGTGTTTCTCATTTTGTAAGCTGCAGAAATGTCTGTTTCTGCTGATTTTTCTCCCCCTGCTTGCCTTTTCCAAAGGAGTTTTATGCTTTTCTAGCATTGGAGTCCAACATGAGTCTTCTCAGATTCTGTGCATGTTCTATTTCAAATATTCTAGCCAAAAGAAGTTTATTTTTCTCTTTTTTTTTCCTTTGCCAATGTGGATTTGCAGTAGCCTGGGGGTGTAGGGAGGATGCCAAATTCAGAGTCTGTATCAGGGCGTTGTGCCTCTAGGCTGAAAAATTAATGATTATTTATGGCAAACATGTATGACCTAGCTACTACTCCGTCTCTTTGCCTAGTGAGGCCCACAGCATGAAAGATGGATCAGGGTCACACAGCTGTGATTTACCTCCTTGGGATAGCCACTGGGTGTTTTTATGCTTGCAAGGGCAATGGTGGGAGTCACATTCCTACCTGTCCTTCGGCCTGCCCTCACCTCCAGCCCTCATCCTTCCCTAGTGGATGTCTTCATCTTATTTCCTAGGTGAGCTGTTCCTTCCCAGATGGAGAAGTTTAGGAATAGATCAGTGGTCTCCAAACATTTTAAATAAAGACCAAGATAGTAAGTATTTTAAGTCTTTCAGAAGATATCTCTGTCAAAACTACTCACGTCTGATGTTTTAGAGAGAAAGAATCTATAAACAAACAAATGGGCATGGTTATACTGCAATGAAATTTACTTAAAATTTACCCGAGAAACAGCCTTCCTTACGTGCCACCCACCCGAGTGCTATCAACCAAAAAGTCTGCAGAGTTTTTGATGTCCTCTTTTCTCAGTGTGTAATTTTATACAGGATTTTCCTCATTTTCATATTATATTTGTCATTTCAAAGATGATAATGGAAGTGAGTCAGACACATGTCCTCAAATTGGCACCTTTTCAGGAATCCCGTGTGTGTGTGTGTGTGTGTGTGTGTGTGTGTGTGTGTGTGTGTGTATGTGTTCAATGTTCAGTATCACATTTTAAAAGATGTTTAATGTTAATATCACACAAATATCCAGACTCAAAAAATAAAGCATAATATCTGAAACCTACTTTTTAATTTTCTTTCAAAAAATTCTCTTCTATTCTTATTTAATAACACAGAACTACTCTTCTCCAGGCATAACTAGCTTTATGTGATGCCTGAATTTCACGGGTTGACTCCATTTTTTTTTTTCACTGCTGCAAAAAAGATTTTTATGATTAGAGAAAAATAAGTTTCTTCTCAGATTCTTCAATTTAGAAAATACCAGCGCTTGAGTCCTATTCAAGGAATAATGAATACTCAAAAATCTCCTTCTCAAGGTCATATTTTTACTTTTCATTTTACTTTTTTTTTGGTTTTTAAGTTTGTACAATTTTTATTGTTTAAAAGAATTTTCTTTAATTACACTTTAAGTTCTGGGGTACACGTGCAGAACATGCAGGTTCATTACATAAGTATACATGTGCCATGGTGGTTTGCTGCACCCATCAACCTGTCATCTACATTAGGTATTTCTTCTAATGCTGTCCCTCCCCTAGCCCCCCACCTCCAACAGACTGGTGTGTGATGTTCCCCTCTCTGTGTCCATGCGTTCTCATTGTTTACCTCCCATGTATGATTGAGAACATATGATATTTGGTTTTCTGTTCCTGTGTTAGTTTGCTGAGAATGATGGTTTCCAGCTTCATCCCTGTCCCTGCAAAGGACATGAACTCATCCTTTTTTATGGCTGCATAGTATTCCATGGTGTATAAGTGCCACATTTTATTTATCCAGTCTACCATTGATGGGCATTTGGGTTGGCTCCAAGTCTTTGCTATTGTAAATAGTGCTACAGTAAACATATGTGTGCTAGTGTCTTTATAGTAAAATGATTTATAATCCTTTGAGTATATACCCAGTAATGGGATTGCTGGGTCAAATGGTATTTCTGGCTCTAGATCCTTGAGGAATCGCCACACTGTGTTCCACAATGGTTGAACTAATTTACACTCCCACGAACAGTGTAAAAGCATTCCTATTTCTCCACATCCTCTCCAGCATCTATTGTTTCCTGAGCTTTTAATGATTGCCATTTTAACTGGCGTGAGATGGTATCTCATTGTGGTTTTGATTTGCATTTGTCTAATGACCAGTGATGATGAGCATTTTTTCATGTGTCTGTTGGCTGCATAAATGTCTTCTTTTGAGAAGTGTCTGTTCATGTCCTTCGCCCACTTTTTGATAGGATTGTTTTTTTCTTGTAAATTTAAGTTTTTTGTAGATTCTGGATATTAGCCCTTTGTCAGATGGATAGATTGCAAAATTTTTCTCCCATTCTGTATGTTGCCTATTCACTCTGATGATAGTTTCTTTTGCTGTGCAGAAGCTCCTTAGTTTAATTAGATCTGATTTGTCTATTTTGGCTTTTGTTGCCATTGCTTTTGATGTTTTAGTCATGAAGTCTTTGCCCATGCCTATGTCCTGAATGGTATTGCCTAGGTTTTCTTCTAGGGGTTTTATGGTTTTAGGTCTAACATTTAAGTCTTTAATCCATCTTGAGTTAATTTTTGTATAAGGTGTAAGGAAGGGATCCAGTTTCAGCTTTCTGCATATGGCTAGCCAGTTTTCCCAACACCATTTATTAAGTAAGGAATCCTTCCCCCATTTCTTGTTTTTGTCAGGCTTTGTCAAAGATCAGATGGTTGTAGATTTGTGGTGTTATTTCTGAGGCCTCTGTTCTGTTCCATTGGTCTATGTATCTGTTTTGGTACCAGTACCACGCTGTTTTTGTTACTATGACTTATGTCTATGGCCATACCACCGTGAACATGCCAGATCTCATCTTCGATCATATTTTTAATTCTGAACAGATGGAAGTATGTGAGATGCTACTTGGGTGGAAGTTTAAGTAGTAAATATAAAATAGTTGCTCTGTTCTAGATGACATAAGTGTTTTAGAGGTATAAATTATAGTATCTGGCTTCTAGGAATCAATCATGGAATTAAAGGGGGGGGCATCCCGATTCGTTGGTTCATTTATTTTTAAAACATCTATTTATTGAGTGTTATTACATATAAGATCCTGTTCTAGGCACTCCAAACACAAAAACTAAGACGTGTTTGTTCTGATGATGTTTACACTCTATCAGCGAATACAGATATGCAAACTAATAATTGCAATAGAGAGTGATAAGTGCTAAAACGGAACAGGTCACAAAGTGTGACTCAATCCTGCTGTGGACAAGGAAATTCAGGACAGGTTTCCTAGGAGTTGATTGAGTTGAGCCGGTTGAGTTTAAAACTGACCAGGATTTTCTATACAGATAGGGAGGCAGTGCCAGAATGTGCAAAGTCACAGAACAGTGAAATTACAGGGGTCCTCGGGGAACCATATATAGGTGGATTATTTGCAACTCTACACTTAATTTTTGCGTTTTTAACTACTCTCAGCCAACACCAAAGGCGGCCCTGGCATGGAGTAATTGTAAATTTTGCTAAGATTCAGTTTTGAATTACCTGTGCAGAGAGGTCATATTTAATAACTGCCTCTTCAGCACCTAGGACAGTACCCAACACTTAGCAGACATGAATGCTATGTTCAATCACCGATCCCTTAGTAAATGAATACAGCCAAGCTCTCAACACGGTTTCAATATTCTGTATACAAACTAGAAGCTCTTGTGAAGTGATTACTTGATACTATTATTCCTTTGAGAAAAAAAATGGCACAAAGATAGCACACTAACTAGTCTTGGTGATGAAAGATGGCTGAGAAACTCTGCATGTAGCAGCCCTATCTCATTGAATGTTACAAAAGCTTTGAGCAAAAACTGCCTGCTCTATTTATCTCACAGTCCTTTAACACACAAACACACACACACACACACACACACATATCTAGTCTGTCACAACATCCTTTGACTCTCTTTGAAATATATTCTGAATCTAACAGTTCTCTCCACTTCCATCATTGCCACCACAACCTAAGTCACCATTATGGTATGACTGTATAGTCACAGATAAGTCATAGGTGACTTGATGTGGCCACTTTCTCCACATTCCCTCTGTTGATTTTTGCCAGTGAGCCCCAGTGATCTTTTCTCCACCAGTAGTTAATGACTTTCTAAAAGATCAGTCAACTCCCTGCTCAAACCCAGTGTAAAATACAAAGCCTTCAGTGTAGCCTACAAGCCCCTATAAGGCCAGGTCTCACCTCTCTCTGACCCCATTTCCCCCACTCTCCCTCTTGCCCAAGGTCCTAGACTAGATTCCTTGCTATTTTAGACTCCCTGTCATTCCTCAGACTTAGCAGACACGTCCCTCTCTTAAGGCTTTTGAACTTGTTTTTGCCTCTGCTAAGATTCTTCCCTTACTAATTTCTGGCCTCTGCTCTAAAGCCACTTTGTTGGAGAGGCTGTAAGTGATTTCTGTGTAAAACAGGACTCCTTTCATCCTAAGACATCTTTATATGTTTATCTGTTTATTTAAAAAAAAAACCTTTTATTTTAGGTCCATGGGTACATGTGCCGGTTTGTTAGATAGGTAAACTGTGTGTCATGAGGGTACAGTGTACAAATAATTTCATCACACAGATAATCATAGTACCCAATAGGTAGTTTTTCTGATCCTTTCCCTTCTTCCCTCCACCCTCAAGTGGGCTTCAGTGTCTGTTGTTTTCCTCCTAGAGTCCACATGTTCTTGTTTTTTAGCTCCAACTTACATGTGAGAACATGTTGTATTTGGTTTTCTGTTCCTGTGTTAGTTTGCTTAGAATAATGGCCTCTGGCTGCATCTATGTTGCTGCGAAGGACATAAAGTCATTCTTTCTTATGACTGCATAGTATTCCATGGTGTATATGTACCACATTTTCTTTATCCAGTCTAACATTGATGGGCATTTAGGATGACTCCATGTTTTTGCTATTGTGTATAGTGCTGTGGTAAACACACACATGCGTGTGTCTTTACAATAAGAATGATTTATATTCCTTTGGATATATACCCAATAATAGGAATGCTGGGATGAATGGTATTTCTGTTTTAAGTTCTTTGAGGAATTGCCACACTGTCTTCCACAAAGGCTAAGCTAATTTACACTCCCATTAGTATATAAATGTTCCCTTTTTCTCCACAACCTTGCCAGTGTCTGTTATTTTTTTGACTTTTTAAAAATAGCAATTCTGACTGGTGTGAGATGGCATTTCATTGTGGTTTTGATTTGGATTTCTCTAATAATTAGTGATGTTGAGTATTTTTTCATAGGCTTTTGGCAATGTATATGTCATCTTTTGGAAAGTGTCTGTTCATGTCTTTTGCCCAAGTTTTAAAGGGATGGTTTGATTTTTTGCCTGTAAATGTTTTTAATGAACTATCTCTTCCCCACTATAATATGTCATGGGATCATGGATGGTTTTATAATAATTGTTCATAACCAGAAAGATACAAAATTTGATTTCATTACAGAGTATAATTTTGAATTTGCAGATGGCCGTGACCTACAATGGTAATGACCCTCTGCTCTACAAGAAAGCAAGAAGGTGGTTTGCAGAGCTGTTTCAGGAGGGGGCTGTGCAGTTTACCCTGAGGCAACTCGCATAGCATTTAGCTGAGATATTATTGAGCCTAGATATAATTTTTAAGGATACACTTGATTTACACTTTTTTCTGCAACTCTATGATAAATAATAATGGCTAACATTTGTATATGAACTGTACAACAACCTTATGAAGTAGCTGTTCTATTATTATCTTTTTTATAGATAAAGAGATGGGTACAGAGAGATTAAGCTACTTGCCTGAAGTCTCACATTAAGCAATTAGCAAAACTGGAGTTTCAACTGTGTCAGTGGCTGGAGTTTCCACTGTGTCAGTGCAGCAAGCTCAATGTCTTCCTGCCTGGTCACCCTGCTGCTTTTCCTGTGGTGAACAGGAAACGAAGGATGCTTCTCTGATGTGTGCTCCTTGTCACATTCTCAGACCATATTTAGTGTTTTGGTTGTACTAAGTACTGCTGTGACACAATATTAAGAGGGGTGCCTTAGTTTCTTTGAAAATTTACACACCACTGTTTTAGGAGTGCATGGAACAGACTGAGGAATATAATAAAATGTGTTCATTTGTCATACAAATCAGCCTTAAGTGGGGCAAAATGATTGAAGACCTCTCCCTGAGTGAATGATTTTGTAGATTATTGATTGGGCAGCAGTTTATTTAAACATTAAAACCTTAAATGAATTAACTTAGCCTGAAGAAAAATGTGTCAAATATAGTACTTGTTATAGCTAGTTTTTCAGCCTCTGAGGACTTTGTAAACTGTCCAGATGTATTTATTTTAAAAAAATTATCAAGGAAATAAAGGATGAATTGAAAAAGGATAGTGGGATTTGTCTTCAGAAACTATAACCTCTTTGAAAACAAAACTTTGGGAAAGTTTTTTTTTTTTTTTTTCCAGAAGCACTTTCTGCCTTTAGGCTAGTCTTGAAATGTTAGAAGTTGTCTGTTATTCAGATTCTGAAAAATGCAAAATGGTTCTCCCTCCCTTCCTGTTGCCTGTATCTCCTTCATCTTTCTTTATATAATTGGTATATGGAGTTAGTATTCCCACCGAAAGAGTAGGAAGAGATGGGAACATTAACTAATTATATGCCAGTTTAAAACTAGGGGGACAAATGATGATAGTTCTTGCCTTTGGTGTCACCAGTTAACAATAATAAAAATGTTACTCATGTAATTTGTGTACAGTTCCCAGAGTACAGTCACACTTAATTCTTTTTAATGGCAACACTATTGACTTTCTAATTGTCTTGTATGGGTTAACCTTGGCTCTATAACTAGTAGGCAAACTTTGGGAGAACAGGGCCCTGTACAATGTGGAGGTTGAGGAAAGTAGATTCCTGATTCTGTTTGCCATGGCTGTGTGATTTGGGCAAGTTATTCTTGTCAGAGTTAGGAGAATTAGAAAACTAATTCTCAGTTTCCTCATCTGTCGAATGGGAATAATAATGGAACCTGGGAGTAACAAAAGAGCTAACATTTATAAAATGTCAGTACAATGCCTCACATTTTTACTTTGCCTTTGTGTTTATCAGAAGTCTTCCTAATTCTTCAATAAATTATTGTGTTAATCTTTATATATTAACTAAGTTGCCCTAGAAATAGCATCACTTGAAGAGAATCACTTTCAGAATTCCCAATACTTAATTTCCCAAGAAATTAAATGAATGAGAAAATTAGAAAGAAGGAAAATACAAAATTGATTAAAAACATAAGGTTGATTATCTTATGGTGATTATTGCAAGGCTCCAGTGAGCATATTTAAATGAAAGGCTCCTTGCATACATTTTACCATCTTAATCCAGACTAGATCCTTGTTAAGAATGAAAATACAAAGCAAAAACAACTAAGTTGAAAAGAATGAATTACCAAGTACATGCATAATGTGTTTCAGCACGTGAGGAGCAAGGGTTCCATGCTATATTTTAAGACTCAGACATTTTGGTGGGTGGGCATAGATTAGAATCATCTGAGTAAAATGTAAAACCATTCCATGTATTCCTTTTTTTTTTTTTTTTTTTTTTTTTTTTTTGACGAAGTCTCGATCTGTCATTCAGGCTGGAGTGCGTGGTGTGATCTTGGCTCACTGCAACCTTTGCCTCCCGGATTCAAGCAATTCTCCTGCCTCAGCCTCCCGAGGAGCTGGGACTACAGATGTGCGTCACCACTCCTGGCTAACTTTTTTTTTTTGTATTTTTTAGTAGAGACGGGGTTTCACCGTGTTAGCCAGGATGGTCTCGATCTCCTGACCTCGTGATCCACCCGCCTCGGCCTACCAAAATGCTGGGATTACAGACTTGAGCCACTGTGCCCGGCCTCATCTTTTACCTACAATAACCAGCCCTAGTCCCTACAAGTGAAGGCCTTTGTCCCTCAGTCTCTAAACCAGAAGCTCTGACTGACATCTCTTTGCCATTTCAGAATTTTTTCCTGAGCATCTTCCTAAAGTATGAATTAATTACCACTAGATCTCCTCTACCCCAAAATAGGCCCTTAAAAGTTATATCAAAAAATAAACAGCAAAATAAATTAAAGATCTTCATGTTTTAAACAATGGTATTGGGGTCAAAATGAAATTTGGTGGAATATGAATAAAGTTTGTTTTAGTTGATAACGTCTGATGATAGTTTTGACAAATGTATCATGGTTATATGTTAACGTTAGGGGGAACAGCGTAAACATTATACAGGAATCCTTTGCATTATCTTTGTAACTTTTCTTATCTAAAATTATGTCAAATGAACATTTATTTTAAAAAATGAAATTTGAGGCCGGGTGCGGTGGCTCACGCCTGTAATCCCAGCACTTTGGGAGGCTGAGGCAGGCGGATCACGAGGTCAGGAAATCCAGACCATCCTGGCTAACACAGTGAAACCCCATCTCTACTAAAAAATACAAAAATTAGCCAGGTGTGGTGGCGGGCACCTGTAGTCCCAGCTACTTGGGAGGCTGAGGCAGGAGAATGGTGTGAACCTGGGAGATCGAGCTTACAGTGAGCTGAGATAGTGCCACTGCACTCCAGCCTGGGCAAAAGAGCGAGACTCCGTCTCAAAAAAAAACAAACAAAAACAAAACAAAACAAAAGAAAAAACAAATTGAGGCATGTTGGCTCACACCTATAATCCTAGGATTCTAAAGTGGAAAGACTGCTTGAGGCCAGGAGTTCGAGACCAGCGTGGACAACATAGCAAGACCTTGTGTCTACTAAAAATAATTAAAAAAAAAAAAAAAGCCAGATGTAGCGACACAGGCCTGTAGTGTCAGCCACTTGGGAGGGTGAGCTGAGAGGATCCCTTGAGCCCAGGAGTTCAAGGCTTCAATGAGCCTTGCACTCCAGCCTAGGTGACAGAGTGAGACCCTGTCTCAAAGAGAAAAATAAAAAATAATAATAAATGAAAATTAACAAAATCTAGTTCGTTTATTTTATATAGAAAGAAACTGACTTCCGTAGAAGGGAAGTGACCACAAACCTGGTTTCCTGACCCCATCTGGTGATATATTTGAAAATATACTTAGAAACTTAGAGATTAACCTATGAACTCTTTTATAAAAGAAAATATGAGATTTTGAATTTTTGTCCTATCCTTTCCCCACAGACCTTGTTAAAATCTGTCAGGTGGGCCTGAAGAGGTGGATACACCAGAGTTGGGTGTGAGGCTGAGAAGTGGGGTCTCTTACCTAAAACCATCCTGTCTAAATCAGCCCAATTCTACAGTGCCATCATATTATAACGCAGGTCCTGGAATTGGGGGTCATGTCGAGTTAGAGGTCATTCTTGAAGATAGTTGCAGGTGCGGGGGCTCAGGAGAGCAGACTCATCAAAAGGAGTGCCAGCACTTTGGCCCAAAGCAATGTTTCAACCCTAGGGAGTACACCTTGGCTGTTCGCTCCCCGGTTTTGGAACTCAGATTGGCAAAGAAGCCGGTCTCTGGCATTTGTCAGGCTGGGACTTGGATGTCTTCTGTTGGCTGTTCTAGTTCCCTACACCTGGTCATACCCCAGCCTTGAGCTCCTGCTATGCTCCCAGGTTTTGGCATCCCACCTGCTCTCTCCCGGCTTTTCCACTAATTGTTGGCTTTACCTTTTCCACCTGGCCGTGACAGCTTGTATCAGCCCTGTCCTGCAAAGCTTATTGGCTCTTGCCTAGTAAATCACCACGGACAGCATGTGGTAGTGGGATAAGTCTGTCTTCTCGATGAGAATGTAAGCTCCTTTTGAAAACGACTGTACCTCACTTGCTTTCTCAAACCAACATCCATCCTAGTGTTGAGAAACACATCACCACAGATGGCTTGGAAGCTGATTTGGCATTGATGAGCCTCTCTCCTGCTTTGTCCTATCACCCGTAGCTAGACATGGCCCCACCTTAGCTTGGTTCTGATAAACATCCCAGCACTGAGAAAAATGAACAGACTTGGAATTGGATATTACTATTTTGGAGCTAAAGTCTGACAGGGACTTTCCTCTTTGAGTGTCAATTTTATCATTTAGGAAAGGAGGTTGTTGTATTAATAGCCTTGAGATTTCTGTGTAACTACACCAAATAATAGTGCATGCCACTTCTTCACATGTAATGGAGTTAAATTGTATTACATCAGAGATGAGAACTCAGTCATTGATTTTCCCCACCTCCATTTTACAGATGAGGAAACACCTGAGGTCCCAAGAGGCCAATTATATCAGTAGATTGTGGGATTAATGGATGGAACCACATCCTCTGATTTAATCCAAGAATCTTCTAGGACAGCCTCCTCTTCTAATTTGCATTAATTCAGCCTAAAATTTTTTTGGTGTTGACATTCTGGTTGTAATACCATCTCTGAGATCGGATACAAAGCTTTATATAGAGCATGATAGAACTTTAGTTTCAAGCCTGAATACACATAGACTGAAAGAAAACATGCCAAGACGTCAAACAGTGTCTATATTCTGGGTGATGAGATTATAGATGTTTTTAATTCTTCTTTCACTATTTTATCAACCTGTGTATTCAATGAATATATTACTTCTACCGATAGAAAATGCATAGGTAGTATACAGAAACAATATTTTGAAAATACGTACGTTTAATAGAAATAAGGAAGAAATAAAAGAAAGAGAAGGCCATTGGTGTAAGTTGTGGTTTTAATTCATTTATTCATCAAATGTTCATTGACCACCTAATATATAAAAATTCTTGAATCAAATCTTTGTCAGATGTAAAAGTAGATCAGAAACAGTACTTCACCTCAACCTGGAACTTAGCAGGGCATATAAGTGTTTAGAACATGTATAATTTCAGAGTTCATTCATTAAAGACCACAGAAACTCCCACATGAGGGGCCTTGGCTTAAACAATATATAGGTCACTTTGGCTTTATTAGGAGAGGCTTTGTGAAGGAGTTGGCATTTGATTTGAGCCATGGAGGGTGAGGATGATTTTATTTTGGATTTTTCTTGCTTTCAGTTTTCACTTTATGATTATTGTCGTTAATTTTATCTCTACTTATGTCTTATTTTCTTTAACTTTTACGTTAAGTTCAGGGGTACATGTACAGGTTTGCTACGTAGGTACGCTTGTGTCATGGGGGTTTGTTGTACAGATTATTTCATTACCCAAGTATTAAAGCCTAGTACCCATTAGTTATTTTTCCTGATCCTCTCTCTCCTCCCAACTTCTACTCTCTGATAGACCTTAGCATCTGTTGTTCCCTTCTTTGTGTTCATGAGTTCTCATCATTTCGCTCCCCCTTATAAGTGAGAACATGTGGCATTTGGTTTTCTGTTCCTGAATTAGTTTGCTAAGGATAATGGCCTCCAGCTCCATCCATGTTCCTGCAAAGGACATGATCTTGTTCTTTTTATGGCTGCATAGTATTCCATGGTATATATGTACCACATTTTCTTTATCCAGTCTAACATTGACAGGAATTTAGGTTGATTCTGTGTCTCTGTTATTGTGAATGGTGCTGCAATGAATATACACACACACATGTGTCTTTATAACAGAATAATTTTATATGCCTTTGGGTATAAACCCAGTAATAGGATTGCTAGGTTGAATGGTATATCCGTTTTTAGTTCTTTGAGGAATTGTCACACTGTCTTCCACAATGGCTAAATTAATTTATACTCCCATCAAGTTTATAAATGTTCTGTTTTCTCTGTAACCTCACCAACATAAGTTATTTGTTGACTTTTTAATAGCCATTCTGACTGGTGTGAGATGGTATCTCATTGTGGTTTTGATTTGCATTTCAAGGAGGATGTTGATAAACCATGAAGGCATGGGGAGGACGTATCTCTCCATCGATTCTTTTTTTTTTTTTTACTCTCCCATAGCTAGCTATGGGAGATAGAAACTCTGCAGGCATAGAAGCTCCAAACTCCCGCTTGTGTGAAGGTGGACCTGCGGAATAGAAAAAATGAGCTTTTTGAGGAAAAGAATTTCACTGTCTTCATCGTTGTATTCCCAGGGTACCAGCTGGACACGAAATATCTCTGTGCTTGGTAAATCCTTGTTAAATGAATAAATAAATTACCAGTGAAGTCATCAGCCAAAGTGATCAAGAGTAGCAATGAATTTCTCCAAGTCCATGGAATTACTGGGATTCTTTTTCAAGGGGGAACTTAAAGTATGCCGTGTGAGTTTGTAAACTGGTTATGCATTTACCATTTTAATGCTTATTATTCCCCAGTTTGTGCATGCCAAACCTTCTGAGGTGCTCTCATTGTTCTCTGAATGTCCTCAGACCTAGCACTGGGAATCAGTTGCTTAACTGTAATCACTCCTCACTCAACTGTGCTGTCTGAGGACAGCACCTTTACCTTGTCCATGCTGTTCCTCCAGGCCTAGTAAAGGGGCTGTCCCAGGGCCTTTACTATATGAATAGTAAGGCACTATATGAATATTTGTGGAATGAATGAATACCTGATGTTCCATGATGATGATTATAAAGTGGCAGACAGCCGTTACTAAATGAGTCAAGTTGACTGTAGTTGATAAATATAGATTAAGGGGAGGTTTAGGCATCTGGTCACTGCCTACAGGTTCTTTTGGAGACCTAAGTGGGACCATTTCTAAGTTGTTTAGAAAGAATATAATTAGGTTAGAACAGAATATATAATGTTATTTTGGATATCAAAGTAGAAATCAATAAATAAAGCTAAATGCTATTCGGCAGGACAGTAAGGGCCACTCAGAACTTCCCTTGTGGAATTCCAATTATTTGAGAGAGGCTCAGTCTGATCTGGACTCAAGCAAAATCATTCTCAGAAAGTGATACAGTAAAAAATTTCAGTACACTTCCTACCTAAGAAAAAGTATTAAACAAAAATGTTCTGAAACCAAGTTCCTTAACATTGCCCCTACCCTTTAAAAACAGGCACCATTAGCATTCCTGACTTAGACCCTCCAGTGACTCCTAGACTCGCTCTTCCCACCTATTAACAGAGCTGAACTGTCAGTGCTCTTATCCAAAGCCCAGTCATCCCTCTTTACTTGTGCTACATCCTATTTCTGCTGCTTATGCAAGAATTCTGCTCCACGAATCTCTTCTATTGGACAATTCCTATAAATGTGCTATTGTTTTTTCTCATCTTAAGAAAACCTTCTCTGGACCTCACTTCCCCTCCCCTGTTTCATTGTTCCCCTTGTCAAAAAATTCCTTATACGAGTTTTAAGTACTTGGCATCGAAAATTCCTCTTCTTTTATCTCTCCTCAACCACCCCAGTGAGGTCTTTGCCCCGTATACACCATCAAAACTGCACCAACACACCCCTTTTAATGTCACATAACTAGAACCAGTGGTGGATTCTTAATCTTCGCCTTGCTCAACCTATCAGTGCATTTGGCATGATTACTCACCGCTCCTACCTTTTCTCTCCCTAGGTTCATCAGCAAAGTTATCTCTGGTCACCCTGAGCCCCTAACCTCAGTAACGCTCAGTTGCCCATATGATGAAATTGCAACTCCTTAGCCTAGCCTCCAAGGGCTTCTAACTTAGCATTCCAGTCTCACCTCCAACCATTCCTCCCAACAGTTCCACTTCCTGCTAGATGATGCATTACCATTATTGTTCTGTGCTTTTGTATGTACTGTTCTCTTCCTTCCCAGAAATCTTCTCTCCATTCTCCCATCTGTTCTCCAAGGCTGTGCCTAATGCTTTGTCACCTGGATTTGTATTTCTTAACAAAATAGGCATTAATGATACACTAGCCCTAATGTGCTCGTGTAGCTCTTTTACGCATAGAACGAGGAGCTTTAGCCAATAGATGTGTTGTGGATATCACAAGGACTGAAGAATAGATGCTCTTAGGATGGGAGAAAATGAAAATGTTCTGCCATAAAGGGTTAATTTGATCTCCTTAAAGCATTTCCTAACACTCTTAGCTTGAAGGATCTCCTCCTCTTCCCCGCTCCCTGATACCATCGCCTTACAGCACATTATTATCTGCACCATACAAATGGCTATATGGGTACTGATGGCTTCTGACTATTCTCTTGAACAATTTAATCACGTATTGTCATTTCATTTCTCATATGTTTTATTTTTGCTTTTTTGCCCTATCTCAAGGCAGGGATCGAGTCCTCAGGGTACCTATCAGTGCTCCTGGCACAAAACAGGTACTCATCAAACATGTGCATTGACAAACAAGACATATAATTACAATGTGGCCACTGTATTGAATCATAATGAGTAGAAGAACTGCCTCTGTTTTTAAGAGTGCCATCTATGGCTTTGGAAACCCTGAGGCTGAAAACCAAGGGTCCCATTTTACAACTTTTCTGTGAATTGAGATTGAGTAGCTGAGCCCAGCTCCCCAGTTCCAGTTTGCTCTTCATGCTGGTGATTGGCAACACTCCAAGGCATGAATTTTTCAAGAGCAAGCTATTTCGATGACCCCTTGATGTGTGCTAGCCAACGGGGTTAGCTGTGGACTCTTTCCTCTGCCCTCTATCAAAGTACAGGCCATAATTTTGAGGGATAAAAGTACGAGAAGGGAGCAGAAAGTGGCAGTGGCAGGCCTGGGTCCCATGGACACAGGTTCAAATCTTAGTTTTCTTGCTGCTTAAGTATTTGACACAGGGCAATTTGCCTTAACCTATTTGAGTCTTGAGTTCCTCATTTAAAATCTGTGGATAAGAATTCCTGGTTCATACTGCATTTATGAGGTTTAAAAATACAGCATCTAATCTGGTGCCTTACATAGAGTAGACACCCAGTAAGTAAATGGTTGCTGATGTTACTGCATTTGAAATTTTAAAGCTTGCCCACAGTTATGACAATATTTCTTCCTCATGAGAACTCTGTAACTCTTTTACAGGTGGATCAAAAGAGGTCTGGAAAAGTTCAGTGGCTTTCTTAATATTACTCAGAAATGCCATGACTAAATGAGGTTGAAAATTCAAATCCTCTGTTTTCTAAACCCAAAACGTTTTGATATATTGGGCTTAATATAAATTTTGGTGGATGAAGCAAACTCTCTAAAGTACTTAGAGACCAAGTGGTAAAATGTTTAAAAATCTTTTGCAATAAAGAATGGTGTATTCTTTAATTGGACCCTTGTAGTTAATCAGTTGTTTTATAAAAACTCATGGACAAATGTTTTGAGAAGGAGGGTTTAATTTTCTTTTCAGTAGCTTATTATATTAGTCTTGTCACCAACCTAACATCTAATGACCTAATGCATTTTTTATTTTATTAACCAAAACGTAAGCAATTTCTTTCTAAACAGTAGTTGAAACTTAAAAAAAAAAATCTGAAGCAGGTCTCCAAGGAAGCAAAGAATTGCCAGACAATTACTTTCTTCTCTCAACATATAGAAGGCAAAATATAGTCTTATTAAAATCCTGAGAATGAATTCACTTAAGCTCCCCACTGCAGGATGTTTTTCTGACAAGTTCTGTCTCAAAAAAAGTATGTTGTACAACTAATTAAGAAATTATTTTGACAGGGTGGATGTTTTGAAGCTCCGTGTTGTACACAATCTAATATAATCTAATTTTCTTCCAGTGAAACAAAATATGTGGCTAAAAAAAAAAACATGGTCAGATAATATCAATAATAAAAGTGCCTGAATTTCAGCTGAGATGAATTCGAGAAGCAGCCAGCCAATTTGTCTAGGGAAATTTGCTCTTGGCTAAGACAGTATAAAGGTCTTACCCCTGGGCAAACCATTTATTTAAAAAGTTTAGAAAAAACATTTTTTTTCACTGATTGCAAGATTTTTCAGTTACGATTTCTGTATGAGAGATTGCAGGTTTGGGGGTAAATCTAAATTATTTTGCTATCTATAATAAAAGGATGGAAAAAGCAGTGTGTAGAGGGAAATTTATAGCACTAAATGCCTACAAGAGAAAGCAGGAAAGATCCAAAATTGACACCCTAACATCACAATTAAAAGAACTAGAAAAGCAAGAGCAAACATATTCAAAAGCTAGCAGAAGGCAAGAAATAACTAAAATCAGAGCAGAACTGAAGGAAATAGAGACACAAAAAACCCTTCAAAAAATCAATGAATCCAGGAGCTGGTTTTTTGAAAGGATCAACAAAATTGATAGACCACTAGCAGGACTAATAAAGAAAAAGAGAAGAATCAAATAGACACAATAAAAAATGATAAAGGGGATATCACCACCGATCCCACAGAAATACAAACTACCATCAGAGAATACTACAAACACCTCTACGCAAATAAACTAGAAAATCTAGAAGAAATGGATACATTCCTCGACACATACACTCTCCCAAGGAAAAATGAAAGTGTGTGTTGAGTATTCACAATTAAGTTCTAGCCTGGGCTTACTTCAAGCAAGATTATGGATAAGTTGGGGGGACCATAAATCCCCAGTTGACAAACTGTGTGTGTATGTGTGTGTGTGTGTGTGTGTGTGTGTGTGTGAGAGAGAGAGAGAGAGAGAGAGAGAGAGAGAGAGAATAGCTCCAAATAATCTAAAATCTTTATTTTTCCCATCTTCTTTGTTTCTAACGAGTAGTATTTTTTGAGTCTAGGTGGGAAAACTTGTAATAAAACAAATATTTTACCAAATAAGGGCTACTTATAGCATGCCTTTTTAATACTGAATTTTTTGGCAACAATTTTCATTATGTAATGAGAAATAACTTGTTGAAGTGTGTGTGCTAGGGGGTTGGGGAGGGTGGTTATCCCAAATCACATCTAGCATGCAAAGAACACTTTCAAAACATTCCCATACATGAATGAAAATAGTATTTCATGTCAAAATCTAATAAGGTTCTCAATTATAAGTACAAATTAGATGGGGATATTTTCATGTTTCACATGGAATTAGGAAGCCTGTAGAGAAAGGCTGTTGGTAGGTCTTTTGCTATATTTTATAGGACATTGATTTCTAAATACCACTGAATCAAATGAAGCACTTTTAAAAAGCACCTGTTCCCTGGCCCCAGGCCAAACCAACTGAATCAGAACTTTCCTTTCTAAACCTCCTCAAAAGTTTTTAATGAAAGGCCTTAGTGATGAGGGAAAGAAAGTAGTCTAGAAGGACTCTGGGTTTCTGGCCTGGGTTACAGGATATGGCACCAACAAAGAAGGGGCAGATGATGCATCGAGCCTTGGACATGTTGCATTTGAGGTGCCCATGGGAATCTAGGTTGAGACAGCCAATAGTTTGTTGCAACTGGAGTGATGGATCTGGACGTCAATGGGAAAGGTCAGATCAGAGAGACATGGATTATTGACTTGTACACTGGTTCATCATTTAAGTAGCAGATATGAGCAAGGTTTTCCATAATGAGAGCGTGGAATGAGAAAAACAATCTCTAATCCTCAATTCATAAAATATTTTCAGAATACCTAATTTGTGCCAGGCGTTGAATCAGGCATTGGGTGTTCAAAATGAATGAGTCCCTCCCTCAATGGATTCACTGTTAAGTTGGGGAGACAAATTCATAATTGAATCTATAGGATAATATTCTAACGATGTATGGTGGTGCATGCGCTGAAGGAGACATAAAAAGAGTGGTCAGAAGAAGATATCCTTGAAACCCTTAATATTCGAGATGAGCAAAACGAGATAAGGCAAGAAATACATTCTCTGAATGATTGAGATGGTTTGTCATGCTCAGGGAAGGGGGACAAAGAATTCTCAAAGCCTTTCTGCCTTTAGGATTGCCAGATTTAGTGCCCTCTTCCTCCCCAAAAACAAACTAACAAACCAGAATGCCCAGTTAAATTTGAATGTCAAGTAAACAGTGAGTAATTTGTAGTGTAAGTATGTTTCATGCAATATACAAGGCATACTTATAGTAAAAGAAATCATAGTTTGTCTGAAATTCAAATGTAACTGGATGTTCTGCATTTTTTCTGCTTCATGATTCAGTAATGATTCCTTGCTATATTGTTCTTGCTATTGTTATTATATACCATTTTAATAGTGCTTTATGGCATTCAAATGTTTTCATAACTCTATGATAGCCCTAGGCATGTAGAACCAAAATACCTTCTTGTTGGAGAATGTTTGCCCTTGATTGCTGTTTCTCTGTCAATGGAATGTTCTCCAAAAACATAATTGTGTTTCTCATGATGTCCTTTTTTTTTTTCATTCAGGGGACAAAGTATTTTCATATAACCATCTCCCGTGTCCTCATAACAAACCTAAGATAGTGGTAAGGCAGAGATGACATCCATTTCCATATGTGGGACAGACGCAGTAGGACCCAGTGAGTTGCTCAAGGTCACCCAGCTTGTTTGTATCAGAGTGAGATTCTAACCATCTCAACTAACTCAAACTCTAGTGCTTGTTTATTGTGTTACGTTACCTCTCCAAAAAGACAAGTCCATCATATTGACGTTAGCTTCTATATGCTCAGATTTTATTTAGTATGTAGACAGAAACTCTAAATTACATTTGAATGAACTTAAACCTTGGGGACAAACGACAATAGGACAATGTAAAAGGAGGATGAACTTTGTAAAGTTCAGCTGTATTTATAGAGAAGTAATAAAATCATTGAAAACTTCCAACTATCTTGTGAACAGCTGCCATTAATGAAGCTCTGAAATATTCTTTATAATTATATGTTGATCACTAGATGCAGTCTATTCTTATGACTTCCATATTTGGAATAACATTTGCATAACACAGTATATCCAGTTTGTTTCTTGGTGTCTGTAAACTTGTAAATAATTTCATGAATTAAAACAGCTCAAAAATAAACCATAGTTTATAACTGAAAACTTAATAGGGCATAGATATTTATGTAATCTATTGCTATAGATTTGCTCAGTAATGTATTCCCTATATGTTTTACGGGACATGAATCTGATCTCTGAGAGTCTAAATTGGGATTAGTAAATCTATCATAACAAGGATACTAGATTGTTATTATAACATAAAGCTTTTTACTTCGAAGTTTATAATAAATGTCTGTTTTTTTTTAATTTGCTAAAAATAGGGGCCCTGTTTAATACGTAAAGAACCCCCTTCCTGAGTCCTTCTTTTTCTATCACCAACCACTGCTCATCTGTCAGTTCATTTTTCTGCTGCTTTTAGCTCATGCTCAATAAATGATACTCATATTTTCATGTTAAATGCTATGTTCTTTTTTAATTTTATTTTTTATTTTTTTGGTTTTATGGAGTGTTATGAAAAACTGCTCACTTTAAGAAATTGACAGGTCCATTAACAGAGAGCTTTATGTCTGGGAGTCCAAGCAGTTAGGCCTTCTGGATGTTCAGGAAGTGGAGGGTGTCAGACCAGTCACTTTTATTGCAGACTAAAATGATGGCCGCAAGGAGATGAGCTCACATTATCACTTTATATAAATCACCCAGCCTGTCTTTCATTTCTTGCCTTCCCTTAGAAGTTGGAAAGCTCAGAGGTATTACACTTCAAATTAAGAAAAGAATAGAAATCTTATGATCCTGGGTCCAGCCCAAAGTTCATCCACTCTAGCTGTGTTTATGGTACCAAGGAACAGATAGTAAGACGTGGATATTCCCTTTGGTAAAAGGAATACATATGTCCCCCAAATAAATGAGCATGGGTCTTGTATCCAGAAAGATGTGGTTATAAATTTCAGCCTTGCTGTTGACTAGCAGTGTGACCATGGTTAAAGGGCTTAACCCTTCTAACCTTTTTAAACCTATAACATGGTGATAGTAATGACTATTCCTAGTTATTTTTCTGATGGAAAAGGTAGAGATGGTTGCAATCCTGATTTCCTCATTAGCTTAAAAAGTTTGTTGATGATCAACAGTGGGAGCATTTCAGGAAAATGTATGTTGATATGTTTCTACCGTAGCCCTAAGTGGACTTCTACCCTGGTAACCTGCAAACAGAGTGAGTTTCTTCTCTGGTTGGAGACCCAGAATAAATGTAGCTTCAGACCCCTTTCCCCCTCAGGCATCATATTTGAGCCTTTGGAGTCTTACTCCTCTAATAGCAAGAAGAGGTACAAAGATAAAGCAGAGGAATGGAGCACCCTCCTCCATTGCTAGAGACTAGAGCAAGACTGGCCTAACTCATCTCCCTAGATCCCTAGGCCCCTTTCGCCTGACCCACCTGGTCCTGCCAAGCTGGAAAAGTACCAAAGGTGAGGCAGCCCCAGGCCCATCTCATGGTACCAAGCACGTGGATCAAACCCTTCCACTCAACAATTTCAAGAAGCCTAGAGACTCCAAGGGAACCAGGAGTAGGAGAGGCCGAGGGAATGAGCCACACCATTGAAAAGCCACCAATTACTGTGGTCCAACTATATGTTTTTCTTTCTGTGGGTTTAGAGAGAAGTTTCTCAATGATATAGTTTGGTTGTTTGTCCCCTCCAAATCTCATGTTGAAATGTGATTCCCACAGTTAGAGGTGGGGCCTGGTGGGTGGTGTTTTTGTCATTGGGGGTGGATCCCTCATGAATGGCTTGGTGCCCTCCCTGCAATATTGAGTGAGTTCTCGCACTACGAGTTCACATGAGAGCTGGTTGTTTTAAAGGGCATGGCATCTCTCTTGCCCCCTCTTTTGCCATGTGACATGCCTGGTCCCCTTCATCTTCTTCCATAAGGAAAAGCTTCCTCATCAAAAGCTGAACAGATGTTGGTGCCATGCTTGTATGACTGCAGAACTGTGAGCCAAATAAACCTTTTTTCTTTATAAATTACCCAGTCTCAGGTATTCCTTTACAGCAATGCAAAATGGACTAACACACTCAACCTCAGCACTGTGGGCATTTGGGGCTGGATAAATGCTATGGGGGCCTGTCCTATGCATGATAGGCTTTTTAGCAGCATCCCTGGCCTCTACTTATGCCAGTAGCACCCCACTCCCCGTTTTGACAAGCAAACATGTCTCCAGATATTGCTAAGTGTCTTCTGGGGGAAACATTACTCCCTGTTGAGAATGACTAAGTTAGAGGAAAGAAGGGATGTTGTAATCTCTCTGAAGCTTTAAATAAGTCACTGATGTCTATACAGCAGGACTAAATGCAATAAGAAAATTGTCCTCCACAGTGCTTGGAATGTAGATGGTGCTCAATACATTTACCTCCTTTTTATTCTTCTTTCCCTGTAGTGGATACTGTGGTGTGTCACTCGGATCCTCACTTGAGGACTGAGGTACCCATTTCCCCAACTCCTGGGAGCATTGGCTGCTGACAGCTCACAGCTTAGTCTCTTTCAGGATTCTGTAGCCCTACATTACCAGTCACTGGATACTGACTGCTCCCTAAGAAGGCATGTGACTTGAATGAGGCAGCAGCACCCTTTGGCAGAGGTAAAATTATAAAATTAGGAAGAAGATTGATACGAACAGATATCAGTATCTGCCAAAGGGTGCTGCCTCGTTCAAGTCACCTGCCTTCTTCAGGAGCAGCCAGTATCCAATGGCTAGTAATATAGGGATACAGAGTCCTGACCCCTGTCTTCCACTGAGGACGTCTCTGAAGAGCTATCCCAGCTTCATAGCTCCTTGTGGGAATCAGCTGAGACCTTTGTTGTGACTGAATTGGGTTCACCTTCCCCCTTGCCCAGTCCTGCTTCCTCATGCCTTGCAGGTGTGATTCCTACGAGCACTCTTCAGTAAACGTCCCACCCACAAATCTCTGCCTCAGACTGTTTCCCAGATAACTCAACTTAAGACACACCTCTTTCATCCCAAACTTTATGAGAATCTCAGTTTTTAAGTGAGATAATATAAGACAAATGCTGAATACTATAGTAACTGTGCAGTATTTATATATTAGCTATTATAATCAATGATTTGTATCCATTGAAATTATATGTATCTTATATTTAAATTATAGATATCTTAGACTTTATCTCTCCTGGTGGATCATATGTTTCTGAGGCAACTATCCTTAGCAATAAATTGTGTATAATTTCCCCAGATATGGTTTGAATCTGTGTCCCTGCCAAATCTCAGGTCTAATTATAATCCCCGGTGTTGTAGAAGGGGCCTGGTGGGAGGTGATTGGATCATGGGGGCAGGGTTCTCATGAATGGTTTAGCACCATGCACCTTTGGTACTGTATAGTGAGTGAGTTCTCAGGAGATCTGCTTGTTTAAAAGTGTGTAGCACCTCCCCACTCTGTCTCTTCCTCCTGCTCCAGCCATGTCAAGTACTGGCTCCCCTTTCACCTTCCACCATGATTGTAAGTTTCCTGAGTCCTCTCCAGAAGTCAAGCAGATGCTTCATCTACAGCTTGTGGAACCATGAGCCAATGAAACCTCCTTTCCTTATAAATTACCCAGTCTCTGGTATTTCTTTATAACAGTATGAGAATGAATGAATACACCCCCATCTCCCAAATTATAGCTTTCAAGATGAATGGAGGCTAGTTATTTATCATATGAATTCTGGCAAACTTATCTGTTCTTACCAATATTCTTCCTAATTTTGTAAGCTTCAGTCATGGGTGGTCACCCCCTTACACTATGTCTCCAGTGAGTGCATTGAGACCTACTCCTGAGTGATCAGAGTAGGATGGAGAAGGGAGGGTTTTAGGCCCTGTTCTCACTCCAGATTATCATAAATTTCTATTTGTGCTACTTGTACAACTTGTGAATAAACTATACCTTGTGGATAAACAAGTTTTATCACTCTTTCCAGATCAGAAGTTCTTGAGAGGCAGAGTTCTGTATATTTCATCTTTTTACCTCTTTCCTCCTCTCCATCTCCACCCCCAACACTTTGCACCACAGGCTTTCAGCAGACATGGACTAAGAATGATTGAGGGAGCAGGGTGTAGGGCATGGAAGGCAGGGAAGGATATTGTTTTCAGAGGAACGTTCAGTTGAGTAGCAAAACAAAGTTTCTTTTGCTGGAAAATGTGAACCACAGGGTTCTCAGTGAGCAGACAGGATGCATGAGACACATAGCAGAAATAAGGAAATCTTCCTGGAAGACAATAATGGAAATAAATTCAGGTAATAATTACTGAGTTCTTACTGCATGCCAGAGCCTTTTCTCTGACTTATCTTTTCTAATCATTTTCTAATGTTCTACTAAGGATGGACAGTCGTTATCCCCATTTTTCAGATAAGGACACTGAAGCACAGAGAATTGTCCAAACCAGAACGGCAGAATTCAAGCCCAGATGTGCTCAATTTCAGAGACTTCTCTAATGTAAAATATCTCATGGCCAAAACCATGTTACATGAAATCTTATGCAACAGAATATAAAAATCTTACGCAATTTTAAGATAAAACATGAGACAGCAAAAAATTATGCTGGGTAGGAACAAGTCACTTTGTTACCTTTTCTGGACCCCAGTTCCCTGTCCTTTTTAGAGGAAAATCCATTTTCTCTGATCTTGGTTTCCATGGGGAGCAATTTTTCCTATACATACTTGCAGCCCCTCTTCTCTGCTTTGTCACACACACCTGGGGAGGTGGAGTGGGCATCTCAACTTGGTAAATGTGGAAAGAGTCACTAAGCATGTTCAGCATGGCAACTCCTTTGTTCTTTCTCTTGAGAGTGCCCTCCTCCTTTCTAGAGAGTAACTGAGGTCCCTTACGCCTCCATATGCAATTCCTTTCTGGGCAGGCAGTCATGTCTTGAAACCTTCCTACTTCAGGGATTCAGTTAGCTGGTCTGATGGACTCTCACCCTAAGCCAGAGGCTCTTGCTTAGTGTCTGTGATAAAAGAGGTGATATTTGGCTTCCACCTTGATGCTTCTGTTTTTCTCAAATTGTTCAGTTTAGAACTGGGCTAGAAGAAGGTGATTATTTATTGGAGGCTCCCCTGGAGGCCTTAACATTCCTTACTCAGGAAGATCTGGTAAAAACTTGAGATGTGCTGGTCTATGTATTGAACTTGCATTCCTATCTGCTCAGCCCCAGACTGGGAGTTCCTCCAGATCAGGGAGTCTATTCCTCTCTAATTCCTCTTTCTCCCTCACTATCTGCCTTTTGCCAGTGTCTACAGAAAGGAGCTAAATAAGAATTTTATTATCTACACATCTTAGGTTTCTTGGGTATAGAAAAGCAGGCTTAATACCATGCAAATCTTCTCTTCAGAGATTATCTGGTTGTTTCAAAAATGAAATTAATAAAAACGACATATGAAATTGACCATTTTCCTAGAGCACATGTGGTAAAGTTTTTGTTGTAACTGACAAACCAGGTGCAGAATATTCCATGTATAATTTAGACCCCTTCCCTGTGGGCTGCTCTGCTGGTTTTGTATATAACTTCAGTTATCATTGCCATTAAGAAAAGATATTTTAGGGACAAACTCATTTTTTGAATAGATTGTTATCTCAAATTAAAAAAGATTACGGGAACTGGCAATCAATGCAGCATCTAATTGCTATTTCTCCAATTAAAAATTAATATACAGAAAGAGCTGCCTGGAACCAATTGGTCTTTTGATAATTTTGAAATAAGGAAAAAATAACATTTACAAGCAGAGGGCTTGGGTGAGTACAGGAAGGGTTTGTGGCGCCCGGTCTCCTTTGCAGCAAAGGCTGTGGGAACAAATGTGTTTCTGCCCTTGTGCCTATGGCCGCCACACCCAGGGTGATTGGAAACAAAGGAACGCTGAGCTTATGTCGCATTGTTCCTCCTCTGTTAAAGATTTATGTATAAAATCACTGTATTTTGTGATGTACTTAAGAATAGATGGCAGGTGTCATTTTCGTACAGTGCATGTCATCTAATTGAGGCGGTGGAAAATGTGTGTGACGGTGTTTGTGCTAAAAATGTTCCTCTGTTCTTTGAGGATGTCAGCGACGCCGTCCCAGCTCCTTCTCTTCTGCAGAACTTCATTTGCTAAGCAGTGTTTGAATAGATGGGGACCAAGGAAAATGAAATCAAAGAAAGCCTCTTATGTCTTGAAGACAGGACATCCTTCCACTTGGTTCAGAATAAGCCCCTTTAATCTGAAATAGTCATATTTTGCATTTCGAGTGTAATAGGCACTTGGTTTTAAGCTGGAACAAATTATTATGCTGTGTGTGTATACATACATACATATATACATATGTAATATGTATATATTAAATAAAATGGGCAAAAAAGCTCATGTATCCAGCAATCTGGTCCGCTCCCAGTGAAGAAGGTGGGTTTCACTGAGAAAGGAGCAGGTCTCTATTCAATGAATCATGGTTGTTCCTGGAACCTCACAGATTCCACACCTGGGATACAGGATACTACTTCAGGCTCTCACATCTGCAGAACTGGAGAAGGTGCAGAGAAAGAGCATGGGAACCATTCAAGGGATGGTAGGCTGACTAGAAAGGAGGAAGCTTTGGAGTGGAAAGACTGAAGCAGAGAAGGGATGCATCAACTGCCTGCAGATGCGTGAAAGGATTGGTGCAGATGAGCGTGAACCTGCCCGGCAAAGCCCAACCATGCAAACCCTGGGCACTGTCTGAGAAACTCGTGAAGAGAGCTGTAGGGATCAGAAGGGAAATAACTCAGAGGAGACTGAGAGGCAGGTTCAGAACCAAGGCAAGGAAAGCTTCTTAGAATATAGGCATCACCCATGTGGGGCTCCTTGTCCACAGGTGAGGTAAAACACCAAACCAATGATTCTCATCAAATATGGATGATGAATCTCTTATGTGATATCAAGGAAGACACGAGAGCCCTCTCACAATTCCTTATTTTGTGCTGCTTTCATCTTTGCTCTGAGTCTCACTGAGCAGCCCCTCTTGGTCCTCAGTCATCTAAGCCTTAGCCTGGGGAGACTCCCAGGCCCCTTTCCTCCCTCCCACCCAACCCTCAAGGCCTTCCATTGCTGACTCCTAAGTACCTCTCTAGTCTACTCTCTGGCTTTTAGCCAACAGAACCACAGCTTTACAAATGCTCCAACCCTATGGAGACCCATTAAATCAGAATCAAGGGGCTGGGGGTGAGGCTGAAGCATTGGTATTTTTAAAAACTCCCCTGCATATGAAATTCTGGGTTAAAAATTATTTTCTTGAAGAATGTTGAATATTGGCCCCCACTGTCTTCTGGCTTGTAAGGTATCTGCAGAGAGATCTGCTGTTAGCCTGATGGGTGATTCCTCAAGGATCTGGAACCAGAAATACTATTAGACCCAGCAACCCTATTACTGGGTATATGCCCAAAGGATTATAAATCATTCTACTATAAAGACACATGAATATGTATGCTTATTGCAGCATTATTCATAATAGCAAAGACTTGGAACCAACCCAAATGCCCATCAGTGATAGAATAGATAAAGAAAATGTGGCATGTATATAACATGGAAGACTACGCATCCATAAAAAAGGATGAGTTCCTGTCCTCTGCAGGGACATGGATGAGGCTGGAAACCATCATTCTCAGCAAACTAATACAGGAACAGAAAACCAAACACCACATATTCTCACTCATAAGTGAGAGTTGAACAGTGGGAACACGTGGACACAGGGAAGGGAACATTACACACTGGGGCCTGTTTGGGGGTGGGGCGCAAGGGGAGGGAGAGCATTACGACAAATACCTAATGCATGCGGGGCTTAAAACCTAGATGATGGGTTGATGAGTGCAGCAAACCACCATGATACATGTATACCTATGTAACCTGCATGTTCTGCACATGCATCCCAGAACTTAAATTTGAAAACAAAAAAAACATTCTGAGCTGAGGGAAGAGTAAGTGAAGAGACTTTAAGCAGGAATGAGCTTAGATATCAGAGGAACAAAAAAGAGACCATGCCAGTGCAGCTGGAACTTAAAGGACCAAAGAAACCATGGGAATTGAAATTGAAGAGAGAGGAGGGGGCTAGACCAAGCTGGGCCTCATAGGCCTAGGTACAGCATTTGAATTTTATTCCAAACGCAATGAGAAGCTAGTGGAAGGGAGAGATAGGATCTGGGTTGTGTCAACAAAACCACTCTGGCTGCTCTGTGGCAGGCAAGAGTGATACCAGGGAGAAGGATTGGAAGACCGTTGCAGGAGTCCAGATGAGAGATCATAGTGACCACATTAAACAAACAAAAAAAACAAAAAAAACAACTCTGCACTGACCAACTAAATTATGTTTTCTTCCTCACACAAACCTAGGTTCTTCTACCTCTGTCTTGTATCATGCACTTCTTTCTTGTGAAGTGCCCGAATTTTCCATAACTCTGTATAAAGTACCTATGACTTTCTAAGGCTGGGTTCCATTCTCCAAAGTTTTCCCAGCCCCTGCTCCAACACTTTGGAAGACATTACTCCTTCTCAAAACTCGCTTAACATTTACTTGTACTTCTCTTACAGTGCTTACCACTTTGGACCTAGAATGTTAACATGGTTGTGCCTATCTCATTTCTCTTTGATGAATTTAAGTTTCTTGGAGGTGGGTCTTTAGGAATTTATTTGGTAGCCCTTAGTGCCAAAAAGTAAAGTGGTTTCAATATGGCAAACTCATGGTTTTAAGATCTTTATAGGTACTTGATCCATTACTTTTCATAACTTTCTTATGCTATAGGCACTATTTTATTGCATTAGCATCCTCATTTACAGATAAAGAAACAGATAAAGAAGTACAGAGAAGCTAAGCCAAGATTACAGTTAGTATGTGGTTGAGTCAAGATTTGAACTCAGTCTGGCCCACATGAACAGCTATACTATGCTGCCTTTCAAACCATTGAGTAAGTGATTAAGGATCGTGAGTTAGTACAGTGTGCCAAGGAAATACTTATACTTCAGCAGGATCCTTCTGATGACCAGGGCATCAGTCCAAAGCAGTGATTCTAGGGACAATAGGTTGACAGCAGGGCTGAGCTGGGGCCTCATCAGTGTTCGTAGTTCTAAGCCCCAAGGGAACCTACCTGAACTTCTGTCCATCCCCTTCTCTCCTGGCCTCAGAGCCTGGATTTTCCCCCTCTAAAAGAAATCAGCCTATGGGAATAAGAGCCAGCATCCTCCCACCTGGAGGTAAGAAAGATCATAGCATCAAGCGTGAGTGTGGGGCCAGGAAACTGTGTGTGTTTGCGGGGTATGAGTAGTTTCCACTGCTGCTTCTATATAACTTTTAAAAATTGAGAATAGGTTTTAGTACCTCTGTGCCTGTGGACTCATACATTTCAAATACATATGAAATATGTGTTGATTGACTATTTATGTTATTGACAAGGCTTCTGGTCAATGATAGTTTATTCATGGTTAAGTGTTGGATTTTTGAAGGCACAGCAGTGTGGTGCCCCTAACCCCCACATTGTTCACGGGTGACCTGTAGGCTATTCTTACAACAAAGCTAGAGAAAAGAAAATGTTATTAAGAAAACCATAAGAGAAAGAAAATATATTTACTATTCATTAAGTGGAAGTGGATCATCATAAAGATCATCATCCTCATCATCTTCACATTGAGTAGGCTGAGGAGGAGGAGAAAGAGGAGAGGTTGGTCTTACTGTCTCAGGTGTGCCAGAGATGGAAGAGGTGGAAAAGAGATAGAAGGGGAGGCAGGAGAGGCAGGCAAATAGGTGGAACTTTTATTGAAATAAAAGAAAAAGTGTAAGCAAACCCACACGGTATGAACCTGTGTTGTGTAAGGGTCAACTGCATCTAGAATGCCTGCATCGTGCTCAAAGAGATGGTGGCTCTTGTGACTACTTACTGTTCTATAGCCTCTGGAAGCTGGAGTAGGACTTTAATGAGTAGCTCCAGGGATGAGGCAAGCAGGTAGAGAGTCCCGATGCTGCCACTGTGATCAGATTCCTTCCCTTTAGCCTTCTTGTTGAGGCCAAGTTCAGATGCAGTACCTGAGGCTGGCCTGGCTGGGAGCACTTATCCAGGTTATAGGCATTCCTGGTGTCACTTGCTCCTGAGAACTGGCAGCTGGATAAGGATGCCTCAGTTAGAAGGCAGAAAGTCCAAATGTTTCTGCATCCTTCTCCATCTTTGATTTTTCTGAACATCCTGAGGTTAACCCACATCTGTCCCTGGTTACTGATAGTTGTGTGTGTACTCTCTCATGCCGAATAATGTGACTTGTTGGCTGAAAGTTGTATCCTGACCCTTCTCTGTTCTTTGGTTTCCCCAAAATGTCTGCTTGGTGGTTCATCTCCAAAACCTGAGATCCACACTGAGACTTGTTCCAGTAGTGGGTTGTGAGATTCTTTTTTGGCTTTCAGTCAGTTGTTTATTTTAAAAAGCCAGCAAAAAGCACCCCCTATAGACACCACTTCCCAAACCAGCTCCTATTGAACAAAGAAAGCTGAATACTGGGAAAATTACTTGTGCCTGTGTTGCAGATATAGAAACTCGTGGAACCTTGTGGGACATTCTGTTCCACTAACAGGATTCCAGAACAGCATTAGGAGGACATCGGCTCATCTGTGTTACTTGCCAGGAGTTTTGGAAATTGAGCAATCATTAGCTAGTCTGTTTTATATTTGATCCTTAAAATCCACATTTGATGCTTGGGAACATTGGAAGTGGAATTTCTTCTCTCAAGCCAGATTGGATTTGGATAATTTCACCTTGCCTATTTAAATCTCCTCTGATTTCACCTTTGGAAAAGAAAGAGACTTGGATTTCTTTGGACAGAAAACTGAGTTGTGTATTTACCCTGTCTTGTTGTCCCATGATCTGGGTTGAGATTACTTATTCAAGTGGGAGATTCTGAGTCAGACTAAGGAGCAAACTCCTCATCTTCACTCCCCTGGTATAAAAGAGAAACAGTCGGAAAAAACTCTGCATAGTGGCAAAGCTTTAGCAAGCAATGTCACTAACTTCTCCAGCGGCAAACTTAGAGGTAAATTGTGCTGCAGCAAGCCAAAAGTTAATTTCATCCAGAAGAGCAAGATAAATTAAAAGGCAAATTGCTTGCCTGCTCCTCCTTGCTCTTCCAGTATCTGTCTGAGACTGGCCCTTGAGGTTGTTGCATAATAAATCTTTCAGGCTCACCTCCTATTTCTAAGAATTTTTAAGTTGTGGCTGGCTCCCGCTAGGTTATTTTAGCATTGAGAAGCCACATGATGGCATGGAAGGGACAGAAGTGACGTGCTCTAAGCTCTCACTTCCAGCCCTGTTTCTACCACCTCTATTTGCTTAGAGATTTAGCTGCCATTCTAGCCTGGTACCTGATCTTGCCACCTTGGCACAGATAGTCTCATGAGATTTTCTTGGAGCCATTGACTGTAGGGAAGGTTAGCATTTTAAAATGCTATTGTGACAATCATCTACAATCTTTCCATAAGTGTTTTTGCCATCTGACAGGCAGGAGTCTCAGTAATTCCTCCAGTGCCATCTACCTTGCTTTAAGGAGCTATTCTGGTGGATAATGCTGCGTAAGTGAAGACACTCTATTTGATCAGAAGGTCCCCTGTCCTAAGGAGAGCAGCACAGTTTCGGAGAAAGCCCAGGTCTTTTTCAGATGTACTCTGCCACTCATGCAGGAAGTGTTTAGTAAGCTCTTTCAGGGAGCCCACCATGTAGAAGTCCAAACCCATAGCTTCCACCTCCAAAGAGCTTATGACGGAATTGCTCATTCTACCTTGGGCTTCGGTTTCAGCTCCAGGTTGAGTTCCAGGGAAATTGGAATGAAATGGATACAGTAGTAAGACTCCTGGACTAGCAGCTTGATCCTCTCTCAGCCACTCTCTAGACTGTGCCCAGACTTAACCTGACTACCAATCTAACCACCTAACTCTGGACCTCCCTGTCTTCGGTGGAAAGCAAGGAAATGGTCCTCTGGTGCAAACAGTCTGCACTCTGTGTTGACACCCATCAATATAGTTCTCATTTCCTTTACCTAGTTTTGGGGGGAGGTCTGTGCCTCAAGCCTTCTACTGTTGAGCATCCACGCTCCCTAATTCTCATGGTATCTTCAGTCCTGTGCTTCTGAGGCTTTACACTGTTGGCTAAAGATGTAAGGAAGGGGCTCAGTGTTGGTGAAGTTACTTCAGGGAGAGCAGCTCAACTTCTGTTTTACATGCTGGGCTTCACCTGAGATTTTGTTTGAGGAAAGGGCTCTTCAAACAGTTAAGGAATCTAAAGATCTCTAGCATGTGCTGGACTCATTCTTCATTTGGACGCGTTGCTCTTGTCATCAGCATCCTCTGCTTGTCACGACAGGTAGGTGGCATTTTCCAGGGTCTACTTTGGTTTTCTGCTCCTCTCCTGTTCTCCTTGGGTGAGTTTCCACCATGGGGTTTGAAACAACTACTTCCCAGACATCTCCACCCAGATAGAAAACTCAATTTATCCAAAATGGAATAATGCTCCTCCAGGCTGTCTTAGTTCATTAGAACGGCTATAAGAAAACCCCTTAGACTAGGTAACTTATAAATAACAAAAATTTGTTTCTGACAGTTCTGGATGCTACGAAGCCTAAGTTCAAAGCATCAGAAGATTTGGTGTCTGATGAGGGCAGGTTTCTCATAGTTGGCGGGAGGGGCAAACAAACTGCTTCAGGCCACTTTTATGAGGGCACTAATTCCATTCACAAGGGCTCTGCCTGCATGACCTAGCCACCTCCCAAAGGCTCCACTTCTTAATATCATCACACTGGGGATTAGGTTTCAACCCATGAATTTGGAGGTGGGGGGAACAAATATTTAGACCATAGCACTTACCTCCATCCTTAAGTCTCTTCTGTAGTCTCTCCATCTCGTTGGTAGCATCATCAACCACAAAGCCTCCTAATTTAGAAACTTGAGACTTATCCAACTTTCAGTTTCTCCTTCTTCCAGGGTACCACATAGGTTGGTTGCATTTCTCTGATATCTCTTCGGTGAATCATCTTCTTCCTGTTCCGTCTGCCATAGGCTTTAGTTCAGGCTCTGGCATTCCCTAAGCTGACAAAGTTATCTTTCTAAAATAGAAAGATAATTTAGTCTGTCTTTTGCTTAGAACCCTTGCCCTGGCAACCCCATTACCGACTAGTGAGGTCTGAACTCGTTGGCATGGCAGACACAGTTCCTTATGATCTGGCCTCTGCTTGCTGCTTTCATATTCCTCTTCTACCTTGCACCTGATAGTCCTACAATATCTAAATTCTTGTGGTCTCTGAAATGCATCATGCTGTCAACATTCCTGACCCTTTCCCCACATGCATTTCCTCTGTCTGGAATGCCTTTCTGCCCCTGTTTACTTGGGGAATTACTGGTCAGCCTTCAAATAGCAGGCTTGGAAGACAACTTCAAAGACTCTTCACAGACAGAGTTACTCATTTCCCTCCCTCCATAGACTACCTTTGCTGTATCCCTTATGGTGACTTATTATAATTTGTTTGCATACCCACATTCTCTTCCAGGCTGTGAGCTCCTTGAAGCAGGACTACGTCCTTATTATTTTTCTAACCGCAATGCCTGGCACAATGTGTGAGGCATGGTTGATGCTCAGTTAAGCTGACTTCTCACTGAAAGTAGCTAAGTGCCAAATTACCAAATTATAGGGTTTCTTAGTGATAAAGATGTAACTCACTTATTTTATTCTAAGTTGTCAAAACAGCCATATGTTTTAAAGCATCCAGTCATTATTCTGCCTAGCGAGGAATAAAGCAAATGGGAAACCAAAACGATGAAGAAAAGCATTTTGCATAAGGTGCAAATTAAAACACCTAGGTAAATAGTAAGAGAGACACAGTGGGCGATTTTAGTGTTAGTTCCTCAGGAAATATTTGCAGCTAATACTTTTAATTGATATTTTCCTGGAGCTGTGAATGTTCTACTGCGTGGCTGATTTGTTCTCATTTATTTTTACCTTTCAGCTGGCTTCATCTTTGCATAGATTATCTTCTCTGGTTCCATTTTAATTCCAGTTGCTCATGGTGTGCTACCAAAGGGAAGCAGTTGGGGGCCCGTTGGGATTTCATGGCCATTTGATTCAAAAATTTATTCTAGCGAAACCCCTTTCAACTGTGGTGCTTAAAACCTCATGGATAATCAAATGAGATGAAGAAATGGTCCCCTCTGGGAAAACATACTTCAATTTGTAAAATATTTCCCTCAGATGTCTTAGGAGGAAAGGGAATGTTTTCTGAGAATCTCACTGGCAGTGTGATGCGCTTTGTGTTAGAGGCGACCCCCCTTGGAGTCTCTTCAAAGGCCAGGTCAGCACCAAGGCGTTTGAATACTCCTGGTTCCTAGAGCTGTACATGTTTCTGTCTGAGGTCCCTGCCCCCAAGAGAGTCTCTTCCTTGAGGAGTTGGCAAGAAGAGGGAAGCTAGAGGTTAAGAACCTTGCTTTTTCAGGTAAGAGCAGCTCATTTCTTCTTTAAGTGAATGCAGTAGAAGCTGACTTCAGTGAGGCCACCTAAATTTTTAAAAATGTATATAATTGAGTATGACTATTGACCATTTCTTTATCCTATGTGGAGTGTAAATGATGGTTTTTCTGGAGGTTTTGCTGTTATTGATCTGTGTTTTGCAACCTGAGGAAGAATAATGGGCTTGCTGGGAAATGCAACTTCAACATTAATTTCTTAGACCCCTCTTCCAATCAGTTTGCCATGCCTAATCCCTTCTATAGGTTAACCATGAAGCCCCCTGCTGGGTTTCCCAGTGGTCTGGAAAGCCTGTTTCGTGAGCTCTACTGCACTTCATTCAAGGCCACATCTAAGGAGAGTCAGCCAATGGCCACTGAGGAAGAGGCATGAACCACATGTCCAGAGACATGGCTGAAGCTCCTTCCATAGCCACCTTTCAAGAGACTGTGCCTCTCTGCACTGGTGTTTTCTGTTTGTTTGTTTCTTATTTTTCAGTAACAGTCACTGAGGTGTGACTTACATAGCATGAATTTTTTTTATTAGGTGAACAATTTTATGACTTTTGACAATGTAAACAGCCATGCTATTACTACTGCCATCATGGTCTAGAATATTTCTACCACTCCAAAAAGTTCTCTTTTACCTCTTTGTAGTCAATCTCCTCCCACAGTCTCAGCCCCTGGCCATCACCAATCTATTCTTCTTCCAATAGTTTTGCCATTTCCAGAATGTCATGTAAACGGAAGCACATGGTATCTAGACCTTTGAGTCTGGCTTCCTTTACTTAGAAAAATGCTGATATTTATGTTGTTGCATGTATCAGTAGTTTGTTCCTTTTTATTGCTGAGTAGTATTTTATGGTATGGATGTTCCACAATTGGTTTTTCCATTCACCAGTTGAAGGACACTTAGTTTGCTTCCAGTTTTTGGTGATTATGACTAAACTTGTTACATGCATTTGCACATAGATTTTTATATAGGCATAACTATTCATTTCTCATAGGTAGATACCTAGGAGCATAATTGCTGGTCATATGGTAAGTGTATATTTAACTCTATATACAAACTGCTAACTGGTTTTTAAAGTGACCCCTTTGCATTTCCACCAGCAATGTATGAGAATCTCATTTGGTCTGCATCCTTACCAGCATTTGGTATTGTCCTTTAAAGAAAAAATTAGGCCATTAGAGTAATAGGTAGTGCTATCTTGTCATGGTTTTTAATTTGCATACTGCCAATGACTAGTGATGTTTACCATCTTTTCATTTGCTTATTTGCCATCCATAACTCTGGTGTGGTGAAGTGTCCATTCGAATCTTTTGCCTGTTTTTTAACTGGGTAATTTGTTTTCTTATTAGTGAGTTTTGAGTCATCTTTATAGATTGTAAATAGAAGTCCTGTGTCAGATTTGTATATTGCAAATATTTCCTCCCAGTCTGTGGCTTACTTTTTTTTTTTTTTTCATTTTCCTAAAAGTGATTTTTGGAACAGCAGATTCTTAAATTTTGATCATCTCCAATTTGTTGATCTTTTACTTACAGTTCACGGCTAAATCATAAACACACTTGGAAAATGATGGCAGAGTAAGGAATTCAATATTTTTAGAAGAAGAGGAGGAGAAAACATCTGGTTCCTGAAGGCCTTATTTAGTTTTCCACTTTCAGTCACCTCCACTATTAACGTCTCCTAACCATTCTCTTTACTATCCATATCTTTTTCTCACCTTCTCTCTATGCACCTCTACTTCTGCCACTCCCCAGTTTGAGCCTTGCCACGGTTGGCTGAGATCTGAGATGGAAGGAACTCTGCCCTGTAACTTGACTGACACTTTCCCTCCATATTTTTAAGCCATGTTGAATCTGTATCTTCTCCTCTCATGTGCCCCAATGTGAGAAAAGTGAGGTCTGGATTCCACGCATATTTCTAAAGGAATAGCTTATTTGTACCTGTTCCACATAACACTTATTTATGCTGTGGGCATTTCCCCATTGTTCCATTTCACGTACATTCTTCTGCCTAGATTTTTAAAAATCTTCCTAATCCCCTCTGCTTCTTTATCCAGTCTCCCTTCCCATTACTCCATCTTAGTGTAAATCTCTACTATAGCCTCATGACTTGTATTACTATCTGTGAACACACCATACTCTTTCTTGCCCCCTTTGCAGAGGCTGTTTCCCGTGCTTGGGATGGTTTTCCCTGCTTGCACCTTACCAGCCTGGAGAATTATCACTCTTGCTTCAGGACCCCGTGAAGTCTTCCATGTACTGTTGGCCAGATCATTGCCCAACTCCTTCCTGGTCTTCCTCTGTCCTTTATGTTCCCACTGCCCTTTGCACCACCTCTGAGAGCAGTTTTTATTCTGTGGTAATTACTGATCCAGAGACATTCTCACTCCCTCTGGAGTTCTTGAGGACAGGAAATTTGTCAGATTTATCTTTGTCTCAAGTTTAAGGCAAACTCCCTGGCACTTTATACGGGTTTAATGCATTTGTTAAATGAGAAATTTCACCATTGCCTTTTCTCTTACTGTTTCTTTCCCATGAAATACTTCCTGTATCTTTCTTCCGCCAACCCAAATCCCATCTGTCATTCCAGGTCTAGTTTGGAGTCAGACTCTTCCTTGAAGTCTTCCCTGCCCACTCCATATTTCACTCCACTTATCTGCTCAGCTCTTGAAAAGCTCTCAGTATCTGTGTCACTTAGTCTGTCTCTTAATCACACACTGCACTGCCTCCCACTATTTCCTCTGTAGTTTTTCTGCTGTCGTAGCCTGGTTATAAGGTAATGGAGGACAGAAGTTTTACCCTAAGCTTCTTTATATACTAAAAATAACTAGTATAATGTCTCCTTTCCCTACTCCTGACCAATGCTTTCTCAGACCTTCAAAATTGACCGTTACCTTCTCGGCACCATGTTGTATACTCTGCAAACTTCTGTTATACAACCCTAAAACTCCGTTGAACCTAACAATGTACCCATTCATCTTCTCATGACCTGCCATGAACTTTTCCAGGGCAGAGACCCAAGCATACGTTTTGGAGTCGATTGCAGCCATCAAATTTCAGCTTCTCTACTTACTAGTTGAAAGAAGTTTAATTAGTCAGGGTAGTCAACACCAGCTGCTGTAACAACCCCACCATCTCAGTACCTTAATACTCTAACGTTTATTTCCCTATTATGTTACAGTTAAACATGGGTCTGTAGGGCATGGTGGGAGTTTCTGCTCCCCAAAGCCATGCAAAACTCAAGGTCCTTCTATTTTGTGAGACCTCCATCCTCAGCATAGATGATCACTACTAAATAGGAACAGCAAGCATTGATGATAGTGCAGGGGATTTTATTACCTGGCCTGGGAGTGATATATATCACTTCCACTCACATTCCACTGGCCAGAACTCAGTCACATGATCCAAATCTAACAGGAAGTGAACCTGGGATATGTATTCTTCCTATTTCCCCCCCAAAGTAAAATAGGTTTATGTTACATAAAATAGCATCCTATGTAGATGCTATTTTTCTCTATAGAAGTGGAGGAAGTTTCTTAACCTCCTTAAGCTTCCTTATCCTCATTGGCAAAATAGAATTAAATCAGCTAGGATTAGATTTTTGTTTTAATAAAAAGCCTAGGGTTATGTTGCTTAAACAAGCTTAATTTTTTTTTTCACACACACAAAAGGATATTCAGGGTAGGTGGTCCAGCAATTGTTCAGTAGCTCCTCAAAATGATCAAGGACTCTGAATCCTTAAAATTCTCTGGTTAACCATGCCTAGGATAAAGTCATTATCCTCATGGTTCAAAATGGCAGTGAGGGCTCCAGCCATTAGAGTTATGTTCTAAGGAGCAGGAATGAGGAAGAAGGCATAGAAGATTATGAAGCTATTTGAAGCCACAGAAACTCCACGGAAGATTCATATGATTATCTTGCTTCATTTAGTTATAAAGCCACAGTTACGTGTAAGAGTATCTGAAATACATTTGACTAGGCAAAAATATATCCTGCTGGAAATTAAGTTTCTATTTCTAAAAGGAAGGGAAGAATGAATATTGAAATAGGAAGCTAGCATTTATGCGTAAGGAATGAGGATATTTACTTACTGAATTGTTTTAAGGGTCAAATAAGATAGTGTATAAAAATGGTGGCCAGTAAGTTGTTATTACCATTATAAGCACAGTTATTGTTATTTGCACGCCTAGGATATACTTGACGAATATTTGAACTTAATATGTCAATAAGGAAGTGTATTGGTCTGAATTTAATTACTGTATTATTTCATTATTTGTAATCATTAAGTATTCATTATTTTATATATTAAAGATTTCTGTTCTTCTAGAGAGGTCCTTATTAGCTGGTACGTAGTGAGATTATTTTTTCATAGTATCTTGTTGAGCTCAAGGTCACTTGGATGTATGGCAGTAGGGGAGTGGGTTTAAGAAAAAGAATGAGGGAGGGGAAGGAGCAGGGGGCTAAGATTTGGGAAACCTGAACTTTAGTTCTATCTCTATTTGCCATCTATAGGGCCTGGGGAAATTCTTTCCGTCTCTGGAATTTTGACCCCCTCAATTGTAAAGTAGGCTCCCTTCCATAGTCACAAGGAATTATGTATATTATGTGTGTTTCCCTGTTAATCATAGTCTCTTATTTAAAAAAAAATAGAGGCTATGTTTGACTTGCTTCATAGATGTCCAACGCTATAACACATGTATTAAGTCTAGGATATAGGATCCCTGGGTCCTAACCCTGACTCCACCACCAGTAGACTGTAGGAACTTGGGCAAGGTACCTGTCCTTTCTTGTTTTTCACTTTCTCAGCTCTAAAAGGAGGGGTTGGTTTCAATGGTCTCTCAGAATCCTTCCAGCTCTAAATTTCTGACTTTAGATATATGGGCATATAGATATATGCATATATGGTATAGATATATGGGTATGTGATTGGGTATATGATTAGGCATATGGGTATAGCAGCCCATTGCCCTCACCCCACCTTGTCACAGTGATACTGTGATAAAAATGCTGGTGATTTTCTACTGACTGAAGTAATTGTCACTGGCTCTGTGTGCCTCTTACAAGAGAGTAAACTGGCCCTTTGACCCTGACCTGCTTGGTCAATGTCTGGACTCTGGGTCCTCTATTCAACAGCCTAGGTCGTGAACCACTTGGTCTGGCCTGTTTCACATAGCATGTATTCCTGAGTGTCCAATACCCCATTTCTTGGCCCATGGAAGAGCTAAAAAAATATAGACCTCAGAGCAGATCAACTTGATTTCAAATCCACTCTGCAGCTCTGGCCAAGTGCATAACCTTTTTGAACCTTTGCTTTGTAATTATAAAATGGGTATTGTGATCTATAATATAGAAGATTTGTGATGATGACTGAAAATATGAGTAGAACCCCTGGCACATATAAACCCTTCAGAAATGGTAGCTTATTATGTCTATCATCACTATTCAGGGTCTCATTTTCCTCTCCAGAGCAGTGAAAAGAAATTTAGGAATTATAGGCATTTGATGACCAGAAAAATGTGAGCAAGTCTCCAAGTTCCACTTCTTAAAACGTTAGCAGAGGGTGAGGTTGAGTGAGACCCTGAGAAGTAGAATGGGCAGGCCACAGACCCTCTGAGTCTTGGGCCGTGAAGGTTCATGAAACCAAATGAGACAGCACCGATAAAGTGTCTTGTCTTGTGCTCATAAGTGTGTTCCTTGAGTAACAGGTGCCGTGACTGTGCCCCAGGAGTGGTCAATCAAAGTTGTCTGTCTCCTTCAGAAAACCATTTCACAAGCTGAATGAAACAAACTTGAGAAACTCCACTGGTACATACTTTCAGAGAGGTGTATCTCAAATCATCTTTATTTCATTATGAATTAGCCCAGTTAATGCCAATCTCTAAAGTCTGATAGAAATTTAACCAACATCAACAACAGAAATTATAGACATCCTAAAATATTCCTCCAAGAAGAAGGTAGAATGCTGACTATTCCCACCAGCTTAATTGTTTGCTGTTGCGATTAATTGGCTAATTTATAAAATTTATTATTCCCTTCTGGCCAGTGGAGCTTTTCTGTTGAGGAACGCAGTAGATGTAATTTGGGTTTTAAAACCAAAAATGGAGATGAAGCCAAAAGCTCATAAAAGATTCTAGATCTCAAAAGGACTCCTGCTCAGCCTGAGTTAGGTTAGCTCAGCCTGAGTTAGGTTAGGTCATCCTGGGGATACGTGTCCCTGTATTAGCCAGAGATGAGGGAGGGGAGAATAACTGTGAGCAGATGCTGGCCTTCCCGAGGTCCACCCCGGGTGAAGAGCGTGGACATTATCTTTCAGATGCATAGGGGATGCTATACTGGAAGCTTATCTCTTCCAGTTGGCAGCCAAGAGCATAGCAGCCTGGAGGGGCAGCCCATCTGTCCCCTGTGCTCTGCACACTTGGAGGCATTTCTCCCCAAAGTAGAAAAAATGTGAAGCCCATAAACAATCAGGACATCTGCCAGTGTTCTGGGGCAGTGGGACAAGCCATCCAGGAAATCCAAGTGATCTTTTTCTAAGGGCTATTTTGTATATTTCTGATGATTCAAGGGCAACTTAGGGAAGGCTCTGAAATCAGCACATTTTTGTGGTGCCCTGTAGCTTATGAACATGTCCTAGGCTGCCTGGCACCATGGACTTTGGAAGCTCTGCCACAGTGGGAACCTTCCCTCGTGCCTCTTTGTCGGTGTGGGTCAGGTGCTCCAGATCACAGTGCCATCTGCTATCACCCAGACTGGAGTACAGTGGCAGAATCACAGCTCATTGCAGCCTCCGCCTCCTGGGTTCAAACAATCCTCATGCCTCAGCCTCTGAACAGCTGGGACTACAGGCATGTGCCATCATGCCAGACAAATTTTTTTTTTTTTTTTACTTTTTATTTTTAGTAGACATGGGGTCTTGCTATGTTGCCCAGACTAGTCTCGAACTCCTAGGCTCACACAGTCTTCCTGCCTTGGTCTCTCAAAGTGCTGGGATTACAGGTGTGAGCCACCCTGTGCAACCATGAAGAGCTACTTGATTGGCCTTCAGGAAAGCCAACTTGGGTGAAATCTTCATTTATTTAATAATGATTAGGTTTTAAGTTAAACTAGGCAGAGTTTCTTGCCCTTACTGGGCGATGAGCCCCTGCAGGTTCTATCCATGTTCTATCTGACTTTGGGAGGGCCTGATACATACCAGGTACTCAATAATGTTAGATGACAGATGGCTATCTCCAGCAGAAGGATAAAGTGGAAGACTATCTATCTCCAGCAGAAGGATAAAGTGGAAGACTATCTCCTTGTTTCTATCCTACCTGACTATATTGCCAAAAATAGATTTTTCTGCTTTCCATGACACAATTGAAAGTCCATAGATAACTGGAGTGCCTGGGTGTGTCCTGTGAGGATGGTTAGGATGTACAGGTGCATCAGCTCTTTAATTCTTCCAGTTATAGGTCTCTATGACTTCTAAAGGAATCAACATGTATGTGGGACAGCTTCTGGAATTGCAGGCATAATTCCTAGAAATTCATTAACTGTGAACTGGAGACTGTACTAGGTGCTGATGGAAAACAAAGATGAACAGAGAGAATCTTTGCTCATAAATTGCTTGCAGTCCAGAGTGGGAGGCAGTCACTTAAACAAGTGAGTAAAATGAAGTGCAAAAAAAGATCCAGTAGAGGTATCTCAGAGTGCCACGGAAGTGCCAAAGAGAGATTGGCAGGGGCGAGGAAAGCTTTTTAAAAGATGTGAAATGTGAACTGGTTTCTCATAGATGAGTAGGAGTTTGCTGGAAGAAAGAGAATGCCATTTTAGGCATCAGGACCAGCATATAAAAGTTCCCAGGAACATTCAAGGCCATGGCAATTTGGAGAATAGTGAAACCTCCTTATTGTTGGGCATGGGGAGCAAGTGCCCTGGATAGAGCAAAGAGGTGGGCTCAGGCCACATGCTGGGGGGCTTGGTGTGCAAGGATGAGACCTTGGACTTTATCTGATGAGATTTTTGTATTCATTCATTCACCCAATAAATATTTATTGAAAGCCTATCATGTACCAGGCACTGTGTTAAATATCAGAGCCTCATATGAGCAAAAAATATTCTAGTGGGGTGACAGACAGACAGTGGGGAAGCCAACAAACAAATGAAGAAGGTAATAGTAGACTGTAATGAGGGCTATGAAGAAACTAAGTAGGGTTGTGAGAAAGAAATACTGGGGCAATCTCTTCAGATGAAAAAAGACATGGGCCGGGCGCGGCGGCTCACGCCTGTAATCCCAGCACTTAGGGAGGCCGAGGAGGGTGGATCACGAGGTCAGGAGATTGAGACCACGGTGAAACCCCATCTCTACTAAAAATACAAAAAATTAGCCGGGCTTGGTGGCGGGTGCCTGTAGTCCCAGCTGCGCGGGAGGTTGTGGCAGGAAAATGGCGTGAACCCGGGAGGCGGAGCTTGCAGTGAGCCGAGATCGCACCACTGCACTCCAGCCTGGGTGACAGAGCGAGACTCCATCTCAAAAAAAAAAAAAAAAAAAAAAAAAGACATGAAAGGTCTCCTTTAGGGAGTTAGGGTGACATTTATACTGTGTCCTAAGTCATTCAGCCAGAATAGATTGAAGGGGGTGAAGTTTGTAAGAAGGGCAGTTAAGAGGCTGGTGCAATTGATCAGGAAGGGCTTAGAGAAGAGGGGAGGAATACGCAAGATATTTCAGCATGAGATTTTACAGCTCTCAGTGCACCAGGTAAAGGAGAGGTATGTGTTGTGGTGACCTCTGTGTAATGCCTCGGGCAACGGGCTGAGGTATTAATGCCATTAAAAACATAGTGGACAGTTGAATACGAAGCTCAGGAGAGGGCTGGAGTTTCGGAGATCACAGCACATAAGTGGTAACAGATGCCCATCAGTCAGGCCACGCCACACATTGCACGAATTTGGGATCTCCCTTTCGTCATCCCATTTTTGCTGATGGTGACATTGTGTTCCCAACAGCAATAACAATGCTGCTTCCATGCGTCTGCAGCTTTCAGCACCTTGGAGACTGGTAGGCAGATTACAATAGATTCTGTAGCCCCAGTTCTTCCCAGTTTGCTTCAGAGCTCTGGGCAGTGTTGCTAATGGAATGTCAAGCTGCAGGTCAGCATAGCATAGTGGAGATAAGGATGAATATATTGTGAGTGGATCATTAGCTTCAGAGCCCACAGAACATTCACCCTAGGGAACCTGCTCTGCGTGTTTGTATTTATATTCTTACAAATGTTATTCCTTGGTGGAGACTAGGACTCTCTCAGGCTGTTAGAGGTGGAAGGGTCTGGGGGGTTGCTCTGGTCCAGCATCCTGCTTTCTCAAATGATAAAGGTTAACATTAGCACCATCTAACAGATGAGGCACACCAAGGTCTAGAAAGTTCGAGAGCCATTTCCTATGTTGATCAGCTAAGACATTGCATGTGTGGACTGGGAACTGACTTTAGGCCCAGCGCCTTTTCCATGATGCCATAGCCTCAAATTGGAGGAAGAACTTAGGGCAGGCAGCGGTAGACCCCAGGCCAGCATAGGGATCGTGGTGGCTGCTGCCATGCTTCCTAAAGTGAACCAAAGTCCTGCAGGGCCTCAGCTGGCAGGGGTCTTTGAGAGTATCTGGAACAGCTCCACAAGTGTACAGACAGAGCACTGAGGTCCTGAGGCAGAACTTTCCCAAGTTCACATAACTGACAACAGAGAACATGGATGGAGGTGTGCTTCTCCACACAATGGTTCTTCCCTCGGCTGCACAGCAGAGTCTCCCGGGAGCTTTTCAAACTTGGCCTCACTCAGAGGTTCTGGTTTAGTTGGTCTTGGGCAGAACCCAGGCATAGTTCAACCAGGGTTAAGAACCGCTGTCTATTCCAATGACTACCTCAAGACTTACAACCCACTCTCCCTTAAAATATCTGCCAAAATGTTGACAGATTTCCACAGTCTTGAGTTTGTGGAGTCCCCACTTATCAAGATGCGCCACACAGTTGCAGACTCACTGAGTTTACTGCTTGGTTCTGGGGACTGGGACAATTTCCAAAGGCCATCAACAATAATAAAAGTAAGTATCTGTGAACTAGAAGAAAGAACTAAAAAAAAGATACAGGTATCAAGCAAAGTGTTGAAGCCATGAATTTCTTATTAAAGAAGAGCCCTAAAGTCACCTCTTTCCCTTAAACATCGTATAACCTCGTTGGCTCTTGTCACCTTTGAAATAAGGATTATGAATCCCAACCTCCCTCCCTTGTAGAGCTTTTAGGAGACACAAACAGGACAAGGACTCCCTCAGGATTTTACAGTTCCCTTCAGGAAGCATCGATGATTTAACCCAAGTCTGCCAGTCCTGCATGCTTCTCCTCTACCTGTTTATAGCCAGCATCTTCTTTAGGGTACCTTGTCAGCTCAGCTCTCTGAAGTTGGCCACTGTCAAATGTTAGTTCTCCGTAGTTCCTAAGGAAATTTCTCCCTGGCCCTGCAAAGACTCCCCCACACCCACCCACATCTCCAGCATCTCCTTTTTTCATCTCAAGCTATGCCATTAACACTTTGGTCTCTTTCTGTTCCCTAGGAGTAAGATCCCTTTCCTTTCTGCTACAGAGTCTTTGCACACACTGCCGTCTCAGCCTGGAAAGCACTCAGCACTGTTCTAATTTGTCATTTATTTGTATGATTATTCAATTAATATATGCTTCCTCACATTATATTGTAAGAGTTTGGAGGGCAGGTACTAGAATTCTTTGTTTATCGATGTATCTCTGGTGCCTAGTACAGCGCCTGGCACATAGCAGATGGTCAATACATATTTATTGAATTGATGACTGAATAAATGAATGAATGAGTCACAACTTGTTTTGGAGATTTAATGGAATAGTATGTATAAAAGCACTTTGTGACCTATAAAATTATTATCATGGTTTTGATTAGGCTGCCTTGTTAGGATGCTTGTTCCTTGCTGCGAAAACACTGTAGAGACACACTGGCTGGGACCAGGCATTAGATGTGTTAGGCATAAAAGATTCTGATTACCAGAAGGTTGTCACGTCCATCTGGGCCTGTCCCATCCTTGTTTACATCAACACAGACTCATTTAAAGGAAAGAAATAGATGCCAGAAATGGGTAATTTCTGTCCTCAGCTGTAGGATCCTCAGTTAGTTTGCTGAGATGGTTTCAGAATGGAATTTAACATTTCTGCACACCCTCAAGTACCAGGAATTCTTCGTATAGTCATGCACTATATAATGACAACTTGGTCAATGACAGACTTCACGTACAACAGTGGTCCCCTAAGATAATGGAGCTAAAAATTCCTATCACCTCGTGACGTCTTGATGATCCTAATCCTGTGGAGGCCCAGGCTAATGCGTGCGTTTGTGTCTTAATTTTTAACAAAAAGCTTTATAAGGTAAAAAATGTTAAAAACAGAAAACAGCTTATAGAATAAGGATATATAAGGAAATATTTTTGTGTAGGTGTTTTAAGCTGTGTTATTATGAAAGAGTCAAAAAGCTAAAAATTAAAAGTTTATGAAGTAAAAAAGTTATAGTCGACTAAGGTTAATTTACTATTGAAGAAAACATATTTTTATAAATTTAGTGTAGCCTAAGTGTACAGTGTTTATAGAGTCCACAGTAGTGTACACACAGTAGTGTCCACAGTATGTCCTAGGCCTTCACATTCACTCACCACTCGCTCACTCACTCACTCACACAGAGCAACTTCCAGTCCTGCGAGCTCCATTCATGGTAAATGCCCTGTACCAGTGTACCATGTTTGATCTCTTATACGGTATTTTTAGTGCATCTTTTCTATGTTTAGATGTGTTTAAATACACAAATACTTCCCATTGTGTTACAATTGCCTATAGTATTCAGTACAGTAACTTGCTGTACAGGTGAGTAGCCTAGGAGCAATAGGCTATACTGTACAGCCTAGGTATACAGTAGACTATACTGTCTAGGTTTGTGTAAGTACACTATGATGTTCACACAACAACATCGCCTAATGACCATTTCTCAGAACATATACCTGTCATTAAGTAACACATGACTGTATTGCCATTTAGTTAATCTTTGCAGCAATTTGGAAGGCAGACATTACCCAACCTTATAGAAAATGGAGGGAGATTTAAAAAATTTGCTCAAGGTCTAAAATGTAACAGTTAGTAAGTTGGTGGTGTAGAATGCAAACCAGAGCATGTCTGTGATCTTTCTACTGCATGTGCTGGCTCTTTAATAAAATCCAAGTGGCCAGTGCACAAGCAGACCTCGATGGAAGAAACCCAAATCTTGGCCTATTAACAGATAGTAAATCTGAACCACAGAGAGGTTCAAGTAATTTCCTCCCAGAGTAACAGTAAAAGATTACAGTGCATTTGGGGGGCTTGAACCCAGATCTTGACTATCCCAGCCTAATGATATTTAAATTATGCTTGTCTGACATAAAAATATATTGCAACTTGCTAAAAAATGTACTGCCTGCTGGAAAGTGCTGTCAGTTGCTTCCATTTTCGTCTTTCTCCTCATCTTGTTCTGCTTCACATTACTCTGAAAGATACTGCAGAGCCCCATTAAGCATGTTTTGACATCTGTTACTTTTAAAAATCTTACTTGTGTTTTTTATTAACTATTTTTATTGAAAAAGTAATACACGCATGGTAGAAAATTCCAGACAGTACAATAGGGCATATGGGAAAATGTATGTCTCTCTCTTGCTCACAGATGCCCTCCCACTATTACCACTTTCTTGGACATCTTTCTGGAAATAGTCTACATAGATGCAAATATATTTCTATACATATGTGGTGTGTGTGTGTGTATATATATATGTGTGTGTGTATATATATGCATATGTATATATATGCATATATAGTTATGCATGTCTCTTCTAATGGCCAAAAATAATTCTATGTTTTGCAGAAGTGATAATGTGTATCATCAAACATTTCTCTCTAATCCTACCCAAATTCTTATTTCAAACTCTTAATTGCCTTCTATTTATTTATATGGTTGGGATTCGTTATTGGAGGTACAAGGAACTTGGCAGCACCCAGGCATTTGGCAAGAACCCTTCCTTTTCTTATAGTAGTAATTAAAAGCCTGTTCCAAAATGAAATGAATCTGGTAGTTCAAATGAGTAGATATTTGTTAAACTAATACAAGTGCCCTGGTGTGGTCCAAGCAGCAAGGAAAGCAGAGAATCAGGGGCTTGGCTGTTCCATCAGCAGCGTGGTCCTCAATAAGCCACTTCATCTCTTTGAGATTCAGTTTCCCTACCAAAAAGTTTGAAAAGCTAGGCTAGGCACTTTGCCAGGTTCCTTCCTTCCTACTCTGCCACTTTATGGCTCTGGGAATTCTGGAGAAGAAAATGCCAGGCTGGAAATAGGGAACCAGAGAATTTACCACATACTAGTCTTTAATTCTGTTGATCAAGTATTTCTATCTCTTTTGAGTATGTAGTAGGATGACACTCTCACTTCCTGGGATGTCAGCCATAGCCATGTGACTCACTGGTGGTCCATGAAATGTAAGTGGACACGATATGCTTCAGTCTCAGGCAGAAGCTTTAACAGCCAGCACGTGATTCTCCATGTTCTTTTTCTGTCTCAGCATTTGGGGACACAGTGAGATGCAGCCTCCTTCAGTCTGGGTCTCTAAGTGAGGACAGAATAGCAGTTGGCCCACAATGAGCCTATAGCATGAGCAAGAAACAAACCACTGTCATTCAAGGCAATGAAATTTGCGGATGGTTTGTTATTGATGTTCACTCTAGCATAGGTTTACCAATATACACACGTCTTATTTTATTTTATTGTGCTTTACTTTTGTATTGGTCAGGATTCCCTAGAGGGACAGAACTAATAGAATATATATGAGTTTATTAAGTATTAACTTATAACTTACATGATCACAAGGTCCCAAAATAGGCTGTCTGCAAGCTTGAGGAGCAAGGAGAGCCACTCCAAGTCTCAAAACTGAAGAACTTGGAGTCTGACATCAGAGGGCAGGAAGCATCCAGCATGGGAGAAAGATGTAGCCTGGGAAGCTAGGCCCGTCTCCCTCCTTTTCATGTTTTTCTGCCTGCCTTATATTCACTGGCGGCTGATTAGATTGTGCCCACCAGATTAAGGGTGAGTCTGTCTTCCCCAGCCCACTGACTCAAATGATAATCTCCTTTGGCGATACCCTCACAGACACACCCAGGATGAATACCTTGCATCCTTCAGTCAAGTTGACAGTATTAACCACCATAACTTTATTGCACTTCAGAGATACTGCACTTGCTGTAAATTGAAGGTTTGTGGTGACCACGCATTGAACAGGTCTAATGGTGCCATTTTCCCACCAGCGTGTTCTCATTTTGTGTCTCTGTCACACATTGGTAACTGTTACAATATTTCAAAGTTTTTTTATTATTATGTTTGTTATGGTGATCTGTGATCAGTGATCTTTGATGTTACTATTGTAATTGTTTTGGGGCACTATGAACAGTACTCATATAAGACAACAAGTCAACAAGCTGATAAGGCATTTAATCAATAAAAGTTTTTTTTTGAGACAGAGTCTTTCTCTGTCACCCAGGCTGGAGTGCAGTGGCGCGAGCTCGGCTCACTGCAACCTCCGCCTCCTAGGTTCAAGCGATTCTCCTGCCTCAGCCTTCTGAGTAGCTGGGATTACAGGTGTGCACCCCTACACCCAGCTAGTTTTTTTTTTTTTTTTGTATTTTTAGTAGAGACAGGGTTTCACCATGTTGGCCAGGCTGGTCTCGAACTCCTGACCTTGTGATTCGCCTCGGCCTCCCAAAGTGCTGGGATTACAGGCGTGAGCCACTGTGCCTGGCCTAATCAATATAAGTTTTATGTGTTCTGAGTGCTCCACCAACTAGCCATTCCCATGTCTCTTTCCCTCAGGCCTCCCTATTCCATGAAACACAATACTGAAATTAGGCCAGGATTAAAACTCTACAATGGCCTCTAAGTGTTGAAGTAAAAGGAAGAGTCACATGTCTCTCATTTTAAGTTAAAAGTGAAAAATGATTAAGCTTAGTGAAGAAGGCATGCCAAAAACCAAGACAGACCAAAAGGTAGGCCTCTTGCACCAGTTAGCCAAGTTGTGAATGCAAACAAAAAGTTCTGGAAGGAAATTAAAAGTGCCACTACAGGCCAGGAGTGGTGGCTCATGCCACCAGCACTTTGGGAGGCCAAGGCAGGTGGATAGCCTGAGGTCAGGAGTTCAGGACCAGTCTGGCCAACATGGTGAAACCCCATCTGTAGTAAAAATACAAAAAATTTAGCAGGACATGGTGGCGTGCACCTGTAATCCCAGCTACTCAGGAGGCTGAGGCAGGGGAATCGCTTCCTGGGCGACAGAGCGAGACTCCATCTCAAAAAAAAGTGTCACTACGGTAAACATACCAAAGATAAGAAAACAAAATAGGCTTATTGCTGATATGGGGAAATTTTGAGTGGTCTGGATAGAATATCAAACCAGCCACAGCATTCCCTTAAGTCAAAGCCTAATCCAGAGCAAAGCCCTAACTCATTTAAATTCCGCAAAGGCTGAGAGAGGTGGGGGAGATGTAGAAGAAAAGTCTGAAGCTGGTAAAGGTTGGTTCATGAGATTTGAGGAAAGATGCCATCTCCAGAACATAAAAGTGCAAGGTGAAGCAGCAAGTGCTGATGTAGAAGCTGCAGCAGTTATCCAGAAGTTCTAGCTAATATCATAGATGAAGGCAGCTACACTAAACAACAGATTTTCAGTGTAGACAAAGCAGCCTTCTATTGGAAGAATTTGCCAGTTAGGACTTTCATAGCTAGAGAGGACAAGACAATGCCTGGCTTCAAAGCATCAAAGAACAAGCTAACTCTCTTGTTAGGTGCTAATGCAGCTGGTGACTTTAAGTTGAAACCAATGTTCATTTACCATCCTGAAAAAATCCTAGTCCCCTTAAGGATTATGTTAAATCTCCTTTGCCTGTGCCCTAGAAATAAAACAACAAAGGCTTGAAGGCAGCACATGTGTTTACTGCATGGTTTCATTGACAGTGGACCTGGACCCCCCAAGAGTTCTGATGGAGATGTACCAGGAGGTTCATGTTGTTTTCAAGACTAACACAACACCCATTCTGTAGCCCATCGATCAAGGAGTCAGTTTGACTTTCAAATTTTATTATTGAAGGCATACATTTTGTAAGGCTATAACTGCCATTGATAGTGATTCCTTTGATAGACCTGGGCAAAGCAAATTGAAAGAGTTCTGGAAAGGATTCACCATTCTAGATGCCATTTAAGAACATTAGTGATTCATGGAAGGAGGTCAAAATATCAACATTAACAGGTATTTGAAAGACATCCATTCCTTTTTTCAAATCTTCTGAAAGATTCTAGCCCTCATGAATGATTTTGAGAGGTTCAGGACGTCAGAGGAGAAACTAACTGCAAATGTGGTGGAACTAGCAAGAGAACTAGAATTAGAAGTAGAGCCTGAAGATATGACTGAATTGCTGCAATCTCATGATATAATTTAAACAGATGAGTTGCTTCTTAGGGATGAACAAAGAAAGTGTTTCCTTGAGATGGAATCTGTGCTTGGTGAAGATGCTGTGAACATTGTTGAGATGACGACAAAGGATTTAGAATACCACCCAAACTTAGCTGATAAAGCAGTGGCGATGTTTGAGAGGATTGACTCTAATTTTGAAAGAAGTACTGCTGTGGACAAAATGCTGTCAAGCAGCATCATGTGCTACAGAGAAAGATTTCATGAAAAGAAGAGTCAACTGATGCAACAAACTTCACTGCTGCCTTATTTTAAGAAATTGCCACATCCATCCCAACCTTCAGTACAGTCACCTTGATCCATCAGCAACCACTAATATCAAGGCGATACCTCCCACCAGCAAAAAGGTTATGACTCTCTGAAGGCTCAGATGATCGTTAGCATTTTTTTTTAGCAATAAAGTATTTTAAAATAAGGTGTGTGTACTGGTTTTTAAAACATAATGCAATTGCACACATGATACACTACAGCATAGTGCAAACATAACTTTTATATGCACTAGGAAAACTAAAAAATTTGTGTGACTTGCTTTATTGTGGTGGTCTGGAACTCAATATCTCCGAGGTATGCCTGTATCATGGAAGTGCCAGAAGTGTTTCTGAAAACTCAAAAACTTCGGAGCAATGACAGGAATCTCCCAGTATGCATTTAGCTCATTTTGCTCTCATGAAGGATTTTTCAGTGATCTTCCTGTTCGTTTTTAATTCTTAGTGGAATTTGTAGTTGTCTTTCTCCTGCTCTTTCCTATCATCTTTCTTCTTTTTTTTATTCTTCTCTGTTCCCTTTTAATATGTTTCCTAAGCTTTTGACCTGTTTCCCTATTTTATATTCCATCTTCTGAGAGCTCACTCTCTCCTCTCCCCTTCCCTCCTGTGCCTCTTTTCCCTACAAAGCCTTTTCTTGACACTTATCCCCTGACAATTGCTTCCCCGGGTCTGCCTTTCAGCTTTATAAAGCCCCATGTGGTCTCTACTTTCAGTCGCTTTCATGCATCTTTCTTCTTTCTTTTGGATCCTATCTAATCTGCTTTGTCTGAATTCTCTAATCAAACTGACAAACACCTCCTCAAATACCTTTTGAGCCATCCTCATCCTCCCTGACCTACCTAGTGCCCCCGATATGGCAGATGACACCTTCTTTCTCCTTTGATAACTGTCAATTTCAGTAATCTTTCATTTCTGAGGTTTTTTTCCCCAAATTATGGAGATACACTTTTATTTCAACTCAGCAGACGTTTCTCAAGTCTCTACCAAGAATGGGTCACTGGGCTGGCAGTGAGAAACCCCAAGGCTATCTGGCAATCAGAAATAGGGTCGAGGAGTAATATACCATGTGAGCACTGGAATTATTCCTGGAAAAAGTAAGTCAGACCATTGAGAGTTGTGAGAACAATCTGTCAGTATAGATCCAGCTCCAGTTTATATGTACCAGGCAATTAGCAGGTGTCAGGTCAAAGGATAAGCAGAGCTAAGTGAGCACATACCTGACTCAGAGCGGTGGTCAGGAGTCAAGGTCAGAAACTTAGGGAAGCAGATGTGTTAGGAAATGGGACTTTGAAGAGGAGCTGGGGGATTGTATAACCAAATTCTGATGGTCAGGGTTCTTCTGGAGACCCCATTAAAGAGCAAGGAGGCATCTTCAAGGTCCTGCTGTAGTCTGATTTAAAGGTGCCACCTGGCAACTGACACAAACCAACAGGAGAGGTGAACGTACATGCAGCTTACCCCAATCCAAAATGAATTGAGATCCCTGCCACACGAGAGCTAGAAACAGTTTGCCATTCCTTCACTAATTAATGCAAGGGAAGCCTTCCTTCTGACTGGGGCAGGTGGTCAAGTGAAGAAGGCTCCATGGAGGAGATCTGAGTTGGCCTCATCCACAAAATGACAGCAGTAATCCCTATCACGCAGGTGATGGTGAGGAGTAACAGAGTAAGGACATGCAAGGTGGGGGGTTGGGTACATGGAGCTTGGCGCATATTTGTGGAATTTCATCAGCTATGGAACAGCTGTAGAGGAGGGACAAGGAATAAGTCCCTTGGTTTTCCTCTTTGAAACCCTGACTTTTTTCTCCTTCCTTTGAGATTCCGCTCATCCTAGATGGTAGCCTTAGGCATGATGCTCCTGAGGTAGGCTGTCATCTGGAAATGAAGGGGGCCAATTTTCAAAGTGGCTAAGAGTCTGGAGTCAGATCACCTTAGCTTGCCATTCACTAACTGGGTGAGCCCAGGAAGTCACTTTATCTACTTAATCCTTCATTTTTTCATCTGTATAAGGAGAACGATTATGTTCTTATAGTGAAGATTGAATGAGATGATGCTTAGCATAGTCCTAGCACAAGGAAAGTGTTTTACAAATTACTTCTGATTATAACTAAATGTATTCAGCAACAGAGCTAAGTCAAGAGGACAGAAGCCACTTTATATATTTCAAACAAAAGGACGGAACACAGGGAATCGGGCGCTTTCAGAAGCTTTGTAAGGACCAGCTGGATAAGTTGAAACAAGGGGTCAGCCACTGGCTTTCAGCTTTACCACCAAGCTGTGATTCTGAGAATCAGGAAGCTATCACCACCTCCCAGGGGTCAAGAAACTGCAGAAAACCTCTACAGGCGGTGTTCACAGGTGGCCCTGTAACCCCTGCCAGTCAGAGGAACATGGATGCGACTGATAACATGCGGCTAAAGCCATGTGTTCACCCGCCCTGCCTGAGGAACAATGGCTTCTACTTCTACCACTCATATGAGTGCATCTTGCGGGGAGAACTGCAACCGTATCAGGAACCCTGCTGGCACAGGAGTCTGAACAATGCAGTTCCCAGCCATCATTCCCCTGAGACACTGGGAGGGCATAAGGGGGTGGTAAAGATGCACTTGTCAACAAGTGATACCCAGCACTCAGAGGATGTGCCTGGATCAGAAATTCCAACAATGGACCGAAAGGCATCGTTCTATTTCCCTCCATGCTCCATCACTGACACCCCCAGGGGACTGTGGCTCTCTTCCTTTGAGCTTCAGTGGAACTTGAATCTGAGCCTCCAGTCGATTGGAGGTCCTTACTTGGCTGCTCTAGGGTGTCTGGCTGAACTCAGGGAGTGTCCACTGTCACGTTCAGTGCCCCTCCCTGCCACAGAAAGGTCAGTTTCTTTGTGTCATCTATGCCAAATACATTTACAGTGTTTTGGATCCAGCTACACAAACTTTGGACTGGAAGGGAGACAGTTTTAGCTCTCAGAATGCTCTAGCAACATATGATTCTCCTCCACAAAGTGCCTCCCATATGTCTGGGCAGATTTCCCACGCTTCTCTTTCCTGTGAAGCAGTTTAAGTTGACCGAGAGGCAGCAGCATGGTGCTCCTGTCTTAAACCAGCCACCCTTTGGCTATGGGACCCTGAAAAAGTTGCTTCCCATTTGGGGGCCTTGATGGTTGCAAGCACAAAATTTGAGTGTTAAGTTAAATGTTCTCTGGGCTCTCTTCCAGTCTTGATAATGCATTGTTATTGGAGGCAGTGGGGTGTTGTGGTTAGAGCATAGGGTGGCTCACAGTCAGGGCTAAGGAAACCTCTGGCATTATGATTATTATCTTCACTCACTCTGTTGCTGCCTAAACCCCCATCCTTCCACCTTGGTAAGGACCCTTGGGTCAGAGTCCACAAGAAAACCACCTTACCTAGAGTCTACCTTGCCACCGTCAGCACCCAGTTCAGACACTGCCCGTACGCATAGATGTCTTTGCTGAGGGCTGGGGTACCAAGGCGATACTGGGCACATCCATGTTAGGACAGAGACATGTCATGGCTCATTTTCGCCTTTGCGGCCCTCTTTGTTTGTAAGACGCTTGTTGTCTGAAGGCAGCTAAATTTAGCCATATTTTGTCAGCTAGAATGTACGCACTGAAGAGAAGGCTAGCAAATCTTAGCCATGTCACACTTTATTAGTCATGCGAGCCCTTAAAAGCGCGCTAGAAGAACCACTTCTTGGGATTGGTGCTAGCAGTGCTGAGAAATGCTGCACGGACTGTTTTGGGATTTACATCAAGAAGCAAGATGGAGGGAAAGCGTGAAATCTCCTAAACAATGAGTGGTTTGTTTTTTTTTTTAACTTTCTTGCAAAATTGACAAATGGGATATTCAAATGAGGAGAGAATGTATGGAGTGGGATAGTGTTCATGTGGCCTCTTTCTCTGACATGCCGTCTTAACCTACCCTCCCCACCAACACCTCCATTTGAATTCAGAAATACAGTTTAGTTGCTGGTACTGGGTTAACTATGTAAGATACAAGTGGAGAGAGAAACTAATCTTTGTTGAGTATCTACTTTGATATAGGTGCTTTATGTTCATCACTTCTTTTCATTTTAAAAATGATGCAATAAGGTGAGTAGTGTGACTCTCATTTATTAAACAAGAAACTGAAAGTAAGGTGAATAACAAGAGCCAGGTTGTAAATCCAGTTTGCCTAAATTTAAAGGCCATATTCTTTCCACAACAAGGGTCAGGGTAAGGACATTGAGGAATTCAACTTAACGGTGACTGAAATGGACCCCTCTCTGCCTTGATATTAGCTTCCTTTTTCAGTGTGCATGGCTCTGTCAGTGCTGTGCAATTTCAGCCCGCAAGGCTCAAGGGTCAGGATATATGTTCAAGCAAAAGCTGCACATCTCCAGCTCTCAAATAGTCTCCATGGGGTTTGGCCCAGGTTGGTTTGGCAGTTGCTGAACAAAATCTCCCGTCTGTAAAAAGAGACATGTGTCTGCTCTTCCATAAGGCCCACAAAATGAAAAGGCAAACCCCTCTGCTATCCAGGGGAAAAAGGAACTCTCTACAGCTTTTGTTCATCTGCGATTCTATGGCAGGTTGACAATTTCAACCCTCTCCTTAACAAACCCTTCCTGTAAAATTTCTGGAGTTTCTAAATAAAGATAAATGCTTAATTCAATATGACAAGATGCCTCCAAGCATCCTGCAAAGAACAATGGCTTCCGTGTCCCGACCCCACCACATCTCCCGTTTCCTGGGAATTCAAGGCTCAATAAAAACACCAGTCTGGATTGTCTGAGGCCTTTTCTCTCATCTAGAAAAGCATAATGAGATTCACTACCCTCTGTGAATGGCATCTCAGAATGTTAGTGATAGGAGGAGCCATGGAGCTATAAAAATTAAGTCCATGGAAGTGAAATGATCCATGCAAGGTTTGACTGCTAATTAGTGACAGAGCCTGGGTTATACCCAGGCCTTCTGACTTGAAGGTCAACAGGTAACAGCATGGTAAAATTGAAGAAGGAAGCCTCTACCCTAAACTCTACCTCTTTACAAGCTACATGACCTCAGGAAACTCTCAACCTCTCTGAGTCTCCATTTATTTATCCAAAACAGGATAAAGGGTAGAGAGGATTAGTGATAATCAGGTATCCAGCTACATACCTGTCATGTAGTAGATGCTCAATAAATGGTAGCTAGTATTATTAAGGAGTAAAAACACTGAGGGATGTAGGAGTTCAGGGAAAGAAGATGAGCTTACTAGAGGAGTAAGGAAAGACTGCTTAAAGAAGGGCAATGATTGGCCGGGTGCGGTGGCTCACACCTGTAATCCCAGCACTTTGGGAGGCTGAGGCGGGTGGATCATCTGAGGTCAGGAGTTCGAGGCCAGCCTGACCAATATGGAGAAACCCCATCTCTACTAAAAATACAAAAAATTAGCCAGGCGTGTTGGTGCATGCCTGTGATCCCAGCTACTCAGGAAGGCTGAGGCAGGAGAATCACTTGAACCCTGGAGGCGGAGGTTGTGGAGAGTCAAGATTGTGCCACTGCACTCCAGCCTGGGCAACAAGAGCAAAACTCGGTCCCCCTGCCCCCCAAAAAAGGGGGCAATGATTTAGGCCTTGAAGACCAGAGGATATTTGGATGGGAAGTAAGAACAGGTAGGACATTCTTGATTAGGGCAATGAAGTAAGGAAAAGCTTGTAGGCAAAAAAAAAAAAAAAAAAAAAAAAAAAAAAAAAAAAAAAAAGCTAACAGCCAATTTAAGAACAATGAGTAAGTTGTTTGACCGCAGTAATAGGGTCAGGAAAATAAGTTGCTGAAGATCAAACTGCAAAGATTAGATTGAGGGAGACCTGAACATCATGCTAAGGAAGTTGGACCTGTGGATACGTGGGAAACTTTGAAGAAAGAGCTTCGACCAGAGGAATTAGTGAATACAGCAAATCAGTCTGGTAATGACATGGCGGGGGTGAACTGGAATAGGGAGCTGCTGGAAGTTAGAATAGTCGAAAGATTCCTACAGCAGGCCAGGCAGGAGAAGAAGAAAGCAAAGGAAAGTTGTGGCAGCTGAAATGAGTAGGAAAAGATGAGTGTGAATGATATTTTAAAGGAAAAGTTGGCAGGAAGAATCAATACTATTGTAGGAAAGAGAATTTAATTAGCTTTGTAAAGTGGAGAGGGAATATTCATGGCTTTTTGGGTTGAGCACTATATTTTAAAGAAAAGGTGTCCCAATCCACACATCTAAGAGAAAAGGAGCATGACAAATGGTTAAGCCAAAATGACTAAAAGACTTTAACAAATGATAAAATGAACTCAAATGAAGATTAAATGTTCAAGATCCGCAAGTCTTGGCTCAAACATAACTCCTTAGGGTTAACTTTCAATATGCATCTTGGTGATTCTTCAAAGTCTTTTCACTAATGGCAGACCTAGTTGCTGAAAAATGATGGTTGCATATTAAATTGGTAGCATATATAGCCTTTGCTCTCTTTTCCCTTATTTCTACAGGGAGGCTCATGGAGTCTAATTGAGCCTTTCTTAAATGATTTTTTTTTCTAACTTAATAGTAATGCTCAGAGCTACCTTTCTCAAAGAGTGTTTAGCAAAATGCTGGACCCTTGAGCTGTTCCTTAAGGAAGGGTCTATATTAATTGTCTCCTATCAGTCACAGACCAGAAAGGTGATAGAAACCTACCAGTCATTTGAACAGAAGGAATTTAATATAAAGGTATAAAATCATTAACCAAGCAACTGAAGATGTAGAAGCACACCAAGTTATCACAGAGGTAGCAAATGCAGGAAGGAGTGTTCACCCCTAGGGTTAGTATTACTAAATATACTAGCTGGTGTCCATAGGGCTGATTCTTTTAAATCCTATAAGCTTGTGGGAAAGCACCACAGAGCTGAAGCTTTGATCTCTGAGGAGGGGGTGCCACTTGTTGGGTGCTAGACTCTGAGCTCAAAAGAAGAGAGGCACCGAGGGTCTAGGATCCAGACCTCTGAAGTAGGGGTACCAGTCACCTGGTGGGGGAACCTCTTATGCAAGAGGCTGGTTCTGTAAGTGTTGAGAAAGAAACAAACTATTCAGCTGGGGCTACAAAAGTACTTGCTGCTGTCAATGGGAAGCACTGCTAGGATGCTTACAGGCAGGAAACAGGCAGGAAACATACAGGAAGTCCCTCCTGCATTCTCCCCATCCCCATCCACCAGCACCCCTTAGTGGCAGAGTTTAACAGGGAATCTGGCGGGCTGAAATGAGGTTTGCAGAGTTGTAATCCCAGCACTACAGGCAGAGTTGAGGGGGGGGGGGGTGGCATTTACAGCTGAGACAAAACAGTTTAATAACGGGGCACATACCACTTTCTGTATCATCCTCTTGGATAGTCACTGTGTATATTAAAGGTCCTGAACAGTTCTAGAGAAAAATGAGTTTGTATAACTGGGCATTCCTCACTGTGTGCTGGGAGTCTTCCCATTCCCCACCCCCTTCCCCGATATAATGAAATGCAAATGTAAAAACAAATGGGCTGGATATATACATAGTGACATAGAAAGAGACCCATTATGAATTACTTTACTTTTATATGAAAAACAAATATATGTTTATATAAAAACAGAAAAAGGCCAGAGGCTAGACACCAAACTGTAAACAGTGGTTATCATCTGCCAGGGTGGGTATTTGTTATGGGGTTCTGTTCACTTTCTACCTCACTTGTCTCTAGTTAGGATTTTTCAACACGAATGTACATTGTTACATAATCAGAGAAGAAAGTTATATCACTTTTGGGAGGGGGAAGGAAAGAATCACCTAGAACCAATAGTCTTCAGAATGCCGTCAGGGTCCCTGTTAAAATGTGGCACCCAAAACTAACAGAATATTTTTGAAGAGAGGAGAGAAAGAAGGTAAGCGGCATCTACTCTACACCTACTACATCGCAAGCTGTTGAGAATGTGGCATAAATTATCCCATTTAGTCTCAGCAATCTGATTATTCCTATTTTTCAGACAAGGAACAAGACTCAGAAGTGTATGTATTTTGCTCAAGACCTAAAAAAGAGGAGGAGCTACTGCATGCCTACTACACTGCACTGCGTCATTATCTGTCTTGCAGATATGTCTTATACTTCTTATATATCATGTGTTCTTTCTCCCCGATAATGTGGTGGTTTTTTATATCTAAGGATCTCTGTCTTGGTTTTCTAATATATCTTATACCTTTTAAGGAGTAATATGGGCTGAATTATATCCCCCTCCAACATTCTTAGGATTACTTCAACCCCCAGGATCTCAGAAGGTATTTAGAGATAGGGCCTTTAAAGAAGTGACTAAGTTAGAATGAGGCCCTTAGGGTGGGCTGTAATCCAGTCTGATTGGTGTCCTTAAAATGTGAGGACATTTGGACACAGGCTAAGGGGTGACCATGTGAGGACACAGAGAGAAGGTGGTCAACTGTTTGCAAACCAAGGAGAGAGGCCTCAGAATAAACCAAACCTGCTGATACCTTGATCTTGAACTTCCAGCCTCCAGAACTGTGAGAAAATAAGTTTCTGTCGCATAAGCCACCTGGTCCGTGGTATTTTGTTATGGCAGCCCAAGCAGACTAATACAAGGGAATTATTATGATTTATACTTGTTTAAATCACCTTGTAGTGCTTCGCATACAGCAGATGTTTTATAAGCATTTTGATGATTTATCATTTTGATCCGCTTTCATCCATTTATTCAATCAGTCATACCTGAGCAATGCCCTGTGCCAGGCTCTGTAATAGATCCTGGGGATAAAACAATGAACAAAATAAGAAAAATATCTGCCATCATGAAACTTAGATTCTACTAGGGGAGAAGATAAACAAATAAAATAAAAACTATGTTTACATAGTGATAAATAATTTAAAAACATAATATGGTAAATAGTGCTAAATGTTAAAGAGAAAGAGAAAACAGAGTTAGGAAGAGGATATGGAATGTGCGGGGAGGGTGGTATGTCCAGGGAAGACTTCCTGAAGTACACCACGTTGGGATAGACTTTTTAACGTTAGACAACCCTCCCCTACATCCCCACAAAAATCACAGGGCCGCCTTGAGTAGGTTTCCAGAGGTCATTTTAAACTTCTCCTCAAAGTCAGCAAAAATATACTTCCTGCACTCTCCCAAATCCTAAAGCGGCGTAGCAACAGGTCATTAACCAGCTAATAGATAAATACACAGGTCAGTCACAGACCTGTTTTCCCCTATGAAAAACTAGTTAGTCCTAGGGTACTTTTCTGGTTCAGAAACATTCTCTTTCTCCCACTTTCAAAACATGACTGGGCAATCATTCAGGAAACACATAAAGAGAGAGAATACCTAAAATTTATTTGCATCCAGTCAAAAATGGAAATGACTTTTAGCGTTTGTTTGCATTCCTGCTAGAAAGGACCTATGATGTTTTGTTTGCTCACACAGCTTCCTATTTAAATGGCAGTAGAAAACAGTGAAGGGAAGTAGGAGAGAGCAGAGAGACTGAATCATTTCCAGGATTTACTGATTTGCTGGCTGACCCTGACTAAATCTCCTTAACCTCTCTTTCTTGAATCCATCATTTGACACAATAGCGGGGATAAAGAAACTTGCTGTTTTGATGTTGTTATCAAACGTTTAAAGTTTGTGGTTAGAAGAGACAAAAGCAGGCTGCCGTATTTGCATAGTATTTTCGTTCTTCTTCCTCTCTTGTTTGGTTGCTCTAGTAATCAACTCAGGATAGGCAGTTCCCTTCCTCAGCCCTCCCCAGACCCATGAGGAGACAAACTGCCTGGCTCGCTCACTCTTTGGGGACAGCCATTGCTCAAACCTGGTGGTTGTGAGCTAAGGGTTAAACCCGTGGCTGCCTTGACCTGCAGCATCCCCTTGTTTCAACCACAATTTCAGCTTCATTACACCTATCTGTACCTGCAGGGCAATCTCCGTGACAGGAAAGGAACAGAGAGAACTGAGTGAATTTCATAGGCTCTGCTGAGCCACCCTGATTACCTTGGAATACAGGGCATGCACAAAGGAGGTAGCCTCCCAGATAAGACCTTCTGTTGTGATGCCTCTCCCGGGTCCTGGTCCTGAGACTGGTGAAAGTAAACCTTCTGTATTCAATAACTGCAAATGTGACATCGCAGCAGCTGGGAGGAGCTGTTTCCCAGGCTCTTCATCACAGACAAGTAAAGACAGCACAAGGTGAAGAGGCTCTTGGTAATTGAGGCCTGGAGGCTACTAGCAGCATTCCTGACTCTACCCATTCCCAGGACCTCATCTACCCCTGCCAGATCCCCTTAGGATTCCCCCAAGTGACAGATGGCTCTCCCAGATGGCCAATCGGCACAGATGTGATCCCAACCTTTAGATAAACAATAGCTTTTGCTGGCATGTACAGTAACCTAAATTTGTCCAATTATAAAATCCAGCAAATGCCACAGTCTTGGACAGACCCTGTTTCTAGGCCTCCATGGTCAATTTGAGGACACAGGCACTACACAGAGTGGAAGAAAATGACATGATGTTTAGGGAAAGCCTGAGTTCTGGTCCCAGCTCCTCCACCAAAGAGCTGAATGACCTTGGCTAAGTCCCTTCCCTGCTGCAGGCCTCAGTGTGCCCATCTGTATTGTTTGCAGCTATGGGGCTTGAAGGCCCATCATCTGTGGGCCAGGAACGTGTCAGTTTCATTATGTTGCCCTTTGAAATCTTACCGAAGTTCGTTTAAACTTCATCCCACTTGTGATGAGACCCCGTCCTCCCAGTCTCTGGAAATGAGAAGAGGAGGCGGCTCATGGCTTTGCTCTCACCTCTGCCCCTGAGCTCCTGTTTCTTGTGAATTCACTCAGCTTATTGCTCAGGTGTGCTAATCAGGGCTGTGATGATGGCCATGCAGCACTTCACTCTGTCACTAGTGAGCAGTCACATGGATTTCTCACACATGGCCATTGGGTGGGAAGCAAACTTAAAACATTGGGAAGGAAAATGAGGGAAACCATAAAGACTTGATTTGACACACCATAGTCCTTGCAGGACCATCCCTGCCAATCTGGGCCCCAGGCTCTGGCCATACAAGTCAGACCTCATTCTCTTTCCCCACTCCCTGTTTCCTCTGGGGAATAAGAGCAAATCCTCTGGCTCTCTATGCGGAACAATTCACTTCTTGTTCTGTCCTAGTCTACCAGCTCTGCTTTTTCCTTCCAGACCTTCTAAAGCATTATATTTTCACTCCCAAATATCCCAACAATGTATTTTTCTCCATGTCGTTAGTTCCCTTCAAAGAGTAATTCTGGTGCTAGCTGTTATTTACACACACACACACACACACACACACACACACAAACATGTAATCCCTTCAGACTTACAAGTCCTCAACATTTTGCTTTAATGAGAATTGGTTGAGTACCTACTGTGCTTGGCACAAGGCTGCTCACTATGAGATCTAAAAATGATGTATCTAAATTGGCACCTACTCAGGTGGGAAAACAAGATTAAAACACCCAGAGAACTGATTATAATTAACTGACAAAATGTATGCTGGGGAGGTTAAGAAAAGGAAGAACCAAGTTGATACAGGGAGATCTTCAAAGAGATGATAAAGCTTGTGAGGGCCCCAATGAGTGAGCTGCCTGCCCCATTTCCAGAGAAATAAATCATGTTCAGAGCCTGAGAAGCGGAGCTACCACCCCCTGAGAGGAGGACTGATATTCTCTTCAAACACAAATGCTTTTTGGAAGTTCATCATTAGCTGATGTATGTTTGCTCCAACGCAGACTTGAAACTGGTCCTCATCAAGTTTCCCTCTGTTCTATTTGTCAAACATTTACTATAAACCAGACCCTGATCTAGATCCAAATATCTGCTCTAGATAGCTCAGCCACAGTAGAGGTGGGTTGGTCTTATGTACTGGAATTCATCTCCCACTGGAATAGGTGCTTTGAGTCTGGTTTTCAGCCTAGGTGCTGGGGTCAGTGGCAAGCATCTGTGAGCACATGACTGGGAGCAGAGTGTAGTCTGTTGAGTGTAGAAACTGGGTAAACTGAAGATACGCAATCCAGACTCCCAACGCAGCACACATCCACTCTCATTTATTCTTTCTCTGGTCATGTCTAGCATGCTCAGTATGTGCCAGGGGAAAGGAAAGGGTGTAAAACCTATCCCTTACCCTTGGGGAACCTGCGAGTCTTTTATATCCTGAATAATGACTAGTCTGATAGACATGGGTAATGAGAGCTCAGAAGCACTAAGGAAGAAGAAACTAATCTTTCAGGTCTAAGGGTCATCGGAGAAAGCTTCATTCACTATGGAGGTAACTTTTGGAGCAAGAGTATCAATTCTCTAAGCAGAAATATGGAAGATGGAATCTATAAAAACTTAAAAATATTAATCTAGAATCTTTCAGAAGTAGAAATTCAAAGGGGCTGGAGTAAGATTGAGGTAGAGTAAGTGAAAGAGGGCAGTGTCATGAAGAATCAATAGAGGGTGAGGTCTTTCGCTAAGCCATGTTTGGTCTTTATCCCACAGCAATGGGGTACAGCTGGAGCTTTTGAAACATATGGGTTCACATCGTCTCTGAGATAACTCTAGTATTGGTGTGAAGGAAGAATGGAACAGGAGGCTGGTATATGGTGAGACAGGCAGGAAAGGGTTACAGTATTCCAGGTGAGATATGATGAGGGTCTGGACTGGCTGATTATGGTTGAAGAGATCAGAGTTGGCCTCAACCTGGGCTAGCTGTTGCTTTGTAAAATTAAAATGCCATCAGCTTAGGACTGCGGCAATGCTATGTACTTACTAGGTATTAAAAGTTGTTCCCCATTATTAAAAAGGAAGACGTTGATCCCTAGTACCCTCCTTGAAGGTGACCTGTAAGAACTTGTGCTCATAGTTACTGGGGAGTTGCAAGCTGGTCTACGAGCCCGTCTTCTCTCTCAGAGATCGCCTGAAGTTGTATCCGGTTGCTGAATAGAACGTGCCTCTTTTGCCGCCTCTCCTTAATATAATGAAATCCCCAAGCACAAGGGGGAAAGTGGGCCATTCGGCACAGAAGTGATTATAAAAATTGACTTTTATGTTGATTGTAGATTCTCTAACATGCCTCCCACCCCGTGGTGTCTGAGAAGAAAAAGTGTGACAGGTCTCACCCCGAAGGCAGAGGCGCAGCACTTGCTGGGAACTTCTGCCAACCTGGCAATCTGGTGCCACGGCCAAAGATGTCTTCCAGAAACATGGAGCCGAAGGACGTCGTGGCTAGCCCTTCCCTCCCTCCTTTGAAAGCCGCTATTCCAAAGTTAGCTCTCTCTTTGCTCCTCTAAATATTTCCTGATGTTGTATCCTTAGGTGTGAAATTGTTTTGTAAGGGACTCTAGCTTTTGCAGCTGGATTTTAGGAGGCTATAGAAAAGAAGTCCCATAAATCCCCCCACCTTCTAAGTTACAAACACCAATTAAACAACTGTACTTGCACCTGGAATGGCAGAGATTGCTTTAAAATCCTCATTCTGTAGCCGTAATTGCCAGATCATATGTAGAAATGTGGAATGTGGGAGTCATTATGGATGATAGTGAAATGGCCCGTTTATTGCCCTTTCTTGGCTAGAATGTTTCTTGAGTGAGTTGTTTTCTACTTACTGGCTCTGGCTATATAATGCCAAAACATCTGATGAATGGAGCCAAAATTTCAGCCCATGGTTTGCTGAATAATCTGAAAATGAAATTATATGAAAATAACTGGGTGTGAGGGAGCGGGTGGTACAAGTAGAGAGGAGGAAGAGGAAGGGGCAGGTTGTCTTCACCATTCTAAATATTTAGATTGGCTCAGGTTTTCACTAAATTGAAAAACTCTTTCTCAGTGATGTGTTAGGGACACAACTCTTTTGCATGTCTGAATGACTCTTAAGTCTGGTTTCCTGAAAATTCAGTGGTGCCTTTCCTTCCTGTGGGTTGAGCAGTTATTTTGATCTTTCAGCTTGGGGTTTCTGAATATTTGCAGTATTATTCTGATAGTGTTGTGCTGGCCCCAAACTGTGTTCAATAAAAATTCGGGAACAAAGATGTGGTTTCTTCTAAGTCACAGTCCAAGAAGAAGAACAAATGGATGTTACTCCTTTTATTAGAAATAACCAGGATCTTTTTTTTTTTTTTTTTTTTTTTTTTTTTTGAGGCAGAATCTCACTCTGTCACTTAGGCTGGAGTGCAGTGGTGTGATCTTGGCTTACTGCAACCTCTGCCTCCCGGGTTCAAGCAATTCTCCTGTCTCAGCCTCCTGAGGAGCTGGGACTACAGGCGCCCACCACCATGCCCAGCTAACTTTTTGTATTTTAGTAGAGATGGGGTTTCACCATGTTGCCCAGGCTGGTCACGAACTCCTGAGCTCAGACAGTCCACCTGCCTCGGCCTCCCAAAGAGCTGGGATTACAGGCATGAGCCACCGCACCCGGCCAGGATCTTAAGCAAGTGACATAAGGCAGCTGCTACTGACTTCAGCTCTTTCCCACCGAACATCATCTGACCTGCATTATCTATTCCTCTTTCGTCCATGTCCAAACAGTCTATCTTTCAAGGTCAAGTTCTTATTTTTATTTTTTTGTGCTAACACATAATTGAGCCCTTACTACATTACCAGATGCTGCTTTACATTTATTATCCGACTTAACCTACAAGGTAGACACTATTGTTATTCCCATTTTACAGATGAGAAAACTGAAGTTTAGGAGGATCAAATAACAATCTCAGGGACACACAGCTCCTTTGTGTTGGAACAGAATCAGAAAGCAGAGGATATCACTGCAGCTTGCTTTTCCTTAATCATTAAGCTATGTGGCCTCTCGATTAAAGGCCCAACTCTTCTGAAAACCTCTCCTAATGACCCCATCCACAATGCAGTCTCTGTCCCTCTGGCTTCCCTTTTAACTTACCACTTGTACCACATATCTGGAAATTTCCTCTCACCAAATATACTTTTGACAGTTTTTCTTTATTTTCTGGAATTATGATTATTTTTTGAACTTTCTTATCAAATACGTTCTACAATTATGTTAAAGTGCAGGCCATGTCTTAAATAGCCTTATGCTTGTCACAGCCCTCCATGCTGCAAGAGGACCTGGGAGGTAACAGAGAGATGGCAGACCTATGGTATTATCATCATTATCTGGTCACCTGCCACAGTGAAATCAGTCACATGGAAGCTGAGCTCATAGGGAGGCGAGCTCCTATAGTCCTCTCCACTTGGGGAATGTGTGAATGGGCACTCTGAAACTTTGTGATTCTGCTCAGAAATTTGGAGTTGTGATTTATGGGTGAGATTTACCCACTTCTTAGCAATAGCTGGAACACTAGACCAGTTTTGAAAGCTGGAGGTATTTTTCTGATGTGAGTGTTGGCAAGGATTGGTAAGACCCCCAGCCCCCACTTCCCCAGAGTGTTAAGTGGGGTCTTGAGAAGTGGGTAGGCAGCCAATGTAGAAGTGTATAAGATCTCTTTTCTGGAGATTACACAGAAAATGCAAGCAAAACTTGCAAAGTGGTTTCTATGTTCTTGGAGTTGTCATTTTTGTCACTTTATTTGGCTGTGAAGCTGATTTTCACACAGGCCTGGTGGTTGTTAAAGTAAACACAAGTATAGTATTAATATCCTCTGCATATATTTAGGTAAAATTGACATCCAGTTGAAGTCAAGAAGTGGTTTGCTTACTCATAGTTCTTGGAAACTGTACACATACTGATTTAATACTTATGTTCCCCACATATACATCCTGACTAACAGTATCTTCTCCTCAACTTTTACAAAATTTTACAAATTTAAGCATACAAAATATGCTTAAAATATCAAGTGAGTAATTTGCAGCCACTATACTTTGAGAATCTGCCAGGCCTACTCAAAGCATGAATCTGAACTACTCTGCTTTGAAGCTTTGGGAATTTGGAAATTCATTCATTCTTTTGGATTCATAGTCCATGAGCTGCTATTAAGTAGACATTTCTTCTGATTGGTCACCCCTATTTTGCAAGATTCTTCACTGCCTATTGAATTGACATCAGCTGCCTATTAGCTCTAGCGTATTTTAGGAATGAGTTGTGGCCTCCACCACGTCTGCTACTACTCAGCAGGAGTTGCTCTAGCTAAAAGAAGGCTCTGCTAACGTGGGACTATGCTTGGCATTCACATTGCTTTGGTGGCCCCTAAGCTTGACTTCCAAACTGTGATTAACTGTATGTTATTTTATTCTATTGTAATGAGCTAATGACAATTTTGTAGTCAGCCATCTCTGTCTCATCCCTCCTTCCCTGCAGATGACTAGCATATGTTACACATTTGGTTCAAAGATGCAAAAACCTAGTCCTTGACTTCAAGGCTTTTACAACCTATTTGGGAGAGAATGAGTAAAGTCCCAACCATGTAAATTAATAAATTCAATGTAAAGTAGAACCTTTAAAAATTGTACAGAAATTTTCAAATCTATAGCAGTTGTAGGAATTATAGGCATTTAAGGAAGGGAAGTCGCCATGGAATGAGGCTTTAGACCTTTTGCTAAGCAGCAAGAGAAAGTGAGCTCGCATTTATTAAACACCTGTTCCATGTCAGTTCCAGTCTGTTTATTCTCTCACGTCCAGTCTTCAAGTGTAATAGAAACCATTTAATTTTTAAAAAATCTACCATTATGTTTATTGAGATTGCATGAAGGCTATAAGGAGTGCTTCCCAAGTTACCATATTCAGCCCACACTTTTGGAACCATTGTACATCTCTGCATTTATTCAACTCCTCTTTTATGTCACCCAGTAAACTATTTTACTTTCCTTCTCATAGAACACGTTTCTCACCAGGTTGTTCCTTGGTGCTTTATATGTTTGGCACTATCATGGAAGGGATTCTTTCTACCGTATATTATTGTTGTTGGATATTGCTGAAAAACTACTTTGTATATGGATTTGTATCCTGAACCCTATTCTTGATTCTAAGATGGCTGGTCTGAGGGGATGTTTGAAGTGTCTTGAATTTTCTATGTTTAACGAAAGACCATCTGAAGATAAATTTATTTTCCTCATCTGCAATTATACCTCTCACTTTTGCTTCATGGCCTTTGTGTTGCTTGGATCTTTTGAAACAATAGGCAACAATTTGGGGATATTTTATAATCTATCTTGTTTCTGATTTTGCTAGGAATGATTTCAAATTTAGCAATTCTCAATTTTTGGTATATATTAGAATCACCTGAGAGAAGACCCTCCATGGCTGAATCTCAGGCATACATATTTGGGTTTGAAGTTTAGGAGAGAAAAATTTCCACAAGTAAATTCTGAAGTACATCAATTTTACAAGTATCACTAGTGTTACTTATCATCATCATCATCATCATCATCATCATAGCACTTAATATATAAATGTTATTATAACACTGTTACTAAGTTCCAGACACTATACTGAGCACTTAATATGAGTCACTTTAATTATGCTCACACCAACCCTAGGAGGTAAGAAATCATCATGCCCATTTTACAGACAGAACTAAAGCAGAAAGATTAAATAACTTACTGAAAGCCTCATGGCCAGAAAATCATGAAGCTGGAATTTAAACACAGGTCAGAATTATTTTTGAGCACGTTATTCATAGTCGACATCCCATATGGCTAAGTGTGATGATCATGTTAAGGATCCTTCTATTCCCAGTTTCATAAAATATATCTTTTAAATTTTACCTACTACTTGTTTAGTATTTATTGAGATGGTTTTTCTTCTTTGCCCCATTGATGCTATTGATTATAGTATTAGTTTTCTGAATATTTAATTATTCATTTCTAGTATAGTTTATCTAATTTTAGAGGATGATTCTTTTAGATGTTATTGAATGTGATTGGCTAGTATTTCATTTAATATTTTTCTACCTACACTCATTAGTGTCATTGCAGGTGAGGGGCGTGTGTGCTTCTTTACCAAGATTGGATTTCAGCATCCTTCTTCCTTCATTAAAAAATAAAATTGTGTAGCTTTTCAGCTTTTCTATGCTCTGGGACAAATTATGTGGCAGCAGAATGATGTGATGCTGCTGCTGAAGCCTCATGGCCTCTGACATGTTTCGTAGATAATTCTTTAATAACTTATAAAATTTCTTCCATTGTGATTGATCTGCAGGAAATCATTTCTTACAGGTGAAAAAGGTGTCATTGTTATTTTCTGCAACCCGCTCATTATTGAAAACTTAGAAAACACAAAAAGTCAAGAGAAGCAGAAAAATAATCACTGGCGTCCCATACCCCAGATTCACCACAGTTACCATTAGTGTATTTTCTTCTGCTTTTCTTCAAACTCAGAGGTTTTGAATTTATACTGCACACAAAATTTTGTATGCTGCTCTTCTCAATTAAGGTGATAGCCTGGGAATTTTACTTTTATTCTCAAAGGTTGTTTTAAATTACTGAATGATACTTCTTTATTTTCAGGGGACTCTATCTGGATTCAAGTTCTGCACACTTGTTGACTGATTGCATTCTAATTCAACTAGCTATAGAGCATAGGAACAAAGGAAACTTAGTGTGTAAATTAATTGTCATTGAAAACTATCCTGATATGAGATGCTCCACAGCAGTGAGTGCAAGAGAAGTAGGGAAGAACTTTTCTGTGCCCTCTGATTTAACTCACTTTTATTTTCGTATTAAATAACCAGTTAATTATTAATTGTACTATTCTACTCTAGGATACAGGAATAATCAGAGTGGTAAATGACTCAAATGGTCTAGAGGGAGGCAAGCAAGAGTACTCCTGGAAGAGGAGACAGTTTGAATGTGTTTTAGAGAATGAATAGAAATTTCTAGGACAATGGCAAACAGAAAAGTCAAAGGCAAAGAGGTATAAAACAAGGGAGGTATGCTGGAGGAATCATAAGGAGTGCCTGAAATGCAAAATGTGGAGGACAAGGGGTAGAAAATAAGCCCAGAGAGGAGGGTAGGGCTGAGCTCAATGAACAGCAACTTTCAGACAAATGATCACAGAAGCTGAGGGTAGGCAGACTCTCTAACTTAGCTGTGGCTGTCCCCATCACCCCAGCCTGCAAGTGCTGTCGTCACTTGCCAGGTTTTCTTTTTTTTTTTTTTTAATTTTAATTAGATGTCTTTTCAATCTGGATTGCCTCAAATTTTGATTTAACAGTTAATTATTTGCTGCTTAGTTGGCAATAATTGGTTAGTGTCTTATTTTGTGTTCTCCCAGACTCAGACCCTAAGACAAGGATTTGAGTACGATTAATTTGTGAAGTGATCCCCGGAAGCACTAGTAGGGGACTGGGAAAGAAAGGGAAGGGATGGTAGCCAATATCATTAGCATTGTGGGCTTCATTAGATTAGAGCTTCATCCCACCTGGGAACTCTGGGAGCCCGTGGAAAGCCTGCCCATCCGAATGGCTGGGGCTTATTCACCAACTCCTCAGTCATTAGTCAACCATTGCTGGGGGACAGTGGGTGGTTAGTTCCCTGCCTGTCTGGCCTGCTGTGTATGTAAGCAGAGTGGACTCTGGAGGCCAGAGGAAGTTCTCAGGTAAAGAAGTGCAGATGTAAGTCAGGCCAACAGGTGCTGAAGTAAGGCTCAGGGGAATATGGGTAGGGTGCTGACAATTTTTGCTACAGCTGAATATTTTGCACCCTAGACATAATATAAAATGAAATACTTTTAAAGTTCCTTTGTATCTATAGGCCTTTGTTTCTTTTGACAAATACCATAGAATCTTAAAAATCATAGAGTTCGGATACCCATCTTGCCCAAAGGTGTTTGATTTCATGTCTATAGAATGTTCATGTAACTGTATTTGAATTCCTAGTGACTCAGCATTCCCCCGCTTCCTCCTAAGGCAGCCTGTCAAGTCTCTAAACTGCTCTGTGTTTTACAATGTATCTCTTGATTGTCTGCAAAGACCCTTCTCCTATCCATTGACTTTTGGCTGCGTGCTGAAAAAACTTGATTTCTCATTTGCGTGGGGGTTCCCAAACTTGACTGTGTGTCAAAATAAAAATCACCTAGAGGATTTTTTTTTTTTTGGAGACAGGGTCTCACTGTGTTGCCAAGGCTGGGCTCAAACTCTTGGGCTCAAGTGAGCCTCCCATCTCAGCCACCCAAGTAGCTGTGACTAGAAGCCATGCAGCACTATGCTGGGCCCTAGGGAACTTTTAAAGTGTACATATTTCAGGAGGGAGTGCTCCCTCCAGGTCATCTGAGTAAGAATGTCTTAGGAGTGGGAACAAAGAATGTGTAGAATTTTCCCCAGGATATTCTTATGGGGCCAGTGTGGCTGTGGTCTACAGAGTAGAGTTTGGGACTAGCGAGCTAAATGGCATCCTTTAGTAAATTGCAGACAGCCATAACATCCATCCCAAGAGTTCTCCGCTCCAAAGGAAAGCTTCTCATTCCCGCAAACATCCCTAATATAACATGGGTTGGAGTCCCTTCAACATTCTATCTCCTCTTCTGAATATAGTTATGTCTATTTTTACATTAAAATGTGCCACCAAGAACTGCATATAATTGTGATCTGACAGTGTAGAGCACAGCAAAATTATCCCCTCACCTTCTAAACACTAAAATATGATTAAAGCAGCTTCATGTCACATTAACTTTTTTGAGGCCAATTAAACTATGGATTCATGAAGAACTCACCATTGACTAAAGCCTCTAAATCTTCATTGTTTACTTTGGAAGTTGGACTTTTAGTTTAACTTATGACTCAAGTTCAATACTCTGTTGTTCTCCCTTTTCTTCTTCTTTTTTTAAATTTTAATTCCAACACCTATAATAAAACAGACACTAAAGATATGGAGTCAACAGAATTTGCTCATCCATTAGATATTTAGGTGTGATTAACATGAAAGGTCAAAGATGACTCCAAGGGCTCCAGCTTGAAAAGCTATGTGAAGCTTCTATTTATTAAGAATTACAGGGGGTAAAACACTTGGAAGGTGGAGTAGAGGTGATAAATTCAGCTTTAGTAGAGTTGAGTTTGGGGTGCTTGCAGGAGCAGCAGGTAGAGATGTCTAGTGAGCAAATGTGGAGCTCAGAAAGCAGGCTGAAATCATAAATGTGAAGCCTAGAGTTTTCTAGGTGGTAGTTAAAAGCTACAGAACTAGTCCTCCTGGCTTAGGTTATTATTCACAGGTTTAACCCATCTGTTTTAGTTACACGACAGTCTTTGAAGAAAAAAAATACAGGCCAGGCACAGTGGCTCACACCTGTAATCCCAGCACTTTGGGAGGCCGAGGGGGGTGAATCACGAGGTCAGGAGATCGAGACCATCCTGGCTAACACGGTGAAACCCCGTCTCTACTAAAAATACAAAAAATTAGCCGGGCGTGGTGGTGGGCACCTGTAGTGCCAGCTACTCGGGAGGCTGAGGCAGGAGAATGGCGTGAACCTGGGAGGAGGAGCTTGCAGTGAGCCGAGATCATGCCACCACTACACTCCAGCCTGGGCAACATAGCAAGGCTCCGTCTCAAAAAACAAAAACAAACAAAACAACCAAAAACAACAGGACTGCAAGCTAGAGACAAATTTGAACCCTAGAGGTTTCTAGGTGGTAGTTAAAAGCTATAGAACTAGTCCTCTTAGCTCAGGTTATTATTCACAGATTTTATCCATCTGTTTTAGTTACAAGACAGCACTTAAAGAAAAAAATTCGGGACTGCAATGTGGCTCTAAAGACCTTCCTCGAGGTGGCCACTGATTATCCAAAACATGTTTCTATATTATATCCATTCAAATAAGAAATCCTGTCAATTTTCTAAATGACTAAATGTCTTGCAGATATATTATTTCTATCTCATTTCCCTGATGTCCCAATATTAATAACCAGGTAAAACAAGTAAGGTCTGACTTCAAGGACAAACCATTATCAAATTATGTTTATATTTACAATTCTAGTCTCAGTTATTCATTCATAATTTAATGCCTTTTGGCTGATCAAAGGTCTTTGCATATAAATTGCACGCCAAGCCTGGCTTCCTTTAACTTTTTGTTTTTCAAGACATTTGGTGAACCAAACATAGTTTCGATTAATGATGAACACTTTTTCTCCAAGAAGAAACTTTTAAGGAAAACACACACACACACACACACACACACACATATACATACAATGAATTTATTAAATTAGAAAGTAAAAGTAAACAAAAACAATCTTAATGAAGGTACACACAGTTTCTCTTTCCCAACAGTCAGGTCTCAAGTTACAACACGGTTAAAACAAGAGAAAGCATTTTGAGGCTTCACTGGAGAAATGGTCCTTGGGATTAAATTCTCCTTTGACCTATAACTTCAAACAGAACTGAGCAGCAGTATGGGGTTCTCCGTGCTTTTGGTATGTATGTGATCACTTCTTTGTGATGAATTGCTTTTAAATTATTCCCTTTGCTCCTGTTTACCTCATTATTCTTTGAGCATAAATCTTACCCTCAAATAATTTATGCGTAAAGGAATCTGATAGAGGAATGGAACAGGCTCACCAAGTGTCTCCTGCTCATTACAAGTGAATAAATAAATAGGTATACCAAACAATCATTCTCATCAAAAGAAAGTGGTACGTTTTTTTCCTAGACACGTCTAATAATTACTGAGGGATTAGGGGACTCTAACCACTGTGAAATTTGGCAGAGGCATATCAAAATCAGCACAAGTATCTGAGATCCAACTCTGATGACATTATTTTCTGCCGTAAGAAAGCTCATGATGATTAATCAGAGATTTTAAGCTGTTGGGAAAGCCCAACTCTTTGTGGTGGATAGTGTGTTGTTAGGGGTGGGGTATGTTTTTCCGGGCAGGGGGTAGAGTGATAGTAGGGCACAGTTCAGAGTATCCATATAATCTTTTGCCTGGGATGGTGTAATGCATGCTCACCCCACAATAAAGAGCAGAATAATCAATCTCACTGGCCTACACGGGGGTTGCCCTTATACTCTTGGTCTCATTCGTGCATCCCACCATCCAGCTGTGTATTCTCACCACGGATGCGCTTCTTTCTCTATCAAACTTAAGAGCCAAATGCTCCATCCAGTGTCTCGTTTTACTCCCACACATAGGTTGCTCACTCAATTCTCTGGGCTGTGAAAGGTACCAGCTGCTGACTCCTCCTTGGTGTTTAGAGGAAGAGCTGGTGAGTCTATGGAGGGCAGAGAATGCTGAATTTCATCCTTGCCTAAACATGGTGCTGAAGGAATGCCAGCTATAAGTGAATCACATTTGAAGTTTAAACCCACTATGCCCCTCTGCCCAGATCCCCCCTTCAGAAACAAAGGGCTTTGTCCCCTCAGGTGCTGGGAGTGCTATCAGAAGGTGGCTGTCAGCCATCAGCCCTCTTTAGGGATTGCCTTGGCTGAAGAAAACTACCTCGCCAAAGATCATGCCTTTTTCCATAGGCAGCCCACATTCAATGACTGATCAATGCAGAGGTTTAAAGGCCCAGACCCTCTGCCCCAACTCAGGACGATGCTAGAGGGCCATCCAGCCCCAGAGCTCCCCATGGGGTCCCCTGGGGCTTTCACTGGGACTTAATCACAGATCAGCATCTTCCTCTGCCGGACCCTGATGCCTTCTCCCTTTCAAAGGTGCTAGTCCCAAGAGTCCCTGATAGAAACACCTGCATGCTAATCTTAGGGTCAGCTTCCCAGGGGCCACTCTACTTAGAAGTGTATAAATAATCCTTATGTTATTTCATTGATGATCCCACTGCTTGTCCCAAAAAAATATTTAATTGAGGTTAAAAGAAAGTCTGAATAAGCAAAATCCAGAGGTTATTGTTTCTACTTTAGGGACCAGGCTTTTGGCCGATATGCATATGGCTGATCATCAAAATGATTGGGGGTGGATGGAAAAGGCTTTTGAAATAGAGGTTTCCAGGCCCTCTTCCTCAAGAAGACTCTCTGGTAGTATAGCCTCAGGATCTGTATTTTTTCACCTTACCCCTGGTATTCTGATGGGCGGTTCCTGTTGGAAAACCACAGCTCTAGACCATCTTGGCATCCTGACTTAATATGGAGAACTCCAGATACCAAGCCCCAAAACTGGCTCTTCCGTTTCCCTAAAAGAAATGTGACAGTTATCAATAAGTTCAAAATGGATCACTTGTGTTTTCTTCTTGGCTCCAGGAGAAATGTAGCTCTGGGAATGTTTCCAGGGTGTTTTTAGTTCTGCCCTCTAACAGATATTCAGGTCTAGCCAACAACTGATAGGTATTTCAGATTTGGGAACTCTAACATCCAGTCGACTCTGTGTTGGACTTGGAGGAGAAACGCAATCCTCAGCATGTTCTCACATATAAGTGGGAGTTAACAAAGGGTAACGTGGACATACAGAGTAGAATAATCAACATGGGAGACTACAAAAGGTGGGAGGGTGGGAGGGGGTGAGGGTTAAGAAATTACCTATTGGGTACAATGTTCACTATTTGGGTGATGGGTACACTAGAAACCTAGACTGTGTATTATATGCATGCAAGGAAGCTGCATTCATACCCCATAAACAAACATTTTACAAAACCACTTTTGTGGTTTTTATCTTATGTTTTCACCCTCATGCTCGTCATCGTAAAAAATTACTTTAACATGTCAATTATGTTTTTTTCTGTTTTGTTTTTTTGAGACAGAGACTTGCTGTGTCACCAGGCTGGACTGCAGTGGTGCAATCTCGGCTCACTGCAATCTCCACCTCCCGGGTTCAAGCAATTGTCCTACTTCAGCCTCCCAAGTAGCTAGGATTATAGGCATGCGCCACTACACCCAGCTAATTTTTGTATTTTTAGTAGAGGTGGGGGTTTCACCATATTGGCCAGGATGGTCTCGAGCTCCTGACGTTATGATCCACCCTCATCAGCCTCCCAAAATGCTGAGATTACAGGCGTAAGCCACGGTGCCTGGCCATCAATTATACCAATTTACCAAGACCTAATGAGATTACATTCTAGCCATCTTAAATTGTGCCTTGGGAATTAAATCTCTTTTGTTGTGTTTTGTTTTGTTTTGGAGACAGAGTTTCACTTTGTCACTCAGGCTGCAGTGCAGTGGTGTGATCTCGGCTCACTGCCACATCCGCCTCTCGGTTTCAAGAGATTCTCGTGCCTCAGCCTCCCAAGTAGCTGGGATTACAGGCATCTGCCACCACACCCGGCTAATTTTTGCATTTTTAGTAGAGACAGGGTTTCGCCCTGTTGGCCGAAGTCCTAACCTCAAGTGGTCCGCCCATCTCGGCCTCCCAAAGTGCGGGGATTACAGGCATGAGCCACCACGCCCGGCCAAGTTTTCATTTTTAAACATAAAAAAGGAGAAAATGGAAGAACAACTAGTGTTTATGGGGCACCTACTTTGTGCCATGTAGTAGCCTCATATTTTCATAAACATCCACCCAGGTGAACAGATGAGGAATCCAAGGAAATGCAGTGTAATGAATCCAAGGTCACACAGCAAACAATAAATGGGCCAGTATTCAAACCTAGGATTTTAGGACCTCAAAATCTGTGCACTGGTCATTTGGAAATAAGTATTCCTACTATTTTGGCTTTTTGACTGCAAGATGGAGAAATAGTGTTGCCTTCACTGCTAGACAGGCACTAGGACCATTTTTGGTTGTGCAGATAAGCCAAGGGTGACTCTTTTGTACTCTTCTGTTTCTGTGCACCAAACAATTGTGAAAATAGACTCCTGGAGGCTGTAAACAGGAGCAAGTGCTCCAGGCTGTTGAAGTTTAAACAGCCTTCCTGTTGAGGAATCGCCAGGACTGATGGTAAAGCCTGGGGAAACGAGGGAAGATGAGGAACTGCCTTATATATGTATATTTAAGTCCAAGACAAATAAATGAACAGTAAAACCCTTACCTCAAAGGCAAGACAGAGCTGTACTCTCACTAACAACCAGGGTTGTACATCCTCTAACAGCCCCCCTACCCCTCACCCCATCACTCCTCCCTTTTTGTGATTCATGTTCCTTTAATATTGGCCCAGATGCTAATTTGAATTAATTCAACAAGTTTGAGGTTGGAGGAATTGGGGAAGGTACACAATATTAACGGCCCCAGACCTTACTCCATCTTCTGGTGGCTTTGTCTCCCTCAGCAGGTGGAGGGTCTCCTTTAGCCTAGTGGAAAGTTCAGTTCCTTGGAGAAACTGGCTTGCAGAGATCTTGGGGAAGTTCAAGTCTCCTTAGCTGATTGAATCTAATTCAAGAGGTAGTCTAGGCACTTAAGAATGACTTGTATACTGTTAGTAGAGCCAAAAGATTTTGCATTCTGGAATTCTTCCAAGTCCTAGTTATATCATACCACTGTTGTCTCTAGAGCAGGGATTAACATGCTTTTGAATGTGCATCCCCCAATGTTAAGCAAATCGAGCACAGACCCCCACTAGTTTTGTCTTTACTTATATGCATATTTATTTATAAATTATATAAATATGCCTCTTATCATTTGCTAATATTTCAAGGCATGATATAAAATTGTATCAAGGTTTAGGCAGTAGATATAAATATATATTTGATAGTCTTTTATCATGTACAATTTTTTTAGCTGACCTCTTGTTAGATCTGATAGATTGTCATTGTTTATGCCTTAGTAAAAGGTTTGCTCATTCTTGGAGAAGAAATGTAAGCTCAGACATTTTCTTATTTTCATTTGTACTTCATTAGTGCATAATATCTGCTGTGAGACAGTTCTTCACAGATCTCTTATTTTTCTGCGTGTCTGGCAAGCAGGAGCTCTGACAACTTTGATTCTGGTCTATCTTCTCAAGGATGTTTGTATAGCAAAAAGCCATGAAACACAGAAACGGGCTCCCTATGGAGCAGAAAGCAGGTTTGTTTGCTGTCCAACATTATAAAGATAATGTCTTCCTCTGGAGCAAAGGTTGGGCAAGTTTTCTAGCAGTCCTATTACAAAAGATTTGGGTTTGCTTCACTCAGGCTTTCAGCTGTGACACAAACACACTGTATGTGCAGCGTCTGCCTGCACTGTCCACATTGGCCCTGGGGACTTGGGGGGCAAGGCTAGCCAGGGCATACATGAGGTTCACGCTTGTTGTGTTTTAAGTAATAACATCCTTAGTCTCTGACCCAGGAGTCTTGTGTCTTTTGCCAGCATCCATGAAATGTGGCAGGCTAGCTTGTTAGATTGCAAGTAGTATAAAATCTCAGACCTTTCACAATTTTTGACAGCATCTTTAATACATTTTTAAAATTAGAGCAGGAATCTTTTTTAGACGTTGATCTATTTTGTGAGAATTAGTTTGATTAAAACCAGATAATATTGGCAAACCCACACAACTGCAAGCACACTAACTCTTCCTAACACACTGACATGAAAACTAGTGCAAGGGCCCTAAAGTCCACTTGTCTTTGTTGTGATGAGCCCACACTTTTCTCAGGCTAACTTGCTTGCCTCCCAGGTCACTTAGACAATCTGACACACAGATGGAGGGAGGCCATGAGTCAATCCATGATTAATAAAGCTAACTTTTTTCCTTTGGAGATAAAATATAAGTTTCAAAAGAAATCATACTGTCTTCTCATACTCCCAAAGGATGAGCTTGGTATCCCCTTGGAGAACACTGCTGCTGATTATTTTTTCCTCCCCAATTGTGGCCTCATAATACTTACTAAGCACATCAAATGAAACCATCACTGAAGTAAGCACTTCAAGTAAAGTGGTTTTTTGCTTCTTACTGCATCTGAGCACGACTATATCTGTTTTACATGTGACTTCACTATAGGTTAGGTGGATTAAGTAAAATTTCACAGAAGATTTTCACAAATCAAAGTGGGTAACAGCCTCTGTGGCCACAGACTGTGCGCCAATACTGTCTGGTTCACAGATGGCAAGACTGAAGACAGAGGTGTCGGATGCACTGAGCCCCTTTCCATCACCAATTCTTATGTACAGCCGTGTTTTCCTTCTCAGGAAAACTTAGGATAGGCCCCCTGTTCTTCATTAAATGACTTTGTGGTTGTGAGCAAAACTTGATTAATTTCTATTTTAATGAATTCTGCTTTGTACTGAAATAATGTTAGAAGAAGAAACTTAAATATGCTCTTTGTGTTTGTGTTTTAAATACAAAGATTGAAATTTTGTACCTTATGGATTTTTGGGGAGAGGTGGCGGTAGATTTGGGGTAAGGAAAAGACAGATTAGGAAACAAAGGAAAGGAAAGCCTGCCAAGTGCAACTCAGGAAGGTAGTCATGCACGATCAAATGCGTACATGCTTGTAGGATTAAACAATTAATCCTACTGGTTCCACAGCTCAGATATGATCAATTTCCCCCCTAAACAGAGACTCCAGCAAGTCAGACACATCGGATCCGAGCACTTGAGCACTGTCACACTTCACGCCTGCTGGTCTTTAAAAAGATTGATCATCCTGACATGCTCTGAGAAGACCGCCACTGCGTTTCACCACTCTGTTCCGTGGTCTAAAAACAATATTTCAATTTAACAGAACATGGGGAAAGTTTCAAAAGCTGCCAGGCAATCTCCTCCTCTGAAGTTTTAGAGGGAAAATCATTGACACTTCCAGAAGTCAAAGAGAGTGCTTGTGTTTGTGTGAGTGGGGAGGGGGGAGACTGGGGTGGTGGACAAGAGAAATGGGGTGGGAGGTACAACAGGAACTTAAACAGATGTGGGAATCCACTGTACAACAACCTAGCCATGAAACACTGCTCAGAGGCCTCATTTGTATGCTGTGGCGACGTCCTAGATGGAAATCTTTCTGGGAGTTACTAAATATATATTTGTTGGAGGCTGTGAAGGCGCATGGCAGGAAAGGTTCCAGAGATGGATGGGACAGTTGGGGGAGGGAGGGTAGGCAGGAAAGCCAGGACGAGGGGCTGGGCAGCAGTGCTAGGATTTCTGAAATTATGTGATTTCTGTCTTTCTTCACTTTCTTTCACATCATTTGGAATCCCATGACATTTCATTCGCTGGCTGATCCTGTCTTTGTCATTCCCAAGATGACCCAGGCTTGTGAGCATTTCCTGGCTCATGACAGTTTTATAAATGCAGAAACACTGGACACCCATCTACCTCCTGAGACTGTGTCTCACAAGAGGATGCCTGCATATTTTTGGACCTTTTGTGGAGGAGGAAGCAGAAAGTGAGAAAAGATACCAAGATGAATAAACCAACTCACCTGTAATCCAGGGCAATATAAGTCAACAATTTGTCGTGACCAGTGCTCAAGAAATGTTGAAAATAGTGAATAGTAACTAGAGATATTGAAATGTCCTTCTTAGAATAAAGACTTTTTAAAAATCCCTGAATATATATATATCAAAATGCTCTAGATTTAAATTAGAAAGAAACATAATGAAATCGTAGAATTGGCATCTAGCCCAATCCCCTCATTTTACAGAAGAACTTAGTCTCAGAGACCTGAAGAGACTTATCTTGGGTCACACAGTATACCAGAGCCAAAATCAGTTCTGGAACCCAGGAGCCAGTGTTAAGCATCAACTCTTCATTTAAAGCTCAAAATTTCCTGGAAGGAACAAAAATAAGTCTCTAATATCTCACTCCAAATGAATGTTCTCCTTGGCAGGGGAAAGGTAGACAGCTGAAAATCTTTGGGTGCTAGAGAGGTGGAGGTCACAGCAAAGGTCAGCAGGAAATCTTAGAGCAAACTGCTTATCAGTATCATTGTCCAGAGCATGCCACCCACAAAGCCATTTCCCCAGCACCTGGCTATCATTATGTTACTCTCCTGCTCAAAAAAACCTCCACAGGCTCCATCATTGTCTACAGAATAAAAACCAAACTTCTTAATGACACAAAACACAGGCCCTGCTTTCATAGCCACTCCTCTCCTGTAATGACTCCATACTCGATCAGGTACCTGCTTTGTGCTGGGCACTGTGTAGACAAGGGGTTGGCGGGCGGACACAGTGGTAATGGCCAAACAAGACGCAATGACAAAGTGCAGCTTGTGATGGTGATGGGGGTGGCAGAAGAGGGCTCCTAACTATCTAGAAATGACATTTGAGCTGAAATCTGAAGGTCTCAAGGGACCAGCCCTATGAAGAGCTGAGGAGAAAACTTCATAGACAGAGGGAATTGCAGTTTCTCTACCTGAGTGGCCGCTACCGTCTGCCTGCTTCTGCTTCTTTTTTCATGCCATTCCTACTGCTAAAAAGGCCTTTCCTCCATTTGTCTCTACTGACCATTTCTGTCTGAAGCAATGCTGAATAGTGGTAACAAGTGTAGGCTCTGGGTTCATGTGGACTTGCTTCTCTTTTTGCCATCTACAAGCTGGGTGGATTTGGGCAAGTCATTTCATGTCTGTGAACCTCGGTTTCCTCATCTTTAAGGTGGAGATAATAATAAAACCTACCTTAGGGGATTACTATGAAAATTTAGCAAAATCTTTTATATAAGACACTTATTAAAACATAGGTAAAGGTCAATAAATGTTGGTTATTAACTACTCTTTAAGACTCAGCTCAAATTACATCTTCTCTATAAATTTCCTGGGCAATCCCAGCTCAAAGTGGTATTTATTTCATTGGACTTCCTATGTTTCTGGAATTGAATGTTGCTCTCCCTCTGTTTTTTTCGTGTGTGCCAATATTCTCTTGTAGTACGTATTTTGTGTATCACTTTTATTCATCTCCCCTAATAGATTGTGAGCCCTCTTCACAATAATCGTGGCTTACTCTCACGTTTCCTTGATTGTAAGAAGTCATGGCCAGGCATGGTGGCTCACACCTGCAATCCCAGCACTTTGGGAGGCCAAGGTGGGTGGATCACCTGAGGTCAAGAATTCGACAAGAGTGACTCAATAAAGAAGTCACACTACATGTGTGTTCAACGTACATATGCATGGGTGGCCGAAATGGAAGGGGAATGCAAGGAGAGGCAGTGCTGACCACAGGCATATGATCATCATCTGATTGCTATGGTCAGACTCTACGATGGCCCCAATGATCCATTCTCCTGGCATTCATGTCTTCATACAGGTATCCCCCCTTCAGTGCAGGCAGAACTGGCGACTTGCTTCTAATCAACAAAATATGGCAAAGGTAAGAAATTGCTGCCTCCATGATTAGGTTGTTTAACAGTGTGACTTCCATCTTGCTAGCAGACTGTCCCTTTGATGAATCAAGTGACCACATTTTGGAGATACTTGTGTAGCAAGAAACTGATGGTGGCTTCTGTCCAACAGCAAGCAAAGAAATAAATCCTGCTGACAATCAAGTAAGAAAGCTTGAAGTTGGATTTTTCCCCAGTCAAACCTTCAGAGGAGATGCAGCCCTGGCTGACACCATGTTTGTAGAGACCCCAGTGCAGAGGATCCAGATAAGCTGCCCCTGTATTTCTGACCCATAGAAACTGAGATAATTAACACCTGCTGTTCTAAGCCATTGGTGGGATTTTGTGATAAGAGTGTGGTGATTTGTTATGCAGCAATAGGTAACTATACTTGTTAAGTAAACTTGGAAAGATAGCTTTATCTCTGAACTAGGGTCTCCTGCTTAAGGATCTTCTTTATGCTGGGCACTGGAGTGGGTACCAGGTCTACAGTACCAAGCAAGACAGACAGCATCCTGCCGTGGAGCCTGTAGTCCTGCCTCAGGCCCCAAGGGATACTGCTTTCACCTTGCTGGTTGCACAGGGAACTTATGCAGTTTCAGGCTTTTCTGTTAGAAGGTCAACGGAACCACTAGGTAGAGAGACAAAAGCCAGAGCCATTCTGAAAGCTCTTAGGAAAGGAAATCAGATCGAACGGATGGGGGCTTTCAACATAAGCACATGCATTTAGGTTTTTTTTTTTTTTTTTTTTTTTTTTTAAATACTGTGCTTTTAAAATAAAGACTAATGTGGGGCTTCTAAGAAATGAGTATATGACATGGGAAAGGCATTCTGAAACCAAAGCACATTCTGTTATCTCCAGCTCAGACTGGAAGCCCTCCTGATTTTTCAAGAGAGGAAACAGGATTGCAAGTATCATTTGAGGTGATGGGTATTAGAAAGTTATCTCTTTCATGGAGTCATTCTGGGCTATAAAAAGGTATCCCTGTAAGAGGCCTTATTTCTTTTAACTAGCCCCACACAGACTATGAGTCAGGAGGAATGACCCAGTGTCCCAACCTTACAGGCCCCTAAGCGCCTCTGTTTCCTTCACACCTCTTCCCCACCTTTCTCCTCTAGGTAATACTCCCTGTTCCCATAGACACCACAGAAGTCCTGACCTCAACTCTTATCTTCTTTATTAGTACTCAGTGGCCTATGTGAAAGGAGTCACAGCCCTTGAAAAATAAAACTTGAGCCAGGCATAATGGTGTGCTACTATAGTCCTAGCTACTCAGGAGGCCGAGGTGGGAAGATGTCTTGAGCCCAGGAGTTCGAGTCCAGCCTCGGCAAGTCTTTTGCAAGTCTATCTTGCCCAGACTAGACTGGAAGTCCTAAGCTCAAGAGATTTAAAGAGACCTCATGTTTGAAAAATCTAAATTTGTTGGTCTTCTTTTAAGGATAAGTAAAGGCCTCAAGAATAAATGGCCTGCTGAGCTTCCCTAGAAAGACAATGCAGAGATTTTCTCTTTTCTTTGAGAAGCACGTCCACACGCAATCCCAACACTCACAAAGGATGGGCAGAATGTTGTTTTTAAGACAATATGCAGTAGGACTCACTGACTGGGTTCATAATTCCAGCTCAGCTACTGATAGCCATCGGGCCTTTGGCAAACTATTTAATGTCTCCGGTCTCTGCTTTTAATTTTTTTAATTTTTATTTTATTATTATTTTTGAGATGGACTCTCGCTCTGTTGCCCAAGCTGGAATGCAGTGGCATGAATCTGGGCTCACTGCAACCTCTGGCTCCTGGGTTCAAACAATTCTCCTGCCTTAGCCTCCTGAGTAGCTGGGACTACAGGCATGCACCACCATGCTTGGCTGATTCGTTTGTATTTTTCGTAGAGATGGGGTTTCACCATATTGGTCAGGCTGGTCTTGAACCCCTGACCTCAAATGTTCCACCTGCCTTGGCCTCCCAAAGTGCTGGGATTACAGGTGTGAGCCATTGCACCTGGTCTGGTCTCTACTTTTTAAATGGGGGCAATAATAGCCCCTACTATTAGAGGTGCTCATAGAGACAGTATAAAGTGCTTAGTGTGGTGCCTGGCACGTGACAAGCACTTAGTAAATTTTAGCTACACTCTTAATGTAGCAAAAGGAACAAAGAAAACAGGCAGTTTTCATCTCTGATTACATTTAATTTGATCAAGACACACTAGAAAAAACAAAGACTTAAATTCTCCTTGTTTGGGCTGAGTCAGGGAAAGGTTTGAGTCTGTCCTCAGAGCCTTTGCATTTGATTCAGATCCTTCTTGACCCCTGTCTTTTCACAGCTCCCCTTCCTCTGCTCCCCTCTTGCCCAAAGACCCGCAGGGCAATACCTCACCTGGGATCACCTCCCCAAGTCTTAGATTTTACTGTCCCACTTCCTTCCCCATGACATCTCTCCTCTCTCCTCTCTCATGTCCTTGTCCTTAGGGCTTTTGCTAGCATCTGATCAACTAATTTGTGCCAAAATGTTAATCACTCTTGGTTTAAATCAATCGTTCTTAGTTTTTTGAAAAATATATCTCCACACCATGCATATGAGATGCATAATAAATCCCATTAGTAACAACATCCTTCATCACCCCTCTCCAGTGATCTCAGCTCAGTGTGGGGAGGGGAGGTGTAGTCCAGAAGAGCACTCCCTCCCCAGCCCTGAGCGGGGGTCTCACACTCAGCCCCCATACCATTCAGAATCGCAGCAAGTGCTGCCTCCCAGATTTGCCTTTTGGCAGATACCTTCAATGCCTTAACCCAAACAATATCTGATCATGAATATTTAAGGTTCTCCAGCAGAACCATATCTGAGGCCTGTAAGGGGTGTTACGGTGGTAGATAGGGAGAAGACACATCTGATTACTTTCTGATTGCACATGTAACCTATCCTTTCCATCCCTCTCCAGAAAGCCTAAATAACTGTGGTCTCTTAGCCTTATTTTCCTCTGGCTTTCAAATAAAATATTAGACTAAATAATCAAAGCCACTAATCTGCTAGTATGTTCAGAGCTGGCCTTGGAAAGAGTGCTGGATCTTTGTTCATAAGTAGGAATGATACAGAAATTCTGCTGTTTATTCAAAGCAGTGTATTAACTGTTTAATGGGGGAAGCCTTCTTGCCATGGAGGGCTTTGGCTGGCTGAGCTGGAAGGTTAAATTGGCTGGGAAATGCTAGATGGATTTTCTGCTTCTATTCCTTAGCCAGCCAGGGCAGAGTGACTGCTTACACCCTGGTATTGGTGGCCTATCCCAGGAAGTCCTTGATGTCCCCAAACTCCAATCCTCATTGGACAATCTTAATATGCAAATTTTCCCCAGAGGAGATACACCTCATTGATAACCTACAGGCCACATTTGACAGGTTTCCAAATTAACCACCTAGGGAAGGTCATGGCTTCCATTCTGTCCTTGAGTAAAGAATTTCACAATAAGTCCCTCAAATCTTATCCTAAGTTCCTCAAACTGTTGTCTTACTGATTAATTTGTAATCTGCTGATACTGAAAAGGACACTGATTTGTTCCTGAATCATGAAGTCTTGTTGGTTGTCTTGCACACAGAACATTTTACCCAGTGTGTTGTCATCTGTAGCCAATGATTGTAACTTCTGTATTGTACTCTCCAATGATAAAGGATGACTCTGATAGGAAGAGCCTCCCCTCCCTTCTCCTAAACTTTCTTATAAAAGCATTTCCATTTGTCACAGACTTGGGAACATGCCCAACTTTGTTGATGTGTCTTCCTGGGTCAGTCCTCAAATTTGGCCTCCAATAAACCTTTATTAAATTATTTCTGCTGCAACACCCTTAATTTCAGTTGACATCATGCTATAGTTCCTGTTTGGGTTGAGTCAGGGAAAAGCATGATTATTTTGTGGTGTCTGGCTGTGGGGGATGAGTGAAAATCACCAGGTGGATCAGATCCAATTTCAAGTATTTAATTCTGTCTCTATAAAACCATCTAAGATGCTTAATATTTTAGCATCAAAATGAAGTCTTTCAGTTGTATTCAAGTGGCTACCTGAGAGTTGCTTTAAAATATCCTATTAATAGTACAATTACTGTGTGTGTGTGTGTGTGTGTGTGTGTGTGTGTGTGTGTGTGTGTGTGTGTGTGTATGGACGGATGGATATATTGGAAATCTACTGAATAGCGGTTTTCAAACATTGCTATATTTTAGAATCAGCCTTCACCCAGGCCAGTTAAATGAGATTCCCTCAAGCATTGGTATTTTTTTTTAAAGTTTCCCAACTGATTGCAGTGTGCTGCCATTTTGAGAAACACGTGCTACAAAAAAGAGCTGTTGAACAAATCAAAGCACAAAACAAATTTCAGCCCCAATGAAGGCTTTATCTGTAAAATCCTTTTCAACTCTCAGTTTCTATGATTAAATAAATATTTGTTGCTTTACAAAAGAAAAACACATCTTCTAGACTCTCTTCTGCACCTGGCAGTTGCAAAAATATGAACAAACAAACAAAAAATCTTTTGGTTCAGAAAACATAGTCCCTAGATGGGAATCTTTGACTCTTGCCAAATACAAGTTCTGTGAATTTCTTGATTTTCCTACAGGCTGTCTCTATCTAGTCTCACACAAACATTCTTAGAGGTAAATTTGATTTATTCCAAGAATACTTCCTAACATGGACGGGCAGAGACTCTCAAAACTGGAGGCCAGGTGGAAACCAAATTCCATAAGAGCTGAGTCCTGCCTGTTGAATTTGCATAGGTGGGAGGTCTAGGGGCTCAATTTAGGCTGCTGGAGGCATCATTAATTTCAATTAGATGTAAAGTCTTTGCAGTGGGTTGCTCCGTGACAACCATTTCAGGATATCTTGCTTGTGTGTGTGTGTGTATGTGCGTTTTGCAAGGATACTGCTAATGGAGTTTAACGTCCTTTCATCTCAACAGAGGCTTTATTAAGTCTCCTCACGTCCATAAGTACCTGTAGCTGCCCTGTTCTCTCTTAATTCGTTTTCTGTGCCGCATTCAAGAGTATTTGGAGTCTCTGCAAGAACAAATAAACCTCTGAACTCTGATACACGTGTAATCTGCCAAGGTCCACCCCACAACTCCAGACTGTCCCCAAACGCGGCTGAAACAACATCAGAAAGCATCAATGTTTCCTGTAATCCATTTGCCAAAGACAATGTACGAGACGTGTCGCATTTCCTATTTCAGCTGTGCCTGGCATTTCTTTCCCTCTGGTAACTGGGGCAAGAGGTCAAGGGAGACTCTCAAGGTGACAGATTTGTTAAAGAAAAAATGCAGTTATTTCAGCTTTCAGGGCTCAGCACTAACTACTCAGATATCTACCTTCCTTTCTCTTTGTTTTTACTCAGTGAATGAGTGAAGACCTTTTATGTGATGAAATGCATAACTGAAAGTTCCTACTGAGCCAGTTGTATGACCGTGGGCCTCAGTGGCCACCTCTGCAATGTAGATGATAACTCAGCAAGCTCTAAATTTCTGTTGTAATATGCAAAAGAAGTAAAAATGGGGTTATTTCTGTTACTATAGGCACCCTTCTGACTACACTTCCCTCTTGACAGTGAGATTGTGGTGTTAAAGACACAGCTTTAGTAGACAGCTTTCCAAATACTGACAGAGGCGACTGGCTTCATCAGGACCCCCGCAGACCAAGAACTTGAGAGATGAGGGCAACACACTCTTCCTACTTTTTGTGTAAACGATCAGAAACCAGAAACACTGGGGACACTTCTCCCTCTCGTAATTACTTACGAAGGAATGTCATAGCCTCAAGCGTAATTAACAGCATTTTAATTCATTCTCTCTTTTTAGGCTGCTCACATACTTGCTGTTGCAAGAATGAGCACAGCATTATGGTGTGTTATCTTTTTAAAATGAGGCCAGAGATGTTGAACTGTAGCCATCCCCATAAGGAACCTTGCTCTCAGCTTAAACACAGGTTGGGGAATGCACAGTGAGGTTGTGATGAAGTGCAGGCAGAGCTGCTGTGGTCCTGCACTCTCCGAATGATATGCAAACAGTATTTAGCTATGCTTATCTGAACAATCACCTGCTCATTATCTGGCCAGCAGGGAAAGATTCCACAAATAAACCACCCACTGACAAAGTTATACAATTATTTAGGAGACTTTGGGATGGCGCATCCGTGGACTTGCTTCCCTCCCTGGAGTCCTCCTTCTCCCTAAGGCCAGCACATCTCCCAGCCTATGATGGCAGCCATACTCACCTTCTCTGCCTCAAATGTTAATGAAGAAAAAAAATTCCTGTGTATTTGCTTATGAAAGACACTGCATGTTATTCCATAAAGTGGAAGGTGATGATCTCCTTCTTTAAAATGTTTTCAGCTCCTCTTAATATTTTTCCCTCACTTAAAACACACAAAGACACACCCCACACCCATCTACACACATATGCACACACTGGCTTCACAGAAGCAACTAGTTCTGTCTGGCTTTTAATTTCATACTCAATGCTAATGTGTTATTTCATACAGGAGCAGTAAAATGTGAAACTGACATTGGTTGAAATTTAGGGCATCCTGCTTTCCTATATATTATTCCTAGCTTCTAAAATATTCATAACCACTTAAAGATGATTTATAGATATATGTCTAGAATTGTATCCTGATAATAAGTGCTTTACATATTTGTATTCCTCAGAGTATGTATATGTTTGGTAGCAATTGGAGACCAAAATGCAGTAAAATATTTGTATGTGTTAATTATGTAATATAAATATACATGTAATATATATACATATATATTGGCCAAAGCTCTACAATGAGAGATACCATGTCAAAAAGCAGTAAACTGTCAGGAAACTATGAATATAAATAGTTTTTAGCAATAGCGTCTTATCAAGGCATTCTTAACTACATTTGGCATTTTTGGAGCAAGAAAAATGCTGGGGTTTCATTAAACTGCAGCACAAAGGAAATGGAGAATTTGGATCCTATATGGGAATGTCCTTCAAATGAACAGACTGCATAGAAAAGCTGAAAGGTATGTTCATGCAAAATCAACCCCTTTCCTAAGAAAAGCCCCTCAATTTATTTTTAAGTACCAAGAAATTAATAGAAAAAAATGTAGTAAATAATTAAGAGTATGTTTAAATGTCATATGTAACATCATTCATGATGAAAGTAAAGTTCATAAAAGATTCATTTGTTTTCTTACTCATGTAAAATAGCAAGATCAAATAGAGTGAAAAACTCTATTTTTCTGATCTATCTCAATAGTGTATATTTTTATTGGATTCTAAGAGAGCTATAATGATGTTTAGTTGTTTACTGCTAGAAAAATAAGTTTTTCTCAATTTAAAAAAATGCTAAAGGTATATAGCAAATTGAAACTATAAATGATTCTTATTATGAAACACTCAGGCAATATTTTTCCTGTATATTGGGTGCCAGGATATCACCCCAGGTGCCTCATTTAAGCCAGCCAATCTGTGCTGTTCTCAGAAAAGAAGAATGCTTTTCTGGGAAATTCGCCATTCGAAATTCCAATGGTTGCTTATCCCCTTCTGAAGCTAATGGTGCCAGTTGCTAAGAAAACAGTGCTTCTTGGCTGCCCAGAGGACATAGCTCTTTCTCTGTGTTGCTACAGGATCAAGGATCAACTTTGAGACACTCATTGTCCTGGAAAATTAGTGTATTGTGAACCTTCTCAAACTTGGCATCTAAGAGGTATAATCCGTATTGCTTGTTTTTTTTGATCCCTGGGAAGGTGCTGATAACAGTTTTGAAGTCAGTGTGTGCTTTCTCCCAACACACTCATAGTATAAAGGACTTGAGGTCTGGCTAGCTTGTGGGAAGACTTAGGGGAAGAATTTCTCAAGACAGAGCCAAAGAAGAGGGTCTGGCTATGGCTTTTAGTCATATTTTAACCCCCCAGCCTTCTTTTTCTCCCACCCTAATGATTAGGTACATTAATTTGGGGATATGCTCTCTGTCTAGGGACATGTTCTCTTGGGCTCTGTGCTGGACCCCTGAAGATGATGCTGAAAATGCACTGTTAGGAAAAGATCTCCTTATATTCTGTGCTTGAACAGCATGCCAAGTCCTCTAAATACTTTCTCTAAACCATTCTAAATGCGAAATTTAAAGCCTTTCTTTCTAGAAGTACTGAAGCAGACCGTATGTTAAATGGAAGAAATTAAATCGAAAGGTTCTAGAATAAGACAATGATTTAGCAAGACCTGTGGAGTGAACAGTGAAGAAATACAATGCAGACCAGAGTTTTCTACCTGAGCAATTCCTGTCTACTCCCTGATTATAAACTCTAACCTGCTTAGTGGCTGCCACTAACCTCCCAGCCCTGTGGCAATGATTTCTCTCTCCTCTACGCACCTTCCTCCTTCCCAAATAATAATACAAATTTATCATTGATTACTATTTACTAAGTATCTATTATGTGCCAGGCAACATATGTATGCTATCAACAATACTTGCATAGGTCATTCAAGAAAGGTAAAACTTTCCTCTCTTTACAGATAAAAAATTAAGACTAAAAAAAGTTTCGTTAACTTACCTAAGACCACAGAGTTGGAGGTGGCATAGCTGGTTTCCAATCAAGTCAGTTTCAAATTTAGTCTGTCTAATCCCAATCTGCAATGGTAACCACTACACTAGATTTATGCCTCTGTGGTGGTACTTATGAAACCTTGTTTATTCTTGCTTCTCTCCAACTCTGTTCAATAGCGACAGCTAAGGACCACCCCCTAGTCCAACCTGAGACCCCAAATCCAAGCGTATCTGACACCAGAGGCTTAGCATTTTCCATTAAATGCATACTGTCCAATACAGCAGCTACTAGCCACATGTTTTGAGCACTTAAAATGGGGCTACTCCAAATTGAGGTCTAAGTGTGAACTATGCACAGATTTTGAAGATTTAGTATAAAACAAAGAAGGTAAAAAATGTCATTAGTAATTTTTATATTGATTTTATGTTGAAATAATATTGTAAATATACTGGGTTAAATAAATTATTAAAATGAATATTACCTGTGGCTTTTTAAATTTTTTAAAATGTGACTCACGGACAATTTTAAATTTACATGTGGTTCACACCATATTTCTACTGGACACTAGGTCATTCAGAGTCTGCAGGGAAGGGCATAGTAAGAAGCTGCTGCCAACCTCCTTCAGGAACTTTACAGTCCCTATCACTCTATGCCCTGACTCTCCTGCCTCAGTATTTCAAAAAGTGATTGCTTCTCACAAAAAGATTGGGAGGTCCTTACATATCACAGAATCTCAAGGCTAGAAGGAAACTTACAAATTATGTGGCCGAACCCACCTAATTTTCACTGTTAGAACCCCTAATGTAGCAGTGACATCGTGGTAGCTTATGTCACTGTTCCAAAGATTGACTGTCCCTTATTCTTCCGTGCCCCACTGATGCCAAGCTTGGGCACAGAACTTGTCTTCCTCTTTCAGGGGCAATTATACATCTCCCCACTTTTTAACTCAGAGTGGCCATGTGACTTGCTTTACTCAATTAAATACGTGTACAAATGTCACATCTGAACTGTGGCTTTAAGAACCAACTCATGGTTTGCCATAACTCTCTTTTTGCTCTGATATGAAACCTGCAGTGTCCTGGTAAGGGCTGCTCTGTTAGCCTGGGACTCTAAGGGAGGATGATGAAGAGGAGATTCACGATTAAACCATGACATACGTATACTATGTAACTTGGGTGACAGATAAGCCTGAGTTGTTGCAAGTTGCTGAGGTTTTGGCTGTCTTTGTTACTGCTCACAACATAGATACTGAGGTCTCCTCACCAAATCATCACACAGCTATATTTGAATCCCTCCAGTGACAAAAAATTATTACTACCACCCCAGGCAGATCATCCTATCTTTTCATAGCCCTGACTACTAGAGAAATCTTCCTCATATTGCACCAAGATCCACTTCCTGGGACAAACTTCTTCCTGTACAACAGAATGGGTCCCCTTCTAATTGTCAAAACAAGTGAGGAAGTAATAAGCCGAAAACCAGGTTTCGCCTAAGGTCAGATATTAGCCAAAGTAAAAGAGGTCACTGAAGGTGCCTCCATAGGGTAGCAGCAAGCAGACTTGCGGGTGAGCCAAGGGACCATGTTCACAGCAGAAGGGGAGAGCACAAAAAGCTGAGCCCAAGAGATAGGGTGAGCTCAGAGCCACAGGGGCAGAGGAAGAAGAAAAGCCAAGGAAAATAAGATGTCCATACGCAGTTGGTTTGCTGGAAGTTGTGAGGATGGCAAGGTGGCATGACAAGCTCACTTATGGACGTTGTCCCACAGGAGAGGCTCTGGCAGCATGAAAAACCCCATACACTGAATCTGACATTGCCAACCTCAGTCATTTACCTCCTGGTTTCACTTTTGAAGCCATAAAGTTTTCTTCTTCAGCATATATTTGTAGACAGCTTCATTTGTCATCGAGGAGACTAACATTGATGCTCACTTTGTAATTCAACTAGAAGGACTGTGGGAAAGTGGCTCAGAACTTGGATTTTGGAATGGAGTTATATCTGGATCAAGTTATACATCAAGTTACATTCAAACTATGACCCCCATCAATTGTTAGCTGTGAGACCTTCAGAAATTTTCTAACCTCTGTACGCCTCACTTATCTGTAAAATAAGGATATTCCCAATCTTGTAGGGCTGTGGTTTTGAAGATGAAATACTATAAAATGTTTTCTGCTGTACCTGCCCTTCAATAGGTGGTAGGTATATGTTTTTCTCTGGTAAAAGCAAACAAAAAATTTAAGAGATGGATTAGGAGATAGGAGCCACATTGATAGCACATGCTATGCCTCCTGGGACTCACCTGGGGTCTTGCAAAGTGCTGGGTAATGATATCGGTCCTTATATTTTAGGACTGGATCGTCTGCTATTGAAATTTTGCTACAGGATCCCTTAAAGGTTCATCTGAGGTAACTCAGAAAAGCAGTGCATTCCTTATTTGTATTTGTGCTCTATTTTCTGTTGTATTTCCTTATCTAGTTTCTCCCACTTTCTTCTATTGAAGCCAGTACTGAGAATCAGCACCTTATAACAGCGTTACAGCAAGGGAGTGTAGATATTCCACAGCCAATTTCATATAATTATTTGAAAGCACAAGAAGCAAAAGGTGACAAGAACACTTATCATGTACTGTGCAGTCATAAAGCATCAGAGATGCTGCAACAAAACCTGTCTAGCCATCCAGCCAGCCCGGGATTCTATCCCTGGCACCCAAGACTGTTCTTCTCCAAGTCACCTTGAAAAGTTTTCCTCCAACAACTGTGCTTCCAGCTAATAGCCTATTAAGGCCATTAATAGAGCCAAATATATAGTTTTAAGAAACATTCGTGTGTGTGTGTGTGTGTGTGTGTTTGTGTGTACAGAGAGAGAGAGTAAATCTATTGGACCTCTTGAAATCACTCTGCAGTGTTTGAACTTAACTCTCTCCTTTCAGCAGGTCTACCCAGTCCTGTGAGCAGGAACCCTAGCTGTCCATTTCTCATTCAGTTGCGATGTCCTTCTGCAACCTTCTCTAGGTTGTTAAGTTTTATTGAGGCCCAATGACCAGAACTGCACTGGGTGGTGGGGCACAGTGTGGTATTTGACTACTTCCCTTTCTGATGATTTCTAGGATCCAGATCTCTTTCTGAGCCCTACCATATTCATCTCACAGCTCCAATCTACAATAATTTGTATACAAATTATACATATATGCAAATAATATAGCTACATAATGCAACCTTGGGTCCTATAGTTCTGGAAGTATACTGAGGATCTTATATTTACATAATTCATTTTGTAGTATATTTCCAAATTTCTAATCCAATTTAAAGTGTCTTAGCTATCACCATTTGTTAACCGAAGTTATTCCCCAATTACATTCTGCTTACCTTCAGGGGGTACAATAAAATAAAGTGAGTACATTTTTGTAAAATTAGGGTTTTTAATTCCCTTGTACCACCTTCAATTAGCCCATTTTCTGTCTTTATTCATTACAGACTCTTAAACTCTGATATATGTATTTCCTGAGTGGGAGATTTGGAGAATGTACATATGACTCTCTACTTCTGAGCTGTCATCATGATAAATTGAATGTGCCCAGTAAGTCTTCTCCTAATTTCCTATTTAAATGCTTCAAAAAATATATAAAAACATAGAAACCAGCGACAGAGTTGTCAACTACATTTGCTGTGGTTGGGGAATTTACACCAACTGAATCACTGATGGAAATGGATTGAAAAGCCCATTGTAGGATTACATATAACAAACCACATCGTGCTCTGTGAGAGCAGGGCAGGTACTGGCTGTGAAGGCTCTAATCACGCCCACTGACCAGACTTGACTAGCCCTGCCCTGCCCTGGAAAATAGGGAGGTGCAACCCAATTAAACACAAGCTTCCAAGCCCAGAATCCTACTCTTCCCCACCCCATCAGCTGTTTTTTACATTCAGTCACTGTAACTCAAAGCTCACATTAGCCCGTGAAGTATTAGCTCTTGGTTGTCTAAGGAAAAATATTGCAGACAGGACTAAAGATGAAATATTTATGAATGGTGGATGTTGTTTCAAACTGTGACTGATTCTCTATGTCACGTCAAAAAAGCAAATATCAGATCAAGGCTCAACTGAACTTATGCTAGAAGAAGGCTGTCTACGGCATATTGAGCAAGGGCACTGCATATCAAACTGAACTGAGAAGCAGGTGTGCCAATCCCCAAGTGGGCAGTAGAAAGGTCTAAGGAGGTCTGAGGACTCAACCTTTGCTGTTGATTAGGAACTAGCCCTAGAGAACATTTTCTGTCTTTAAGGATGAGTAAAGAATAGAAGGAAGGAAAGGAGGATAGAAAGGAGGGAAAGAGAGAAGATGACAAGCTCCAAAAAGCAGAAAGCAATAGATAAAAGCCTATGGAGTATTAAAGGTTAAAGTTTATGATACATTTCTAAATCCGGAACTCTATTTATATGTGAAAGCAGTAGTAAGAAAATTCTAGAGATACCTCAACAAATAAAGTACACCACTTACGTCAAAATTAGAAACTCAGGAATCAGGTAGTTATAGAATAGTATGAATAGTGCTAGGCTTTGAAAACACTTGAAGATACGTGGAACAAGTGCTCTCATTCTGAGTATATATTTTTACAATTGTCAAACAGGTTCTTGCTTCCACTTCTTATCTCCTAATTCAGAACCACTGAGAGATGAAGCCTAGACATGTGTGTTTTTCAAAAACTCCTCAAAGGATTGTGATGCAGAGCAAGTTTGAAAATCATTGTAATAAATGGACAATGTCTTTTCTTGAATTTGAACTTTTTGACCAATGATAAATTTTTATATGTTTACTGCTATTTCTGTTTCTTCTTTTGTGAATTATCTTTCTGTGTCTTTGACAATGTTTCTATGAATGTACCAGTATTTTTCTTACTGTTTTAAACATTTTTATTATATGTTAGAATGTTAATAAGCATTTGTCATAAATGTGGCAGTTATTTTCCTATAGTCTGTCATTTGCCTTTGAACTTTATTAAAAAGTCTATGCATTCACATTCATAGTCACAGATTTTAATTATTCTGGGCTTTCTGGGTCGCTGTAATATTTAAAATTCTTACATGTCCATGTTTTCGCCTAGTGTCTGGCATTCATACAGGAAGAAAGATAAGGGGAATATGCACTTCTGTAGGACAGCCGTAAGCACTACACATAGAGAAAATGCAGTATGTGGTGGAGACATTCAAAAGGAATTGGGACAACAGGAAAATCAATATGCAGACATTAGGGCTTCTACATTTTTTTTTTGTTTTTGTTTTTGTATTTTTAGTAGAGACAGCCACGGTAGAATCCACCGTGTTAGCCAGAATGGTCTTGATCTCCTGACCTCATGATCCTCCTGCCTCAGCCTCCCAAAGTGCTGGGATTACAGGCGTGAGCCTCTGAGCCCGGCTAGACATTAGGACTTCTAAGGCCATTCCATATGAAAGATAAGGAATATCTTGGTCCATTTTCTGTTGCTTATAGAAGAGTGCCTGAAACTGGGTAATTTATAAGAAATGAAATTTATTTCTTACAATTCTGGAGTCTGGGAAGTCCAAAGTTGATGAGGTACATTTGGAAGAGTCCTGAGGTAGTGCAGGACATCCCATGGCAAGGGGACTAAGCAGGCAAACCTGCTTACTCAGGTCTTTCTTCCTCTTTCTATAAAGTCACCGGTTCCCCTCCTATGATAACTCATTAGTCCATTAATCCACGAATGGATTAATGCATTCTTGAGGGCAGAGCTCTCGTGATCCAGTCACCTCTTAAAGGCCTCTCTTGATACTGCCACACTAGGGATTAAATTTCAACGTGAGTTTTGGAGGGGACATGCACACCACAGCAAGGAAACATATCAAATCCCTGCTCAAACATAGAAGAAAAAATAGCAACTTTTAAGGCCGTACTCCCACATAGCTCACCCAATTCTGATTGAGAACTTTCTTTCTAAACCCTTGGAGAAATATCCACTGATCTTTTTCCTCTTTGGTTTCTCATTTGTTTTCATGTTTAGAAAAGCCTTCTCTAACCAAAGGTCATTTCAAAAAATTCATCTGTATTTCTCCTAGCTTTATAGATTGATTTTTCACCTTTAGCTCATTAATTCATCTTTGCAATTGGTGCGTTATTATTATCCTTTCCATTTTTCAGAAGACAACATGAAAGCTCAGAAATGATTTTAAAAGTTTGGCTCCAAGTCAGATCTGATTCTGAATCAGTTACCCTAGGATATGAATTTGATTTTCAATCATGGTAGCTTCATACAAGTCCTGCCATCATAGGAAGTGGGCTGTGGCCTGGCATGGGCCAAAGACAAGGATGAGAATAATGTTTGGCACAGCAAACCCCCCTCCAGCCAGTGCAGCCACAGTGATTGAGAAATGTTCAGACTCTGGCCAGGGAAGCGAGCTGTGTCCCGCCCTAAGGACAAAGTGGGGGGCCACCATGTAAGTGTTCAAACTTCAACACAGCCTTTTCCAGGAGGGATCTGTGGAATCTTCTAATATTTTGTGTCTAATTATTTTTCTACTTAATGCATACCTTAGCTTTTCAAGAAACTATAGGACTAGTTGTCTTTCAAAGGTAAAATCTTTCCATAAACAGTGGATACAAAAGAAATGAATCAATCTCAGTTGTATGAATTGAACATTTTATTCTAGTGCTTGTTACAGCCTATTCAATAAAAAAATATTTTCAGCTTTCAGAAAAGTGCTTCATTCAATGTCGGGAGATGTTGGGAAACATTATACCATGAAAAAAAATAGGCTAGTGTCATAAGTTTACTTCTACCTTTTCCAACATCATTTTGCTAACTAGAAATGTGGACACACAAGTACTCTTTGGTCTAAGAGTGACTCAATATTAAATGTGTCAATTTATCAATACAGAGGCTTACAAAAGGACTGAGGAAGGATTTCTTTATGTTGTTTGAAAAGTGGAATTTAAGATTTTAATCAATAAATCTGTACTTGGTGTATTGGATTTTTATTAAGGAGAAGGAAAGTGTTGCCCTAATTAAAACTCAACTGTGCAATTGTTCTTTCTTCCTTGAGAATGGAGAACAGAGAGAAGAATGGAGAACTTGAGAATGGAGAACAGAGAGAAGTAGTTAAATAGAAAGACTCCACTTTATAGACACCCTCTTGATAGCTCATTCATAAGAATGCATGGTTCTTAAGGTATAAACATAGGATACTCAGTTTTGCTTTGACTGTTTTTATTTTTCTGTGGTAGGGATAAATTGCAAATTGTTTTGGACACTATCTCTTAACCCATTCCCGTGAGCAAAGCACATTTTTCTGTAAGATGACTAAGCTAATTAAATTAGTAAAATATAACTTAACAAACATGGCCAGTGTTCCAAATTAATATGCATGGTCTGCAAATCGCTCATTCATTCATTCATCAAACACTTAGCAAACATGTAAATAAGTCAGCCACTCGGCAAGACACATGGAATACAAAAATTCAGACAACTGCTCTCCAAGAGCTCATAGCCTAATAAGATATCTTGATGAGTGAGATATGAAGTGATACATGCTATAACAGAAGCACATATAAAGTATTAAGACAGAATAGAGGAGGGAGAGGCCAATCTGTCTGGGGAGAGTCAGGGAAGGTTTCACAGAGAAGATAATATTTGGGTTGAGACGTAAAGAAAGAGAGGGAGCTCACCAGTTTTAGCAGCATGATATGAACTTTCAAGGAACAGAGAACAATGTATTCAGAACTGAGTATTCTTAAAAGACAGTGGTATGTTTGGAGAATAGTCAGTCTGGTTTTAGAGTGTAGTGAACTTACTTTGGGGACAGACAGCAAAGGAGACTGAAAAAGTGAATTGAGGCCTAGATCAGGGTTGGTAATGTAAAAACAGTAAATGTGGCCGGGTGTGGTGGCTCATGCCTGTAATCCCAGCAGTTTGGGAGGCCGAGGCGGGTGGATCACGACGTCAGGAGATCGAGACCATCCTGGCTAACATGGTGAAACCCCGTCTCCACTAAAAAAAAAAAAAAATACAAAAAATTAGCTGGCTGTGGTGGTGGGCGCCTGCAGTCCCAGCTCCTTAGGAGGCTGAGGCAGGAGAATGGTGTGAACCCAGGAGGCAGAGCTTGCAGTGAGCCGAGATTGTGCCACTGCACTCCAGCCTGGGCGACAGAGCAAGACTCTGTCTAAAAAACAAAACAAAACAAAACAAAAAAACCAGTAAATGTTTCTGGCTTTGGGGAGACTTACTCAACTCTACCCTTGTATGAAAGCTGTCATAGACAATACACAAATGAATAGGCGTGGCTATGTTCTAATAAAACTTTACAAGAAGAGTTGGTGGGTCAGATTTGGCACGTAGGCTGTAGTTTGCCAATCCATTGGCTAGAATGTGAAGAGTCTTTTAATGTTACGTTACAAATTTAAGTCCTATCTTGTGGGCATCTTTAAGCATAAGATGATCAAATGTATTCTCTAGGAGCTTAACTTTGCATCGTCATGGAGTCAAAATGGAAGTGGATATGGATGTTAGGACAATGAGTGCTGGGGGAGAGATATGGAGGAGGTAGAAAAAGGGCCCTATGTTTGAAGTATGTAGTTCCAAAGTAAGATGGGCAGGTATTGAAGGTAAAGTGGGGAGGGAAAGGCTGATGTTAACTTTTCTCTGAAGTCTCCCCTATGTGTCTTGACAATCAATACAGAGAGAGTGGGATTTTTCACCCCTACAGCCCAATTATTTTTGAAGCTATTTTAAAGATAAAACCAGTAAATCAGCCCATGAGGTCTGTATCTAAAATAGGAATTATCTGGGTTTAGGCCTTCGGTCTTATTCCAGTGATTAAGCTCTAAGTTAGGAAATTCTTGGAATTGGCCTCAGATGTGGCCAAGCCAAAGACCAGCAGATCAGTTTCCCTGCTGAATCACTGACAATAAACACTGTTTTCTGAAAAGTCCTTGGCAATCTTGGAAGCTAAGTAGTTGGTATAAAGAAAAGACAAATTTCATTGGCTTTTTAAAAATGCTTTTTTCATTTACATTCTTGTTTTACAATCTTTTCATGGATATTAAATGTTCCAAATGGTTATATTTTGACTATGAGATGTCCAGAGTACACTGGAACTTAAATCAGTGACAAGACTCAGAATTGAAATTAGCATATCATAAATTTCTTAGTAATCTGTCTGTCCCTAGGCACCTGGCCTTGTCATCATCTGTTTAAATCCTATGATTTACTCTTCACCCCTCCTCTGCTATCCCACCTCCACTTTTGTTTTAATAGACAGCAGTCAACTCTTCTAGACAGGACGTTTTTCTTCACCATTAATGTTTTGGTTTAGTCTTGTAGACATAGATCAACTCAGAGGTTTCCCGAAACAGGTTTTTTTTTTTTGATGGAGTTCCGCTCTTGTCACCCAGGCTAGAGTGCAATGGAGCAATCTCAGCTCACTGCAACCTCTGCTTCCCAGGTTCAATCTATTCTCCTGGCTCAGCCTCCTGAGTAGCTGGGACTATCGGCACGCACCACCACTTCCGACTAATTTTTTTGGATTTTTAGTAGAGATGGGGTTTCATCATGTTGGCCAGGCTGGTCTCAAATTCCTAACCTCAGGCTATCCACCTGCCTTGGCCTCCCAAAGCACTAAGGTTACAGGCATGTGCCACCACTCCTGGCCCTGAAACAACTTTTAAGAACAGAGATATTTGGCTTTGGTCATTGTTTTTAAAATGTGACTCATCAGTCAGCCTCACTTGAGCACTTTACCTCTGTTTTTGTCATTACCAATTGCTGGCTTTAGGACTTCAGTCTTCCCTTGTCTTGGGTTCCATTGTGGTGGCCATCTTGCTTTGTGGGATTTTTGAGAGCCCAAGACTTCTTTGTCTCCTGAAGGTATCAACTGGTGACCCTGAGAACCTGAGCGTCACAGAGCTACAGGTGGGTGTGCTTGATTACTTTGTCTTCTGTTCCTTGGAAGATACAGATCACCTCACAACTTCAACCTAAGTTACAAACACTAAATAATAAGTGAACATAGGTAGAATTTATGCATGGAAATCTTTCCTCTGTAAGTTACCCGTATGTCAATAAGAAAATTGTGGCTTATGCATTCAAATGTATGCACTGTTTTCTTGATGAGATATATACGTAATTCAAGTACTTTTTTCCCAGGGACTTAGCTTTCAAAATTAAGGATAAGAACAAACACTAGGCTGGTTTTTTTTTTTTTTTTTTTTTTAGACGGAATCTCACTCTGTCGCCCAGGCTGGAGTGCAGTGGCGCGATCTCGGCTCACTGCAAGCTCTGCCTCCCAGGTTCAGGCCATTCTCCTGCCTCAGCCTCCCGAGTAGCTGGGACTTCAGGCACCTGCAATCACACCCAGCTAATTTTTTGTATTTTTAGTAGAGACGGGGTTTCACCGTGTTTTTTTAAATGGTTTAATTTAACTAAAAATCTTATATAATAGAAAGACTTTTAGGACAATGTACTAAAAATATTTTACAGAGAAAGACCCAAATGTAACTAGTGTTAGGAGTTAGAGAAATAGGTTCTTGTTTCAATCACTACCAAAAATTGTGTGTATGGCAAGGTATGTAATTTATTATTTGCATGATAATAAGGTTGGAGTCCCAAACAACTCTTAAAACATTATATTTATTTGTGTATATAATTACAACTTTTAAAATTTGATAGTGCACTCAAATAACTGTTCATACTAATTGTGTAGCAAAAGTCATCTAAAATGAAACCTGATTGAGAAATTCAATATTAGCCTACAAAATTATTCTAAGCTATTTCTGTCTTATGGGTAGAAGCATTCTACAACATAGTGCTATGCAAAAAAGATAGATGGTCCAGTAACTTCTTCTTAAGTCTTATGATAGATTACATTATTGCTTCTTTTCCTGTTCCTATGATAAAGAAACTATTCAGACATTCAGATAACTAAGGTAGAGAAGTGAAATTTAGTGTTCCTCAGTGTTACCCTAAAACCACCTGCATTCAAATCACCTATCTATTTTTTTCACTGAATACTTCTGGCTCCCATCTTAGACCTACAGAGCTCAAATCTCTAAGAGTGGAGTGTGGTGCTTTGAATTTTAAACAAGAACTCCAGGTGATTTTTGTGCAAACTCAAGTTCTAGAACCAGCAGTTCAGTTGTAAAGGGCTAGAGTTAACTGATTACGGGCTTTGGAGTCTAGTAGACTCACTGTAAAAATGACAGTAATTAAACTACTAGAAGAAAACATTGGGGAAATGCTTCAGGACATGGATCTGGGCAAACATTTCTTGAGTAAAACTTCAAAAACACAGACAACCAAAGCAAAAATTGACAAATGATTATATCAAGCTCAAAAAGCTGCTGTACAGCAAAGGAAACAATTGACAAAGTGAAGAGGCAACCTACGGAATGGGAGAGAATATTTGCAAACTATTCATCTGACATGGAATTAACAACTAAAATATATAAGGAACTCAAACAACTCAACAGCAATAATAAGAATTTGATTTTAAAAAGGGCAAAAGATCTGAATAGACATTTCTCAAAAGACATACAAATGGCCAACATGAATATGAAAAAAATGCTAAACATCACTAATCATCAGGGAAATACAAATCAAAACCACAGTGAGGTATCATTTTAACCCAGTTAAAATGGCTATCAAAATGACAGAAAATAACAAATGCTGGCAAGGATACAGAGAAAGGGGAATGAACCTATACTGATAGTGAGAGTGCAAATTAGTACAGCCACTATGGAAAACGGCGTGGAGGGTCCTTTGGAAACTAAAATTAGAACTACCATATGATCCAGCAATCCCTCTGCTGGGTATATAACAAAAGAAAGGTAATCAGTATATCAAAGAGATATCTGTACTCCCATATTTATTGCAGCACTCTTCACAATAGCCAAGGTTTCGAAGCAACCTAAGTGTCCATCAACAGATGAATGGAAAAAGAAAATGTGGTAAATATACACAATGGAATATTATTTAGTCGTTCAAAATAATGAAATCCTGTCATTTGCAGCAACATGGATGAAACTGGAAGACATACGTTCAGTGAAATAAGCCAGGCACAAAAAGACAAATATCAAATGTTAGCATTCTCATGTGGAAGGTAACAAATTGATTCCATGCAGGTAGAGAATAGAATGGTGGTTACTAGAGGCAGTGGAGGGTAGTGAGGAGGAGGGAATAAAGAGTGGTTGACTAATGGATCCAAAAATACAGTTCAATAGGAATAAGATGTAGGATTCAGCAGCATCGTAGGATGACTATGGTTAACAATAGTTTATCACAAATTCTAAAATCGCTGGAGGAGAAGATTTAGAATGCTTCCAACACAAGGAAATGACAAATGCTTAAGGTGATGGATATCCCAATTACCCGGATTTGATCATTCCACCCTGAATGCTTGCATAAAAATATCATCTAGGCCAGGCATGATGGCTCACACCCATAATCCCAGCACTTTGGGAGGCTGAGGTGGGTGGATCACTTGAGGTCAGGAGTTCAAGACCAGCCTGTCCAACGTGGCAAAACCCCGTCTCTACTAAAAATACAAAAAAGTTAGCTGGGTGTGGTGGCGTGCGCCTGTAGTCTCAGCTAGTTGGGAGGCTGAGGTGGGAGAATCACTTAAGCCTGGGAGGCAGAAGTTGCAGTGAGCTGAGATCACACCACTGGGCCACAGAGTGAGACTCTGTCTCCAAAAAACAAACAAAAAAATCACATGTATCCCATAAACTTGTACAACTATTGTGTATCCATAGGAATAATAATAAATGATAAACTCCACATCACTTTTTAAAAACTCCACATCATATTTTAAAAATCACAGGGTTGGGAGGCTTCAGGTGCCTGACACATGGTAAATACTCAGTGTATGATAGTTATTAATGTCATAATTTTTCATCTCAGTCATTTAAATATTTGACCTGATTCTCCATTTTCTAAGTGGAGAAAGAACTTAGTTTTGTGTCATAAATCTTTATCATTCCAAATGATGCTTGATAACTTGGCATGCCTCTTCTGACTGTAGGTCTTCCTTCCTCAGAGTGAGCTTCTCAACCTAGCTCTGTCACCCTGTGACTTGTTGTGGAGGCAGAGGTCCTGTTACCCACCATATGTGCAGAGGAGAGGATATGCACCCCTATCATTTTAGGGAAGCTTCCTTTATTTATCTTCTTTTGCTGGATCTACAGCTGAGAGACCACAGGAAATTAGGGGTTTGGCTAGTCATTCTCCTTTTCCTCACTCTCTTCTCCCTCATCTGAAAGACTGAATGGTCCCTGGGGCCTCTTCAACTTCTGAAATTCAAAGAGAGTATATAGTCTAATATTACTGAATCACAGTGTTTAAGAACTAGAACAGAATTTAGAGGTCAGATTGTATGACATGCAGTGATATACTATCTCTGTGAAAGCTGGTTAAAGCAGAGAGAAAATGAGAATGATTTGGGACTATTAGACAATATTATTGAGTGTCTTAGAACAGCAGCCCTCATTTCAGTCTATATCCTGTTGGCCTAAAGCATTTTTTGTGACAGAGTCTAACTAGAAATGACTATGTTGTGCTATTATATAGCAGTGACAGGCAATGTTTTCTCTTAGGAATAATCTAGTCAGGAAATTTGACACTGAAATGTGTTCAGTGTCTTGGGTTGGGCTTCCTAGAAGCAGAATCTGAGTTGTGGTTCCTCGTGCAAGTGATTTATTGAGGGATTGCTCCCGGTCAAAACTTGCAAGGGAGTGGGGCAATCAAAAGAGGGCAGGGGAAGCAGGTAGGCAGAGGTGTGGGTTGAGTTGACACCTGGCCACAGCCCGACCCCACAGGGAGCTGGAACCTGACTGGCATCTCACAGCTGTCCCTCCTGGAAGCAGTGGAGCCCACCTGTTCTACTTCTACCAGCCAGTCATTGGCTGTGGCCACCATCCCAGATCCCCCTTGCCTTATCCTTGACCTTCAAATATTTCATCACTCAATATGTTTGTGCTAGGTCTTGAATCCTTTTCCTTTTTTAATCATAGTTCATGGTATTTTTCTTTTGTTCCTAGTTTTCTAAGAATTTTATTTTATTTTGTCACTATTCTGAATTTTATAAAATGCATTTTCTGTATCCAAGATAATTATTTTGTTTCCTCAAAACTGTTAATGGAGATTAATCATTTTTCTTCTGTTAAAACACTCTTGCATTTCAAAGACTATCACTTCTTAGGTATAGTATTTTACTTTTCATATGCATTGTTGTATTTAAGATGCTTATGTTTTGTTTGATAGTTATAGATCTGTTTTCATAAGTCAGTCTAGTACAAAGGTTATAGTAGGGTCATGAAATGAGTTATAAGCATTCTCCTTAAAAAATGTAGAATAGGCCGGGCGCGGTGGCTCACGCCTGTAATCCCAGCACTTTGGGAGGCCGAGGCGGGTGGATCATGAGGTCAGGAGATCGAGACCATCCCGGCTAAAACGGTGAAACCCCGTCTCTACTAAAAATACAAAAAATTAGCCGGGCGCGGTGGCGGGCGCCTGTAGTCCCAGCTACTCGGGAGGCTGAGGCAGGAGAATGGCGTGAACCCGGGAAGCGGAGCTTGCAGTGAGCCGAGATTGCGCCACTGCAGTCCGCAGTCCGGCCTGGGCGACAGAGCGAGACTCCGTCTCAAAAAAAAAAAAAAAAAAAAAAAATGTAGAATAGTTTTTATAATATTGGAATCATTTGTGATTTTATTTCCTGTGAGTGGTGTAACAAACAACCATGCACTTGATTGTTTACAACAACAGACATTTACAGTTCTAGAGGCCAGGTATGTGACATGCAGGTATCAGCAGGGTCACGCTCCCTCCAGAGGCTCCAGGGGGGATTCCGTTCCTAGCCTACTCCAGCTTCTGGTGGATAGCGGATGCATCCATGGCTACATTGCCTCTTCCTAGTCTACGTGTTTCTTCTCTGTATATCTTTTATGAGGACGCACCATTGGATTTAGGGCCCACTTGGACAATCCAGGATGATCTCTTCATCTTAGAATTCTTAACTCAGTTACATCCACATAAGTCCTTTACCCAAATAAGGTAACATTCACAGGTTCTAGTGATTTGATGTGGTCATATTTTTTGAGGGGCCACCGTTAAACTCTACAAATTGTTTCTTGAAAGCATAGTAGAATTTGTTCCTGGAGGGGATTTTAGGGTTACATTTCTGAATACCTACTCAACTTCTTTAATGATTTTAGGACTATTCATTATTTCTTTATAATTCTCTTCTGGTACTTTTTCTTAAGTGTTATTTTGTCTACATCTTCAAATTTAAGTGTGAAGTTGTACCTTGAATTTTTTAAAGATTTTCTAATCAAATATTTTGTATAAATATGATCTAGTACATTTCTAATAATATTTATATACTTATTACTATGTATATATTCATGTACAATATATACTACTATTATGTAATATATATTGTATTACTGTATAAATAGTTCTGTGATCTATTTCAGTGCTAATGTTGTTTCAGCATGCACTATTGCTGTCCTTTTATTAATGTTTCAGCAGGTTGTCCAAAGGTATCTAACTGTATTCATTTTTTAAAGAGTCAAAGCCACCTTTTGAGATCTTCCCTAGCGATCACCTGTAACATTTTACCTGACAGTCTCCAGGCAATGTCTGTATCCAATTTTCCTGCTTTCTTGTTTCTCTCTAATATATATCATCATCTAGCATAGTATACATTTTATTTATTTGTCCCCCTTGTCTGTCCCTCAACTAGAATATAATTTCCAAAGAGCAGAGATTTTTGTTCATTTGGATCATTACTGAATCCCCAGTGCTGTATCAACCAATAAATGTTTTTTGAATGAATGAGCCAAAATTTATTTTTAATGTGTCAGTCTCTACCATTGTTTTGTTTTTTATTTCATTAATTTCTGCTTTTTATTAGTTACCCTTTCTTTTCCTTACATTTAGATTCTTTTTCTTATTTGTTCCAATTCTTAACTTTTGGGTTGAATCGTTCATTCATTTCTAGTCTTTTTTCCCTAATATAATCATTGAGAATAAGCATGTTTTGGAGAAGGGTGTAACATTCTAGTGTTATCCTAAACTTTTTTATTTGGAGAGTTTTCACTGCCATTCAGTTCTAGATGTTTTATTGTTTCTTTATGATTTCCTCTTTTATTCATGAATAATTCAGTAATCTGAGGGTTATTTTTAAAGTTCTTGAAGAGAAACAGCTATTATTTTATTATTTATAATTTTATTCCACTTTGGTGGAAAATATGCTCCAATAATATTAATGTACTGAAATTTGTTGAGATTTGCCTTCTGGCCTAGTAACATGTAAAGTTTTATAAATGCACCATGTGTGCTGTGGTATTACAGATATGGAAGATTCTCTATTACTTTACTCTCCCTGTACTGGCACATGTGATTCTCCTTAGTAACATTGGTGTTACAAATCTTATAAACATTTCCTCTTATCTCAGAGACTTTTCTTCTTAATATCATGGTCATGGCATTGCAGTTGATCAAAATCCACTCACTATAATGAAAACCATTTTTTTTTTTTTGCAACATACATGAAAGAACGTTAAGTTGTAGTTGAATACTGGTCATCAGGCTATTGATGTCAACAGTATTAAATACTACTCCAAAATGTCAAACTTATATTTCAGAAAACATGTGCCTTAATGTTTTCTCACAGTATATTCTGAAATATCCAAAATGTTTTTCCTTACTGTGCCAATTGGAAAACCTCTTATAAACATTATTTCTTCTATTTGATAAAACCAGGGAATTAAAAATGAATAAATTTGGCTCTCTATATATGTACATAGTGCTCTAACTTTTTAAAGCTTAAATAAACTTTTAAAAACTAATTTATTTTACATTTAAGAAGGTTATTCTTTTCTTGGAGAAAGATATTTTCATGGTAAAATGAGAATTTTTAACCTAAAAACAACATTGCCTCCAATTTAAAGAATATTTTTGTCAGTCCAGTGAGTCAAAATGAAATGTCCAAAAAACTAAACATAAGTAAATGTCACCAGCACCTAGGGACCCAAAATTTTTGTATTTGAATATATATGTACATATCATGATATTTAAGATAGTACAGGCAAGCCTCGAGTTAGAAAAAATGCTTTTGAAAAAGTTTCTTTATAAGCCAGTTTTTGAAACTTAAACTACAGTGACTTTCAAATAACATTAAAGAAAGAATAAGAGACTAGCCTTGCTCCTAATGATCTACTGAATCCAAGTGCACCAGGAATACAGTACTATGTGATCTAATCACTGATTAAAATAATGTTTTGAAGGAAAATATGTTTAGAGTTCCACCTTGGGATGTCAGGCATCCATCGTCCTATTCAGCAGATTGGTAGAGATGTCGCTTCCTGGGCCCCTCTCAGCCTCCAGCTGGCGGGGAGGGATTACTCAGCACGGGGACAAGATCAGGGTTTGCTTAGGAGCTTGGGCTCATTGCTGATAAAATATCCTCCCTTCCTAGTCCCAGCCACGGTGCTCTTCCCTCTTCTTATCTCACTGCAAGTACTAATTATGAATAAGTTGGAAAGCCTGCGCTGAAAATAGCAATGGAGACCAGGGGAAGGGCAACGTCATCTCCTGGTTGCAATCTTCCCTCTGCCCCTTGTCCAGTCTCAGATTTCAATGTACTCTCTCAAGCAAAGGAGGCTTCTCTTTGAACAGACTCTTGTACTCATGGACCAGATGATTTTTGAGCTCTCTGCTAGTTCTTTGAATTAGAATTCTCTCCCTGTGAATTTATTTCACCTAGCTTGTTTTTGTTAGCCCTTCATGGCCAGATTTGCAAGAATCAGATTTCATCAAATCCACAGTGAAGCTCTTGCTTCTTGGATCTATCCAAATGAGAGAAGTTAGTCCATGCTTCAAAGCATTGCAATATTTTGGTAGTCTTCAACTTTTGGGAGCAAATTTTCCAACTCTTCGGTTGAAATTTGGGGGCAAATCAGGGATGCAATGTTTTTCATTTGTGTAGCTCCCTAAAACCAGTGCCTGACATAAAAACAGTGGTAATATCAGTTGGCAATGCGTTAACTACTAGTAACAGAAAACCCGACTGCATTTGCTTTCACAGATAGGGGTTTGTTTTTCTCAGATAAGCAGTCCAGGGGTAGGCGTCTGTCCATGTTGGTTCAGCTGTTCACCATGCTGCTGGAATCTGGACTTTTTCTTCTCCATTCCCCATAGCATATTGGATTTTTGTTCTCATACTTTTTAGCCATGTCCACAAATGGCTGCCTCAAGGTCCTGGCGTCACAGGGCAACAATGCTAGTCATCTCCTTCCTGACATCCTGCAATGATATCCAGCCCACCTCTCTGCTCCCATTCTGCTGCCACCACCAAGTCCATTTTCCATGGAATAGCTAAGATGATGTTTATAAAACAAAATCAGACTGTATTTCTCCATCACTTAAAACACTCCAATGTCTTCCTAGTAGATTTAGAAGAAAATCCAAACTTTTGACCATAGGCTTCAGTGTTCTAGACATCCAGCCACTGTCCCACCTTTGAACCTTATCTCCTAGTATTCATCCTCTCTCTCATTATACTGGACCACAGTGCTGTCTTGTTTTTGAGAAATACACTGCTTACTGTACTCTAGGCCCCTTGCACTTGCTATTTCCTCTGTATGCAATGCTTTGCTTATTACCTATATCTCAGCTCAGAGGTCATATATTTATTGAAAGCTTTCCTGATCATCCAAAATAAATCAGCAGCAGTGCCCCCTGCCCCATACCTCCCTGCCACCTAGCCATTCCCTTTTTCCTTGACATCATGATTGCTTAGTGATTCTCACTCCATGACTCATGTTTGAATCATGTGGGAAACTTTTTTAAAATACCGCATTCAGTCTCTATTCCATTGATTCCAGTTTAATTGGTCCAGAACGGTCCCCAAGCATTGATTTTTTTTTTAAGTTCCCCACATGATTCTACTGTGTAGCTTGGGTTGAGAGTTACTGGGCTACATGGTTAAAGGTAAGAAACTGTTCACAATAATTTTAGATAATCTCATAATGCTGACCTACTATTTTCTTGATGTGGCTTAACCTGAGGAAGAGGTATTAAGAACATACCTATTCCTGGTATGTATTCCCTACATAATTTAGTGGGTATTTGTATTCAATCAAAGCTTGCATAAAATAATTATTTTCTTGCAAGAAGATGATCCAAATGAGAAAAGAGTGTTTGTGTGTGTGTGTGTGTGTCTGTGTGTGTGTTTTGCCATTGAGAGCACGGTTTCTCAGCTAAGCTCACCCTCACCCTCTGCACCCTTTCTTCTAACTGCCTGGAGTTGTCAGTCAGGTTTGGGAGATGGACTGTGGAGCCAGGGACCTCAGAGGCTCTCAGGGAGCATAGAGCTAGCTCAAGTGGTCCGTGAGACAGGAAGGCACGGGTCAGAGGCTGACAGATGGTCTTTCTGCTGCACGGACTGCAGGCAGACGGTTCTGACGGTTTGGACAAGGCCTGAACGTTGGGCTGCTGAGGCAGAGCTCTAAAAAGATGCTTGAAGAAGATGCCATGACATCCCTCTCTTTTGCAATGAGCAGACATTGAGCCTGAGGATGCGCAGGAGGTGAGGAGGAGAAGCAGAAGAATGAGGAAAGGTGAGAGCACACTCTCTCTAGGAAGGCGTTTCTCTTACCCTCCACTCTCATGCTGAGGTGCCTGGAAGTGAGACCAACCCCCAGGCCAGGAGGCCATCAAGGTAGTAGTTAAGCACCCGGGCTGTCCACATGTACAGCTCTCTCAAATTCCAATTCTGCTGCTCTCTGTGGGCACCTCTGAAGGTCACCTGACATCTTTTAATTTCTGTTTCCTCTTAATAATTGAATCTAACTCCAAGCTTGGCTTTGTAGGGGCAATGTTTGTAAAATACTCATCATAGGGCCAGGCCCACAGTAAATGCTCCTGACTCGTGTAGCACAAGGCAAAAAAGTAAATCCAAACCATGGCTTCATTATCAAAACCTCTAATGTTTTTACTCTTGTTGTGTGACAGCAATGTTTTCTGTTCCCACCATGTGCTCTTATTTTAATTTACCAACAGTTTAGATTTCTACTGATAGCAAGGAGGTGAGGTGGATGAGAAAGCGGAATGAAGAGGTAGAAGGCTCATCCAATTTTTACCTCTTTTTTGCAGGGGACCCAGGTATGTCACTCAACCCTTCTGCAGCAATTGTTTGCATTGTACAGGATTTTTTTTTTCTTCCAATTATCTCCATCAAGGGCCCAGTGAAGGTTTTTATGCCTCTCCCACTTTGGTCTACAGACACCTGGGAATGGCTGCTGCGATCAGCACGCCTGTCCTCTTTTTCCCCATGTACCGGATTTTGCAAGGCCTCTTGGCACATGCCTACAGTAGACATTTAATTAACATAAAACACTATGTAACACCGTTAAGACAGAAGCTAGATTGGGAAGCTGGCAATTCCCCAACCCATGCAGCCAAATTCCCAGACACAGGTACGTCCTTCAACTTGCTCATGGCGGTTAGAGTCGTGGGAGGTCTTTCCTATTGCAGGCCTATCGCCTCTGAAACTTCCCCACCATTTTCTGGCAGACGCTTTTGGATAGAAGTTGAGGACACTACTTCACCCTCTCCATTCATTTATCTTTTGGGACCCATCATGTGCTTTGCAGTCACTGGGACTCCACAACTCCGTGCTAAGCAACCTCTGAAGTCTGCAGGGCCACTTCAGAATCCAGTGGACTTCAGAGTCTCACCGTCTTTCCTTGCTTGCACGTTTATCTTCCTCAAAGCTCATTCCAAGCCCCACTCTCCAGCTTTCACCCTTTCTGTGACCACAGCCTGATGTCCCTTTGGAAGCTGCCACGTCACACCTAACTTGCATATCACATTGTATTCTCCAGTTTATTCAGTCTTCCACATTTTAAGTCATGTTGCATGTGAAACGGGAGTTTGTTTGTTCAAGTACTCAACAAAACGTAACTGGGCATGTGCTGTGTGTCCAGTAACTAAGAATTCAAGGCTGTATAGGGTGTAGATGTGGTGCTTAGAGCTGCAAGGACTTATGGTCTGATGAGAAGTCCCATACATTCCCCTGACTTTAATGCCGTATAGGAGAATGTACAAAATGCCTTGGAAGCAGAGTCAAAGGATTGACTGTTCTGCCAGACAGGAGTGGCGTGATGAAAATCAGAAGACCGCAAAGGATTCTGAATCAACAGTTTGAGCCAAGGGTCTATGATGATCACACCCAGCCTTCTTCTTTGTGTCAGATACAAGTCTCGGCCTTTGCAAACACATATTGTTGAATGATTAGGGGTGTCAAAAAAAAAAAAGGGCTTGCAGGAGCTCTCCCTCTGTGCTCTGGCCTATATCTGAGATGTCAGCATTTGACGATTTTCTTTTAATTGTCATCATTTAGGAAGCAAATACTCCCTGAAAAGGAAGCACATTCACCCCACAAGATGCTGTCCTTTTGGATCAGTTTATCCCACTCTTCCTCTTTTGTTTCTCTTTGGTTGTTCTTTACTCCTAGAAGGACTCTGATGAAATATTATTGGAAGACAGAAGTATGAATAAAGGTTTGCTTAGAGTTAGGCCTACATATGGGCAAATTTCCTGTTCTCTTTAATTCAGCCAAGAAAACTGTATGATTTTCTGAAAGTTACTTTATTATAACAGAAAACCAGTGACTAGGGTGGGAGTGGTGGGTGAGGGAGGAAATGTTGCAGATGGAAGCATAAAGCCAAAGCCAGAAATAGTAGTCTTGACAAAGACATGATGAGTAAGGAAATGATGATTTTGAGTATGGGAGGCCTAGGTTGCGGTCCTTGTTTTACTACTTACTGGCTTGTAATGTCTCTGAGCTTTAATTTTCTCTTCTGCACTGTCTGCCTTCTGGTTTCTTTTGCAGGTCAAATTCTACACTGTTATATGAATGACCACAGTTGGCTAGATAGGCAGAACTTTTTCCCATAGATCTTATTCAAAGTGTGGTCCGTGGACCAACAACAAGAGCCTTACCTGGAAGCTTGTGAAGAATGCAGACTTTTGAGTTCCACTCAGACTTAATGAATCAGAATTTGCATTTTAACAAGCTCCTCAATGATTTATTTGCACATAAAAATTCAGCCCTTGTCTGGACCGCTAATTCTCAAATGTGTCTGCCCATGAGAATCATTTACAGAACTTTAAAAAAAATACTGGAGTTTGAAGTTCCTCTCCCAGAAATCATCATGTAATTGTAATAAGGTCAGCCTGGGTGTCAAATCTTCTAAAAGCTCCCCAAGTGGTTTTAACATGAAACAAATTTTGAGAACCATTGCTCTCCACCAAGGCTTCTCAAACCATCTCGGGTGCATGACCATTCGGCTTGCTAATTTGCAATCCATCTGGTTGTAAAATTTAAAAGAACCACATTCCTTGGCTATAGCAGCAATGTCAAATTGGTATAAAGGCTGATAAATATCTACTCTCTATTTGTGCCTTAACTTGTCACAAACTTCTAACAAAGGGTTCTAGGAGCAACAATTGTCCTAGCACCACACTCTGAGTGGCACTGTGGTCTAGACCACCTTTCACCCTGACTAGGAAACTAGTCTTACCCCATCCCAACCCATTCCCTCTGGCATCTCTCCCCCAGCTCAAGGGTTAGATTTTCTTTTATTGAGCACATGCATAGAGTACTTATTTTATGCCAGGTACTGTTCTAAGGGTTTTTTACAAGAGTTGACTTTTATCAGTATTGAGCTAATTTTTCTTTTCTCTTTTTTTTTTTCTTTTTTTTTTTTTTTGAGATGGAATCTTCTCTATTGCCCAGGCTGGAGTGCAGTGGCGCAGTCTTGGCTCACTGCAACCTCTGCCTTCCGGGTTCAAGCAATTCTCCTGCCTCAGCCTCCCAAGTAGCTGGAAGTACAGGTGCCTGCCTAAGCTAATCTTTCATTACCCCTTTCTCTTTTATGGGAGCAGAAGCAGATGCCCAAAATCACTGAGTTGGTACATGGCAGCAACTGGATGACCTCTGAACCCAGATCACCTAGCTCTTAACCACTATTGCCCTCCCTCACCCACAGGTACTTGTGGGAGGAAGGATTAGACTCCCACATGCACCACATCTCATTGGTGATCTGTCCCTTTGACTTCTAATGTATCTGCATCCCACCCTTCCTCTTCATCCCCTTGCCCTCTTCCCTCCCACTGCTTCCATCCAGGCCCTCAGCATCTCTCTCCTGCATCATTACAATAATCTCACCTCTCCCTGCTCATGGATCCTCAAAACCTTTATCAGGGTGACCTTTCCAAAATGCAAAGCTGAGCAGGTTCTAAATCCTTAAATGACTCTAAATCTGTTGTCTGTCAGTAAAGTTCACATTCCTTAGCACTGCACACCAGCCACTCTGCAACAGAGCTCTACCCCTCCAGCCTTCCTTCTTGCGCCTTCCCCTTCTCTCACTCCAGCCACTCAGGGCCACTCTGGTCATGGGCTTGGCCTCAGCCTCTCATGCATTAGGACCTTCATGCATGTGGCTTCCTGGATGGAGGCCCTCTGTCTAAAGGTCACTCATCCTCTAGAGCTTAGCTCAAGTATGGCCTCCCTCAGGAAGTCTTTCCTGAATACCACTTCCCATTCCTGTGGCTTCTCCTTCCCCCTTGATGCTTCTTTCACAGCATCCACGACACTGAGTCATGGCTGCTGATTTCTGTGCTAGCATCCCTCTTGATTATGAGCTCCTTGTTGCAGTGAGTATGTCTCAACTTTGTATCCCTAAAAGCAGTATAGATCCAGGATCACAGCAAGTGTTCAACTTATTTGGAGTGAGTGAATGAATTCAGGCAGTCATTATACCTCTTTAGAGACATGGTAGTTTGTCCTCTTGCTCCTTTCCTCTCCTCCTCACCTCACTCCCTCACACCCCTACCACCCTCTGCCTTTTACCAGGAAAACTCTATGTCATCTTTTGGCTTTGCAGAAGCCCTTCAGGCTATGTCAGCTTAGGGAATCGGCCCCTTCCTCCTGAGACCATCAGCCGCTGGGCAGCCAGCACCAAACAGTGGTCTAGCTTCCTCTTATCGCTTCCTTGCTCTGAGTGCCCTGGAGAAAATATTAAATGTGTACACAAAATACATGCTAAAATATTCATGAATACATTTGGAAATTTTTTTTTTTTTGCTTAAGTCCCCTTTGTCTGAAAATAGAACAGAAAAGACAGACAAATGAGACACAAAAGCATGGAGAGAAATATATGATAAGCAATAGTTGGAACTGATTACCTTGCAAAGGTTTGTCTAAAGACCAATCTTAAAACATGCCACCTGAACATCAAAGAAGAGGTATCCATTCATCATTGGAAGAATATGCTTTTTAATGAATGGCTTCCTCCCACCTTGATGACCATGTGATCTGTCACAACCTTGCTCTGCCTTCCTCCCCACCTTGCTAAAATCTGTTCCTTTATTTCTTAAGGCAATCAGGCCTTAGTAAACATGGAGAAATGGGTCAGTGTGGGTGCTTGGCCTCAGCTTGCCTGATGTTGTGCATGGGTGGACCATGGAGAGCCCCTAGGGCAGGCAGCTGGGCAGTGACTATGGCTGGTGCTATCAGGTAGCCTTAGAAACAGGAATGGACATCCTCACTTGAATTGGGGGCAGTGGGAGAGGTTCTCTGTCTTTAGGGGCCTCTCAAGTGTACTCTTTGTCTTGCTGGTTCCCACAGAGAGACCCAGTTTCCACATCAAAGCCTTCCCAATGAGTCTTGACTATAGGCATGTCTCACCCTTCTAACCCCAGTAATGGAAATCACCTTTATTACTCATTTTCTTTTTTCCTTGTCTCCTCCTTTTCTTCCTCCTTCCCCTCCTTCCTTCTTTCTCTCCTGGCTTCCTTTCTCCCTTCCTTCTGTTCCCCCTTACCTCCCTCTCTGAAGAATTATCTATGACTGCCATAATAAACTTGGAGTAATAGATATATAGCAACTGCTCTTTCAACATTCATTAAATGGATTGGAAGTTAGTTCAGTGAGGAGACTCGAAGTCCATTGCCCACTAAGATAGAGTTCTCATTGGGAACTACTATGGTGAGACTTGTGTAAAAAGATGACCATGATGACATAAAACTCTGGCTTTGGGAAACATACTGATGTCAGGCTTGGGACCGAGTCACCAGATTATGAGAGTGAGGCCGCACTCTGGAACTGGGGACAAGGGTGGAGTTTCTCCCAAAGAGTGTGGGCTCCTTCACTGTGTCTCATCCTGGAAGAACAGTCTTAGGTCAGGAAATGAGAACTTGGAAGGCAGGACTTAGAATATTCTGAAGAAAAAAGAATAAATATTCCCTTTTCCTGGCACAGGGGTTGGCTCAGCCCAGATTCTAAGGCCTGGGGCAGTTTCCACATTATGGGGTGAACTGCCCCCAGGAGAGGAGGCAGGCAGCAGACCGAGGAGAAGTCTCAATAGTTGGCATGTTGCTCTGTATCCTGTACATCCATTCCACTTTCCTCAGCTTTTGGCCAATTCTCACTTGGACTTACCATTGGTCCCTGTGGCAGAGTGAGGAGCCAGGGAAAGCGTTTAGGGGCAAGTAGGGTCCTCTCTCCCGAGGCCAAGGGTCAGGGTAGAAGCAGCTCCATCATACCCAGCCAGGGTCGTGGGCAGCCAGCAAGTGAGTAGTGAGGCATGAGCCAGGGCTGCAGAGAGAGTTCAAGTGTTCAGACCCTGCACAGTGAAAGGCATGGTCCAGGACAAGTGCTTGGATGCGGCTAAGGGCCCTGAGCAGGCTTATTTCTAGCTCCATCTTGTCAGGGGCTGCGCCTCCGTCATTCGTGATCAGTGTTGATTTGACATTGGGTAACAATAGCTCGAACTTAAAGGAAGACAGAGCTGATGCACTGGATGGAGCCAGGACCTCTAAGTTAGGGAGAGCAGGGTTTGAATTCCAGGCCCACCACCTTAAGTTAATACTCTACTATCTTAATAACAGTGATTACAGAAAGTTACATAATGTGTCTGACAACCAGTACGTGATCAATAACATGGGATCAGTAACACATAAGAATTCAGGTTAGTATTGAAATTAAAACAAAGCAAAATAACCATAGAGCCACATGTGTATATTATCTGATCTAGATGATCAATGTAGATGAGTTTCTTTTCTTTTATATCCAGAATGACAGCTATAGGGCACTTCTCTTGTCCTAATGGTGGGTATCCTCAGTCATACTTTTTTTCATAGCATCCAGAAATTCTTCATAATCCTCAAGAGATAACCAGGTAGCTGCTGCTAACCCATGAAATTAGTATGAGAGATGGACTTTGCCATTTTACCTGCAAATAATACTATTTAAGCAAGTGCTTGGTTCCCATGTGAATTGCTGAAGCTATTTCTAAGCCTTATTTTGGGTTGTAAGAAATGTGGCATGCAGGATCTCCTACTTCAAAGCTCTGGAGGCTGAGGATACTGAGAATAGTCCCTGAGTTCTGCTGTCTAGTGGCAAGGACAAAATTTCACATTGTATAGTACCTGCTGTGGCAACAGTACAGATAATGTCTTAGGCAACAGCAGCAGGGAGTGGGGTGGGATAGCCAAAATGCTTCCTGGAGAAAGTAGCACCTGAGCTGAACGTGGAAAGGAAAAATGAGAATTGGCCAGATGAAGAAGGGGGTAGGCATGATAAGTAGGTAAGGAGACATTCCAAGCAGAGGAATGGGGATGAAAGAACATAGCGTGTGCAGGTATACTGGAAACTACCTGAAGAATGATGTTGCTGGTACGTAAAATTCGAAGGAAGGAAATGACGTTTCAGCATTCTAAGGAGCTAGGTCATAGAAAACCTTAAATTTCATGTTAAGGAGCTGGTAACTTCAGCCATAGGCAATGGGCAGCCACCAAAGGATATTTACCAGGGGAAGAACATGATCAGAATTAAATCTTACATCTGGAGAGGGACATGTGGACTGGAGAGAGAAAAGATTGGGCCAGGGAGGCTGGGAGCAGTGGCTCACGCCTGTAGTCCCAACACTTTGGGAGGCCAAGGCAGGTGGATCACCTGAGGTTGGGAGTTCGAGACCAGACTGACCAACATGGAGAAACCCCATCTCTACTAAAAATACAAAATTAGGCAGGCATGGTGGCACATGCCTGTAATCCCAGCTACTCAGGAGGCTGAGGCAGGAGAATCACTTGAACCCAGGAGACAGAGGTTGCGGTGAGCCAAGATCACACCATTGCATTCCAGCCTGGGCAACAAGAGTGAAACTGTCTCAAAAAAAAAAAAAAGGTTAGGCTAGGAAAATGAGTTTAAGAGGAAGCTATTGCCATTGTGATGGGGGTAGAGAGGAGGGGACTGATCTGACAACTATTCAGGAGATAAGGAGTGCATGACTGATAAAAAGTCGCAGGAACAAGTCTTGAAAATAGAGTGGACACAGAGGGCCTCAGGATTCCTACCTGCCTGAAGGCAGTCAGTAGGAGATCCTTATAAGCAGAAAACTTCAAAGTTGTTAAAAGTGGACCTTGAGCATCCTAACAAAAGAGAATAGCCTTCTTCATGTGGAAATGGAGAAACTCAGGGAATAACTCTTGCTACATACAACAAGGGAATTACGACAGGGCAGAGGAGTATTATTCTGTGGTCAATAATCTGTCAGAATATGGGCCCTGTGATTGCAGGACACATGGTATGTTCTGTTTACCTTAAAGGTAGTATTAGCGTTAAATTTTTTGCCAAGACTTCACCATCACAAAATCTATAAGCATGATATTTTAGAGCAAAAGAATAAAAGAAAAGCAAAGAAAGGAATGAAGAAAATTGAACCTGTATCTGCTATGTGTGAAATGAGGATATTTCTACCCATCTTCCCAACCAGGCCCACTTCCATCCACTCCACTCCTAGACCTTGCATTCCCTACAGGGGAGGAGGAGTTGATGAGCTGGTTGATCATAATGCAAAACATTCATGGGGCTACATTTTACCAGGAAACATGGCTACTGTGTCTTAAAAGGCAAAACCCAGGGCTCCCCTTTTGCTCTTACACTCAACTTCCTCTTTGCAGTGGAAATGGAGTGGAATTGGTAAAGTGAGACAGACACAGCCCCTCGGAGGTCTTGTGTCCCTCTCTCTTTTGTTTCCATATGGCTGGGTGGATAAGTTGACCTTGACCATCTCTCTCCGTCTTCACAGCCTCATGTGAAACACACTGGTCCCATAATATAAGGGGGCCTGGGGATTAGGAGAGGGCTGGAGGTTTGTCCACTTTGGCTTCAAGCCTAACCCACCTGCCGTAACAGGGGTTTTTATCAGCATTTTAGTTTGGGAGTTGGACTCTCACACAGCTATCAATGACCTGGCACTTTCGTTCCCTTTCTGCTATTGTGTCTCCTGTGTACAACAGTCTCAGGATAGAGAGTGGATGGAGAGGATAAGGAAGAAGGATTATCTGGAAAGGATATAACTATTCCCGGGACTCTGGTCAAAACAGTATCTTAGTGGCCAAACCCTTACGTCAGTCCATAACAATTATGAAGAGGAAATCTGTCCAAAGTAAAGGTGAACACCATTGTGGAACCTTGATCTAGAATTGAAGTTTCGGGCTCCAACTTTCCTTTTGGATCAGAGGTCATGCTCTTTCTGGTGTGTAGAGCTATTTGTCATTCTCCCTTTGGCCTATGAAGCCCCAGGTCATGCACTGCTCAATCCCATGTTCTGACCTTGAAACCATTTCACTCAAAGGAGTATATTAGGAGACCGAATGTGATGGCCAATCCTGCTTATTTTATTAGGCCCTGTGGTTAATAAAGGTTATGGTCTACTCAAATCCTTTGAGCAAAAGAGAACAGTAAATAATATATGAATAAAAAGAAGCAGAGGGAAGTTTATGTATCAAGTGCCTATTATGTGCTTGGCATATTGTTATTTTACTTATATCTTCTCGTTAAAAAGTATTATTGGAAATGTGCTTTGTGTATCACAAGGCATCAAACTGATGTCAAGTATTCCTATTATAATAGAGAGGAAAGCATGGATTCTAGGGGGAAGGACTTGAGTTTAAATCCCAGGTCTGTCCCTACTCATCACAGGGCCCTGAGCCATTTCCTCATTTTTCTGGATTTCTATATATCCAGAATATCTTATATGTCTTTGCCATATTAATTGTTCCAACCCATGAAGGCAATACATAAAAATGAAATAGAATGACAACCTATCTTGCATGAGATAATATCTGCAAAAGAACTTTATAAAATAGAAGCATAATGAAACGTTTTAGAATACAGAGTTTGTTCCTTAGGATTTTGGGGGTCATGCTTTCCCTATGAACTGGCATCCAGTGAAGGGGCACATGGAGAAAGACCATTCAAAGCCGTGGTGTCCACGGGGTCCACAGATGATTCCTACCAATGTGTTCAGCTGCAAACGAGTGCCCTGGCCTCTAAGCTCCAGATTTTGCTAAGTCATTTAGTAGTTACATGCCTGCCAAGGAGGTGCCAGAGGAGCATAACTTGCTACACTGCTCTTGTGAGTGTGAACTACACTTCTCAGGTACGACAGGGCTGACAGGACTATTATAATATTTGGTGTGATGTTGCCTTCTATTATCACCCCCTTGCCTGCTCCCCTTTTCCCAAGCTGTGAGAATGGGAGAGGTGCTATATGGTTCATATGACTGGGCTGTATTTGAGGGTTGGAGAAAAGATATACATGCCTTGTATCTTAATAAATTATCCTTAATGTTGTTAGGGTCTTTTCAGAGTTTGGTGGTACTGGGACCACCTACAATTTACCAAAAACTAGAATATGTATTTGTTTAGGGTTTCTTTTCATCCAAAGACAAATGCTATTTGTGTATTTGACAGTCAGTAAATAAATGTTGGATAAGTTTCTTAATTGGACTTAGCCATTTCACCACTCAAAGAGTTATCCAGATGTATAAGAGTGACATCTGTTATAGAAAATCAGCAGTAGGTACTGGCAATGCTGAGAGTGGTGGCTAAGATCAAGTAGAAGGCCTAAAACCAGTGGTTCCCAACCCTGGCAGCAAGTTAGAATTACCTGGAGAGCTTTGGGAAGATGACAGTCCCTAAGCTGTATCCACAGAAATTTTGGGTTAATTTGCCTAGAGAGGGCTCTCAAAATTGGTATCTTTAATGAGCCACCAACCATGAAGGCTTGGTTTTACTTAAAGCAGAGGTTGTCAACATTGACTCTACCTTAGAATCACAAGCAAAATTTTACAAACTGGTGATGCTCCAGCCCCGCTCCCAGGGGTTCTGATTTGATTGTTCTGATGTGGCCTGGGCATCAGGATTTTTAAAGTTCCCTGCTTGTTTCTAATGAAAGCCAAGGTTCAGAACCAATGACTTAGAAGGCAACACAAGCATCTGTGTCTTTCCTTACAAAAGTACAACTCATAATTAAAACAGCCAAATATAAATATGAAGCTATATAATGCTACATCTACATTGTTCTGTGTTCAGTGTTCATTGAAGTATATTTCATAAAAGCTATTTTTAAAAAATCAAATACCTGGACCTCTTGCATAAATCCTAGCCCTGAATATAACCTTAGACTTGAATAAATTGCCTCTTTCTTAACTTAAATCTTAGTTCAGACTCCAGCTGAGATGACTCATGACTTTTATTCCAGTTTGCTGTCAAAAGTCTCTGGAAAATTTATTCTCAACCTCCTGCCCCATTTTTTTGTCTCAACCATTAAGAGCCTATTTCCCCCTTTCCGTATGGATTTATGGAGCTATTCAAAGGCACCATTTACCTCGCCCTTCTGTCTGAGTTTCAGTTAGGAAAATCAATTACTTCTCTGATTCCCCATGGTCCCCTGTTCATACAGCTATAACAGATGGTTCCCAGCCATCTACATTTTGGTATCTACTTCTAAGTTCAATCCAAAATCCTGTCTGGACTTTGACTGGGATACATTGAATGTATAGATCAATTTGGGAAAGAATTGGTATCTTTGCTGTATTAAGTGTTCCCAATCCATAAAGGCCATATATTTCTCTATTTAGATCTTCTCTATTCTTCAATAAAGTTTTATAATTTGCTCTGAAAGGTCTTGAACATCGTGCATTATGTACATTTCTAAGCACAGGTGAGTCTTCAAAAGCACGGGTTTGAATTGTAGGGCCCACTTATATGTGGATTTTTCTTCCACTTCTGCCACTCTTGAGAGAGCAAGACCAACCCCCTTCTTTCTCTTCTAACTCCTCAGGATACTCAATATGAGGATGATGACGATGAAGGGCTTTATGATGATCTACTTCCACTTAATGAAGAGTAAATATATTTTCTCTTCCTTATGATTGTCTTAATATTTTCTTTTCTTCTAACTTTACTGTAAAAATATGGTATATGACATAGTTAACATATAAAATATTTGTTAATCAACTGTTTATGTTATTGGTAAGGCTTCCAGGCAACTGTAGGCTCTTAGTAGTTAAGTTTTGAGGGAACCAAAATTATATACAAATTTTCAACTGCACAGAGGGATCAGTGCCCCTAACCCCTATGTTGTTCAAGGGTCAACTGTATACTCTATATTGCTGAGGCATTAACTGTATCTTTTGAAAATGTGTTTGTTGCTAGTATGTAGACTGCTAGTGTATGATTTCCGTACATTGATTTGTCACTGATATTCAACAAAAATGCCAAATAAAAATGGTAATGGAGCCATCTTTATGTTCTCCCTATCTCAAAGAGAAACCGTTCAAGTGTCATAGCTATGTATGTTACTTGTTGTAGATTTTTGCTTACTTTATGTAGATATCATTTATCAGTTAAAAGAAATTTTCTTTATTTCTGATAAATTGCCTTATTATTCCTAACTTTTCACTTTTCCCTATGTCCATATCTTTTGCCATGTGACATTGTAATTCTTTTTGCTTGAGGTGGTATATATTTCTCTACCTCACTGACAAATGGGCTTGTCTATGTGACTAGTGACCAAAAGAACATCAGTGAAAATGACTGTATGCCACTTTCATCCAAACTTTAACCTTAGAGATATCCTGTGCTTCTACTCACTCTTGTGTTGCTTCTGCTATCCTCATGAGAAGAACATGTCACTTGATAGTCTGATATAGTCAGCCCTCCATATCTACAGGTTCTGCATCTGTGGATTCAACCATCCATGGATGGAAAATATTTAGGAAAAAGCAATAAAAAATAACAATACAACAACAAAAGTACAGTACAAATTTTAAAAAATAGCATAGCAACTATTTATATAGCATTTACATTGTATTAGGTGTTATATGTAATTTAGAAATTATTTCAAGTATATGGAAGGATGTGCATAGTTATGTGTAAATACTAGGTGATTTTATATGAGACTTGAGTATCAGTGGATTTTGGTATCCATGGGTTAGGGGTCCTGGAACTATTCTCCTGTGGATGTATATTTTGTAACTACCATATAATTGCTTTTAAAAGTCCATTCTGATTTATCTTTTATTGGAAACATTTAGTCTATTTACCTTTAATGCAATTGCCTGTATATTTATGTTTACCATCTTATTTTATGCTTTTTATTTGACCCTTCTTTATGACCTTCTTTTTCATTATTTTTACTTATTCAAGTTTTTCTCACTTTTGGAATTTATGTTCTATGCTTCTCTTCTTTAGTGGTCACCTGGGAGATTACAATATGTATATGTAATGTATATGTAATGTATTGAAGGTCAAAGTTTATACCTCTACCTTCCCTTAGGACAAATCAAGAATCTCAGAAGAGTTAAGTTTCATATTTACTCATACCTACTCCCCAGCTTACAGGCAATTGTTATAGTGTGTTCTGATTCAGAACCTTATTTTAACCCTTCAGTAAATGTGTTAGTTAGGTAATGCTAGGGATTCAAACAGTGAAATCCTGGAATCTCGGTGGTTGTATTATAGAAGTTTATTTCTTACTCATGCTTCACTCCAATGGGGGATATTTCTGGTTGAACAGCCTTTTTTGTGGCCATTCAGGGATCCAGGCTTCTTCCATCCTATGGCTCTACCTTCATTTAGTTCTTGGAACACTCTTCATTAAGCCAGCAAATGAGAAGAGTCCATGGGAGAAGGCACGATCATTTCTTTACCTCTTTATTCCAGAAGTAACCCACATTACTTTTGCTCAGACACTAATGGCCAAAAGACAGTCACATGCCTATAACTAATTGCCAGGCACCCTAAGAAAGGTAGCCTCACTGCCTAACTAAAATGAAAAGTAAACAGAGCTTGAACAAATGCACAGGAGTGGCTGCTACATAGTTATGATTAGACTTACCTATGTATTCACTGTATACTTTGCCTTTCATGTCTTCCTGCAGCACAGAACTAGCATCTGGGATCATTTTCCTTGTACATGAAGTACATCCTCTAGAATTTCTAGCTTTCATTGCTGTTGTGGAAAAATCAGTTGTTAGTGTCACTGTTGCTGTTTAAGGGTAACCTGTCTTTTCCCCCTAGATGCTGCTAAAGTCTTTTCTTTGTATTTGTTTCTTTTGCATTTCATGTTTATGTGTCAAGATGTGAATTTTATTTTTTTATTTATTCTACTTGGGATTAATTAGGTCTCTTGAAACTGTAGATTGGTGGGGTTTATCACTTTTGAAAGTTTCTCAACTATTCCTTCATCTAATAATGTCCCTTTCTAATGTCCTCTCTCCCTTATTTCTGGAATTCATTTAGTTGGATGTTCAATATTTTCACACAATTTTTTGCTTTTCTTAAGCTTATTTCATACTTTCTATTTGTCTTTCTGTGTTACAGTCTAAATTATTTCTTCAAACATATAATTCAGTTTATTAATTATTTATTCAACAGCTTCTAATTTGGTGTTTAACCATTTAATTAACATTTATTTTCAATGATTATATTTTTTATTTCTGGAGGCTTAATTTTGTTCGTTGAAAATCTGCTTGACTATTCTTTAGAGTTTCCTAGTCAAGAAAATTAATATGTATATTAAACATAGTAAACATGGCTATATTAATTCTGTGTGTGACAATTCCAGTATTCAAAGTCTCTTTTTCTTTACTGTGATATTACCATTTGTCAAGAAAATTATGTGTAGGACTCCTTTGAGGCTTAGGACAAAAGATCAATTTTTCCATAGAGAATTTGTATCTGCTTCTTACAGGGGCCTGGAATATCTACCACCTAGGTCTCCTTTCAGCTAAATTCACAGCTTAATAATTTAAAACCATCTAGATAATGTAAATTTGGGCTACAAATAAATTTTAGGAGTGACTCATGGTCACAGCTTCTCAGGAGCTTTTTTCATCATTGCTCAGCATCAGTGCAACTTTTCTTGCAGTTGGTTGAGGTTTGAAAGTGAAGTGGATTTACTTTTGGTTGTCTCTTCCATGAAAGACATAACTCTTAATGGTCTTAGCTTTGTGGCAGAAAGCTCTGCTATCAATCTCTTCATATAGAGGCGTAGGCTATAAAATATGAAACTCAAGTTCTTCAGTTTTATTAAATACTCCAGGGCACAAGTTCCGAAGTGCAATGATTATCTGTCTGAATTCCTACCTTCACCTAGATTTTGACCTTAGTCTCAAAAAAGAGTTTAAAACGTTTTTAAACAAGCATTTGTATGTTTTTAAGGGTAGGCTTGGTCTGGAAATCTAGATACTATATTAAGAGAAGCAAAATCTGGAAGTTAGGAAATATTTTTTGAAAATAGAACCTGCAACATGTCAGATGAGCTGGATTTGTGTGTAGGGAGGCAGAGTGTAAAGCAAAGAGAGGTATTAAGGATGTTTCCAAGGCTTTTGTCCTGAGCAACTGGGTGAGCGGTGGTGCCTATGACTGAATTGGAGAGGACTAAGGGAGAAGGCAATTAGGGTCTGGGAGAGGGTATCAAGAGATTCATTTTCATGTTAAGTTTGTAATGGCTATTAGACAATCAGCTGGTAGGCTGTTGTATATACAAGTCTGGAACTTGGGGTTGAGGTGAGGTCTGAATCTATAAAATTGGGAGTCACTAGTATGTTTAAATAATGGCACTGAAAAAAAAGATGACTTGACAAGAATACCTAGGGACAGGAGCTAGAAAGAAAGGTGACCTGAAGTGTGAGCCCAAGTACACTCGAATATTTGGAAATATCTGGAAAATGAAAAAAGGAGAATTTAGCTAAATAAGTGAGATCAGTAGCTAGTAAAGTAGGAGAAAAAGCAGAAGAGTAGATATCCCAGAATATTTCAGCAAGGGAAATTCTTAAGAACACTTCAAGAAAATCGTGTGGGCACTGAGAATTAATCATTAGATTTGAACAACATCAGGGCCTTGGCAAGAGGACTTCAGTGGGTGGTAGGAACAAAGACCTGAGGCGAGGAGACTCAAGATAGAATGGGAGGTGCTGGAGAGGAGATGGATGGTCACTGTAGATCACTCTTTCAGAGGTTTGCTACAAATAAAACTGTAAATGAAGGGGATTTGTACTCAAAGGGATTATGGTTGGTTTGAGATTGCAAATATGGAACCACAATGGTTTGCCTAAGAGAAAAATCCAGGATATAGGGGAAATTTTAGTTAGGAGAGAATATGAGCAATCGCAGAAGCAATATCTTCGAGCTGACAAGTAGGCATATGATCTGGGGCTGAGCAGAGTGTCTAGACTTGAAAGCATGGGAAGATAGAGAAAGTTTTCTTTAATTAAATATCTTTCTCACTGATATAAGAGGGAAAGCCATCTGCTAAGCCTAAGGATGGGATAGGGTGAGGAAGATGTAAGGAAACTGGAAAAGGTATAAAATAGTTATCTACGTGAGACAAAGCGTGAATTGACTAAGGAAATATGTAAAAGTTGTGGTCATACATTTAAAGTGTGACCAATCAACTGTTTTTTCCTCCAGCCATGTTCAGTTTCTCAGATTCAGATATGGAGTGTGGACATCAAATTTAACCAGAGGTGAGGATTTTCCAGGTAAGTAAGAAAACGGAGAGAAGGGCAAAGGGTAGATCATGAGGCAATGTGCAAGGGAGTGATGGGTCATGGCACCTAAGTTAGGTAAGAAGAGATGGGAGGGCATGTGGATAGTTACGGGCAAGGGGTTGGATCAACAGATTAGAGGTTCAGGGCAGTGAAAAATGACTGAAATGGGCATATCAAAGAAATTAAGCTACAAAGACTAACGGGGGTGGTGTGAGGCTGAGATGTCTGAAATTGAGTTTTCCAAGCTGGTACCATTATTCAAATTATAAGGTTTAGGATTTGACCATGAGAATAGGTTGGTGAGGTTAAATGTAGAAACATACAATAGATACTGAGGTCACCAGTATCTAAGAGTGGTTACAGAAGTTGTGTTAGAAAGAAACATGATAAACTTGGGGCTCATAGTTTTAATGAAATAAATCAAGCTTACAAGAGAGGAAGTCATTACAATTAAAAGGTGTGAGTGGTGTAGTTTGATGACATGTATTTAAAAGAGCATTTTTAATGGTGGGATGGTGCCTGGAAGCAGCAATGATGAGCAAGGAGGACCCCGCCTCACCCCAGGGCCTGTAGTATATAGGAAGTAAGAGAAAAAGGAACTTCTCCTAGTAGTGGCGGTTGGCACGGAGGCAAGGTCCAGAGGGGAGAACCAGGCATCAGCAAGAAAGTGGATTAATTATTCAGAGTACAAAGAGGAGATTTCATTTATGCCAGACCCTGGTTCCACAGATCAGAAGATGTATACAGTTGTAGGGTACAAGAAGAGTCCAAAGGGTCCATTTGAAGAGGGAGTCTAAGAATTTGAAGCTGGGAGGCACAGACTTCTGTGGAAGTGAAGGTTCCCAAGGATATAAAGTGTAATGGTTTCCTTATTGTCTCTTAAGGGGAGGTGAAGAATCTATTCTAATTATAGCCTTTGTCCAGAGACTGTCCTCTCAGGCAGTTGCAGGGGCTCATTGTTCAGTGGTTGGTGGGTTAGGCAAAGGTAGGTAGAAAGAGGCTCAGTGGTCATCTTCCCAGGAGCACAAGGAGCTCTTCGAGCCTCTCTTTGACATTAAAAGAACAGATGCTCCTCAACTGCAATGGGGTCATATCCCAATAAACTTACTTATTTATATGCACTTCCAACGATATTTTCAACTTGCTGTGGGTTTATCTGCACATAGTTCCTTCATACATCAAGAAGTGTACTGAATGTCTATTGTTTTCATTCCATTTAAGTTGAACCAACCTAAGTCAGGGACGATCTGTAGACTCTTTAGGAAGATAATCCTTCAATGCTAGACAACGCCAGGAAGCCTTTCCCAAGTCCTCCAGTGCTTACTTATTTTCTTCTCCTAGCTCCACATGTAAACCATACTATTTGCATTTATACAGGACACCTTACATGGCTCTCTACTTGTTCTGTGTGAGATAGTGCTTTCTTAACTAAATGGTGACTTCCCTTAGGGCCATGTACCATGTCTTACACTTAATTTATCATCCCCAGGCCTGAAGCTCAGAACACTGTACACAGCAGGGTCTCTACACCTGTTGTTGATGAGGCCTGAGATGCTTTTTTCTAATCCTTCACACTGCTTAACATGGTGCTGAGTGCATACAAGACACTCCATAAATTGTGTTGATTGATGGATAAGTATATGTTTAAATGAAGAAGCTGTAAAATGTCAGATAGCTACAGATAGAATGGACTAGAATACCATTAATTATATGATTTTTGGATTTTAAGTCCCTGGGAATTCACCTTTCTAATTTGTAATATCAAGTGTCTGAACTTAATGTCATGAGTCTCTTTTTACTCTAAAGTTTCATAATTTTGTGAAATTTGGGAGTAACAAACATATTAAGTTTTTACTATGTGCCACCAGATACATTACATAATTGATGCGCTTAATCCTCATGACAAATCTATGTGGCAAATAATATTATCTCAGTTTTTTATATAAAGAAATTAGGGCTCAGAGAGTCTATCTAACTTGCCTAAGGTCACACAGTTAAGTGGAAGAATTAGAATTCGTACCAGGGGCCCACAGAAACCAAAGCACATATTCTCCCTGTTTCCCCATTCTGACTCGTAAAAACCTCTGCCTTAGCAGTAATGGAAGATTTCTATCAGATTTCCTTTAACTGCTTTTCCTCTAAATGAACTGTCTCAGGCTTAACCATGTCAGAGAAAATCCTAAGGCTATTAGATCAGAAATCCGTCTCTGGCAGCCCTCCTTGCTAGGTACATGTTTGGCTCACTTTAATTTGTCATTCATTAAGCCTGGAGCACTGGAAGGAGAGACGTCTTTGACTTTGCAGGAGCCAGGAGAACAGAGTTATTACCCATCCTCAGTGTAAGCAGTTGGGTTTCATTTGGGTTTCAGATTTTGGCAAAAGTTCAGAGCTTTCCATTTTCTGTGAAGCCATTGCCCATTCCTGTCAGGAGATCAGTACATTTTGAAAGAGATTCCAGGGCTGATGGATGAGTCAGACATCCGGACTCCATACAGCCTTGCTTGCACAAATGAAGTGACCAGATAAGATCCTGCAGCTTCTTTGTGTTGCATGGACGTTTGCCATTAAACACAATATAGAACTGGGCTCTTAATACCCATGGATGGGAGGATGGAAAATTGTAAAAGCGACATTTAGAGGAGTGTCCAGAGGATCTCCTGAGACTTTGATCTGACTGTACTTTAAGATACTTTTGAATGCTGTAGAAATATCAAGGGTGTGTCAGACAGAGCTCAGGGTAGGGAGTAAGCATGTGGGATTTGGAACAGGCTGGCTTGGGGTTGAATCCTTGCCCTAATACCTATTCATGAGCTTGACCAAGTTGCCTAACCTTTCTGAGCTCCAATTTTCTCCTCTGCAAAAGGAAAATAATATCAGTGGAACGGGCTGTTGTGAAAACAAAGTGAGGCGATGCATATGAAGAAGTTAGGACAATCCAAAGCACTCAGTAAACACTCCATAGATGTAGGATCCTTAAAAATGTTAAAAGAGCAGGTTTGGAAAGCCTTCAAGATCACGTGGTTCACATCTTTTTTGGATAGCTGAGGAGACTAGGGACCAGGCAGTCACTTCCTTTGACGAGTGATGGCAGAGGCAGGATGAGAATTGATGTTTCTTGATACACAAAATATCTTTCTTCTCTTCCTTGACTGAACTAGCTGGAGAGGTCTGCTATCTTCCTTCCTTCACTAGTCCATTTGGCCTGACAGAAACAGAGAACAGGGTAGTGAGAAGAGCATGTGTCTTTGAGCCATTGGAGGTCTCTGTCGGGCTGGGCTTGTTAGAATTTAGGGGACTTTGACTTACCACTTCATACTGTTCACTTGTCATTGTTTGATCCCTGTAGAAAATGGGGCGGCAAACATTCTCTGAGGGGAACTCTGGGAGAGAAAAAGTGTCTTTCTGATTGGCCCCTGGCCATCAGCAGCCTGGGTAGGCCTCTCAGTGGCTGACATTTTCAACCTGGGGCAGAGCTGAGAGGCAAGTTATGTTTGCACTGGGAGAAATTGGCTTCAGTTGTCAAAACTCCACAGAAAACTAAAAACTGCCTTAAAGTTTCACCATAGCATCAGAGGAAATGCCATTGAAATCCAAATTCTAGAAAACGAGCAAAAATAATAAGGACACTTCAAATGTTGGATCTGTTTTCAGACTTTCTCATCACAGTCTAGGGTATCAGCTGAGGAAAACATGGCTAAAAGGATTGGCTCTTTGCTGTCAGGTTTGACCATTGACTGCCAGTTCTGCCTCTCCACGAAGCCCTCTTGGGTCAGTGCTCTCTTTACTCAGTGTTCAGTGTCAGGGCTGCCAGATAACTTCAAGAGAAGTACCAGGCACATTACAAAAAGCCATCCGTCAAAACACTGCTCCCATAAAACATGAGAAATGCATGGATGATCTACATGACAGCTTTTATTTCAGATTAGATTTTATGGTTTTTTTCAGTTGTTATCTTTGTGTGTGTGTATTATATATAAGGTGCTTATAGGGGTGTGTGTGTGTGTGTGTGTGTGTGTGTGCGCGCGCATCACAACCTCCACTTCAGATTGATTCATTATTCATTCAATATGTATCAGAGGTTACAATAGGCCAGGCACTGTTCTATTCAATCTGTTCCTATCTTTGTTTTATAGATAATCATGACCCCAGAACTTCTTCCTCACCATCAATTGACAGAGGAATTGAAAGAGAATATTAAACTCATTTTGAATAAATTTGGTAGAAGAAGATTCTCTGCTGAAAGTTAATATTTCCACTTATCAAGAGGTGTTCTTTCAAATGACAGGAACATTATGTCCAAAGGACAGCTTCCTCATAAAGAGATGTCTAAGGGGATTATGTTTGTCCAAGATAGCAACAACCAGATTTCTAATGATTAACCAAAATTAAGTATTCAAGTCATGGCATGGCAACTTTTCTAAAGGAAATCACTTCTCCAGATATCCAAAGACTCCTATGAATCCACATATTTCTTTTAAGGGTACTTGATCAACTAAGCGAACTGGTAAATAATTGTTTCATAATGGAACTATAGGTGAAATATGTATTAACTTCAAAAAAAGAATTTATGTGCTCAATTCAATTTTAAATCTTTTTAAAAACAAAACTGTCAAACATTCCTAACCTTAAAACGAACATTGTGGGATAAAAGATAGATTAATTCCAGATGATATCAGTTTTATTACACTGTGTGCTTTAAAATATACATATTAAAAATAATTAATATTTATTGAGCATTTATTATGTGCCCAGTGTTGTGCTAAGTTCCTTGGATTCATTACTTCATTTAGCCCTCACGGTATCACAATTACATAGGTACTACTCTAGTTCCCTTTCTGCAGACGAGGAAAGTTAGGGATACAGAAGCTAATAACCCACCCACAGTCGTAGTGTCAAGAGACAAAGCCAGGCTGTCTGTCTCCGGGCCCTACCCTTTCCTGAAACAGTAAAGATGGAGCAGAGGAACATATGCCTTTGTAGACAGGGAACATCTGGTGTTAGAATTCTGATTCTGCCACTTACTGGCTGTGTGACCTTGCGCCACACTATATATTCATCACTGCTGTGTTGCAGACTTCTTGGCTGGTGGACAACACTATATTGATTAAGAATTATGCCAACTGAGTCACTGTGTAGTGCTGCATACAAGATACCTGTATCAACTCATCAATGAAGCCAGGGATGTGCTAGTAAATGTTTCACAATCTGCCCTCCAAAGAAAGAAAGTTTCCTGACTTACAGTGTTTGCTGATTTCTGGAGTGTAAATACACCCCCATGGCTGATTTCAATGTGATTTCGCTCAATGCTAAGTGTAAAAAAAGATGCACACCATCAACTCTTACAAGTTAACAGAAGTCGATCTCACACACCACTGAATTAGACTTATACTCAGCACCAAATAGAGTATCTTAGTGCATAGTTCAGGTCTTGAGAGGGAGTGAGAACATCTGGACATCAGGAAAGTCATGGCATGAGTATAACACAATTTACTTGTATACCCACAAGGATGTTCATCACAGCATTGCCAAAAATAGCAAAAAATGTGGACACAAATTAGTGACATGATGTAAGAGTTTAGGAGGTACTACAGTGTAATGCGGAAGCACTCACAGCATTCACTAAGTTTATATCAATGTGTAAAATTCAATTTGTTTTGCAACTGAGGGACACACTGTCATGGATACATTCAATAGGTGAAATGCTGTATTGGGTGGACACATGAACTAGAAATAGAAAGATCCAACATTTTAGAGGTAGAAGGAGTAGCCAATTGGGCCAAGCCAATTCCAAAGGAAAATTTAACATTTCCTATAATACAAGAGAACTTGGCCTAATTACAATATAAAAGAACATTGTCATGGCAACTCATGTTACTCACATAGATATACAGTGATAGGGACCAAATAAATAATGTAAAGCTCAGCATGTTGCCGGGCAGTAAGTGTTCAATACACATTAGCTATAATTATTGTGATAAATTACAATATACCATATGAGAGAATAATAATCATTAGAATTTTAGAAGATATATTGACATGAAAAGATATACACAATGTGTTTTAAAGTTGAAATAAATTTTGTCTCCTTTTTGTAAAACATGCTTGACTTTGGTAAAAAGGAAATGTGTGAAATATAAGTGGCATAATATTGGATAACTTTAATTTCTTATTTGTGTTTATCAAGATATTCAGATTTTCTGCAGTGAACACCCATCATTGTAATTATTCAAAAACAATTTGTTTAAATTTAAAAATGAAACATACCTATATAAATATGTATTTCCTTGTTTCCCTAGAAGAAAAATCAATACCTGTTCAACACTGGACAGCTAGCAGGTTTTTTCCTTCTTAGTTTCATTAAGTGGCAGATGATTGGTTAATAACTAAACGGAAGGTCTGGATAATATTTTTGGTCCTTTACTACTCCCATGAAACTACATGACTGAAAAACAGAGCAGGCCCAGAGAATGGGAAATAAAGCCAGAAAAAAAAAATACAAAAAATATAAATATAAATAATTTCCTCATATCATTTTCATTTTTTACTTTTAAACTGTATCTTTATATTTAATTACATTTCTTTAGACCACATATAATTGCTTTTTTATCCAGTCTGACAAACTCTGTCTTTCAGCTGGAGTATTTTGAGCATTTACATTTAATAAAATTAGTAATGTGTTTAGATTTAATCTAATATTTCATTGTTTGTTTCTGAGTTATCCCATTTGTTCTTTGTCCCTTTCTTCTTTTCCTTAATTCTTCTGTACTAATAGAGTTGTTTAATAATTCCATTTCGTTTCCACTATTGGCTAATTAGTTGTAACTCTTTGTTCTTTTTTTTTTTATTTTAGCACTTGCTCTAGGATTTACAAGATGAATTTTTAACTCTGTCTTTATCTTTACACCATTGTAGCTGAAAGCAGAAGTCTCAAATCTATTCTTTTCAAAGCATAGATAGTATAAAGCAAATAGGTATCAAAATCGATTAAAATTAGTGAGAAAAACATGACAAACAAAAATACATCAATGAATCTGTAACTGAGATAGATTATGAAACTACTTTTCAATGTAGGAATATCTGTATTATCTCTGAGCAGATAGTCTGCACAGTTATAAGGTTTTTTTCTTCCTTTTCCTTTTGCTCTAGGGTTCTAGCAAAGCAGCATAATGTAATAGAAGGAGGGTGTGTTTTGGAATCAGGCCCTCTAAGATTACTCTAGACTATCACTTTCTGTTGTGTGATTTCAGGTGAGTTAAAATTCATAAACCTCAGTTTCCTCGGCTGTAAAAGTGGGTGATATTTACTTCTTAGGAAGTTTATGAGGATTACATGGTATCATATGGGTAAATGCTTTGATAATGGAGAGCATATGCTTAGCGCATAATAGTTTTCAACTAGGAAGGTGTGTACATCTTCATTTAGTGATTTTAAAATAGCTTCCTTTTATCAAATTTATCTTGGAGTCAAAATAAGTTGTGATTTATCTTAATATCCCTTCCCCCACCCCCCAAAAAATTAGTCTTTGATTCTGTCTCTGACACTTACAATATGAAATTGCATAAGTCACAAGGTTTTTGTTTCCTCCTCTGTGAAATGGACATAATTTTGTCATAACTGTTTCAAAACTGTATTGTGAGAATGAGTAGCACACTCATTTTACATGGTTCTAATATAATGATATGTATATCACCATTCAGATATAAGGCACTATTGAAAACTATATGACAAGGATGCCCTCTCTCGTCATTCCTGTTCAACATAGAATTATAAGTCCTGCCCACAGAAATCAGGCAAGAGAAAGAATAAAGAGTATCCAAATAGGAAGAGAAGAGGTCAAACTATTCCTGTTTGTAGGTGACATGATTCTATTTCTAGAAAACCCCATCGTCTTGGCCCAAAAGCTCCTTCAGCTGATAAACAACTTCAACAAAGTTTCAGGATCCAAAATTTAATGTACAAATTCACTAGCATTCCTATATACAAACAACAGCCAAGCTGAGAGCCAAATCAGGAATATAATCCCATTCAAAATTGCTACAAAAAAAATAGGAATACAGCTAACCAGGGTGGCAAAATATCTCTACAATGAGAATTACAAAATACTGCTCAAAGAAATAGAGATGACACAAACAAAAGGAAAAACATCCCATGGTCACGGATAGGAAGAATCAATATCATTAAAATGCCCATACTACCCAAAGTAATTTATAGATTCAATGCTATTTCTAGCAAACTACCAATGACATTCTTCACAGAAATAGAAAAAATTATTTTAAAATTCATATGGAAACAAAAAAGAGCCCAAATAGCCAAGGCAACTTAAGCAAAAAGAGCAAAGCTGGAGGCATCACGCTACCTGACTTCAGACTATAATGCGATGCTACAATAACCAAAACAGCATGATACTGGTACAAAAACAGACACATAGATGAATGAAACAGAATAGAGAGCCAAGAAATAAGGCCACACACCTACAACCATCTGATCTTAACAAAGCTGACAAAAACAAGCAATGGAGAAAGGATTCCCTATTCAATAAATGGTACTGGGATAACTGGCTAGCCACATGCAGAAGATTGAAACTGGACACCTTTCTTATACCATATACAAAAATCAACTCATGATGGATTAAAGACTTACATATAAAATCCACAAGTATGAAAACCCTGGAAGACAACGTAGGCAATAACATCCTGGACATAGGAACAGGCAAAGATTTTATGACAAACATGCCAAAAGCAATCACAACACAATCACAACAAAAGCAAAAATTGACGAATGGGATCCAGTTAAACTAAAGAGCTTCTGCACAACAAAAGAAAGTATCAACAGAGTAAACAGCCTTCAGAATGGGAGAAAATATTTTCAAGCTATGCATCTGTCAAAGGTCTAATATCCAGCATCTTTAAGGAACTTAAACAAATGTACAAGAAAAAAATGACCCCATTAAAAAGTGAGCAAAAGACATGAGCCGACACTTTTCTGAAGAAGACATACATACAGCCAACAAGCATATGGAAGAAGTTCAACATCACTGATCTGAGAGAAATGCAAATCAAAACCACAATGAGATACCATCTCACACCTGTCAGAATGGCTATTAAAAAGTCAAAAAATAATTGATGCTGGTGAGGTTGTAGAGAAAAGGGAACACATATATACTGTTGGTGAGAGTGCAAATTAGTTCAACCACTGTGGAAAGCAGTATGGCAATTTCTCAAAGAGCTAAAAACAGAACTACCATTCAGCAATCCCATTATTGGATATATACCCAAAGGAATAGAAAGCATTCTACCATAAAGACACATGAATGTAAATGTTCACTGCAGCACTATTCACAATAGTAAATACATGGTATCAACCTAAATACCAATCAGTGACAGATTGGATTTTTTAAAAAATGTGGTAAATATACACCACGGAATACGATACAGCCATGAAAAAGAATGGGATCGTATTCTTTTGAAGGAACATGAATGGAGCTGGAGGCTATTATCCTTAGCAAACTAACACAGAAACAAAACCAAATACTGCATGTTCTCACTTATAAATGGGAGTTAAATGATGAGAACTCATGAACACAAAGAAGGGAACTACAGACACCGGGGCTTACTTGATGGGGGAGAATGGGAGGAGGGAGGGGAGCAGAAAAAATAACTATTGGGTACTAGTCTTAGCACCTGGGTAACAAGATAATCTGTATAACACACTCTCTTGACATGCAATTTACCTATATAACCTTCACATGTTACCCCCCGACCTAAAACAAAAGTTAAAACAAATGTAAGGTATTATTAATAATACATGATGGTGATGATGATAATGGTGATGTTGGTGATAATGATGTTAAAAAAAAACTTGAGTTTGTTACCATGTATTTATCGAAAACATACGGCACTTATTCTTTCTTCAATGAACTTCAATCTAGTTGGAAGAAAAGGGTAAAGATTCAAAATGTATGTAATCATGTCTAGTAATAATGGATAGCACGTCATTACCAGATGAGGGGCACAAAAGGAAAGGTGCTGATCTATTTCAGGAAAGGGAGAAATTTGTGGATCCAATAGACAAGAAAAAGCTTCCATCTTGATGAAGTAGAACATGAAGGTCTCAAAGATGGATAAGTCATATAAGTAAAGGGGAGAGGAAGGAGAGGCCAAATGGAGGAGACAACCTCAGCAATGGGTGAGGGGTGAGAAACGCAGAGGCTGATACACTCATGCCCAGAACAGAGAATCCACCAGTGTGGCTGGGCAAGGTCTTGTAGGGGCAGATAGTTCTAGAAATGTACCCCAGGGCCTGGAATTCCTCAGTGAGAACCTAAATATTTTTATGAAACTAAATGTATTGGGATGGGTGTAGAATAGAAAGGGAATTGGGTACTAACTGAAAAAAGTGGTGTAAAATTTAGTCAGATCCTAAATTTGGCTACATAGGAGAAAAAGAGCAGCTTCTCATTAAATTAACATCTAGCAACCCATGAATATGATTTTGTAAATGGAGTAATTTTTCAGGAATATTTCAAAGCATTTCTATATAACCCTAGTCAACTAGTTTTAAACTAAATATATATATTTTGCATAATAAGACAAGAGAATGTCATGCAGAAAACAGTATGTATGTCTATAAACACTATTCCAGTATGAAACACTGGAAACGCTACATAAGTGCCATACATTCTTCGGGGTTAGAACAGGGAACCTGGGAAGGGGACACTTTCCTCCCAAGGCTGCCTTCCCGTAAACTACAGACACTGGAAATGGATCACTCCAGGACAGAGTTTGGGCTTCGATATAAAAGAATCACTGGTGGCCAGGCACGGTGGCTCACGCCTATAATCCCAGCACTTTGGGAGGCCAAGGTGGGCAGATCACCTGAGGTCAGGAGTTCGAGACCAGCCTGGCCAACATGTAGAAACCCCATTTCTACTGAAAATACAAAGATTAGCAGGCTGTGGTGGTGTGCGCACCTATAATCCCAGCTACTCAGGATGATGAGGCAGGAGAACTGCTTGAACCCAGGAGGTGGAGCTTGCAGTGAGCCGAGATCACAACATTGCACTCCAGAATGGGTGACAGAGCAAGACTGTGTCAAAAAAAAAAAAAAAAAAAAAAAGACAACCACTGGTATTTCTTTTTAACTTTTTCCTCTCCACAGCTTTTTTGTCCTATTCTTTATTGACTAGTTTCCTCTTCATAATGGAAAATCTGGATAGCAAAGTTTTGCAGGTGAAGTAAAAGCTATTTTTAGTCTTTTTTTTAATAAGCTACTGGGGAAAATTGCATTTCATTTACCATATGTCATAAGGGCTCTAGATAGAATGGAAAAGTATTAGACCTGAGCAACTTGAAAATTCAGGTCAGTAATATAAATTTTGTCAATTCAAAAAAATTCAAGGACAGTGCTCACTAGAATAATTTTACTTAAGCTATAACTAGTTCGATTAACTTGTCAGGCTCGAATTCAGTTGAAATTCAATTCAGGGCTGGGCGTGGTGGCTCACGCCTGTAATCCCAACACTTTGGGAGACCGAGGCGGGCCTATCATGAGGTCAGGAGATGGAGACCATCCTGGCTAACACGGTGAAACCCTGTCTGTACTAACAATACAAAAACTTAGCCGGGCATGGTGGCACGCACCTGTAGTCCCAGCTACTCGGGAGGCTGAGACAGGAGAATCACTTGAACCCGGGAAGCAGATGTTGCAGTGAGCCGAGATTGTACCACTGCACTCCAGCCTGGGCAATGGAGCAAGACTCGGTGTCATTAAAAAAAAAAAAAAAAAAAAAAACAAAAAAAAACTCAAGCATGCTGACAGAATTAACTAGTTTAGTTATCTGACGAAAAATGTCTCACTGTGTGAAATGACTAGGCAGTTTAATCAAAATGTTCTAACTGTGCATGCAGATGGAAGAGTAGACAGTTGAACACTCTCTCCTGGCTATTCTTTATTAAAAGAAATGGCAAATATAAAGAGTTTTTATAAAATATATGTAGCAGATTATATAAAATGGGCCAGAAAGCAAGCAGTTTCTGCCCTGGGATTAGCACTCAGCAATCTCATGCACGGAGTTTGGATTCTCTAAATATATTTACCAGATTCCTCCTTAAATTCAAGTCCCATCCTGGGCCTTCTTGCTTATCCTCTGTGCTATTTCTGTTCACTTCCCTGAACAGCTAACATATTTTGGGGATCTGCTCTGCTCTGTACACCCCCTTAGACTTTACTCCTTATGTGTACAGAGACTACCTTTTCCAATTAAGAGGAACAAACAAGAGATCAGATTATCTGTAAAATGCTCTAATAAGAAACCAAAATGTTTTCTGCCTAGAATGTATAATTGCAAAATTTTTGTGTCAAAGGAAGGAGGGGGCGATGGAGGAAAGGAGGGAGGAAAAAAGAAAAGAAATATTTTGCATATAAGAGAAAAATATTAAGTATAATCAACATCATATAAGTGAGTTGGAAATTGGACCAAATTAAATTATGGAATTTCAGCTCCCTTCTAACCTTGAGAACCTCTGTATCTTTAAAACAAAATCATTCCTTAGCATAACATTTCCTCTCCCTTTTTGCAGCTTGTTATTAAGATGTTATGGTGGGCCGGGTGCAGTGGCTCACACCTGTAATCCCAGCACGTCGGGAGGCCGAGGTGGGCAGGATCCTTTGAGGTCAGGAGTTTGAGACTAGTGTGGACAACATGATGAAACCCCATCTCTACTAAAAATACAAAAATTAGCTGGGCGTGGTGGTGCATGCCTGTAATCCCAGCTACCCAGGAGGCTGAGGCTTGAACCCAGGAGGCGGAGGTTGCAGTGAGCCAAGATCATCCCACTGCATTCCAGCCTGGGTGACAGAGTGAGACTCTGTCTCAATAAAAAAAAAAATAATAATGATAATAATAATAAAATGTTATGGTGCTTCTATTTTAAACCACAAAAAAAGACAGATTTTTAAGGATGCAGAGTATATTCAGTTGCATGTGGGATCCTAGAAATTAGAATACTAAATACTAAGCCTGTATGTTACTATCTTTTGGGAAATGGGTTCAATAGATGAATTCTTTTTGTTGTGGTGAAAGGGAAAAGTTGAACAGTTTGAAAACTTCTTAGCAGTGAAACCCCACTCTGAAAGCCTTTGAGGTGAGTGAAATGAATCAGAAACATATGGATTACATTTTGCTTCAAGTGCCTCAGGGCTCAGGGTGTTTGGCTAAGTACATTTTAGGTTTTTCCCAATACAGAATTGAAAAAAATACTATTGCCTGAAGCACTTTCCCAAGCCCAAAGTGTGCTAGGATTCAGCTCCTGGAATGTCTTGCCTCTTTTCCATTAGAAATGCAAATGAGCCCAAAGCATCCATTTTTTCAGAATGCTCTCAGGGAATGCATGCCTGATCTGTAGAAGGTGGCTGCATAGATGGTATCATTTATGAAGGAGGGAGGGAAGAAAGGAAGGAAAGGAAGGAAGAAAAGGGAAGGGAAGGGAGGGGAGGGGAGGGAAGAGAAGGAAGGAAGGAAGGAAGGAAGCATGGAAGGAAGGAAGGAAGGAAGAAAACCCACCATCCCTTCAACTATTTCAGACAATGAGTCATAAAATTCAACTACTAGAAACTTCTCTATTTGTGCTAAAGCATTATTTACATCCTGTTCAAATGCCTTTTATGTTGAGCAAAGGCAACTCACAGTGCTGTATTAATTCTTGAGTGTGCAAAAGGGCATTAGGTTCTTTCCAGGGCAGGTCACTGGAGAAGACTGGTCAAGAGGATAATACCAGAAATCTCTCAGATTCTCCAAAAGAGATGAGAATAGACACTGCTGAAATTGATACAGGATACATATTCCCTCCCTACTACAAGATCAGTGGTGGCAGGGGAACTAGATTTCAGTGGATTAGTCTAGAATTCTAATGATGATGATGATGATGTCAGATATGTATCTTATATGGATAATCTAATTTTTATCAGTTTTATGACTGCACTCCTATATCTTATGATTTAGTTTTCTGGGATGGGATAGGGTATGAATATTTAGTGTGCAAGAGAGAATCCCTTGCCCATGTGCACCAAGAAATGTGTTTGAAGTTTGTTGGAAGTCGCATTCTTTTTGTAATTAAAAAACAAAACCTACAAAAATTAGTTGGGCATGGTGGCACACGCCTGTAATCTCAACTACTCAGGAGGCTGAGGCAGAGAATTGCTTAAACCCAGGAGACGGAGTTTGCAGTGAGCTGAGATTGTGCCACTGCACTCCAGCCTGGGTGACGGAGTGAGACTTCGTCTCAAAAAAAAAAAAAAAAAAAGAAACGACTGAAATGTTCCTAAGTAGCAAAATGGAAAAATGAATTACACTGTATTTATACAATGGAAATTTTCTAAAGCAGTAAAATGGACTATGGATGCAAGTTCTGAACACATAACCATGGAAATATCTCAGAAACATATTGCGTGGCTACTCCCACTAGAACAACCACCCCTGTTGCCTCTGGAGACCAGAAGCAGCTGCCAGCTCTGGCATCTCCCATCATCAAGACAGATTTTGGCTTCCTTAGGGAGAGTGTATCTGACTGGCAGACCTGGCCCATGCTGCAAGGCAGCCGGGGAAAGCAAATCTCTGTTACTTCCAAATTCTCTCATGGTAAGCACGGTTTAGATTATGAGGTAGAAAATTTCCAGATGATAGAAAGGGGGATGAGAAAGAGGACAACTGAAAAGAATATCAAACATGACTACAGACGCCTATAAAAAGACAGGAGATATAAGAAGCAGGTAAGCCAGGAAAATGCTTAATCTAAACAAGCTGTTCTTAATGTTTTAAAAGTAGTAGCAATAGAGAATTGAATTCTCAGATAATATTTTATGGGAGATGAAGAAGAGATAGAGAATTAAAAACATTCTGCCCTTTGTCCAGTTTTGAGGAATAATACAGATAATGATTAGGTCTAGGCATTGAAAGAAATATATCTAAATATTCCATTAAAATGAAAAGATAATCCCTTTGGGGCAGTAATATTGGAATGGGAGGGAGAAGGGTTTCAGGGGCACTGGTAATGTTTCTATGTTAGTTACATCGGTGTGTGAAAATTTATCAAACGGTACACTTACGTGCACTTTTCTTGTCTACATTATACTTAATGAAGTTTTTTAAAGAGTAATGTGGGCACATGGTTAAAAAAAAAACAACTACTTTTTTGACCGGGCGCAGTGACTCATGCCTGTAATCTCAGCACTTTGAGGGGCCAGGGTGGGCGGATCATTTGAAGCCATGAGTTCGAGACCTGCCCAGCCAACATGGTGAAACCCTGTAAAAAATTAGTTGGGCATGGTGGCATGTGCCTGTAATCCCAGCTACTCGGGAAAATGAGGCACAACAACAATTGCTTGAGCCTGGGAGGCTGAGGTTGCAGTGAGCCAAGATCGCGCCACTGCACTCCAGACTGGGTGACAGAGCCAGACTCTGTCTCAAATAAAAAAAAAAATAACGAAAAACAACCCCAGTTTTTTTAACGTATAGAAAGACATAGTAAACACTAAGTCTCCCTCATACCTCAGACCCACAGTCTTCTGTCTCTTACATAGAGGCAAAGCTGTAACAGTTTCTCCCAAGTCTTTCCAGAGCTGTTTTAGGATTATGTGTATTCATATTTGAGTGTGTGTTTGTATTTATGAATATATGTATGTATATTTCTTTTTTCTGCATCAGTATTCTAGTATACTATATGTATTGTTCTGTACCTTGCTTTTTTTTTTTTTAGCTGATTAGGTTGATCAGATTTCTTCTCTTTAATTATTGCCCCAAAATCATGAATTCCACTACATGTTTATACCATGATCGATTTATCTAGTCTATGGCTACTCAAAGCAATATAGCAAAAATATCTCTTTAAATAAGTAATTGCATGTGTGTGTAAATATATTTAAATTATATATGTATGAATATATATGTACATCAACATGGAATTACTAGATCGAGTGGTATATGCCATTCTAATTTTGATAGATATCGGTAAATTGCTCTTTGAAAACATTATACCATTTTGCATTCTACTAATAATGAAAAAAAGTACTGTTCCTCCATGTCTTTACCAGCACAATATATCATCAAACTTTTTCAAAGTGGTCAATCTGATAGGTGGAATGTACTACTTGTCCATTTTAATCTATATTTCTTTAATTAGCTAGCTCATTTAACTATTAGATAGAACTCCTTTCATATGTTTAACAGCCATTTGTATTTTTTGAACACTCTTATTTTGCTCGTTTTTATGGATTGCCATTTTCTTTAACTGTGGTATAATATACATAACGTAAAATTTACCATTTTAAACATTTTTAACTGTTCAATTCACTAGCATTAAGTACATTCACATTGTTGTGCATTTATCAGCATTATCCATCTCCAGAACTTATCCATCATCCCAAACTGAAACTTTGTATCCATTAAACAATAACCTATTTCCTCATTAATTTTATGAGCTCTTTATATATTAACATAATTTGTGATTTGTCATATAAATCCTCACAATAATTCCATGAAGTTGGCAATTGCTTTTATGATTCGCTCTAGTCAGGCTTTTACCCCCAGCACTCTACTAAAACTGCTCTTACCAAGGTCATCAATGACCTCTACATTGCTAAATCCAATAATCAATTTTAGTTCTCATCTTACTTGTCCTATCAGCAGAATTTGATAAATTGATCACTTCCTTCTTCTATTAAAACTTTTTCCACTTGGAATCCAGGATGCCACAATCGCGTGGTTTTTCTTTTACCTCATTTGCCACTCCATCTCAGTCTACTTTGTCAACTCTTCTTGAAGCCTTCTAAACTTCGAAGATGCTCAAGTCTCAGTCCTTGCGTTTCTTCTCTTCTTTATCTATACTCACTTTTTTGGTGATCTTCCCCAGTGTTATAACTTTAGATAGCATCTATAAATTGATCCCTACCAAATGTATAGCTCCAGCTCAGATCTCTACCCTGAACTCCATACTTGTATATTGTGACTGCCTACTCTGTGTTTTAACAAGAATGTTTAGTAAATATGTCAAGTCTAACATGTTCAAAACTGTATTATTGCTTTTGATACTAGTAGAAAACTTGGTTGAATTATCCCTCCTACAGATAGCAGTTTTAAATGTGGACAAAATGTTTTTAAAACAATTTGAAAATACTGGAGAACAACCAAGTATAGAAGGAAACTGTAAGGCATTTTTGACCCTTGAATGACAGGAATTATATGTAATAATGTGTGCATCTTTGTAACTTTTTGCCTGAGGGCACCTGCATTCCACATGAGGCAGGGCTACAGAAAGCCACAGACTTGCTGAATTGAGGTATCAGAGGACAAAGTTTTGTGCAGGCAGAGTCAGAGTGGCTTGAAAATTAAAGGAGAAATACCTGAAAGGAGGGAGCTGCAGAAGGGTTGAACCTCTCAAAATATGAAGATAAAGTCCTCTAACTATTGACTAGTCATTGAACTGTGGACGTTCAAGGGAGATTCCAGGACCCCCGCAAAAACAGCATATGGAAGCTTAAAGAACTGAGGTGGAATCTCAGCTTATTTTCACTACAGGAAAGACAGAGTTTGGAGTTTGAGTCAGTACTCTTCATTGTAAGACAATATATTACCACAAAGCCCAGAATTAAGTTTAAAAAAATTGCTAGACAGATGAAGAAACAAAAAATGAGACCCAGTTAAAAAAAAAAGGGTGTTCAACAGAAAATAACCCAGAGATTTTTCAGATGTTGAAATTAGCAGACAAGACTCTAAAACTGCTATTATACCTACCTTTTCCTAATTGGTTTTCTACAGTGTCTTGTCCACCTTTGAGTGCTTTCTTTACTTTAAACTTTTTTGCATACTCACAAAACAACTAGCATGCACTCCCCATTCTGAGTCCATGAAAGGCCCTGGACCAGTCACACGAGAGGGAACTTCCCCATCTTCGAGTAGGGGAAACACCCACTGTGTCCCTTCTCTGCTGAGTTTTTCTTTCACTTAATAAATTTTACTCCACTCACTCTCCAGTGTCCATGCACCTAATTCTTCCTGGTTGTGAGACAAGAACTCAGACCTAGCTGAGCTAAGGAGCAGAAAGACCACAACCCAATGTTATAGAATTTATGGTTTGTGTAGCTATTTTATATGTTACAGCAATAGCACAAAGAATGGGGGATAAATGGAACTATACTGTTACAAGATTTCTATATTTCATGTGAGGTAATGTAGTATAAACTTATCTATCATCCTTGTTTTTTCTTCACAGCACTTACCACCTTCTAAGATGCTATGTGATTGATTCTTTCATGTATTTTCTGTCCTCCTACTAGAGACAGAACCCTGGAAGGCAGGGATTTGAAGTCATTGCTGCTTCTCCAGCACTTAGAACAGTGTCTAGCACATACTAAGTGCTCAGTGTTTGTTGAATAAATGAATGACCACTTTACAAATGAGAAAACTGTGGTTTGAAATTCTTTTTTTTTTTTTTTTTTTTTTTGAGACGGAGTCTCGCTCTGTCGCCCAGGCTGGAGTGCAGTGGCGGGATCTCGGCTCACTGCAAGCTCCGCTTCCCGGGTTCACGCCATTCTCCTGCCTCAGCCTCCCGAGTAGCTGGGACTACAGGCGCCCGCCACTACGCCCGGCTAATTTTTTGTATTTTTAGTAGAGACGGGGTTTCACCGTTTTAGCCGGGATGGTCTCGATCTCCTGACCTCGTGATCCGCCCGCCTCGGCCTCCCAAAGTGCTGGGATTACAGGCGTGAGCCACCGCGCCCGGCCTGAAATTCTTAAATGATTTTCCCATGATTATATGGCTGGTAAATAACAGGAGTGGGATATGAATCCATTTTTACTCACCACAGAATTTAAGTTTTTAAGCATTGCACAAAAATGCCTTTATAATATGAAAAACCTGGCTCCTCAGCATAAGCACTATACCTTCTGTGACACTGAAGATAGACTTTACTTGCCAGTTTGGCCCAGACTGAGGCTAAGCCAGCTCAGTAACAGGCTATACTCAATGTTCTTTTGTCCTATACACACATTTGTATCCATTAAAATACCTGGCCTTTATGACAGATATGGTGACACTTGCCAAATGAGTCCAACCTGATGACAATGGTTATCTCAGCCTTTGAAGTTGCTGTGGCTTCCTGTTGTTCGCATGTATCATCTTTATCCTCATACCCTCACCAACAGCCTGATGAGAGTACTTACATGACTCCTAAGAAATGTGTTCATGGAGGGAAAAAAAGGAGAGAAGGGAAGAAGGATGTCACATCTATAGTAACAAAAGTTAATATCAGAAGAAACAACTACATGTTTGGCAACTAATGACATTTTTTAAGAAAAAAAAGTATTTGTTTGACAGTAGGAGACAAAGAGACAATTGTGGAGAAGAAAGAAAAGGCTAGATTCCTCCTTAGTAGAACCACAAAGCTAAAGACAACAAAAAGCAGTTAAACCAACAAAAGAGGGGAAGCTATGTCTGGACATGTGGCTTAAAGCAATTGGGGGATTGGATGAGAAAAAAAGAGAATAGGACAGTTTAGGCATCATTCAAGTCTCTTCAAGTGCAAATAAGGATCTGGAAATTCCTTAATATTATAAATATCTAGGCAAAGAATGGCAGAACTTACGGCCCTATGAAAGTGTGAGTCACTGCAAACCTCCCTGAGATACCATCCATAGATGATGGTACTAATGTAGGTAGGTCCATGGGAGATTCAAGGGCTGAGTCAGAGCTGGGGAAGTGTTGAACAGAGCCAGCCAGAATTGTGGCTGAAGAGGACACAAGATCATGGTAAAGTAGAAAATGGTGAGGATCAAGACTGAAAAGTAAGATAAGGTCCAAGGGGGGAGAATGAATGATGAACTTGGAAGGTAATATCTTTCAAGGTATGTGGGAGTAGATGGAAATGTGATCTATAATGAAAGCCACTGGTTCAGAATGAAGGCTGCAAACAGGAGTGAGCTCTGGTGTCCCTGCTGAGTGAGAAAGACATTCAGCTGAAGAAATTCATGCAGTTCTGAACAATGGATTGAGAAATTCACACACACACACACACACACACACCCCTGAACCCAGGGCAACCTGCTATAGTGACCATCTGTTATTTTCGTCTGACTTGCATTCCTTTCCTTGGACAAATGCCCATGCCCAAGTCCGTTAGGTCCTAAAGAGGATGCTAATTACACAAGCTATCCCTTTGGCTATAGGAAAAGACATATGACCCTTGCCTGGCTAATCTTAGTACACATGACCCTTGGCCATGATGATTGGCTTAGGAATTATCTCATGCCCAGTTGGTCAGGATTCTTCTCTGAATTTCATGTAGAGACTAAGTGAGACAAGCTCCCACTTTCTCCTGGGCTTCCTATTCTAGAATAGTATAAGCATGACTTTGGCCATGATCCCCTCCTCTTGCCAAATGGAGGAAGCCTGTGGATGGTACCAACAAACAAGCCCCAAACCCAGTACAAACTGAGAATGAGAGAACCCTGATAGCACTGTCTGAATTGCCAGGAGCCTCCAAGGCTAATCCTACCCCTGGATTTCTTTGTTGTTTAAGTTATTTCTAGCCACCACAAAGAGGGTACTGCCCAACAGACTCATCCTTAAAAAATCCCATTTGTCTACTTCTCAAATGTTTTTGACACTGTGCTAAGTACTATGAAGAGAAAAACTGCCAAGAACCCAGTCCTCTAGGAATTGAAAATACAAAACATGCAATATTAAATCTTGGGATTCTGAGAATCCTCCCTACTGTGGCTTGGTAAAGCTCAGGATAGCTTTGTCATTGAGCCATCCTTAGCCATTGGTTGAACTCAAGCTGGCACAGGAATAAGGCCTATCAGATCTCAGCAGCATAGAAAGGTGGGACAAGGGACGAAATTTGATAACATCTAGTCCAAGTAAACTTATGTAACTACAGAGTTGACCCTGAGAAGAGCAATAAGCAGACCATCTAAGGGGGATAGATTTGGACCAGCCTCAATATCAAAAGTGATACACTATAGGAATGAGGCAAAGGGACAGAAATATACCTAGAGGATGAATCTGTGAGTCACGAGAGAGAGGAGAATTGTGGTTCTACGTGATTGATACATGGGAGGGAGAGTGTCAGCAGTAGTGGGAATAGGGGAGATGGTGCCAAGTTCACATTGGCCAGAATTTGGTGCAGTTCCAGGCTAATAGGTTGTAGGTCTGTTTTGAAGATCTGGTTCACTTATTCTGTGTGAACAAGACACTTATCAGCCAACCAGTCAAGGTTGGTGTGAGAACCAAGAGCTCCAAATTCAGTCAGCTCTGGATTTTTACCCATAGCAGCCTGGAGAGGGTGAGCCAGATGATAAGTGTAAGCTACAATCCTAGAAAGAGTCAAGCTAGACACCAAAGTTCACTATCTAAAAGCTTGTGGGGGAATCCAGACCTGGAATTGCATTCAGACAAGGCAAACACATCCAAACCACAGGAGCAGAGCAGGAGGTAGGAGAAGGGATGACAACAAAGTGAATGTTTCCAAGAAAATTTCACAAAGGAGTTGGGGTGTTCCCAGTGTGTTTTTAATTAATGAACTTCCAGATGGGATGCAAGTAGATCAGCCTGCTTTATGTGGGAGACATCAGGGAATAGACGAAGCCCAGGCAGAGGCCCTTGATGAACGAACATTGGGCGAACAGCAGTGTTCTGGGAAAAACCCTATCAGTGGGTGTGCAGGTTTCCTGGATTACCTCCCTGTATAGTACTGGGATGGGGTATTGGCACTATTTACTGGATTTATAATCAGGTCCCAGGAATGGCAGAATCTTGTTCTGCCATCTACCCCATTCGCTCCAAGAGCAGAGCATAGTATATTCAATATGAAAAGACTGCCTGGGTTTAATTTCTACGTTCACTGTTAAATCTCTCTGTGACCTTGAATATAGTTATTTAATCCCTAGACCTTATTTTCCTCATCTGTAAAAAGGAGACTGTTTTGGTAGTACTGCATAGGACTATTATTGTAATACTAACATTAATTTACATTAGGCACTAGGAACCATGCCTAGCAAGAATTAAGCACCCACCTAATGTTAGCAATTATTACCATCTCTCAAGAGAGAAATACATAGGAACAGTAAGCAAATGTGAAACAACAAGACTTCTTTGATTTTAGCTTGCAAGAGCACTGAAGAAGCCCAATGCAAAGCTCTCATAACACTCTTAAGAGCAAAGAGCAAACGTCTTGGATTTAAAATCTAAGGAGTCTTCATCATTCACTAAAGCTTCAATCCAAATCTTGAATCTTACCAGATTCTGCCCTGGCTCATTATTAAAAACTGAACAGAATGGCCATAATGTTCAGGAATGTGTGAAAAAAGAAGAGCAAAACCTTAATTTACTTAGTCACTAGCTGTGTTGAAGAGAGAACAGCAAAATAAAGAGTGAGCCTTGGTTCATGCACAGAGTGACAATGCCCCTTTGTAAATGTAGTACAATGAACGCTCCAGGATGCCAAACATATTAGTACCATATTTCCATACCGGAATGATGGTTTGGAAAGTGGGAGTGAGGTGGTAGCAGGAAACAGTGATACGTCTCTGTCAGGAAAAGAAAAGTAGGTAGGTTCATTCCTATACAAGGATACCCAGGCAATTGTGATAAAGCTGCTTCCAGAATCCACAGGCTGGCTGCTTTGAGCTTATTTTTTAAATTCTGTCTGCCATTTTTAGGATTTCCCCAGGCACTATCTAGGATAAGAAACAACTTATCGCAGCAGGGCTGACCGGACAATAAAACAATTGACTGGACCTTCACCCTTTACCGTATTTGTATAATTTTTAACAAACAGTATACAAACTTGGATTGGCACTTTACATAACGATGGGCTGATATTTACTATATTTTCTTTTCATCTTTTAAAGAAGCTGCTTTTACTACTAATTGGCTCAGTTAATGCAATTGAAGAAGTGTAAACAGTGATTTTCTCAGTGCAGGGTCTGCAGCACTCTTCAATAATTTCTTCCAGCCTTTAGCACTACTGCAGGCTGCTTTCAAACTTATGGTTTCTGATGACACTGAAGGCAGCACTCTCAAGCAGAAATTATATAGAAATATGGCATTTCCTTGGTAGGTACCCCAATTTGAAAGGATGAGAATAGATAGGAATGCATGAGGGAATATTTAAAATCATGTACAATTAATATGTAAATGAATGATGAGATAGAGGCATCTACTAGAGTATAATGGTTGTAGCTGAGAAGTGTTGTTACCTGTGAATCCCAGTTTTCCTTCATTTTTTGTAGATTTGATTCTATAGAGACGCTTTGTGGCAAACCTTGAATAGTAAAATATTGTTGCTAATCCTAAAAGATCAGAAATTTTATTTTCTCTTCCTCTAAAAGAGCAGAAATTTTATTTTCTCTCTCTCTCTCTCACATCTCTCTCACCCAAAAATAGCCTCTTCTGATTAGATATGAACAACTTTCACAGAATCACAGCACTTAATCTCTGGAAGCAATTTCTTTGCTCATTCCTTTTTAGATACATATTTTCCTTCTAGAATCATGTTTACTTTTCTTAAAGTACTCCTTTAAATATTCCTTTAGTGAAGATCTGTTGTTGGTAAACTTCAATTTTGTCTAAAAATGTTTTTGTTTCATCTTCATTTTGGAAAGATATATTTCCTGGGTATATATGTATAGATATTTTAATCTGAATTTTGGAGATATTTCAGTTTGTTTTGATTTCCATATTGCTGTAAGGAGTCTTACGTGAGTTCAATTGTTATTTATTTGAAGGTAATCTTTTTAAAGCTGCTTTTGCTGTTTTTTATTTATCTTTTTTGTTCTGTAATTTTATTTCTAGATATAGAATTTTTTTGTTATTGAGATTTGTTTTGGTTTCTGAATCTGAGAATTTGTGACTTCCATCAATTCTGAAAATTCTTGCTATCATTCAAATATTACCCACTCCTACTTTCACTAGTTTTTCCTTCTGAAGTTTTGATTAGACATTTTCTAGACTGTCTCTTTCAATAGTCAATGTTTTTCTAAATTGTTCTATTATACTTTTATCTTCTTCTTTAAACATTAATTACTTTAGTATACAGTCAGTATACAATAAACAATTTCTTTAGAGCTACTTTCCAGTTCACCAATTCTTTAACTCTACTCTGCTTTTCAATCCATCAATTGAGTTGCTAATTTTTAAAGTTGTGATCTTTTTTATTCCTAGAATTTCTCTTTTTTTCAAGATGTCCTTCTATTTTTTTTCATAATATTCCTTGATCATATTTTCAATTCCCTCTTTTATTTCTTTACACATTTTAAACATACCAATTTTGTAGTATTTTTCTGACAATTCATATTAAAATCCACAGGAGTCTTAATTCTTTTGTTTGTGGTTTTGTCAATCTTAATTCATTTTGGTTTATTTCTCAGAGTTTTACAACTCTGGTTTCCCAACTTATTCATTTCATGTGAGTTCTGCAAAGTCCATTTTAAGAGTGATTCTTTATAGGAAAGCTTTGCTTTTGTTTCTGCCATATGCTTGTGCTATGGTAATTATAAATCCATATCTAGGTGACTTCCTAGATCACCTTGATAGCACAGAGGTAAGCTTGAAATTCATGTGAGCACCGATCTGTGTTCACAAATTCTCAAGAGAGACATTTTTTCCCTCACAAGAGTTTATACCCAGATTAACAAGTTTCTCCTCTTGTTACCAAGCTAAAGTTTTCTAGCCCACCCTTTCACTGAAGTTAGGCTCCTTTGAAGGCCTTTGACTCTGTATAGGAGTCTTAATTTTGAAACCATACCGTGTACAGTCCCAAGGTTAGTCTCAGGTTCTCACATGCAGCCATCTAGTCCCTCAAGTCACAGGGACTGGCAAAGGCCCTGAAAGCAGCAAAAGCTTCAGTAGGAGGCTATTATTCTTGATTCCACTCCTCCTAGCTTTGGGCCCCTCAGGTTTTGCCTGTCATTGCTGAAAACTTAGCCAAACTTAAGCAGACATTTTTACATTTTATCCTATGTTTCTAGATGTTTTGGAGCTGGTGGCTTTTTCAAGATATTTAGTTTTTAATAATTTTCTGACATGAATCTCAGGGTTAACCTAGGTCAATGTGTTCTTTATAACGACATAACTCTTATTTCAAATAATTTTCAGAAGCTCAATATATTAGAATAAAATAAAAGCAGAATTTCTCTGGCTCTAGCTGGGAAGGCCCAGAATTCTGCATGTTTAAAGCTTTTCTTGTTCTTCATGGCAGTATCGAAGATACCTGTGGGACCTATAGGACTATATAGGACACACTTTGAGGAAAAGCCTAATGTTGACCAAATCCCTGATTTTAAAATGAAAAAAAAAATCCTAAATTTGTAGAGTTTGCCCTGTTCTGACTTCTCTCCTTAGACTAGGTCCATGTCTCATACTGACATGAGGAAAGGTGATAAATTCACAACAGCATCCCTGCTACTGAGAAATTTGCTCCCTATTTATAAATACAAATGGGGTTTAACCTTAAGGTTAATGTATTTTTATGATTCTATTAAGTTTAAGCACAAGGTTACCTTGATTTCTGAAATAGCTATACCCATGAAACATTAGATGTAAAGCCAAACCCTATATTCTCACTTATTTTCATTGTAATATCAGAGCTATGGTAGCCTCAGGACCCAAAATTACCTTAAAGAATGTAGAAAATCTATTATAAGTGCATATTAATTGAAAAAAACAATCCCTTATAATAAAATATTGTCCCTTAATATTAAGCAAAAAATGGAACATTGTAAATTAGATTGTAAATGAGATCTAGTAGAAAGAAGCCTCATTTCATTAATCAAGCACTCCAGGCTTTAAAAAGTTATATTTATTATCTCTACAAACCCCATCACATTTAAAGAAAGCTGAACTGACCATGCCTTCTCTGATAGTTCATTCTCTGAGAGCTTCTGGTTCACACTTTCCTCTGGATACATGAAAATATTGTGGATTAAACAGCTGGCTGTGGACAATTAACTCTTTAATAAGGAAGAGTAAGTGCTGGATTCCTGTAACCAAAAACCTGTAGTGTAAAGCCCCCACTCTCTCTTTTCTGGTCATAATTGTAAGTCAGCATCTTCATCTTTTAGAATAAGTCAGAGTCAGAAAAAAAGATCTGTGATGGAAAACGTTAGAAAGTGGGAGTGAGTTGAACAAGCACAGGGCTTTGAGGTTTGTTTGTTTGCTCAGCAGGACAGCAAAAGCAAAAACATGAAAGTAAGTAGGAGAGAGGGAAGGGAGATAGGCCAAAGCAAAACACAAAACAAGATGCCAAAACCAAAGTGCCTTTACTCAAGTAAACAAAGTAGAATTTAAGAAAGAGCACTTGCACACTTCAGCCCCTCCAGACTCCCTCAACTAGTGGCCATTATTTTCCATATTTCGTGATATGTCTTATCTTCCCTGCTAGGCTCTAAATTTCTTAAAAGCAGGACACCCATATGAAATTTAAAGTAGTTTTTTCTAATTCTGTGAAGAAAGTCAGTGGTAGCTTGATGGGGATAGCATTGAATCTATAAATTACTTTGAGTTTATGTCCTTTGCAGGGACATTGTTGAAGCTGGAAACCATCATTCTCAGCAAACTAACACAGGAACAGAAAACCAAACACTGCATGTTCTCACTCATAAGTGGGAGATGAACAATGAGAACACATGGACACAGGGAGGGGAACATCACACACCGGGGCCTGTTGTGGGGTGGGGAGCTAGGGGAGGGATAGCATTAGGAGAAATACCTAATGTAGGTGACGGATTGATGGGTGCAGCAAACCACCATGGCACATGTGTTCCTATGCAACAAACCTGCACGTTCTGCACATGTATCCCAGAACGTAAAGTATAATAAAGTAAAATAAAAGAGGAAAACAAAGAAAAAAAAGCAGCACATCAATAAAAATTGATGTATTCCTATAGCACTTCAAGGTTTATCATGTGATTCTTACATTATTTCATTTATTATTCAAATTAAGGGAGGTATTTATTAACATCATCTCTATTTTACAACTGAGGAAACTGAGTTTCAGAAAGATTAAGAGTTTTGTCTAGGATAACATAGCTAGTAAATGATAAAGCCAGGAGTTGGATCAAAGGTCTCTGATAAATCTTTCTATGTTCTTCCTACCAAAACAGCGCTGGGTCTGCTTTATTCCTGGGTCATTTATCACATCTTTCATAGGACTCTACACATAGTGGAAGCTTGTTTAGTGAAGGAATAAATGTTTCTGGAAGAAAGCTAACTTCATACTGAGATGACTTGCAAGAGTCACATGTTCATGTTAAATTATATCATGTCCGATTTGACTTTCCATTTGTATTTCATCTAATGTGTTATATGTAGTCAATTCATACAGCCTTTATCTTTCAAATGTCTCCAGACTTTTCTCTCACACAGAATGGGCCAACGACAGGAATACAGTCTCTTTCTGCAATAGTTTATACCTCAGGATATCTTCTTCTGGAAGGCCAGAGGTGGCTTACACCATTGGAAATGATGGTTAAACTGCTAGAACTAACATTTGTGAACCATCCACCAGAAGCCAGGTCATGTGCTTAAAGTTTGACCTACATTGTATTATTCAATCTCCTCAAAATATGGTCCTATGAAATATGATCACAACCGAGAAGACTCAAAGAAATTTCCCAGGTTACATAATTTTTCCAAGATGATTGAGCAGGGAAGTGGGTGAATAGGAATGCAACTGAGGTTGACTTCATTCAACAAGTCAGTAAAGCCACCCTGTTCCAGTGGATTAAAATGTTAAATACTGCCTTCATGGAGATTTTATTTAGCTGGGGAGACACATAAGCAAGGAGATAGAGGAATGCAATGCTGTGTGGTAAGGCCTGTATGAGAACCAAGGCCATTATGCTTGTAGGGGGGTTTGAGGAATATCAAAATAAGATAGAGAGTCAGTAAGTCTTTCAGGAGAAGAGACCATTGTATTGAGTCTCTAGGGGTTTTTGGAAGTTAGTTATATACAAAAAAGTGCAAAACGCATTAAAGACAGTGGCTATGGGCCGGGCGCGGTGGCTCATGCCTGTAATCCCAGTACTTTGGGAGGCCAAGGTGGGTGGATCACGAGGTCAGGAGATCGAGACCATCCTGGCTAACATGGTGAAACCCTGTGTCTACTAAAAATACAAAAAATTAGCCAGGCATGGTGGCTCGCGCCTGTAGTCCCAGCTACTCAGGAGGCTGAGGCAGGAGAATCACTTGAACCCGGGAGGTGGAGGTTGCAGTGAGCTGGGACTGTGCCACTGCACTACAGCCTGGGGGACAGAGTGAGACTCCGTCTCCAAAAAAAAAAAAAAAAAAAAGACGGTGGCCACGGACAATTAACTCTTTAATAAGGAAGAGTAGGGGCTGAATTTCTGTAACCAAAAACTTCTGTCAGTGTGAAGCCCCCAGTGTCTCTTTTCTAGTCATAATTGCAGGTCAGCATCCTTCATGTAAGATTCAGGAAGGTGAAACATCATAGCTCTTTGGACAGGATGAACACTCAGTAGTAATAAATGAATTGACAAACAAAGAGATGGATGGCTAGGCTACTCAGGCACTGCCAGGAGAACCAAAACTCAAGATGTGTTGTGCAGTGAGTGGAATTAAGTAAAAAAGGCTTTGGGTATCAAACTAAAGAGTTTGAATTTTGTCCTGAAGGTAAAGTAAACCATCAGAGGATTTTGAACACAGTAGCAACATGAGATTTATGTTGGGGAAAGATCACTGTGGCTGCAAGTAATGTCGAGCATGGAAGGGAGGAAGGTGCAGGCTCCCAGCAAGGATAAGAGTGAGGAAATTCTTGCAGTAATGTAAGAAGATATCATAAGAAGCTAAACATCTATGGCAAAAAGCAATAACAATAGAAATGGACAGGAAGGAACCAACCTGAGAAAATGCTTGGGACAGAAAATCTACAGGACTTGGGAATGATTGGATTTAAATGACAGGGTCTCGGCTTGTGTGGTCTAGTAATAGTGCTCTCCTGTACTGAAAGTGAAACAGTGGGAGTGGCAGATTTGTGGTTAAGAAGAAAGGAATGATACATTTGGTAATGAACACATCGAATTTGAGATCCATCTGGAAACATCAGAAAACATCTGGTTGAGTATACAAGACTGGAGTTCATGAGAAGTCACTCAGAAATGTTGATTTGGGTAAGAATTATGGGACAATGGTGGCTAGGAGGCAGGACTAATTTGCAGTTCCCACTTGGATGGACAAAGCAGCATGTGGAGACTCACACTGTGAACTTTTGCTCCAAGAACTACCACAGAAACATACCAGGAAAGCTGAGAGACTCCACATACGCTTTGAAGAAGGTGGACTGCCGCTGCAGGCTCCATGGGACAGCCAAGGAACTGTGAGTTGGGGTGCTTTCTCAGCTGGGAGGCTTGTAGCCTGGGGCAACTTCTAAGCCCTGCTCATTGGCTGCCTGGAAATAAACTCAATACTGTTGGACAGGCATGGTGGGAATGAGACTGGCCTTTCGGGCTGCAGGCTGCATGAGAGCTAGGTGAGGCCTGTGGCTGCTGGCTTCCCCCACTTCCCTGATGACCTGTATGACACAGCAGAGGCAGCCATAATCCCCCTGGGAACATAACTTCATTGGCCTGAGAGAACCACACCCCCACAGTAAGCACAGCAAGCCCTACCCAAGGAGTCTGAGGTCATACATGCCTAACCCTGCCCCCAGCTTTTGGTCATCCCTAGGGGAAGTGAGAGAGCACCATACCAAGGGAGCACCCTGTGGGACAAAAGAATCTGAACAGCAGCCCTTGTGTCCCAGAGTTTCCCTCTGACATAGTCTACCCAAATTAGAAGGATCCAGAAAAACAATTCTGCTAATATGACAAAGCAAGTTTCTTTACTACCCCCAAAAGATCACAGTAGCTCACCAGCAATGGACCCAAACCAAGACAAAATCTCTAAATTGCCAGAAAAAGAATTCAGAAGGTCAATTATTAAGCCAATCAAGGAGGCACTAGAGAAAGGTGAAGTCCAACTTAAAGAAATCAGAAAACGATACAGGATATGAATGGAAGAATCTCCAGTGAAATAGATAGCATAAATAATCATGACTGCTGGAAATCAAGGACACACTCAGAGAAATGCAAAATGCACTGGAAAGTTTCAGCAATAGAACTGAACAAGCAGCAGAAAGAACTTCAGAGCTTGAAGACAAGTCTTTTGAATTAATCCAGTACAACAAAGACAAAAAAGAATTTTTAAAAAATGAACGAAACCTCCAAGAAGTTTGGGATTATGTTAAATTACCAAACCTAAGAATAATTGGTGTTCCCAAGGAAGAAGAGATATCTAAAGTTTGGAAAACATATTTGAGGAAATAATTGAGGAAAACTTCCCCAGCCTTGTTAGAGCTCTAGACATTCAAATACAAGAAGCTCAAAGAACACCCAGGAAATTCATCACAAAAAGATCATCGCCTAGTCAGATAGTCATCAGATTATCTAAATTGAAGCCAAAGGAAAGAATCTTAACAGCTGTGAGGCAGAGGCAACAGGTAACCTATAAAACAAAACCTATGAGATTAATAGCAGATTTCTCAGTAGAAACCCTACAAGCTAGAAGGGATTGGGGTCCTATCTTTAGCTTCCTTAAACAAAACAATTATCAGCCAAGAATTTTGTTTCCAGTGAAACTAACCTTCATAAATGAAGGAAAGATACAGTCTTTTTCAAATAAACAAATGCTGAGAGGATTCGCTACTACCAAGCCAGTGCTATAAGAACTGCTAAAAGGAGCTCTAAATCTTGAAACAAATCCTAAAAATAAACCAAAATAGAATCTCTTTAAAGCATAAATCTCACAGAACCCATAAAACAATAACATAATGAAAACAACAACAACAAGGTATTCAGGCAACAAATAGCACAATGAATAGAATAGTATCTCACATCTCAATACTAACTTTGAACATAAATGGCCTTAATGCTCTATTGAAAAGATACAGAATGGCAGAATGGATAATAACTTACCAAACAAGTATCTGCTGTCTTCAAGAGACTCACCTGACATGTAAGCGTTCACATAAACTTAAGGTAAAGGGGTGGAAAAAGATATCCCATGCAAATGGACACCAAAAGCGAGCAGGAGTAGCTATTCTTATATCAGACAAAACAAACTTTAAAGCAACAGCAGTTAAAAAAGACAAACAGGGACGTTATATTAAGTAATGATTAAAGGACTAGTCCAACAGGAAAATATCACAATTCTAAATATATATGCACCTAACACTGGAGCTTCCAAATCTGTAAAATAATTACTACTAGACCTAAGAAATGAGGTAGACAGCAACACAATAATAGTGGGGGACTTCAGTACTCCACTGAGAGCACTAGACAGGACATCAAGACAGAAAGTCAACAAAAAGAACAGTAGACTTAAACTATACCCTAGAACAAATGGACTTAACAGATATTTATGGAACATTCTACCCAACAACTGCAGAATATACATTCTATTCAGCTCATGGAACATTCTCCAAGATAGATCATATGATAGGCCACAAAACAAGTCTCAACAAATTTAAGAAAATCAAAATTATATCAAGTACTCTCTCAGATCACAGTGGAAAAAAAATTGGAAATCAACTCCAAAAGAAACCCTCAAAACCATGCAAATACATGAAAATTAGATAGGCTTCTCCTGAATAATCGTTGGATGAAGAAAAAAATCAAGATGGAAATTAAAACATTCTTTTAACTGAATAATAGTAGTGACACAACCTATCAAAACCTCTGGGATATAGTAAAAGCAGTGCTAAGAGGGAAGTTCATAGCATTAAATGCCTACGTAAAAAGACTGATAGAGCACAAACAGACAATCTAAGATCACACTTCGAGGTACTAGAGAAACAAGAATAACCAAACCCAAATCCAGCAGAAAAAAGAAATAACCAAGGTCAGAGCAGAACTAAAATTGAAAAAAAATACAAAAGATAAATGAAACAGAAACCTGGTTCTTTGAAAAGATCATCAAAATTGACCATTAGTGAGCTTAACCAAGAAAAAAAGAGAGGAGATCCAAATAAGCTCAATTAGAAATGAAAGAGGAGATATTACAACTGACACCACAGAAGTACAAAAGATCATTCAAGGCTACTATGAACACCATTACATGCATAAACTAGAAAACCTAGAGGAGATGGATAAATTCCTGGAAATATACAACCCTCCTATATTAAACTAAGAAGATATAGAAACTCTGAACAGACAAATAACAAGCAGAGAGATTGAAATAGTAATTAAAAAGTTACCGACAAAAAATGTCCAGGAGCAGATGGATTCACAGCTGAATTGTAACAGATATTCAAAGAAAAATTGGTACTAATCCTATTGACACTATTCCACAAGATAGGGAAAGAAGTATTCCTCCCTAAATCGTTCTATGAAGCCAGTATCACACTGATACCAAACCAGGAAAGCATACAACAACAAAAGAAAACTACAGAGCAGTATCCCTGATGAACATAGATACAAAAATCCTCAACAAAATATTAGCTAACAGAATCCAACAGCACATTAAAAAGACAACCCACGATGATCAAGTGGGTTTCATACCAAGGATGCCGGGATGGTTTAGCATCCACAAGTCACTAAATGTGATACACCACAAGAACAGAATTAAAAACAAAAATCACATAATCATCTCAATAGATGCAGAAAAAGCATTTGACAAAATCCAGCATCGCTTTCTGATTAAAACTCTCAGCAAAATTGGCATAAAAGGGACATGTGATAAGGTAACATAAGTCATCTATGACAAACCCACAGCCAATGTTATACTGAACAGGGAAAAGTTTAAGTCAGGCGTAGTGGCTCATGCCTGTAATCCCAGTACTTTGGCAGGTCAAGGCGGGTGAATCACCTGAAGTCACGAGTTCGAGACCAGCCTGGCCAACATGGTGAAACCCCATCTCTACTAAAACTACAAAAATTGGCCCGGCATGGTAGTGTGCGCCTATAATCTCAGCTATTTGGGAGGCTGAGCCAGGAGAATCACTTGAACCCGGGAAGTGGCAGTTGCAGTGAGCTGGGATCATGCCACTGCACTCCAGCCTGGGCAACAGAGTGAGATGCCATCTCAGAAAAAGAAAAAAGGGCGGAAAAAAACCCAACACAATACCACCTCACTCCTGCAAGAATGACCATAATCAAAAAATAATAGGTGCTGGCGTGGATGTGGTGAAAAGGGAACACTTTTGTACTGGCGGTGGGAGTATAGACTAGTACTATGGAAAACAGTGTGGAGATTCCTTAAAGAACTGAAAGTATATCTGTCATTTTATCATTTGATCCAGTAATCCCACTCCTGGGTATCTACTCACAGGAAAAAAAAAGTCATTATATGAAAAAGATACCTGCACATGCATGTTTATAGCAGTACAATTCGCAATTGTAAAAATATGGAACTAGCCCAAATGCCCCTCAATCAATGAGTGGATAAAGAAAATGTGATATATGTATACCATGGAATACTACTAAGCCGTTAAAACGAAAGACATAATGGCATTTGCAGCAACCCGGATGGAATTCAAGACTATTATTCTAAGTGAAGTAACTCAGGAATGGAAAACCAAACATTGTATAAATGTCACTCATAAATGGGAGCTAAGCTATGAGGACACAAAGACGTAAGAATGATATCATGGATTTTGGGGGACTTGGGGGAAATCGGTGGGTGTGAGGGAAAAGACTACAGATTGAATACAGCGTAGCCTGCTTAGGTGATGGATGCACCGAAATCTCAGAAATCACCAGTAAAGAACTTATTCATGTAACAAAACGCCACCTGTTCCCCAAAAACTTATTGACTTTTTTTTACAGTAAAAAACAAAAAAAAAAAACTAAAAATTAAAAAAAATGTTGATTTGGGAATTATCAACATACAGGCAGAATTCTAATCATGAATTGAGATGAGATCTCCAAAAGGTAGGAGTGAAAATTCAAGATACAGCCCCAAGGAACTCTGAATACAAGAGGCAAGAAGAAAAGCCTAAAATTAGCCGAAGAGAGGTTGTCCAAAGCAGGAGGAAAACCATGAGGGAGGGAAGGAAATATGGTATGGACCAAGACCAAGCGGGAGTAGTCATTTCTCTCAAATGTCAGTGAAGATACTCGAAATATATACGTTGTAAATATTTTCTCTCAGCCTATGGCTCTTCGTTTATTTTCATAATCATGTCTTTTGATGAGCAGAAGATTTTATTCTTATGGACTCCAATTTATTATTATTATTATAATTATTTTTATTTATTTATTTTTTTGAGACGGAGTCTTGCTCTGTCGCCCAGGTTGGAGTGCAGTGGCGCAATCTCGGCTCACTGCAAGCTCTGCCTCCCAGGTTCACGCCATTCTCATGCCTCAGCCTCCCGAGTAGCTGGGACTACAGGCACCCGCCACCACGCCCGGCTAATTTTTTCTATTTTTTAGTAGAGACGGGGTTTCACCACGTTAGCCAGGATGGTCTCCATCTCCTGACCTCGTAATCTGCCCGCCTTGGTCTCCCAAAGTGCTGGGATTACAGGCATGAGCCACCACTCCTAGCCTATTATTTTTTTCTTTTATTGTTAGTGTTCTCTATGACCTCTCAGTGAAATATGCCTGCCTCCAAGATCATGAAGATATTCCCTTATGCTTGCTTCTAGAAGTTTTCTCATTTTTCACTCTAGATTTAAATCTGTGATCCATCTTGAATTAACTTCTACAGATGTTGTGAGTTAGGAGTTGAGGTTTATATTTCCTATAGATAGCCAGTGATCCTAGTACCATCTTTGAAAATACTTTCTTTCCTCCTTGAATTGCTTCAGTCCCTTGTCAAAATTTGACTGTATAAATGTGGGTTTCTAGCCTCTATATTCTGTTCCATTTATCTATTTGTTTATCCATTTATCAGTATTCAGTAGTCTTCATTACTGTAGTGTTATAGACTCTTGAAATTATGTTATATAAGCCTTTTAACGTGGTTCTAAACTGCTCAATTTTTTTTTTTTTTTTTGAGACGGAGTCTCTGTTGCCCAGGGTAGAGTGCAGTGGCGCAATCTTGGCTCACTGCAGCCTCTGCCTCCCAGATTCAAGCGATTCTCCTGACTCAGCCTCCCCAGTAGCTGGGATTACAGGCATGCGCCACCACGCTTGGATAATTTTTGTATTTTTAGTAGAGACAGACTTTTACCCTGTTAGCCAGGCTGGTCTTGAACTCCTGACCTCAAGTGATCTGCCTGCCTTGGTCTCCCAAAGTGCTGGGATTAGAGGCATAAGCCACTATGCCAGGCCTGCTTAATTTTTTAGTAATCATTAGTTTAACTGATTCACCATAATTATGGAGACATTTGCCATTATTTCCTTCTTCCATTCATTTATTTTTTTCATTTATTCAATAAATATTTATTGAATGCTAGCCTTGTAACTGTCTCTGGGAAAGAGTGATAAATTAAGTAAGCGTAATTCCTGTCTTAAACAACTGCCACAGTGAGGAAGACGTTACAGAAACAACTATTACACAATGCACTAAAAGTAATCACTCAGTCAATAAATATTTATTGAGCACATACTATCAGCTTGGCAATATGGAACACTGAACTCATGTCGAATTTCAGCTTTGCCAATACAAGTGTAAGATTCTCTTCCCCGCCTGATGTCGCCCACATATCTTTTCCAAGCTACACATTTACTGCTAATTAGTTGGATCCTTCTCCTTTGAACATTTTCCACCACAAAAGCACAATAATATGAATAGTAATACCTCATATTAGCATAGTGCTTTCAACTTTTCAAAGTGGTTTTACATCCATTATCTTGTTTTTCTCTTCACATTTCTCCTGTGAGTTAGGAAAAGCAAATATTGTTATTTTTATTTGACAGAGAAAAGTAGATCACAGAAATGCAAAGTGGTTTGCTTCCCTTCATACAGTTAGGGCTAGAACACTTCTCCTTTCCTGCCTCCCTCCCACCCCAACTTCCTGCTTCTTTTCCCATTACTCTCTCTCCCTCTTCAGCATCTTATCAGTACATACCTTACCAGGAAGGCTTCCAATTTCAGGTACCACTCCTGGGCTCTAAGTTAAGCTGCCACAATAGTAGCATGTGTTGAAAGACTACAATAGATTGTCAGTGTTATCTTCAAGTGCTGACGGAGATTTATGAATGGGGATGGAGAAAAGAATCATGATCATTTTCACTATTATAACTGCCTGCAGAAGATTCATAAAATTTCTGACACTTTCTTCATCCTTTTTACCAGGCATCAGCTGTCGGGGGAAGGTCGCTTCTTCCCACCCAGCTTTGGAATGAAGTGATAAATGTGTCAGAAGGCTCACGCTGGGTGCAATCTTCTGCCTTGTAAACAGTTTTCATTGATATGTACATTAAACTTTGCTTTCTTTTTTAAGCCTCCATAAAGATGCTTGGAAAACAGCACTGTCACTGATAAATGTCTCCTCTATTGTGGGGCTTTTAAGGATATGGACTTCTTTAAAAAAAAAAAAAAAAAGGAAACAAAGATGTGTAAGGGGCTGGGTATCTTGAGTCTTGTTTGACAATGGGCTGACCAGAGTGTCAGGGCTGTTTCTTCTACATGAGCAAGTCTACACCGGAGTTCTGAATTTTCATGAGAGCATTCTTTTCTTCTAGCCCCTCTCTTGTTCACCTCCAATATCTTGCAAAAAAAATTTATCAAGCCTCTAAAGACATGGAAATAGTGAATGTATTTTTTTTTAAAAAAAGGATTTTTAGGTCATTTTTTTTTCAGTATTTAATGCAGAATAGGGCCCCATTTTGCATTCCCATCGGCAATGTAGACAGGGTGAGGAGTGTGTAATTGGGATCATGGCAGGAAGTGTGCTAGGGACTGAGAAAAAGGGTTTTTTTGGGTTTTTTTTTTTTTTTGCACAATTAGACTATCAAGAGGACATGGGGGAAAAGAAGGAAGAATATCTCTATGGGTAGAATGCAAGATACAGCAAGAGCATGGTGTTCAACAAAAGAGGAAAGAGGATACATTATCCCACTAAATCAGGAAAAAAAAAAAGCAAAACCAGAACTTGAAATGCTCAGTTGAGCTCCAGTCTTCAACTTTTATTATTGTTAGTATTATTAAATCATGTATTACCCAACTCGTTAAATGCTTATTGCCCATTCACCTTTATCCATCTAGCATCTGTCATGGTACCTGACACACATTAGGGATTCATTGAAGTTGAATTAAATACATCAATCATTTGGTCATATTTCAAATACAGAAACAACACCAACTGAAATTCATGAATTCCACCTTATAATAAAAGGAATATTCTGTTTCTCTCTGTCTCCAGTAAGACTGGGGTATAGTAGGTTCTTAATGCATGGTCCTGCTGAAATTGTGCCATAATGAGGCATTTACTCTACTGATGCCTTCTTTTTCCTCATGCATTATACCAAAATATTTTAGTTTTCCTTCATATTCCCTTTATGTTTCTTATGGTTTCTAAAGCAGGCTTCTTCTGGAAGCACACCCATAAGTGCTTTTGAAAAAAGTGCCGTAGTTCTTCTGTGGAAGCCCATTTGTAATACAGAGAGGCTAAGTTTGACCACTTTAAGCTAACGGTCTGAAAAGGGCCTAATTTTTCTGGCCTCAGCAAAGAGGCCTTCTCTGATTACAAGTGGAGATCCCTAATCTCTCTTTCCCTTAAACGGTATTACTCAATCTGAGGTACTGTAGGGGATGTTTTGTCAGAAACCTGAGGAAGGGGTCTTTCAAGTTTCAAGTAGTTATTTAGCATTTTACTTTTCCTTGTCTTTAAAGTTTCCACAGGGGCCAGCTAGTGTCTCTTTGTGTTAGGTGTGTGTGACATAAAACTGGCCAATGAAAACATAAGGGGATACCTTTGCTCTCATCTGCCTTAGAAGATATTTCTTCTTGGTTCAGCACAGCAGAATTTCTGAAATCTGGTGATATGCTGCAGTGTTTAAATATAGGGAGAGATAGAAAATTGTTCCAAAAGTAAGCCTTCATTAAGAAAACTGTAAAGGCTGTGAAACCTATAGTATTAAGTTGGAATCAGAGGTATTAGTATGAACTCATGGTTTTGTAACATATACATGAAATGATAGATATGGAAATAGAGATGTATGTATGAGTATGCATGGGTGAAGATATATATGTATTTCCTAGCTTTGTCTAGTGAGAGGGCCTAGAAGAAATAGCACCCTAGTTGCAATATGCATATCTAGTGCCCGGATCTTGGTTTCTGAATGCCATTTTCTATAAAAAGAATCTAGGTTCCTTGGAGAGTTGGTGGATTCCAAGGCTGGGCAGAAAAAACCAGATGAACCTGGCACATCCAGGGTGCTGCAAAGTGAGAAGTATTTAATAAAAGGATTAGGGCATTTCAAAAGGACACAGGAGTTGTCAGTGGCCAACTCCAGAGCAATTTGAACAAGAAAATAAAAAAAGATAGTATTAGATTATTGCCCACATAATGAAATAAATATTCATGAGCCTACTCTGATATTAATAAATAATTGAATAAATACATCCGTGGGTAAGAAGGGGCAACTTTGCTTTATGGTATAGTTCCAATTCATTACTCCCCAAGAAATGTGAAAAACATAAAATGAATATGAGAACAGCACTGTAATAATTGTTGCAGACAAGATCCACCAATGGATGCTAAAACTAGTGAGCAGAAGTTTGAGCAGCTATAGGATATTTGCATAGTCTAAAAGTATCTCTACCAAGATACTTATTTATTACAAAGGGGAAAATAGTAACTTTACAGTGATGAAACCCAGCCCACTTCATCTTTACCAAGTGATCAAGGTGGAGGTGACATCCTGTACCCCCTGGTATGATGCAAGGTAATAGACTTGCCCTGATGGCAACATTTGGCACATTTTGTGAAAAATATGTGACGTTAATCATGATACATGAAACAAACCCAAATTTAGGAACAATCTACAAACCAGCAGACCAGTACTCTTTAAAAGTACCAAGGTGATTAAAGACACAGTTTGTGCAACCATTGCAAGGTTGAAGGATACTCTGGAGGCAGGACAACTAAATGCAATGTGGGATCCTGGACTGGATTCTGAAACAGAAAAGGATATTAGAAGAAACACTGGTGAAATCCAAATAAAGTCTGGAGTAAGTGAATAGTGTTGTGCCAATGTTAGTTTCCTAGTTGCAATCATTATACACTATTTATGTAAATAGTTAACATTATGAAACTAGATAAAAGGTATATGGGGGCTCCCTGTATTATTTTTGTAATTTTTCTGTAAAATAACATTATTTTTCATTTAAAAAAATTAATTGTAAGTAATCTAGCTAGGACTTTTTACTAGCTAGGACAGTAAAATTTAATTAATTGGAACCCAAGTAATTGGAGCCTCGATGTATTAGAAATTTTCTTCTCTATACTTCTGTGTTTAGCAAAAGACCTAGCAAATAAGCTATTACCTAGGATTTATGCAGAAAATTACCTTCTAAGGGAAATTCTGGGGTTAGTGCAGATCTGGTATAGTCTATAGTCCTGGATGCTGTGGTAAGCCCCACCGGAGCTCCCTTGCCAGCCTCTTCCTCCCTGGACAGCCCTACTCCCCAGCCAGTTTCTCAACATATCAGTCGCTTCCATGTCCACACCTTTACCATGCTTTTTTCTCAGCCAGAAAGTGCTTTTCCCCTTTATCTACACACTCACTTTGGGATCAGGCTTGAACTGGTTTGAATGATGTGCCTGCCAAAAACTGGTGATGTGAGTCTAAGCGAGTTACTTAACTCATGGAATCTCGGTTTCCTCATCTGTAAAACATAGACAATGGTCCTTATCCTGTGTTAATTTTGAGGTGTTTAGAAGAGCAGTTGATCCACAGTGGGCACTCTGTAAATGTAGCCCTGAGGTTGGTATGAATGATGGGAGGTTCAGTGAGCCCCCTTTCCTGTGAAGCCCTTGATTTATTAATTCGTGTACACATTCAGTAAACAAAGTGCTACTGAAATCTACTCAGTGCCAGGCACTATGCTAGGCCTTTGAGATACCCCAGGCAGCAATGCAGTCTGTTCCCTTCCCCTGCAGAGCTGACGAAGCCTAATAGAGGATACAGATATCAAAGAAGTCATTCAAATGAGAGCAGTATTAGAAGAGGGGAGATGTCGGTTTCAAAACCTGCTACAATCTCATTGATTAGAATCAGTTACTCCTTCCTGTGCTTTCCAACAGCAAGGACAGATTCTTGATATTCACTGATGCTTCTGTTTAAGCAGGAGCAAGGACAGGTAAAATTGAGATAGATTATTTACAATTAGATAAGACACAAGAGCTTTTTGGAAAACTTCATTTAAATAGAAAGTGCCACTTCCCATTCACTGAGCATCCTAATTCATTCAAAGTTAATTTTAATTCTTTAGTAGTGCTGTTTGCTTCATGCATGTGTTCAGCTGAAATCTCTCAGGTGCCCAGTTTGTGGTGGGTAGTTTGTAATACATTGCAGGATGAGAAAGACTTTGGCCTCCATGAGCTCCCAGTTCAGTGGCTGACATCCAGGTACATAAACATTACATCACAGTATGATGAGTTAAAACCCAAAGGAAAGAACATTAAACTCTGCACGGGGAGAGAGGTCAGGGAAAGCCTAACAAAGGAGGTGATATTGATCTGGGCCTAAAGGAAAACAGGACTGCATTCTGTGAAAAGGAGCAGAATGTTCTTATGCAGGCAAGCAGAGAAGATACCACAGAATAAGAACAATTCATGAAACAGACAATAGTACATAGCCAGACCAACAGCTGGTTACTTTACTTCTGCCCCACTGGCTTCTGTAGGATATGAGGCAAAAACCAGCCAGGGCTCTAAGGAGTAGTCTTGATGTCCTGCGCTGTGGGCTGTCTCCAGTGCCATTTCTTTTGGGATAGGTATTAGTGTTTATTTTCATCATGTTTGCCACAGTTCTGAGTGATTCTATTCTTTGTTCAAGTGTTAAGTTTCTTTTCATTAATACCTGCCTATGACTCACTCCCCAAGCTGTATCTGTTCATGCTTGTCATATCTCTTCCAGCCATTTCCAAACACCTTCCCACCTCTCGAACACTTCTCTGTTGTGGGTGTTTTTGCAGAGAGCAGGTCCTTCCCAGAAACCTCAGGCTCCCACATCTGCCACCAAATACACCAGCAGTCTAACCACAGTGAGGACAGACATCCCTGCCCTGGAGGACACCAACACCAAGGATGCTTGTCAGAGGTTCCGTAAACTTAGTTTTCCAGAAGACTTAGGCAATGCTAGGAAGGGTACATATATATACTGCATCTGGAATCTTCTTCAGAGTTTGATTTTAGCTTAAAAGCACATGATGGGGAAGTTACAGGTGGGGTTGTAGAAAGAGCTTTAAACTAGAGTCAGGTGATTTGGATTAAGCTCCAGCGCTATCTCTTGCAAGCCACTGTAAGTAAGCTGTAACTTCACCAAATTTCAAAATCCTTTTCTATTAAATGGGGATAATAATAATTGAATACGCCCATCATCTTGTGAAGTCAGATAAGATAACGAACATGAAGATCTTCTATAAACTGCAAAGACTGTGTAAATTTGAGCAAGGTATTATTAATTTCAATGAGAATCTTAAATAATCCTGAATATAACAGAATCATTCTTGGTTGACATTTTGAGATTTTAAACTTAATCAGGGCCATTCTTCTAGACAGATTATTATGATTATCAGGCATTATTGGAAGAAAAACTCTGACTTATCTGAGGTTTTCTAGATAAATCAGTGCTTACTGTGTAGTTTAGTATGTTGTATACTTTCATTGTAAAATTTTAGTAAAATATGATGCCATTTAAACAATATCCCACCAGAGTTTGCCTCTGTAGTCACAGGGGTAAAAATGCATTAGAAAGCAAATTCAGTGCCAAGAGTTCAGACTGGAAGGGCAGGCAGATGAGGTTTGGATCCTGGCTTGGATGTATTGTGGCTAGGTGACCTGGGCACATTATTTGACTTCTCTGAGTTCCAGCTCCTCACAGGAATAATTCTATCTCTTTCATAGATTAGAGTAAATATTAGAGAAAAGAACTCATGTGGAAAATTCTTTGTAAACTGTTCAGTGCTTCAGATAAATTTTTGTTACTGTCATTAGGTGAGAGACTTTGAATTCCTTTCTAGATTGACAGGAATCAATCATATCCCTGGGTGGTGATGTGTGTCTGACAATGCTCTCTAGAGTGATGTGTTAGAACATAATGGAAAAGACCATGAACTCCAGTCACACTTCTGAGTTCAAATCCTGCCTGGCTCCACTCTTACCAGCTCAGTAAACTGGGGCGAGTTATTTAATTTCTCTGAGCCATAGTTTTCCTTTTTCTAAAATGAAAATGACAACTGCACCAACTTCATAGGGTTGTTATAAGGAGAAAATGAGTAAGATAATAAATGAAAGGATTGACATGCAAAGGTTAATTTTTTTCATTATGATGTATTTTGTGTGTCCAGTGTTTCAAAGGCACCCTTCTTGCATGTGCAGAATGAAGAGATGCCAAGAAAACACTTAAATATTGGTAATGAGAGGCAACCACTCATATCTCAGAAGCTATCTTCTATCAGCTGGATTATTTATGCAGGTTTTCCATTTGAGAGGATTTGCTTTTCCTCGACTCTCAGCCTGTGCATAAGTGGCTGGAATATACAAAGACAAGATTGGCTTTCCCTGGAAACCTACTGTCATAGGATGAAGCCTGAACTAAAAAGACTTGCTCATATTTTTCTCATCACTGTTTGGACATTGTTGTTATATATGGTGGAACGCTGGCCTGGGAGTCACTGGGTTCTGGTCCTAGCTCTGCCACCAACTTTCTGTGACCTTGATTAAGTCATTTTAGCTCCCTGGCTTCTAGTATCATCCTGCATACACTAAAGAGGAGACAATCACTTTTTTTGTTGTTGTTGTTTTTTGTTTTTTGTTTTGAGATGGAGACTTGCTCTTTCGCCAGACTGCAGTGCAGTGGCTCGATCTCAGCTCACTGCAAGCTCCGCCTCCTGGGTTCACGCCATTCTCCTGCCTCAGCCTCCCGAGTAGCTGGGACTACAGGCGCCCGCCACCAAGCCCCGGCTAATATTTTGTATTTTTAATAGAGACGGGGTTTCGCCATGTTAGCCAGGATGGTCTCGATCTCCTGACCTCGTGATCCGCCCGCCTCGGCCTCCCAAAGTGCTGGGTTTACAAGCATGAGCCACCACGCCCGGCCAGAGGAGACAATCACTTTAAAGAAATGCTCCAATTACCAAAATACTTCCTTCCTACATTTTTTATGTTAAATATGTTAATTTTTTTTAAACAAAACCTAACAACAGTGATGGTAGGAGTAATGGATAGGTTGCTTGGGGGTTGTTTCATTTTTATCCCCATTTCAGGGCAGAACTAAAGCTGGCAATTCTCTATGGCTGCAGACGTGCTCTTCTTAAAGCCCAATCTGAAAACCACCGCACTGGAAAAGAGATGGGGGCTGGCACAAGTCGTTCAGTGATAGCTGCCTGATCACCGGATCCCTGACCCCTTCCCTAACCCACTGGAAGGAAGGACTTTTGGGGCTCCACCTGGCTATTTTTTTAGGCAAGTTTAGATTTCCCTGCATGCTTTGGAAACATTAACAAAAATAAAATATCTAATAAACAGTCACAAGAATGGATTATTGCTTTCCATTTTTTTTCCTCCTTTCTCCTATCTCCAATCCCCCATTAACTCCTATTATATTGATCTGTCTCCTCTTTCTCCCCTTTAGACTGGAAGCACGTTCCTCTGGGGCAGGGATTATGTCCAACTCCTTTCTGTGTCCCTTGTAACTAGTACTTGACCCAGCACATTCGAAACGTTTAGTCAACATTAGTTAAATGAGGGAATAAATGAATAACCTCTAACATCCTTCCAGGTTGCATATTCTGATTCCCAAACCAAAATATTGGCTAATTTATATAAAAGAGTCTTTTTTCATGACTTCTGGCATGGTCTACAGGCCTTCAGGGCCACCCTTAAAGTATAATTTATTAAATATCTAGGTACACCCTTCTTCCTTCCCTTTACTTCTTCCTTCAACGTGCTGCCAACTCTGGGTTAAACATGATGGAGCAGACAGCCTTCACAGACCTCACTGTTGGGTTAAGGAGAAAGGTATTAAACAAATCATCACAAAATAAAAAAATTGATCACAATGCAGTCGGTTGGAAAGCAGAGTGCATGAAGCAGAGGGGAAATGAGTGCTCCTTACATGGAAGCTCTGAAAGTCCAGCTGGGACCTTTCTGTCGGCGTTGCAGGAGTTAAAGTAAGTGAAGTTAAAGGCTCACTAAAGTGTTTCTCCCGAGACCATCCCTACTTAAATTCATTTCTGCCAGTCATAGTGTCCTACTTACTCGTGCTTGCTTTGATATTATCTCTGTCTCAGCAACACAATCTTCTACGCTCTCCTACCCGTGCTGCCATCTTATTTTTATCCTAATGGATCACACTTCCCCCTCTATCTGACGCAACATCATCTTGTTTAACTCCTTCACTGGCCACCTCTCTCCTTCTCCTCTTCTTGTTTTCTAGTGTCGATGTTTTCTGCTTTTGTATCTGGCCCCTCGGTCACTTTTCCCATTAGCTAATGAATGGCAACAGATTTATAGAGAAAAGAGCCTGAGCTCTGAGGAAGGACTTAAGTTGAAGTCTACCTTCAGTAACGAATAGTTACGTGATCTTGGGCAAGTGGTCTGTGATTCCAAATGCCCAGAGAGATCAAATAATAGGAGGATACTGAGTTTCAGAAAATATCTACCAATTGTTTTCATTCCATCTTGATTGGTTGCATGCCTTTTACAATAATAACACTTATGGTGTATTAGGCACTTTTATAAATGCCTTACATACATGTGCTCATAAATTCTTCACAATATTCCTATGAGATGGGCTATATGAGTATGAGATGGGATAATATAATAATAATCCTCATTCTCATCTTCATCCCCATTTTACATAGAAGAACACAGAAGCACAGGAAGAAAAAGCTAGTGCCTAAGGTGACTGTAGCTTATGAATGCCGGTAGCCTGATTTAAACCTGAGCATCTTGCTCCAGACCTACGCACCATGGTACCTTCCTGTTCCTAGTTATACTTTTATGTTTTCTCACCTGTAAAATGAGACTAACGATATGCACTACATGGAATTGTCATGAGAATTCAATAAGATATATGTAAAATTCCTAGCACTCTGCCAGCCACTTAGTAGACTGTAAACAAATGTCTGCTCTGTCTCTCTCCTTTATTTTTTTAAAGTCTTTGACTTTTCCACGTGTCTTCACTGTGTTAACATGGGCTCCCTTTTCTCCACTGTGTTCTATCTTCTTCTTATTCCCTATTGATATCAAAAATGTGTCATGCTATTGCTTTTATCCATATTCTTGTATACTCACTATTCTATATTCTCTCCTCTATATTCTATATATTAAGACTCCTAACTGACATTCCAAGCCTTTATTTAACAAAAAAATTATTTATATCAGTGTAAAACACATACGTGGTTCAGAAAGGCAAATGGTACTGAAAGGTTTATCCTGAAAAATATCACTATGCACTCTGCCCCACATTCAAGTTCTACTCTCCAGAGACAGCCAGTTTAAACAGTTAATTTTTTCTCTAGAACTCACTTTTATATTTTTATGTAGTATATACATGGTCCATATCTTGATTTTTCAATGTTATTAAAAAGAACCTTTCTATTGACATATTACCATGGAAGATAAGGATTTGACAACCACCCACTACTGCCCACCAGCTGACACACACAACTGTCTCAAACATCTTTGCATTTTATTTACATCTCAATATTTAAAAGAGTAATTTTCAATCTCTATATATGTATGTTATATATATTATAAACACTAAGTTAAATATATGAATGAAATGGCTGTGAATAAAATGCTGATAGTGATATGAACAGTGCTATCCAGGCTGACAAGGTTTCAGATGGAAATGAGGAACTTGTTGGAACTGGAGCAAAAGTCATCCTTGCTATGCCCTAGAAAAGAGCTTGGCTGCATGCAGTTCATGCCCTAGTGCTCTATGGAAGTGTAAACTTAAGAGAGATGATGGCTGGGCGCGGTGGCTCAAGTCTGTAATCCCAGCACTTTGGGAGGTCGAGGTGGGCAGATCACCTGAGGTCAGGAGTTCGAGACCAGCCTGACCAACATGGAGAAATCCCATCTCTACTAAAAATACAAAATTAGCCAGGTGTGGTGGTGCATGCCTGTAATCCCAGCTACTTGGGAGGCTGAAGCATGAGAATTGCTTGAACCCAGGAGGCACAGGTTGTGGTGAGCCTAGATCGCGCCATTGCACTCCAGCCTAAGCAACAAGAGTGAAACTCTATCTCAAAACAAACAAACAAACAAACAAAAAATTGTGATGACTTGAGGTATCTGGTAGAAGAAATTTCTAAGCTGCAAAGTACTCAAGATGTGGCCAGTCTGCTTTTAACGAGTTATGCTCAGATTCAGGAGCTAAGAAACTACTTAAAGTTGGGAGTTATATTTAAAGAGGAAGCAGAGCATAAAAGTTTGAAAAATTTGCAACCTGGTCATGTGATAGAAAGGAAAATCCTGTTTTCTGGAGAAGAATCCAAGCGAACTGAGAAGCAACCTTGCTAAAGAAGTTTGCATAACTAAAAGGGAGCCAAGTGCTAGTAGCCAAGACACTAGGAAGAAGGCATTTCAGAGATCTTCTAGGCACCCCCTCCCATCACAGCCCCAGAGGCCTAGGAGGACTGAATAGTGTTGCAGGCCAGGGCCCGGGCTCCAGTGCCCTGTGCTACCCCAGGAAGCTACTTCCCACCTCACAGCTGCTCCAGCTCCAGCCTCAGCTGGAAGGGCCTTAGATACAGCTCAGGCCACTGCTTCAGAGAGTGCATGCCATAAGCCTTGGTGAATTCCATATGGTGTTAAGTCTGTAGGTATGCAGAGTGCAATAGTAAAGGAGGCTTGGCAGCCTCCACCTAGATTTCAGAGGTTGTATGGAAAAGCCTGAGTGTCCAGGCAGAAGTCTGCTGCAGAAGTGGACCCCTGACAGAGAACCTCTACTAGGGTAGTGCAGAGGGGTAATGTGGATTTTGAGGCCCCACACAGAGTCCCCATTGTGGCACTGCCTAATGGACTTCTAGGAAGGGTGCTGCCACCCACCAGACCCCAGAATGGTGGAAACAACAGCAGCTTACAACCTGAGTGTGGAGAGGTCACAAAGGCAAAGCTGCCCAAGGCCTTGGGAGCCCGCTCCTTGCAGTAAGTGTGCCCTGGATGTAGGACATGGAGTCAACAGAGATTATTTTGGAGCTTTAAGACTTAATGACTGGCCTGCTGGGTTTCAGACTTGTGTGGAGCCTTAGCCCCTTTCTTTTGGCCAATTTATCTCTTTTGCAACAGAAATCTTTACCCAATGCCTGTACCGCCATTGTATCTTAGAAGTAAATAATTTGTTTTGATTGTATAGGCTCATAGTTGGAAGGAACTCATCTCCGCAAGAGATGCTGGACTTTGGACTTGGGACTTTCGAGTGACGCAGAAACAAGTTGAGACTTCTTGGGGACAATTAAGCAGGGGGTGATTGTATTTTGCGATGTGAGAACATGAGGTTTAGGGGGCCAGGGATGGAATAATGTGGTCTGGGTCTGCGCCCCCACCAAATCTCATCTTGAAATGTAATCCACAGTGTTGGAGCTGTGGCCAGGTGGGAGGTGTTTGGATCATGGGAATATATCCTCCATAAATGGCTTAGCACCGCTCCTTAAGCAATGAGTGAGTTCACAAGAGATCTTGTTGTTTAAAAGTGTGTGGCACCTCTCTCTCTTTCTCTTGCTCCCACTTCACCTTTTGCCATGAGCAAAAACTCCCCAAGGCCTCACCGGAAGCCCAGTAGAGGCCAGTGCCATGCTTGTACAGCCTGCAGAACCGTGAGCCAATTAAACCTGTTTTCTTTATAAATGACCCAGTCTCAGGTATTTCTTTATAGCTATGCAAGAATGGCTTAATACACCTTAGTTCTGAAGGTGCTTCATCCAATCAGAGGGGCAGGTAGGAGGAGGACCCAGGGCAGGGGCTCATCTGCCCAGGGCCTCAGGCAAATTGCCTCTGTGCACAAATAAAGCTGGCCTGCTCAAGTTGTCTTTATTTTTTCTCAGTACAGTATACATCCTCTCCAGAGCCCTCACCCTTCCATTCCAACTTGAATTGGCTTCCCTGTACATATCAGCTGCCAGTTGGGTACAGCTTTCAGGCACCGTGAATCCCTTTCTTGTCTCTCCTGGATTCTACATCTTCGGATTTCTTACTTTACTCCCTTATTTTGGTGGACTCATCTGCAAGTAATTTTCTTTTTTATTTTTTGAGACGGAATTTCACTCTTGTTGCCCAGGCTGGAGTGCAATGGTGTGATCTCAACTCATGGCAACCTCCCCCTCCTGGGTTTAAGCAATTCTCCTGCCTCAGCCTCCCGAGTAGCTGAGGTTACAGGCACCGACCACCATGTTTTGCAAATTTTAGTTTTTTTAGTAGAGACAGGGTTTCAGCACATTGGCCAGGCTGGTCTCGAACTTCTGACCTCAGGTGATACGCCCACCTTGGTCCACAAGTAATTTTCTAATAAAGCCCATGTAAGGGAAAGTTCTGAGACTTTCCATGCCTGAAAATAGTTAGTCTATGCTTAGATCGATAATTTGGTGGACAAAATTTCTAGATTAGCGAACCTTTTCCTTCAGAATTTTGAAAGCACTGCCCCCTTAGATTCCACCATCCAACACTGCTGGTGAGCAGTCATGTGCCATTTTAATAGCTCTTATTTGTACATAACCTTCATCCTCAATCCTTCTGGGCTCTTTTCTTCATTATAGCACTTTGAAAAATCTAGTTGATGTGTTCCTTTGTGGGTCTTTACAATTAATTGCACTGAGCACTCAGTCAGCTCTTTCTTTCTCTCTCTCTCTTTTTTTTTTTTTTTTTTTTTTTTTTTTTTTTTTTTTTTTTGAGATGGGCTCTCACTCTATCACTCATGCTGGAGTGCAGTGGTGCAATCTCTACTCACTACAACCTCCCACTTCCAGGCTCAAATGATCCTCCCACCTCAGCCTCTCAAGTAGCTGGGAGCACAGGTGCATACCATCAAGACCAGCTATTTTTGTTTGTTTGTTTTTTGTATTTTTGGTAGAGACGGGGTTTTGCCATGTTACTCAGGCTAGTCTCGAACTCCTGAGGTCATGCGATCCACCCGCCTCGGCCTCCCAAAGTGCTGGGATTACAGGCACTGCGCCCAGCCTAGTCAGCTCTTTCAATATGGAAGTTGAGGCCCTCCAGCTTGGAGCTGAGCACAACTGAACCATAGCCCGGCCAAAGCCAAGACACAGCCAACTTGCAGACCAGTGAGCAAAAAACAACTGTTAGCATATGCCACTAAGATTCGGGGTTTGTTTATTGTCACCACACAATCTGACAAATACCCCTTGGCTGTCAGTTTGCGAATGATGCACAAAAATACTCGTTAGAAGCTCTGCATGTGTGTGTGCACATGTGTGTGTTGTGTGGGTCTGTGTGTCTGTATATGCATGTGTGTCTTTGTGTGCCTCTACATGTGTATGTGTGTCTATGTATGTATATGTGTATCTGTGTGTGTGTGTGTGTGTATCTCCATGTGTATGTATGTGTATGTGTATCTGTGGAGGGGGTACTTGCTGACTGTGGCCCCCTACAGGAAGACTGGGCAGGATCTGGCTGTATCTCAGGGGAGCCCTCAAATATTAAGTCTTCTCTAGGGCCACTTTCTTCAGAGAAGCCTCTCCATCTCCATTCCTGGAAGGTAGTTCACTGGTTGGCCATGTTCCAGCAGCTGAGTAGGGGAAGAGGCTTGGGTTCTGTATGTAGACTTTACCTAATGCCTGGCTTTCAGGACAGTGCCTGACCCCTGCCTTCTCTGTGCCTCCTGTTCCCAGGTCTGGAGCTTCTCTGGTCCAGTGTATCCACAGAATAAACCTCTGGTTCCTTGTCAAGGTAGATAAGCAATAGAGACTTGGCTGCATCCGCTCAGGGAGGGTTTAGTGATATTAAGGTGAGCGGTTCTCAAATGGAGGAAATTTTGCCCCCCGAAAGGATGTTTGGCAATGTCTGGAGACTTTCATGGTTGTCACAGTGGGGAGGTGGTGCTACTGGCATCTAGTGGGTAGAAGCCAGGGATGCTGCTCTACCTCCTGTGATGCGGGATCACCACTAAATCAAACAGTTATCCAGCCCCAAATGTCAATAGTGCTAAGGCTGAGAAACTCTGCTTTAGACAGAATTTCCAGCAGTCACTCTGATGGCAGCTCTTCTGCTGCCTTTAGAGGAATCTGGCATCTCTAATACCTGAGCTTTTCCAAAGTGCTAAAGCATGAATCATCTGGCTTTCCCTGGTACCTCTCTGTTCAGGCACTTATGTTCCAATTATCCTTCATCCATCAGTTTTCCACCTTCCAAAGTACTTTTTTAGGATCTCTGGTCCGCTGTTTCTCCATTCTCCTTGTTTTTATAAGATTAAACTTGTTTTATTCCTTTACTGTCTTTTTAGTTGGGTTTTGAGAGAGAGCCAAAGTAAACATGTGTTCAATCTGTCACGTTTAACCAGAAGTCTACAGCCTTCCTAAAACTCCTCAAGTACTGCTTTCTCACTTTCCTTTTACAACCCAGTGTCATGAACTACAGGTTCTTCCTGTGTTTGTTATATAAATACTCTGAGGGTCACAGGACCCAGTGAATTGTCATATAAGGGAGATGGAGTAGGTGTGTTTGATCCTCTGAAACTATGTTTGCATTACTAACAGAAATAGCAATTGATGGGCACAGAAAGTGGGAATGCTTAGCCTCAAGAGCTGCAAGGGCTCTTAGAGATCATCTAGACCAGTGTTTTCTCCTTCAATCATATCACTTACCATCCTAGCCATAACTATTTGCCTCTTGTACAAATAATAGTAGAGTCATGCATTGCATAATGATGTTTTGGTCAACGACAGGCACATATATGATGGTGGTTCCATAAGATTATAATGGAGCTGAAAATGTCTATTGCCTCATGACATCATAGCCATTCTAATGTTTAGTGCAATGCATTACCTTTTCTATCTTCAGATATGTTTAAATACACTAATACTTACTATTTTGTTACAATTGCCTACAGTATTCAGTACAGTAACATGCTGTGCAAGTTTGTAGCCCAGGAGCAATAGGCCATTCCATATAGCCTAGGTGTGTAGTAGGCTATTCCTTCTAAGTTTATGTAAATACAGTCTATGATGTTCACACAACAACAAAATCACCTAACAATGCAGTTCTCAGAATGTATCCATTGTTAAGTGACATGTGACTGTATTCATTAGACATACTTTTAAAACTTAGATTTCATTTATTTTAAAAGAAAACATTGTATTATTTTTGTAAATGGAATAGCAGGATCACTTGCCATAATTAGTAGTGACCTTAACATCAAATGCCGCGGGAGGTGAGGGGAGTGATTTTTAAATTCCAGCTAGATACTGCTGCCTGCCAAAGGGTCTGAGCCTGAGGTTTGCTCTGTTAAAAAAGGAAAATCAGTGAGGGATTAGAAAGGTGTTGAAGACTGCTTCTCAACCTTTTGGCTAAGATCAAGGATAGAAAGGTGTTAAGGACATACCAGCATAAAATTGAAGCTTTCTCCATGATATAATGCAAGAAAAGTACTGAACATAAATTGAAGAAAAGGATTAACATGTCATTACGTGAGTCAATATTATGGAATGTTCACAAATCCCAGATCAGCAGTGTCAGGCTGTTTCTTTGGGAAGCCCAGGCCTAGTCCAAACCTACTTATTCCTCAGCTGATAGGTTGAGCTTGTTAACTATAGGACTGGTACACAGTTCCAGGTCTTCAGACCCCACAGTCTGTTTTCTCTCCACACGCCTCCAATTTCCTACAGAAGCAGAAATGTTAATGAGACAAAACTGAAAGAACTGAGTGACAAAATACAAAATCAGAAAAAGTGAGGCTGTTCTCTTTCCTCTCTTTCGATCTAATAAGCAGTAACACATAAGGAATGTTAAATTTATGTCAATGTGTCAGGGTAGTTTTCTTTTTTCCCCCTTCCTTTGGATCAATTTTCAGTTAAGGATTGTTTTTCTTTTGAAAATATGTTTTAGCTACTCTTTTACAACACTATCCACACTTTACAGAAAGGAAGCTTATTAAAAGTTAAAAAGGAACACAGAAAATAGCACCTACATTGCAACTGAACAAAAGAATGCATATGGTGGGAAAACTGAGAATTCTGCCTTTATTAATTAAATGACAGTATAACAGGTTCTGTTTTCATATATATTTTTAACGATACAGATTTAGAAATAGATATTGAACAGTCGTGGTGCTGAACATATAAATCATATTTTGACTTGGAGTTTCAAGAAAAATAAAGAGGGGAAGGCATGTATCAGGCATAATTAATTCAACTCACTGAATTTACAATAGAGATTTTCACAAAGAAACAAAACCAAGGAAACAAAGTAATTCCCCCAAATTCCTGGGATCTTTTATTTCTCCAGTATTTATTTTTGGATGCATTTCAAAGCCTGCTTACATTTCCACGACTAAACTAATTTTTGCTAATTAGGATGTCCCATAATACGGAAAGCTGGGTAGCCTAACAATTATTAAATCCACTTTTTTAAGGAATGCAAGCGGGTTTTCTTGTTTGTTTGTTTTTTAATGAAGTGGGATTCATCTAAATCTACTACCTACTATGTATTTTACATGTCTTGTTTTATTTGCTATTCACATCAACCCTAAGAGATAAGGTACTGAATATGTTAGTCAAGGTACTTATGCCTCCTGGGTCTCCTTTTATCTGAACACATGGAGTTCACTCTGGCCAGAAAAGCAAGGCTATTCCGCTCTTTGCACAGAAGTGCCCCCTGACTTAACCTAAGAAAGCCTTCTCAGTCAATGGTCAGCAACCTGCTAGAAACGGCTTTTCCAACTGGGTTGATAATAATGACCTAATGAAATCAGACTATCTTCTTCTGCAAACTGACATTCAGAAAACAGAGCTTCACTAGACACACAGAAATGGAAATGCTGTGAGAGAGAAATCTTTTGGGTTATAGAGAGTTGTGGAGAGATCGGTGCCTTGATTCTGAACAGCCTCCCACTTCCAGGCTAAGCTGCCTGTATCCTTGCAGTAATTCTCCTCTGTAGAGTTGTCTAAGGGAATTCTGTTGCCTGACTGAAAACAGTAGGTATTAGTGTACCCATTTTATAAATGTGGATGCTGAGGCTATGAGGTAGTCTATAAATATCACTTGTATAATTCAAATTTAGACCTGCCTTTGTCCCAACCTTGTATTCTATCCACTATTCCATGCTACTCTTAGATTAGTCATCTGAGGCCCAGACCCTCTTATCTCAATCCCAGGATCTCACACAAGTATGGACATGTTCAGAAGAAGTGAAAAGAGACCTCTGTCAGCCCTACCTTCAAAATACATTCCCTCATCCTCCTACTTCTTTTTTTTTTTTTCTGACTCCCTCAGTTCAGACATGGCCCCATCACCTTGTGCTAGAAATTGATGAAACTTACTGGCCTCTGAGCTCTAACTTATGGCCCTATCCAACCTCCTTTCCATAGAGCAGCAAGAGCGATGTTTTTTTTTTTAAATTTTCAGTTCGTCCCATTCATGTTTTGCTTCAAGATGGTGAACCCCTTAAGCTACCTGCTATCCTCTGCCTCCTAAGTCCCATCAGGCTTAGACAACGTAGAATGAAACACATTTTTTCAAATGTTGAGAATAGGAATGGGGAGGTGTATCTATGGTAGAGACTTCGATAACTTTCTGGAGGAGTATAAAGGAGTTGGAGTCATGTTAACTGATAAACCAGGGAAAAGGGAGACCCAAGGCGGAAAGGTTGCAAGGAAAGCGGAGTCTCTTCTTTGCATGCAGCCCCTGAGTGCATCTGGGACAGAAAGTGCCTGGTCAGTCATCCTGTCAAGGACAGAATCCAGGGAGAAGCTGGTGCTAACCAGTCTGCATACAGTGCTCTCTGGGGTCAGATGCTCAGCACAGTCCTTCATTTATAAACATGGAAGATGACCAAGGACCACCGGACAGCTGAGCTAACCCAACTGCAGGAAGGTGACCATTCACAACAAATTACCTAAGAGGCAAGAATGAATCTGGGGAAGAGAAGATAACTGTTAAAACTTCTTATGAGTATCCTTAGAAAGAGAGAATATATTTCACCTATAAAGCAAGAACAGGCCACCATGAAAAAGAATCAGCTAAAGGACAAGAAAGAATTCATGGAAAGAAAAAAAAATGTATGCTTGCCAACAAATTTGTTTATTAAAGAACTACTGAAAAACATTAAGGAGCTTCTCTAAACATGGAACAAGAACAACAAAAAAGATATGAGAATAAGATAAGGAGGAAAATATGAGACACAAAAGTCAATCCAGAAAGGGCAACATCTATCAAAAGAAAGAACAGAGAAATGGAGGAGGAATAACATAAAAATAATAAGAAAATCTTTCCCATAACTGGTGAGATACAAGTTTTCTGAATGAAAGGCTTCACTGAGCATCAATAAGAAAGAAGGAAAAGGTTCACACATCAGTTCATTTTTGTCAATTTCAGAACATTAAAAAAAATCCTAAGAAAAGGGTAAATACTTTCAAATAAAGATATAAACACATAATATACACAAGTAGATAATTAGACAAATAGATATTATACTTGCAAACAGAAATATGAAGGCATGCATGCATACATTTGTGTGTATTTGTGCACTCACAAGAAAACAGGAATCAGATTCACAACATACTTCGCAGCAACATTCAGTCCTGAGCACAACAGAATGGTGTCTTCAAAATTGTGACTTCAATATTTTTCGTATCTTGTCTCAACAACCCCACATAACAACCCTATGAGAAATTGCCCAGGATATAAAAAGCTAACTCCCAGAGCAAAGTAGCCTGTATCTCTAATCACAATGACTATCGGAAATCTCACCCAACGCACCCTTTCTGTGTAGGTGCCTATCCATTACAAATACAATTGAAAAAAATTCAGAGCTGGATTAGAAAATTTGGTTACCCATTTCTGTAAAATAGAAGCAGATGAGAAATTGAAAGTGATAAACAGAGACAGGCCAGACAGGGGATGCGTATGTGGGGTAAGTAAGACTAAAATTGCTCTATGCAAAGAAGGAGACCAAAGCCAAGCTCCTTTCTTGAAGCCCAGGCTGGTGTAGGGGTGTCCTATGCATAAGAGCTGAAAAAAAAGTGCTATTGACCACCACCTGGAGCTTTTTGCCATTAGTAAGCTACAAGACTCTGAAGGCAGTAAGGCACAGGTATTTTTCACAAACAGGATCTGACACCAGCCCCTCCCTTGCTCCTTGAATGATTCTCCAGTGCTCTCAATATCACCTTAAAAAGGGAGACCTGAAATACCATGATAAGACCCTGGTCTAAACTGAGAATCTAAGAATCCAAGAAGGAGCCACTGGTAATGCTAGATAGAAAGGGATGTGGACAGAGGGAGAAAGAGGAAGAAAAAAAACAAACAAACATAGGAACCAAAAATCCCAAATTCAAACTGAGCCTGCACACTTAAATTCAAAAACCAATAAAAATCTAAGAGTCTACAAAATCAATAGTCAGTCATCAAAATATGAGTTCACTCTGAATGAAATTAATCTTATAATCTTCCAAGAGTTTAAAGTAAGAATGTTTAGAATGCCAAAGCAGAAATTTTAAAAAGACAAAGCCGAAATTTTAAAAATATTGGAAATAACAATATTAAAATAAGCATAAGAGATGAGATAAGCTTTAGATTAGACACAGTTTAAAGAATTAAAAGAGAAAATGAAAGAATATTAACAGATAAAAAGATGCTCAACCTCACTATCAGATATTTGCAAATTAAAACAATGGGGGTCAGGCACGGTGGCTCACGCCTGTAATCCCAGCACTATGGGAGGCTGAGGCAGGTGGATCACTTGAGGCCAGGAGTTTGAGACCAGCACAGCCAACATGGCAAAACCCCATCTCTACTAAAAATACAAAAATTAGCTGGGCGTGGTGGTGCACACCTGTAATCCCAGCTACTGGGAAGGCTGAGGCACGAGAATTGCTTGAACCCCAGAGGCAGAGGTTGCAGTGAACCGAGATCATGCCATTGCCCTCCAGCCTGGGTGACAGAGGGAGACTCTGCCTCAAAAAAAAAATAATAACAATAAAATAAAATAAAATAATAAAATAAAATAGTGGATATTCCTTCACATCAATTTGGTTAGCAAACATTTTGAAGTCTTCAAATACTAAATGAGGATGAAGATGTGACTATAAATGGAAATCTCATATACGGCAGAAGAGTATAAATTGGCACCACCTCATTAGTAAATATTTAGCAAGATCCAGTTAAGAGGAAGATGCATATGCCTTATAAACTAGCAATTCCACTACTTAGTATCCTAAAGGGAATTTCACACATTTATACAGGAGATATTCAGAAGGTCTATTGCAGCATTGTTTGTGGTAACTGAAAACTGAAAACAACTTTAATATACATCAACATAGGGCTGAATTTAGATATAGCCATACTGTTGAATACTTTGTATTACTTACCTAAAAATAGAAAGAACTAGAGTTATCCATGTGTCCGCATGAATATATTGCAAAAACTCTGTAGAAATGTGCAGTATGATACTATTTATATAAATTTGTGAAATGTGCAAACTAATTCTATATATTGTTTAAGACATGTATGTGTAGTAATACTGTAATTAAACGTGTAGTAATACTATAATTAAATGTATAGTAATACTAAAATTATGGAAAGGAGTAAAAACACCAAATTCAGCATGGCAATTCCATCTGGGAAGGCAGAGAGGAGAATGAGATTAGAGTGAGTTACACGGGAAATTAATAATATCTATAGTGGTTTAAAAATTATGGAACATTTCATACAAATACAGAAAGTAGAAAGAATGATAAAATGTACCCCCATGTACCTAACACCCATCTTCAATAATTATCACTTTGCCAGTCTTATTTCATCCACTTTTTCTCCACACATATCCACTGATTTTTCTGGAATTTTTAACACAGATATCAGACATCATGCTATTTTACCGTAAATACTTCAGTGGGCATCTTTAACAAATGTGGTCATTTAAAAAACATAATCACTGTATTATTATTATATGTACCAAAATTATTATTTTTATTATTATTATACTTTAAGTTTTAGGGTACATGTGCACAACGTGCAGGTTAGTTACATATGTATACATGTGCCATGTTGGTGTGCTGCACCCATTAACTCATCATTTAGCATTAGGTATATCTCCTAATGCTATCCCTCCCCCCTCTCCCCACCCCACAACAGTCCCTGGTGTGTGATGTTCCCCTTCCTGTATCCATGTGTTCTCATTGTTCAATTCCCACCTATGAGTGAGAACATGTGGTGTTTGGTTTTTTGTCCGTGCGATAGTTTGCTGAGAATGATGATTTTGGATGAAGCTGGAAACCAAAATTATTAATACTTCATGTGGTAAACTAAATAAAGGAGACACACACACACACACACAAACACACATACACACACAAACACACACACACACAAACGCACACACACGAGGTCCAAACAGACTCAGTTCCAAACTAAGGCCCATTTCCAGCTTGGCCAATTCCAAGCCAGCTGCCCTCGGGAAAGTTATTTAAACTCTAAGATCCCTTGTGTCTTTTGAAGGATTGAAATGATGACTTAGAGAGTTAAGGCCTGTGAAGTAGTGGGCAGATGCAATGGGCTGCAGGTGAGCTGGTTTCCCTTCCAGGAATTCTAGCAGCAAGATGAATGTTACTCAGCTAGCTTCATGACTCAGCAGGATGAAACTCTCTAAAGTGTGTACAAGCTCAAGGTGTTGCCAGCTCAGAGAGATGAGATGTCTATCATAGAGAAACCCAGCAGTTTGAAGAAGACGGTAGGACTTGATCCAGGGTTTACCAAGTTTGGGCTATGAGGGTTGAGAGAAAGCAGAGATGAAGCCATTCCAGACTGAAGAAGACAAGGGGGAGGAGGCAGGCAGCAAGGAGGATAGTCCCAATGGTGAGGAGGTTTACAAAGAGCAATATCAAGCTCTTAACAATATTACGTATCAAGCGAGCACAAACGCAGCTCAAAACACTTTGCTCAACCACAGAAAAAGAGGTGAGGGTGAATGCTCACAGCCATGCCATAAGAAGCCCTTTATTAACCATTCCTTCATTCATTAGGCAAGTTTTAGCACCTACCATGTGCCATTATGAACGTCCCCTTCTCAGCTGCTACCACTTCTACAAAGACCTTTGGGCCCGGGTTTGCCTTGTGTTTTGGAATTCTGTAGTTTAAAATAAGATAATAAATCTTGTACAAGCAAAATTCGTAAGTCCCAGGCAATGGCATCATGACAGAGTGCAGAGTAGATTCAGGCTGCTGCCAGGAGCCGTTTCACAATTCCTGCTCTGAACCTTTCGTCAATCCCCACCATTTCCATTTAATTTGGAGACCTGCACAGAATGTCCCACACAGAATTATTTGTTGTCTTATTCACCTTCATCTCCGACTTTCTGTTTGACCCTTACATCAGCATATATTACGCAGTCTCATACCCTTCATGGTTTTCCATTTCAGGGAACCAACTCCAGTGAAGCCACTCCTGGGTCATGTGCCCCCAGAAATTGGGTGGACAGACAGAGGAAGGAGGAATTGTTTCACCATGTTAATTGCCTGTTTCCTTCCTCCTTGCAGGCTGTTGCTTAGAAGAGTTATAGGGAATGGTGTTCTCAGTGAGCACTGAGAACCAGAACCAGAAACCCCCTGTGTATTTGAAAGAGAACAACATGTAATCCGGGAAACTGACTTATCAGATCACTGAGGGGCTGGTGGAGTGAGCCCTAAGCTGGGCTTGATGACCCCCAGAGCACTGCAGACCTGACCCACCAGGGAAGCCGCCTTTTCTGCCCCAATCAGGAGATTGCCCCCAGAGCTGCAGAACATTCTGCAGTCACTGAGATCCAGCGATAGGAAGTCACTGCCTCCACCACTGAAGCTCCCCAAGTTCTACGATGCTGAGGAAGAGTTGCACGTCCCTGGGCCATGTTTGCCGGCAGAAAGCAGCCAATCTGCCCCATTTCCACCTTCCAAAACTCTCACAAATGCCAGCAATCAGTAGAGCTAATTCCCAAGCTGACCCCTCCTCTCAGCCATGAAAAAGAGCTTCTCTAAGGGAGGCCAGAGGAGCCAGCCCTGCAAACATGGGCACCTGCAATAGCCATGCCTCTATTAGAATGGTGCCTGCTCATTTTCTGTCTGAAGGAGTAACAGCCCCTTCTTAATCTTCATGGATCTCTTCCAGTGCTCTGCACAGCCTCCTTATTCGCCCTAGTGATTAATCTTTTTAACTCCTTTAACATTTACTGGGAACTGAGACTTGATCAGACATTGGGCTACCTCTGGAGGAGATGCAAGGAGAAATTAGGATCACTCTCAGACTAGTCAGGGAGGCAGATATGTTAACAAAACCTACAGTGAAATGTGATGAGTGTATAAAGAGTATATCTGGGGCTGGGGAGGGGTGGGGGAGGATAGGAGAGGCTCCCAGACTGCCAGGGGAGGTGTGGAGCGCTTCTCAGAAGGGATTCCCTTGGTTGCCCTCTCAGCAGCTTTCCACAGTTCACCATGTCCTCCTCTCCTTGAACCCTTACTCTTCTTGGCTTGTGGCACACTTCTCTTCCCTGACCCCCTCTCTCCCTGTTCCTTCCTCTACTCAAGCTCTCTAGGTGGAGGCTCTTCCTTCTTGGCCTACGTGAATCACCATGTAATTGCATTCATTGCCATGGTTTTAAAGGTCCGCTATGTGCTGACGATGTCCACACCTGTTTCCTGAATTCACACAGCCAGCTCCCTGCTTAGCATCTCCCCTTGAAGATCTCAGGAAAATCTGAAACTCAACATGTTCAAGGCAGAACTCCTGATCTCACCCTCATGTAAAATCTGTCCCAACCTAGGTTCCTCCATGTCAATAGTGGTGTAACCATCCACCTGCCCTTTGTCCTAAACATCCAACACATCAGCAAGTCCTGCCGTATCAAGTTCCTGCATTTATCTCTAATCTTTGTGGCCACTACCTAGGTTTAGGCCATTATCACCTCTGGCCTGGATTGTGCAATAGCTTCCTATCTAGTCACCCTACCTCCACTCCTGTCTCTCCCAATCCATTCTCACAGAGCAATGAATGTGATCCTTTCATAATGAGAACTGCTTCGTATCAATTATCTGCCTAAACCTTCTAATGGCTTTCCAATGCATTTAGAATAAAACTCAAATTCCTTCCTTTTTGACCTGTGTCCATCTCCCCAAACTCTTCTCCTGCCGTGAGACTAGGTGGTAGCAGGGAAGTTGCTTCACACCAGGATGGGGCACATGGCAGTGCTGAGAGAACTTATGAGCCAGAAGAGGCTCGAGGTCAGGATGGAGGCAGGCACATGGCCACCTGAGCAATGGCAAGATCCGTGCTCCCCAGCAGTGGTGCCAGCAGCACACCCACACCAGACAGACTCAGGCACATGATCCCCACGTGACCTCTCATGGGAGGCCAAGGGAGACCCCCACCTCTCAGAGGACAGGCACACTAACTCCTGTACCCCAGAACCATGGAAGAAGCAGGCAGGAGAGTCTCAAAGGAAAGACAAGTACTGATGGGCAGTTTGAACTTGGAA